>NC_000015.10:60776874-61401874 GCF_000001405.40 Homo sapiens | reverse complement strand
TTGATTGAACATTTATTAAAAATGGATCCCACTATTTTAAGACAGCTTTTCTTTAGTAAAAATGCTCTTTTTCTTTTCTTTCTCTTTCTCTTTAACTCCATCGCTTGGAATGCAGGCCCCAGAACAAAGTGAAGGCAGTAAGTTTTAACAGTTCCGTATTTTGTGCACACCTTATTTTATATCTTATTTATACCTTATTTATATTAGCAGATATAAATATAGGCATGGATACAAATTGAAAAGAAACTAAGCTAAATGTTAACAATAGTCATACCTGGGATGTGAGAGTAAATATTTTTATTTTCTTGTTTATATTTTGTCTTTTCCGATTTTTTCTACAATAAGCATATATGAAATAGAATCAGAATAAAATAGTTACTATTTTTGGTGAGTTTTGGCGAGTCTTCTGTGAAGACTGGTTCTGGAGGCACGACTGAGAGCTGTTCCCGGCCCTCCCTTTCCCCACGTCTGCCGTGGAGCACCGCTCTCATTGTGCTGTCATTCATTGGCTTCCTTGTGAGGCCGTAAGCCCTTCAGAACAGAGAGGATCTTTTCGTCTAAATATCCTCAGTATCAGCATAAGACACAAACCACTGGACATTTCATAATTGTTTGTTGAATGAAAAATTAACATTCCACCATGAGAGATTCATTCTTTTGGCTTCACACATTGTGTTTTAAGGACACTTTTGCTCAATGGCCAATTTCTGAGAGAATAAATCCTTTGTCAATAGTTACTATTCAGTAAATCTGAATTCAATATCCATCATAGATTTACTGAACATGGCCTAGAAAAATGAGACAGTAGACAGTAAATTTAGATTGTCAAGGAAGAGGTAGAGACAGGGTCATGGGCCAGTAGGCCCCATGAAATGACACAACACGGGAGACTACAGGTCCGGCACTAAGGTTAGGAGAGGGAGGCACTTGCCTCAGGTACAAAACTTCAGTGGGCTCAAGACTTAGCAATCAAGATAAATCCATATTTTAAGGCAATATTTTTAAAATCTAAATTTATGCAAAAAAATCCATGGTGAGCAAAATATCAAAATTGTTAAAATAAATTCACTCTTACTAATTTTTCCTTTTGCCTCAGGCTCCAATGTGACTTGGTATAGCACTGTTACTGATCTCATCTTTACTTAAAATCTTGGTATTTTGTTCATCCTGGATATTTTGCATTAAATTGTTGTTGTGTTTAACATTGTGTTGAAATATTTATCTCAGTGCTGAGTTTCAGGCACCACCTTAAATTCTGCCTTGAGGCCAGTCTTCATTTTCTTGACCCTAGTCCCAACCCTGGGTGATTGCCAGCCATGGTGGGGAGTATGATAACAGGTCCACATCTAGGGCACGAAACGTGTTCTTGGCTGGGCCTAACACCAAGTTTCTTAGTCTTCCCAGAAACAGAGTGGTTAACAACAGAAATTTATTTTCTCACAGTGGTGGAGTCTAGAAGTCTGAGATCAGGGCACCAGCCTGGCCGAGTTCTGGTAAGTGCTCTCTTCCTGGTTTATGGAGGGTGACCTTCTCATTGTATCCTCTTGTAGCAAAGAAAGAGCAAGCAAGCTCTCTGGTATCCCTTCTTAAAGGGGTACTAATCCCATCAACAGGGCTCTACTCTCAAGATCTCGTCTAACCCTGGTAACCTTCCAAAGGCCCCACCTCTAGATTCCATTACCTTGCGGGTGAGGGTTCAATTGATTTGGGTTGAATTTGGATGGAAATGGAAAAGCTTGGTTCATAACACCAAGGGTGAGCATCGCCTCTGACAATAGTGCCCATAACAACAGGGAGGCTGATAATATTAATAGTGTCTTATTTGAAGCACTTCCCAGGTTTACTCCCCTTATCTCACCTGATGTTCAAAAAATATCTGTGAGGAAGGGCAGAGGGCATTGCTGGCTCCATTTACAGAACAAGGGAATTGAGTGAAAGCATGTTGTGGATGGCAGAGTTGTTATCTGGACCTAGGACTCCTGATTCCAAAGCTCCAATCCAATGGTAGAGCTTCTCTCTACTACTACAGCACTCTCCTTCTCCCTTGACCTGTGAAGCACATTTATTTACTGTGTACTTTAACTTCCATTATATCCTTTACAATTGCAACAACTTTGCAAGGTAACCAGGACAGGGATTCTTGTCCCCATCTTACAGATGAGGACACTGAGTCTAAGGCATTTTGCTGACTTAAGTCACAAAGGACCCAAGTGAGAGAGACAGGTTTAAGCACCAGGTTCTCTGACCATGGCTCCTCCCTAGCAGAGAAGCAGCCCGATCCCTGCCCTCTCTGGTTGTGTGTGTGTTTGTTGGGGCTGGAGGGGTCTGTCTGCTTGCTGGGCTTGGACTGCTATGATGAAGAGGGCCCTGCAAACCCACTGATTGGGAGGGTCTTCCTGCCAAGGCACTATGGCACAGCATTTGGCATCTGGGGTGATGGGATGAGCAGGCATGCTGGCAAGCTGTTCATGTCCTGCTCCAGCCTTTACTGGAGGACCTGCCAGTGCCTCTGATGTCCACAGTCATCCTGTGAGCAATGGCAGGTCCCAGGCTCATAATTAACTGAGCAGACTGGAGGACAGCCAGACTCAGGGCCCTTATTTCAGCAGCTCTGATCAACTGGTAGCAGGATAAGGGGCTTCCAGAATCTTCCATAAACCTTACTTTTTCCAAAACGGGAGGCAGCACATGGGCCCAGAGCCCCACCAGGGACTGTAAAAGTGCCAGCACGTGGTGAATGCCGCAGGAGCAAAACCTGGGGAAGAGAGATTTTTAGTCCCAGCCAGACACTGAATCAAAAAGAAACAAAATGGAATCCCTTGAGGCAGAATTCAAGGACCCAGCCCTTTGAAACCCAAGGAGTCAATTAAAGGCCTTCATCCATTTAGTGGAGTAATGATGAGTCTTCAGAAAGAAGAATGTCAGTTAAATGTGTTTGTGATTCAAAATAAAGATTTATCAAATGCCAAAAGTTCCAGTGGCCAAGCCTTAAATATGAATGATTGAGAACAAAATGACAGAGGCTGGTGATATGTTGGAAGCCAATGAGCCAAGACCCCAAGGGAATCATGATCTTCCTTAGAAAGCACCTATCGTGGAAGAATCAAAGGCGACCAGGTTTTATCTAAAAACACCAGATACTTGCCTCTCCTCCTTCTACTTTATCTTCCTCCTCACACTTTTCTCTTCCTCCCCTCCACCTTTCCCCTCTCCCTCCCCACTTCTTCCTCTTTTCTCCCTTCTTTCTCTTCCCCCACCAACCTTTCTCTTCCTCAGATTCCTCCTCCTCCTCTCCCTGCCTTCCTTCTCCTCCTCAAACTTCCTCTTCCTCTCCAACTTCTTCTTCCTCCTCAAACTTCCTCTTCCTCCTCCTCCTACCTTCTTCCTCCTCAAACTTCCTCTTCCTCTCCAACTTCTTCTTCCTCCTCAAACTTCCTCTTCCTCCTCAAACTTCCTCTTCCTCCTCCTCCTACCTTCTTCCTCCTCCCACTTTCCTTCTCCTTGTTTTTTCTTCTCTTCTCTTCCCTTTTCTTTTACTTTTTCTTCTATTTCATATTTTGTCTGTTTCATATTTCTTCTCCTTTTTTCTTCTTTTCCTCCTCTTTCTTGCCTCACTTTTTCTCTCTCCCTTTCTCCTCTTTCAGCCTTTCTCTTTCTCTGTTTATTTCTTTTCCTCTTACCCTTTACTCCACCCTTTCCAGGAAGATCTTTGTGCTCCCAAACACCTTTGACTCTGTGATGTAGAGTCCTTTGGAAAACTCAGATGTCTTCCTAGAAATGAAAGGCAGTGCAAGTGGCTTCTTGGGGCAAGAAAGGAAAGCACGCATGCTACTTATAAGTTTTCCAAATGGGAATGTTATGTAACCATTAAAAATGGCCCTGAAAACTATGAAATGGGTTAGATGATCTTGCCAGAAACTTATTTACTGCATTTAAATAAAAAATCCAAAATGCAAAATTTCATGTGCAGCATCACAGTTGTCATCACGCTGCATATGATTACCAGCCAAAACCTATGCAGAGGAGAAGCCTGGAAAGAAATACAGTTATGCGTCATTTAATAACCAAGATATGTTCTGAGAAATGCATCATTAGGCAATTTTGTCATTATGTGAACATCATGCAGTGTGCTTACATAAACCTAGATGGTATAGCCTACTGCACACCTGGGCTATATGTTATAGCCTATTGCTCCTAGGCTACTAATCAGTAAAGCGCCTTGCTGTACTGAATACTATAGGCGACTGTAATGCAATGGTATTTGTGTATCTAAACATAGAAAAAGTAAAGCAAAAAAATGCAATATAAAAGATAAAAAATGGTACACCTTTGTAGGGTGCTTACCATGAATGGAGCTTGTAGAACTGGAAGTTACTCTGGGCGAGTCAATGAATGAATGGTGAGTGAATATGAGGCCTAAATTTAGAAAAAATAGTTTTCTTTCTTAAACGATAAACCTTAACCTTACCATTAAAAATGTTTTAACTTTTTTTCTTCACTAAAAGTAAAGGAGTCCTTAGCAATTTTTTTGCTTTATTTAAAATTAACTATAATTTTATTTTATAAACATTTTAATTTGTTAAACTTTTTGGTTCTTTTGTGATAACGCTTACCTTAAAACACAAACACATGGTACAGTTGTAGAAAAGTGTTCATATTTGTATTTTGTAAGTTTTCCCTGTTTTAAAATTTTTTTATTTTTTACTTTTTAAACTTTGCTTTCAAAACTGGGACACAAACACATATATTAGCCTAGGCCTGTTCGGGGTCAGGATCATCAATATCACTGTCTTCCACCTCCACAACTTGTCCCACTGAAAGCTCTTCAAGGACAACAACACACATGGAGCTGTCCTCTCCTATGATAACAGTGCCTTCTTCTGGAATACCTCCTGAAGGACCTGCCTGAGGACGTTTTACAGTTAACTTTTTTTTATAAGTAGGAGTACACTCTAAAATATTGAAAATATAATAAATACATAAACCAGTAACAGAGTCATTTATTTTCAAGTATTATGTACTGTACATAATTGTATGTGCTAGACTTTTACGTGACTGGCAGCGCAGTACATTTGTTTACACCAGTGCCAGCACAAACACAGAAGTAATGCATTGCGCTATGACATCTCTAGGCAATAGGAATTTTACAGCCCAATTATGATCCTATGTGGCCACTGATATATATGACATCCATCATTGCTATGCAGCACATGACTGTACACTTTAAAATGTTAACAGTCATTGTCTTCAAAAGGGAAGGAAGATTCTGGGAATTGTTTTCCACTTTTCACTCCTTTACAAGTTTTTTTTTAGTAAGCAAATAAAATTATATTGCCTTTACAATAATAAAATAAGCAGTCAAATGTTCTTGCCAGAAACTTGCTTTCAGGGCACAGCCCACCGTGCTGCCTGAGGTCACACGCTGCAATGGCAGAGCTTGGTGCCAGCTGAGTGAGAGGTGACTATTTACAAAAGTTCATACCAACCTTCTCACATTGCATGGCCCATAGAACCTTACTTGGCTTTTTAACCTTGAAATAGGAAATACCCCTTTATTGGTCCCCCTGCCCTGCCCCATCAAGGAGCAGGCATTGTGTTGGGTGCATTGTATACCTTGTCATTACAGCCTTGTGGGAGAGGAGCTATTATCATCTCCTTTCTACATATGAGGAAACCAGGCTCAGTCAGAGTGTAAGTGTTTAGCTCAGTATGAGCTGAATTTTCTATTACCCCCGAGATCTCTTAAGGAGTTCAAGGTTCCGAAAGCACTGGACAAGTGTGATCACTCCTTAGAGTAGTGAGAAACCAACTGAAGAGTTATAGAAACCAGGGAAATTTGGTTTGGGAAATGAAGTAGCTAAGACTAGGAAACTACGTGCCCTTGAGTATTGGATGACATTGGTTATCGCTGCTGGTTTCTGAGAATGCTGTTTCCCTTGACATCAAGGGTCAAAACATTTCCATATGTAACCAAACTATTAATATTAAGGATCCTAGGAGTTCCATATACATTGCATATTGCCATGTGCTATAAAAAGTAGATGATTTTAAGATGTTTTCTAATTCGTGTCATTATTTTTACTTACTCTTAAGACAGCTTTATAATTTTTCAAAAAGAAAAATAAGGATATAATATGACCACTTAATCATATCAACTATTTCATTTCTCATTGTTTTCTGTCACTTTTCATACCTATGTAAATATTTTTATATAATTGCAATTGTACTTTAATGGAATTTTTGTCTTAGTTTTGTTCCCAACATCTCATGTACTCTTTTCCATTTACTAAACTTTATATTTATTGTTTGCAGTAAGTACCTAACGTTCATGGAATTAATATACCACTGTTATCTTAATTCTCCTATCATTGGGCACTTAGATTTTTTACCATTATAAATATTGCTGCTATAAATATGTTTTCCATATTACTTACGTTTTTGTCATCTGAATTATTAGCTTGAGACAAATTCCCACGAGTCAGATTACCGATACTAATCATATAAAAATGACTCCAAATATGTGCTGCTGAATTATAATCCAAAAGAATAAGCCAATTTACAGTACCTGGACCTTAGTAGGTACTTAATAAATGTTTAATGAATACACGACATGAGTAAATGCCATCAGCAACATAAGTAAATCTTATTTTGAATATATAAACTAAGAAAAAAGAGATGGCTTTACTTTATTAAATGCATGTATTCTAGCCACATTGACTGAAAACGGGATTTCTGAGAATCAAATATCCTTTTATCATTTATTTTAGTTTCATTAGCTGCAGCTTTCCAAGAAGGGAACATTCTCCAGGAGACCAGCTTGGAGACCTTTGCTAGGGAACTGTTGGAGTGAGTGCCATCACAGTGTCCCCCTGGGAGCCTGGGTCTGGATTGAAAGCACTTGGGGTTTTCAGGATTCTTCAATTCTGCAAGCTTTTCTGTATTCCCATTGGCTTCCCAGCTCTGCAGGTATTTTCTGTATTCTCAGTAACTCTTGAGTTTAAACTTGCAGTTCTTCCAGGTCTCCTCTCCTTATTCTAGACATAGGCAAAGTCTTAGAGAGTAGATCCACCACAATCCAGATGAAGACACACCTGAAATGAAGAAATGCACCAGCCAGAATTCAGAATTTAGGCCCCAAAACCAATGTGTAAATTTGGAGAATGTAGGAGGGAGTATTTGAAGAAACACACTCATAACTCTAAAGAAGAACAGAAAGTCGACATCAACATAGAGAAGACACCAACAAAGACACAGTCTCCCTAGAGGCAGCAGAAATCATGTAATCATAGATCTTTGATAGAAATTAGAAAAAAAATGTAACTACAAATGGGAGCTTGCAGGGGTAGCAAAAGACAAAACCAAACTTGCAAATGTGCTAACAGAAGCAAAGGTGTCAAAGGAGGCTTTTTCATCAGGTTAAAGAGTTAGTCATAGGAGCTCATGTACCACCAACCAAAATCCCATAAAATTGTATAAACATTTGATACGATGCAAAAGAGAATGAGAGACCTAAGCAAAAGAATGAGGAGTTATGGCAATTTGGCAAGAGAAAACCTAGATCAGCAAGGGGGTGAGAAGTGAGGGAAGAGTTAAAGCACAACGTCTAGTATTTATGCTAAGACAATGTTTCTCAACAGCAATTCTTAAATATAGATCACCACAAAGTGACCTATCAGAACTGAAACTGAAAGGACAAAGACAACCTCTTCTAAATGGTCAGATGCAAAAATAAGAATTATGTCACACTTCACCCATCCAAAATTGGCCCAGAGCAGGAGCCCTTGGAGGGACATTCACCCGCAGCTAAGAGAAATAAAGCTAGTACAACTACAGCTTCTTGCCAAGATTATTATTCTCCTTGGAAGCACAAAGAGAATGTTCCAAGACTTGCCCAGAGGACATGAAACGATTTGTCAACAAAGTCTCACAGACAGAAAGATCACTTTAGAAAGTAATGAAGATTTAAAGCTCAACAGAGGGAAATAAGAAATAGTTTAACATTTATTTCTTAAACTTATTTACTAGTAATTAATATTCATTTTACCAAAATGTGCTGTCTTGTATACGATGTTTTGTAGCCTATGTACTTCTTGAGCTTACAGCTCTGGTTAACACACAAGGAAGCGTTGACTCTTCTTTCTCAACTGGTCTTGTAAGGTCAAAGCTTCGAACTCCCTAAGATGAATTTATTTCAGTCATGTATTCTTGTGACTCTCTCAACAGTACTTAACATACTGCTTTGCCAATTTTGCCCACTCTCTAAGTATTGGTAATAGTAAGAAGGCCTGTGTCAAAACTGGGAAAAAAATTTGTTTTCAGAGGGGCTGTATCCTCATGTTCACTGAACTTATATTTAAAAAAATAATATTTATTCTATCAAAGTAACACATGCCCATGGTTTAAAAATAATTATAAAAAGCTCATAACAGTTTCCAAGTTACTCCCTGTGTCACTGCTCCACACTCTTTTCAATCTCCCTCTTCAAGGAACAGTTTTGTTCTTTTAGTTTTTACTTCTGGCATTTAAGCACACACATTTCTGAATAATATGCATATATTGCTTTCTTTGGACAAATGAATTTTAAGTTTTATCTTGAGTTTCTATTATGATAGATGAGGTTTCAGCTCCTTCCACTCTGCTTCCCTGTCCCCATTATATTTGGCTAAATCAATATTCAGTTATTACTGTAGTGCTTCTGTGCAAATATTATTCCCAGCTTTGCACTGTAGAGAATTACATTTGCTTTCTTTCTTGCCTTTTGTCTTTTCTGAAGTGGATTGTCTTCTTTGTTTTTCGTATCATTAGTTGTCTGCATATATTGCTAATTTTCCTGATACCTTCCAAAATTTTAGCACAATTTTCCGCACATCAACCACACTAAGAAATTTATCTTTTCCATTTTTCTCTTGGGTGTATCCATCTGGAATACCTCTATCTTCCCTTTCTATCTGTCAAGTGCTATCTACACCAGCAGAACAATGCCATGCTAGGAATTTCCACTGAATTTTCTAAAGACTTGGATTCTCTGCCCTCTAGATTTTCTGTAATGCTGTTTGGAAATCTAAACGTATTCTGACTATTCTTCTTTTCGCGCACCTGTTGATTCTCACTGACAGCTTATGTAGTCTTTGAGCCAAGTACTCTGAAATTTTACAAAGTGTACATTGATGAGAGCCCATTTCCTCCCACTGCTCTCTCAGTGGGCCCTTTTAGTCTGGAAACTCATGTCCTTCCACTGCAGGAAATCTTTTTGAATCATTTTATTGATTATTTCCTTCCCTGGATTTATTCTATTCTCTCTGGAACTATTTTTTGGATTTCTAAACAAATCATTCAATTTTGACTTTAAAACATCTCTTTAAAAATGCTTTTATTGAGCTTTTCACTTCTGCTGTGATGATTTTAATTTCATAAGTAGGCTGTGTATGTGTGTGTTCTATTTTTCACAACATTCTACTTTCATGAATACACTGTCTTCTCATTTCTGGGGATACTAATGATTGTGTGTTGTTCTAGGTTCCACGTATAAGTGGCATTTCTCAGTTTGATTTTTGGCCTTTCTCTTCTGTGTTACAGGTTGTCCTCAGTTGTTACTCAATCCTTATTTTTTCGTGATTGCGGGAAAGGGATAGTTGATTGAATTTGAGATCCACCGTAGCATTTTCTGAATGTGTTGTTTAGGGAACCTCTCCTGTGGTTATTTTTATGTCTTTCCCCTTGGGCTTGTTATATTCTCTAGGGAGTACTCTTCCAAAATCCTGCCTGGAGGGCAAAAGTCTGGCTACCAGTATTGTGGCAGCTGAACCATAGGAGAGGGTTAGAAATTTTCAGCATTGGATATGCGATTAGCCACTCACTGCTATCAACCTTTTCTGTCAACACCATGTCCAAAGACCTTTTTTAAAAACATTCCTCGCCAGAGAAGAGGCCTCCAGATTTTTGATGAGATGGAGAAGGGATAGTTATCAAGGAATGAGAAAAGGGGTGGGGGGACTCCTTCAAAACATGTCTTTCACCAACCCTTTTGACTTTAGCTTCCCATCTCTTCACTCCCAGTTCCAGAGGCTCCAGTGCTGATGGGTGCTGAGCCTCTTGAAGATTCTTCAATGCAACTTGGATTGGTCCTTATATTTCCTCACTTTATCTTATGATTCAGCTTTATTGCAACTGCTAAATTAGTTATCACTCATCTGCCTGCTTTTCAGCCTCCGAAATTTTGTAATTGTTGTTGCCTGTCCTGTTTTCCTTTCCTTGTAGGTTTCTGTCTTTTAAAATTATCTACTTCACAAGTTTTAGTGGGATTTTAGGAAGGAGTAGAATTAGTGTAGGTGTTTAAAAACACCAGAACTATATTTGCTTTTTAAACATTTGAGCCATATAAAGTTGTCACTTTGTAGGTTATAAATTGGTTTGAATTTGGCAATTTCATATGGTTCAACCATATGTGTGATTATTTTTCAATGTCACTGTAACGATGTCTTTTCATGGAATGGGAGAAATGATGATATATTTATTCCTAAGTGATGTCCCCCATGAGCACTTAAGATCACCCTGAGAAATTGACCTCAGTATTTTCCAACTACATAATACCAGCCCACATGCTTACCATCCACGTTAATTGCTATTTCTCCCAGCAAGGGGATTTTAGGGCACTTTGTCAGGGTAAAATAAGCCAAGCCTTGGTGTATTTAAATGAGCAGTGGTGCTGACTTTAAAGGGCGCAATTCTCACCTCCAGTATTTACTTTCTATAATATGAGGGGGTTCCCTGGACCTAATGCTTTCTTTCATAGACCCTTTATCTCTAGTGTCAGACAAGAGTGGTTTGACAAATTATTGGCTGGATAACCTTTGAAAGACTTTGTCTCTGAATGGGAGTGATAGCAACTTACATCATGGAAGCATTAAAAGAGATAATGAAAGCAAAGATCTTAGCATGGGACCTGACATGCAGTAAAGGTCTCAATGAAACAACCATAATACATATATGGAAATTATTAAGTTATAAGAATCAAATGTCTGTTCATTTCCTCTCTCACCATCATTGCTCTGCAGATCTAAGAATCAAGCAAGACAACATATTTAAAATCTCTATATGGTCTGCCGTGTATTACAGACCACTGATCAATAACTTTCTGAATTGGTTAACTCAAAGGAAGCTGCACAATGTTAAAGATAACTGGTTAATGAACCTGCCAGTCAGACTGGTGTATATTCAGTGTATATTCAGGCTGATGTATGTGCTCTCACATGTGCCTCTCTGCCATAGCTCCCCAAACCACTGGGATCCAGAGAGATAGAAGGGAAGTCAGGCAAACCAAACCCCTTAAATGTATTTCATTTTTCAGAATTAAAATAAAAAATAATCCTTTCCCCTAAAACTTTCAGTAAACTTAATAACTAGAGGAAAAAGGAAGATAAAGCTTTCTTCTCCAAATGTGACCTTTCCTACTTGTTTTTGAGGTGAGATGGTGAGTGGTAGACAAGACTGACATCACATTGTGGTTTAATGTGGCTTTTAGTTTCATGACTGTGAAACCTGCTGTGTGTGATCTTGTGCAATTTCATGAGAATGTAAGCATAGGAAGAACCTGTAGAGGGATCACAGGACTGAAAAAATTTCCATTATTCTCCCATTGGTTTGAGACTATTTCTATGGGAAATAAGACAATAAGAATGTAAGTCTTTTGTCACTTTGATAGAATGGAGTATGACAGAAAAATGTCTTGAAAAGAGCTGTATAGTGATGTGTTATTATCAGCAACTTATTAGGAGGGCATATCTCACAGAAAAAAAGAATTGTTCAAATCATCAATAGTCTAGTTTTTGGAATTCCACAACAGTACAGCTAGAGAGTGATCAAAGTGGAGGAGCAAATTTACAGTTATTGAGCACCAACAGTTTTTCTCAGCCCTCCAGGGAAAGGAAAGTAGCGATCATTATCTCTGTTAAATAGATGAGACAATTCAGGATCTAAGAGCTTAAGTAATATGACCAAGAACTACCAGCTCTCTGTTGATGTGGAGCTGGAACCTAGGACTGTCTGGTTCTAAAATGTTGACTTTTTATTCTCAAACTTGGCAGATGAGAAACCTAAGGCTAAAGAAGGGGTTGTAGTGCACACAAGGTTTCACTGCTGGTTAGTAGTTAAACCAGAACCAGATCCCACGTCTCTTGACTCTTAGTTCAGTTTGCTGACAAAGACATAGAAGAGACATATTCTCTTCTTTGTATTGCCTTCTTCACAAACCACCCACAGAATGTCATTGTATAAATAATTCTCCCCTTTTCAAAAGTGAGAATGGATTTGTCCTGGTCTTAGGCTTTAAAACAGGCTGATGGAGAGGACAGAGATCAGGCTTGCTGTAACTGATGGGTGTGGTACTAATTCTCACCTGGGAAGAATTCACAGACTAGCTGGGGGCCTGGTCAGCAGCGATTCTTCGTAGTTTCTTGACATGGTGAGATGGGGGCCGTGAAGATTCCTCATCGTGTTGCTTCTCAGCAGATGTCTGTTAAGCAATTGAGAACTAGCAAGATCCCTTTCCAACAGTGATATTGGGGCATAGTCATGAGAACCTACATTTTTTTTTTTTTGAATCTGTATAAAATAAAGCTCATTTGCCTATAGGAATAATCCCTTTGAGGCCCCAGCATGATGATTCAGGCCTTCATTTCTCTGAGTCCACCATAGTCATCACACATTTCACAGGCCTGACTCTGGCACAAGAACTTTAAATAAACCCTCCGAACATGTTTTAAAGGGACATCACAAAAGCAAATTGCTATACTTAGTGCTAAGGTGTTAGAATTTTTTGTTTTAAGTAATGGAATGCTTGTTCATGACGTGAAAGAATTGCCTTACTAATGAGCTCGATGTTATAATATATTAAATACCAACTCTATATGTATAAATGGCAGGAACAATTATTAATACAGAATGTTAAACTTTCTAGAATATTATAAGGGCAAAGAATAAGTGACAAAAAATTTTAACAGACTCAGGAAGATTGCTGGCTGATATAGTTTGGCTGTGTCCCCACCCAAATCTCATCTTGAATTGTAGCTCTCATAATTCCCATGTGTTGTGGGAGGGAGCTGGTGGGAGATAATTGAATCATGGGGGTGGTTTCCCCCATACTTTTCTCGTGGTAGTGAATAAGTCTCACAAGATCTGATGGTTTTATAAGGGGAAACCCCTTTCACTTGGTTCTCATTCTCTTTTTGCCTGCTGCCATGGAAGATGTGCCTTTTGCCTTCCACCATGATTGTGAGGCCTCCCCAGCCACATGGAACCATGAGTCCATTAAACCTCTTTTTCTTTGTAAATTACCCAGTCTCAGATATGTCTTTGTCAGCAGTGTGAGAACAGACTAATATACTGGCAAATAGGAAGAACATACAATAAAATAAGGATTGTTTTTAACTTTCATTTTTATTTTAATTTTATTTGTTGAATTGTTAAAGTGTCACATATAACGTAGGTGTTTGTATGTATGCTCTGTATAAAAATTAACTGGAATGGAGGCAGATAAGTTGGTGAATTCTTATCCCATATTGGAAAGATCTCAAATTTAGAACCATAAGAAGCTGGGTTGAAATTTGTTTACCACTTAATTGACGTGTTACCTTAATGACTGTTGTAAACATTTTGAGCTCTATAGAATCAGGATCAAAATACTTACCCATTGTACATATGATGATAAAGCATCTAAGAGCATACCATTCTTCAATGAGTGCCTAGCACACTTTATGGAATGAGTTATTTTCTTCAGTTATTTCCCCTTCCTGCCTCTACCCTCTTTGCTATTTATCTTTACAGTGCTTTCTCACTGTGAGCAGAATGTACTCCCTTGACTTTTGATTTGGGTTTGATCACAAAGTATACCTTGGACAAGAGAATGCAGCAGATTGTAACATTATGCCAGTTCCTAGAAGAGGCCTCAAGAGACCTTATGTGTTTCTGCTCTGCTCTTGCTCCTCTGGCATCACTGTGAGAACATGCTGGCCTAGCTTGCTATTCTCAGGAGGAGCTTTCTTAACTAAGTTGAAGAGTGGAGCTTTCCTAACAAAGTTGCCTTAGCTTAGAGCAGAGGCTCTACCACTTTCCTGTCCCAGCCAATCCACAGACACATGAGTATGCCCAACAAGGATGACCAGAGCCACCCAGATGAGCCCAGCCTACATTAGCCAATTTGCAACAAACCCCTAGAAACATGGGTTATAATAATGTTACCTATAAATTTATAAAACAAATTGTGTTAAACCACTGAGCATTGAGTTGGTTTATTACACAGCAGTCACTGACTGATACACTCATACTGGGTACCTAATAAGAACTTTTCTAATAAGAACCAGAGTTGAAAAGCTACAATGTATAAATCTGTTTACTACATATCTATTTACACCAGTTTGGCCCCTTAACTCAGCTGTCTGTACATCTATAACTGAGGCTACAGGCACCCTGTAAAAAGTGGCTAGAGATTCCTTCAGCAAACTCAAGGTTGGTCTCCAGTCTCTTCTTCTCTGACAAGGTACCCTCTGGTTCCATCATTTAGTACCTGGATTCTTCTCCTTGGCCAAGCCATGCAGACTTTCGTCTTGATCATCCAAACAGCTTGGCTTTTTTACTTTGATTGCTGCTGGACACACTCTGTCTCATGGTATTCACCTTTATCCCGAGTTCAGGGGGCTCATTGCACCACATCCCCATATTCAGCCGAAGCCCTGGGATACAAGTTCTGAATTCTCATTTGTCTATGAAGAAAGGCTGAGCAAGAAGTACCCATAAGATAATGGCTTAAGCAGCATTCTCATTGTAACCTTTGTTAAAATCACTTGGCTAAACAATTCTTAATTGTGGTCTGAGGGCAAAGCAAGGCATTTAATAGTCATATCAAAATTCTCCTCTCAGGTAAGTGGGAGCACAGAACAGTAGAATCCCAGAAGCTTGTAATGGGCAGAGGGTATAGGGAGACTTATCTTTGGGTCTATAGGGAATACAAAAGAAGATGGCCCAAGAGGCGACCTTCATTAGTGAAATCAAAATCAGAAGCCAAGTAGACAGTTCAACTGAAATGTTTATATGTGGGATATGAGCCAGGAGGCAGAATCTAGGGTTGAAGTAACAGGTCAGAAACCAGGAACCCCAGTCCGTATGAGAATGAAAAGATTTCTACAGGAGATGGAAACAGATCCTGGAGAACTTCTTTAAACTCTTCATGGAGCTCCTAAAGGCTCAACTGTGGCTGGAGAAAAAGCCCCCCATGTCACATGCCAACCCCAAATGCACCTTCAAAGAACTAGAAACTGACTAGTCATTACTGTCAGAAGATCTCTAACAGCTCTTGGCTGTGTGTATAACACAAATTCAAAAAGTGAGTCCCATCTAACCACCTTTCTCCCAATTATCCCAATCATTCTACAGTAGAAAAGGGAACAGAACAACTGCCCTAATTCACCACACCCTGGAGACAGCTGAGCTTTCTCATTTCCCAGGGATCCCATGGGTGCAGGGAGATGTAGTTGACAGTGGAGAGAATTGCTATCGATATACAAAGAAGTTGTTTCTATCTGGCCACGGGGCATGTGAAGTCATAGAATTTTAACATAGAGGTGGGAAAAGGGATGGGGAGGATTAGAACACCTAGAATGAATTAATCTTCCAAAGGTGGAATTAGTGGAGACCCAGGTATGGATGTAATTTCAAATGTCTAGTAAATCTTTTCACCCTTCAAAAATATCTTGCATCTCTGCCTTAAGTAGTATCATTAAAGATCCATTTACTTGGTTAGAAGAATACTTTAAATATTTCTCTAAGAATATTATTATACATTTGTCCTTGGGAGAGATAAGAATCAGAATCGAGTAAGAATCTGCTAGTCATTTAAACCTTAATGGCAATTAATTTAATAGAAAGAGGGTGGAGAAAGACAGACAGACCTAGTGGAATTTCATGGAGGGTATCAGAGGCCCAACCCCTGGCTGTAAAAAGGATGGGAGGGAGGGTAGGGACTAGGAGACAAAGTAGAAGTGAGAGAAACACAAGAAGTGAGAAAAACACAAGAAGTGAGAAACACTTTACATACTTAATAACTAGAATGGTGAAAACAAATAGAAGAAAAGGACAAGCCAGGGTTCTAGCGTCTTCCCCAGTCTGCTTAGAGGACCAACTAAATTTACATTGGTAGAGCATCTAACACAAGGCTACACACACACAGGGTATCTAATAAATGACCATTATCATTACTTTTATTATTATAAGTAGCTTTTATTTTCCTAAGGAGATGCCTCTGTTCTGAAAACAAGTGCCCAGAGACCAGTCTTTGAGGGTCAGGTTCTCAATCTCTTAACCTCTTTTACACCTACTCTTCAATCCTCATTCTACCCAATCCTCCTGGCCACCAAGTCTGCTGCCCATCTCCCATGTAAGCCCTCCCTTGCCCCACCTCTCATTTGGATCTACCATCTGGTTCCATGGTCTTTTCTTCTTGTCTGTTTTTCTTTTAGTTCCTTTGTTTAGTTTACAGACATAACACCCTTCCGAGAATAAACCATCCTCCAGACTCTCCTACTATATACGGTTCCCCTTAGGCAGACCTTTCTAGTCCGTCCTGAACTCAAAGGAACAACCTTCATGGAAAGAAACTTGTACATTTGGGAAACCTGAATGTGAGACCTGGCACTGCCTCTTGGTAGCTCTATGACCTTGAAAACTCACTTATCATCTGTAAGCCTCAATTTTCTTATCTGTAAAACTGGGATAATGTTTCCCACCCTGTCTATTTATTCAGCATACAACCCAGGTTTATTGACAACAAGTAATGAGGACACTACAGTGAATAAAATATAGGAATGATCCTTCTCTGCACAGAGCTTACAGTCCGGGGGGATTCAGACATTAATCGAATAATATAAATAAACATAAAATAATAAATTTGACTTACAAATAAAGATAAAATATTAACTGTGGCAGGCACTGTGAAGAAGGGATGTTGGGCATATAATAGAAAGATTTTATGGAGTAATGGAATCAGGGAAGATTGACTTTTCCTGAGGAAGTGAAGCTTGAATTAGCGTTTGAAGGTCAAATACAAGAAAACTGAACCAAAAGAAGTAGAGTACTCTGAGCAAATGGAACAGCATATTCAAAGGCCTCATGGTCATAAAAATATAGTGGTCTTTGTGATGCCCTTGAAAAATCAGAAAAATACGCCCCTTTTTTCCCCAGACACTTTATTGCTAGCTGCCAGAAGATTGTTGAATTCTTGGATGTGCGTGATGTTAACTGATGCCCCTTAGTGTTGTGCATTGCAAAACCTGCAAAACGGTATAAGACAACTCCAATTTAAGAAACGGAAGAAAGAAAGCCTGACCGGGCGCGGTGGCTCATGCCTGTAATCCCAGCACTTTGGGAGGCCGAGGCGGGTGGATCACCAAGTCAGGAGATCGAGACCATCCTGGCTAACATGGTGAAACCCCATCTCTACATAAAATACAAAAAATTAGCCGGGCGTAGTGGCGGGCGCCTGTAGTCCCAGCTACTCGGGAGGCTGAGGCAGGAGAATGGCGTGAACCCGGGAGGCAGAGCTTGCAGTGAGCCGAGATCACGCCACTGCACTCAGGCCTGGGCAACAGAGCGACAGACTCTGTCTCAAAAAAAAGAAAGAAATGAAAGAAGGCCCATGTGGCTCCACCTGGAAGAGTGAAGGAAGCATGATGTCACATAAGTCAGGAAAGAAAGGTGGTGGTCATGCAAAGGAATCTTGTCTTTATTCTAAAAGTTTTAGGAAGTCACACTATCAGATCTTCATTTTTCAAAGAGTACTGGCTACTGTAGAAGTCTTGGGTTAGAGTAGAGTCAAAGGGGCTGCAAGTAGATAAATTTGGAGGTTACTACAGTCACTCAGAATATGATGGTGGGAGTTTAACTGGGGTGGTAGTAATGTTGGAGAGATAATTAGACAAATCAAGGCCATATTTACCTGGTAAACTGACAGGACTTGGTTTTGAAATATATAAAAAGATAAGGAGATGAAGGTTTTCAGAATGGTCTCCATACTTTCTGGTAGATGAATGGTAGTCCCATGCACTGTGGAGCTGTCAAAAACATAAGGGGTCTGAGCTTTTACCTTACTTGGAAGCTAATATGTTAGTCTGCCACAGTTTTATGGATGCTGGAAGAAGACATGAGACTGTGATTCAGAGATGAAGAACTTTATTACTCATCCCAGAGCAGGCAGTATGAGCTTCATGTTTGCATCAGTTTCCCATGCCCCCAAGTCCCACGGGGATTCACAGAGTGGCTAAGGTGCATGCCATACACACAGTGGCTTTGCATCACAGCTGAGGAACTCCAAGCTTAGGAAGCCCAAATCTTTTATAATGAGCTGTATGAAAATCTGCCCGTTGCCCTGGAAGACAACATAATCTTTCTTACACTGAACAGTGAACAAATCTGCTCTTTGTTCCAGAGGTTGATGCTCCTGATAAAAACATCCTTAATGAGACAGTCCACCAAAAAGGCTGTCAGTGCGTTTGCTTACAAGATGTACAGAAATATAAGACATCCATGGGAAATTGTTTCACAACAATGAAAAACCATGACAAAAACCATGAAGTTTTCTGTCTAGCACAGAGGATTTTATGTGAATCAAACAATACAACATTTGCTAAATTGCCTGCAAAACTATAAAGAAGTAAGCCTTGGTAACCACGTCACCATATTTTCTTAGTGAAGTCATAGTATTTGTTTCATTTGAAGTTTTGCAATCAACAAAAAGGAAAACAGAACAGGAGGGGAACTGACCTTTGGTAGTAGGGGAATTATTGGGAACTCTCCACATGGTAGGTCAAATGCTAGGATATAATTTCTTATTTAGTCCTCACAATCACATTATGGAGTTGACATTATCCTCATTTTATGGATAAGGAAACTGAGATTCAGAGGGTTAGTCCATTTTCTCAAGGTCACTCTTTAGGTAAGTGATGAAGCAGGCATTCAACCCCATGTGTGTATGTTCTTTATCACTGTGTTACACTGTATACCATTTTGTTCCTCTTATATACTATGTTACATTTTATGAACATCATTTCATTTGACTTTCACACTCTATGAGGTTGAATTAGCATCCTTATTTTTTATTTAAGAACAAACAACAACTAAGCTTTAGAGAAATTGAGCAATTTGCTTAGTTTTACACAGATAACATATAGATTACAAGTAAAGATTATATTTATCAGTTGGGCGCAGTGGCTCAAGCTGGTAATCCCAGCAGTTTGGGAGGCCATGGAGGGTGGATCACTTGAGGTCAGGAGTTTGAGACCAGCCTGGCCAACATGGCAAAACCCCGTCTGTACTAAAAATAAAAAAATTAGCCAGGTGTAGTGGTGCACGCCTGTAATCCCAGCTACTCAGGAGGCTGAGGCAGGAGAATTGCTTGAACCCGGGAGGCGGAGGTTGCAGTGAGCTGAGATCATGCCACTGCACTCCAGCCTGGGTGATAAGAGCGAAACTCCGTCTCAAAAAAAAAAAGATATTTTTCATATGTCTATTGTTACATATTATTAAATTATATGTAATATATGTTATTATGTATTTACTATTAATAAATGATAAAGTTTTATGGTTGAGTCTGTGTGACTTCCAGGTTCATGCTTGCTCACTTGCTTTCTTTTCTGATTTTCTTAACATACCATGTACCTTTAAAAAACTATTTTATTATTTATTTATTACACCAGTAATACATGTACGTCATAGAAACATAAAATATAGACAAGCATAAATAATCTCACAGTGACCCACTATTCAGAAATAACTGCTGTTTATGTATTCTGTGGAAGGTGTGGTTCTACAGACCAACAAGAGAGAAGGAGAGGGGTTCTGACACCCCGTAGAGAGCAGATGGCATTGCTTCTCAGGGATGCAGTGATGTGGTGGATCACCCTCCCTAAATTTCAGTGATTAGAATGCTAATAAATCAAGAGGAGGGGTCATGGCAAATGGCTACCTGGCCTCGGCCATAGGGGCAGAAGTGGCATTAATTGGTTCACCATAGGCTGCCTATCTAGTAATAGTCATGAGCGAGTTTTAAGTGAGTCCACTAGAAATAATGCCTTCTCTGATATATCTCTTGGAAAATCAGTAAACAAGCCTTCTTTGGAATCTTTGTTATAATAAAGCATTGCAAACACGCCAACTATAGTCAACAAGACATTAGCTAAATAGATTATGAAATACCCATGCCATGAGATACTCTGTCAGACATTTAAAAATAAGGTAGATATATATGTACTAACAGAAAAATTGCTTCAGGATATATTAGTATGTGAAGAGAAAAATCAAGTAATGAAATAATATTTACATTATTGTCTACATTTATGTAAGAAACAAAAATGTATGTACATATGTGAGTGTACGTGGGTAGATGAGTAGAAGGAGCTCAGAAGCCTCACATCCCAGTTAGCACCAGGCGACTCTGGGAAATAAGCATATGGGGAAGGAGGGGCTGGCAAGGAGGTTGCAACATCCAGGGGGATCTATACATTGTTCTTTGTACTGTTTGAATTTTTTACAATAAGAATGTGTTTTCCATATCACTTGTGTAATTAAATGCAAAGATAAAAAGAAAAATAACTTTATCACCACTTGTAGTTGTCACTCTCCAGCATCTCCCATGGGTACAATTTATGCCACATGGACAGATTTCTATTTTTTTACTGCACGATGTACATTTAAATCAAGTGCTTGAATTTTTCATATGTCCAAATACCTTTTAATGTTGCCTATGCAAGGATTGTCATTTAAAATATGTTTTGTGCTGCTTTTGAAACACATTTAATCTTTCTCCATTAATCTGCTTTCTCTAAACCTTTCCCTAATTCTTCTCAAGGATTTCCCACCTGCTGTGTGGGATATACAACAGAGTGACTCTAATCATGTTTGGAATTATTTTTATCAATTTAATCCATATTTGGCAGTTATTTCCATTCTGGAGTCTTAGGCATTTAAGGCTGTATGCTGATCAATTTCTCAGTGTTACGTGACATTGGCAACAGATAAGGTAATACATGGATAATTACCTTTTGAAAAATAATAGCACTCCACATAGGCTAAGCCAAGCTTAGATCTATCTATTGAATATGTTTGAGACCTTCCAATTGTGGACGTTCTCTACAACCAAAAGTAATACCTTTTTCTCAGATTATACACAGGCTGCATATTTTTAAAGCCCTTTTCATGCAGGTGTGCTTATGGGCTCATTTGCTCATGGGCTACTTTTTGACACAAAATCCAGTTTGAGGCTTTAAATAGAGACAGATGGTCAAGTGGCTCAACATTTAGACTCCACCTCCCTAGATTAAGCCAGGACTTCCTTTTGTCCTTGGTGTGGGGTCAGTTTCTCCTGGGGTGGTCCACCCCCAGGGCTGCAGATGCTGACTTCAGCCTTCTCACTTTGCTTTGAATCCATGTCATGCCGCCTCACTGTCTCTTCATTTTGTGGAAACAGCAGCCATTGGGAATGAGGGGGGAAAAACGAGACTGGCATCATGGAGCACTCTGCCAGCACTGTGAGGCATGAAGTGTTGTTTGATTTTGTTTGTTTGTTTGTTTACTGTTCTTCCACAGGGGTGGGAGCTATGAAATGACACCTGATAGTTCTGATAGGAAGCTCTGTTTTGAGCCATAGGGTTCATTACCAATTTGACCTGCTGTGTGGTTTGGACACTGTGTTCATGATCTCTCTCTGCCGTGAATTCTGACCTTCAAAAAATGGAAATTATATCTTCTTGGATACATCTTATGGGATAAAGGTTATTTCCTTTTCCTAATGCTGATGTAAAACACACAAAAAACATCCTTTATATAAGGTAAACCTCACTGCAATGTAGTCTTTAGGTACCTGGAGTATCCATGGCTTTATGGGTTCAACTGTGGCTCCATCAGCTGTGTGACCTTGGACAAGTAATTTAACCTCCCAAAGCTTTAAATTCTTCATGGCTACAAAACGAACTTCGCTAATGAAATTGTCATGAGAATACAACGCAATAAAAGTAATCAAACTCTGAAATCACTCTGTCTACCTCTGGAATTCTCACTGTGTGAAATAATAAATGTCCTTATTGTTTAAAACACACTACCTGGGGATTCTTTGACTTGCATTCAAATGCATCCTGACCTTTGTTTGGTGTTTGATTGTGCTGCTCCCACATGTGAGGTTTATACCTCAGTAATTACAGCCTTAAGCCCAGGTGTTCAAGGCTGAAGTGAGCTGTGATTGTGCCACTGCCCTCCAGCCTAGACGCCTGTCTCTAAACAGCAACAACTGCTACTACACTGTAGCATCTCAGAACTCTTCGCTGCAACAATGGCCATCCATAGATCCTGTCTTTCTTTCTCTACATCCTGGCAGCAAACTTCTGGTAGAATCTAGAACTTTCTAAGTCTTACATATCAGGCTCCTGGATTCTTACCCTGTATTCTCTTTAATTGCTTCAAAAAGACACAATTTTGACTCTTTTCTTTCACTGTTCCACTTGGAATTGAGATCCCGGGGCTTACTGGATACCTATCATATGTCTGTGTCTCCAGTGTGACATTCAGCCTCAAGTCCAAGTTGCCTGATTTCATTCAAAGCTGTGGCTGTGACCTCCCTAGTGAGCATCCCCTGCCTGCCAGATCACCTTTCTCTGCAAGTGGGACTGTGCCTCTTGCTGCCAAACTTCACAATTTCTCCATAGTTCAACATGAGGAAGATACTGCTAGGGAAAAATTAAACAAATGATTACCTCTTCTTTCCAGTTACTTTTTTATATTTTTTCTTTTTTCAGTCATATATTAATGCAGTAACAATGATATATATATTATAAGACACTTAGACCTCAATTTTCTGATTTCTAAGCCATTTCATTATATTTCTTCAAAGCTCCCCACTCCTTTCTCATTAATTTCTCATTTGACTGGATATTGTGTGAAATAATCTGACCCTGAAGTGCATGCTCTAAACCACTGTGTTTGTCTAGAGTAGGATCAAATTTCCTTTGGATAGGTGAATAGTTTTCTGTTGCCTAATATGGCAGGTAACTTACTAGCAACATGTGATTTTTAAATTTAAATTCACTGTAATAAAATTTGAAATTCAGTTCTTCAATCACATTAGCCACTTCTCAAGTGCTCAAAAGCTACATGTAGCTAGGGGCTACCATATTGGACAACACAGATTATAGAACATTTCCATCTCTACAGAAAGTTCTGTTGGACAGTGCTGCTCTGGATCATGAAACGTCAAATTTCAAAATCTGAGTGTCAAAATTCCAATTATGAAAGGGATATGGGCTTAAATATGGTGAAAAGTTATGGAGCCGCAGATTTATACCTTGGCTCCAAGGCCTCACTAACCATATGAGCTTGAGCAAATCACTTTACTTCCTGCCCTTTAGTTACTCCAGATCTATAAAGTGACAATAAAGTAGATTACTTATTTCCCTGAGCTGTTGTACATAAAAGTGCTTGTTATTACATTCAAAACTAACGTTGAATTTCATTGGGGATTGCAGATGGGCCATGTAACAGAAGTGATCACCATGTGCTTGTTGCCTATTCTTAAGACGGAGGAAACTATTTGGGGCTGACCCTCACCATAGATGGGGGGAGAGGTGTGGTCGTGGCCACAGCTCCACCAGCCTCTAGGATTGGCCGCATGCTGTTTTTGACAGGTGTTTTATATTATCAACCTCTCCTCTGGACTAAGCAGCACTGAGGAACGTACTCTGATTGTCTGACTATGTTTCAAACATTTCATCTGGGGCCACAGCCTTGAAAGACAATTCTTACCCATAGTTTCACCAGTGAGGATCTCAGCAGCCCAGAAGAGTCCCTGGTTCCACTCACTGGCTGACAATGACCCTCTGAAGACCAAATTCAGAGACTCCACTCTTCCTTTGGATGCAGGTGCAAAGGTCACCCTGGGATAATGCCCTCATACAGCAGCATCACTGAGCTGACTCTTTTTTGTTTTGTTTTGTTTTGTTTTGTTTTTTGAGACAGAGTCTTGCTCTGTCACCCAGGCTGGAGTGCAGTGGTGGGATCTCAGCTCACTGCAACCTCCAGCTCCTGGGTTCAAGCAATTCTCCTGCCTCAGCCTCTCGAGTAGCTGGGATTACAGGTGCCCACCACCACGCCTGGCTAATTTTTGTATTTTTAGTAGAGACAGGGTTTCACCATGTTGGACCAGGCTGGTCTTGAACTCCTGGCCTCAGGTGATCCACCAGCCTCAGCTTCCCAAAGTCCTGGGATTACAGGCATGAGCCACCACACCTGGCCAAGCTGACTCTTAAATAATCTCATCACAAACAGCATGTAAGCCATTTGCAAAGCCCCACAATTTATGCCATTTTCCCAAGGAGGAGGACATTAGAAACTCAGCCCCATTTCATTATCCATTTGAATAACTTTTTCAATTTCGAGCTTGCTGCCTAACCATGAGGGCTGAATTATGACTAGATTCTCCCTCTCCGGCTCTCTCTCTCCTTCCCGGCCTAGTGGAAGCACTAAATAGGTAAATAAAAATCACTGCAGAATAATTGTAGGTTCTGTGAGCTAAAAGCCAAACTGGGCCGATCCACAGCCTTCTCTGTCTAGTTTTTTTTTTTTTTTTTTGGCCCATCATTATAGGGGATTCAATTATCTCCATGAGCACAGTGGAAGTTTGCATACACCAGCCCTGGGGCATTATTCATCACAATGCATTTTGAGACAGAAAGAAAAAGAAGGAGATGTCTCTGGTTTTCCCTAAAGCTGTATTTTTCATTTGGAGACTTAGTCAAATTTTAGCATTTTTAGCCCCCCCACCCCAAGTCCCCTTCTCAAGCATAAGCTATTCTCAGAGTGCCCTCATGCAAATGCTAGAGAATGTTGGAGTATGAAACCAGGGCTTCTTGGCATTTGCTGGGGAGGGTTGCTGTCTTAAAAGGCCATGGAAACAGAAAGAAATTTACCCCTGGGAATTTGTCCCTTTCCGTGCAGTCTTTTGGGATTTAGGGATGATCTTAGTGGGTTTCCACTGAAGAAGAGACAACTAGATCTGAGAAAGTCTGCCTTCTGCCTTCTCTGGTGCCCACAGCATCCCTCAATAATGACAGCACTGAATGCTACCTCCAGGTCAGGCAGTATTCTGAATACTCTGAAAGTAGTAACGCATTTAAAATTCACAGAACTCCTTTGAGGCAGATAGTATAATTATTCTCATTTTGCAGAGACAAACCTAGAGAATTGTTAAGAACTTAGTCCAGTTCAGAGAGCCAGTATGCGGTAGAGATGGGACTCAAAATCTAGGCAGCCTTGCTCTGGAGCCTCTGCCCTTAGCTGCTAAGCTCTCTGGGCTCATGCATATCACTTAACTTCCATTTGCCCTTTGTATTTGGTGTCCTGACCAAGCTCCAACCCACAGCTATGGAGTTCCCAGCAAAGGAAGCGCATGCAATGGGGACAATTTCATCCCTGACCCTACTATTCTATTTGTAGGTCAGAGCAAAAGAACACATGGAAGTCCGCATAATGTATGTCCAATGTTTTAAAAGTTATAAATCATGCCTGCAAACTGTTAAATAAGTTCTGTCTTCCAATTTTGAAAATTATTGTCTTCATAATGACCTGGAAGACTAGGCGTGAAGTTAGAGTTCTCACATTCCCAGGAGTTCTGCTCTAGAACTTGTCAGCACAGGGAGAGCTCATCTCTAGGCCCAGGCCAGCCTCCACCTTTTCTTCCCACCCTGCTTCTGCCTACACCATAAGGGGCCACACTCACACCCCTGCCCACATGTTCATGCTCCACCATACTCTCCACAAACAGTTTCCCCCTGGGTGGCCACCCTTTAGGACTTGGGGTGTGTAGATTGGCAGTATGGTCTGCCTTCAGGTCCACAGACTTAAGAGACCTGAAGGATCCCATTTGGACAGGGAATTCCAGTTTCCCCAGTACGCAAAGCATCATCTCCCAGAGGGGGCATGGGCTCTAGGTTGGCATGTCACGTTGGATCCTGGATTCCTATCCCATGGAGAGGGGCCAGAGGAGAATCAGAAAGGGCCAGGTACCATATGAGGCCAAGCAATGAGTTTGAGCAGATATTTCTCTAAAGCAGATACACCAATAGTTAATAAGTACATAAAAAGATGCTCAGCATCATTTAGCCATCGGCGAAATGCAAGTCAAAACCACAGTGAGACACCACCTTACACCCACTGGTATGTCTATAATCAAAAAGATAATTAATAACAAGTGTTGATAAAGATGTGGAGATATTTGGAACCCTAATACATTGCTGCTGGAAATACGAAATGGTGCAGTTGCTTTGGAAAACAGTTCGGCAGTTCCTCAAATTGCTAAACATGAGGTTACCATGTGACCCAACCATCCACTCCTAGGTATGTACCCAAGAGAAATGAAAACATATGTCCACCCAAAAAAAACTCATATACAAATGTTCCTAGAACTACTATTCATGATAGCCAAAAAGTAGAAACCATCCAAATGAATGGTTAAATAAAATGTGGTATATCCATACAATGCCTTGTACATCGATATTCTTTATGAACATTGGTGATATGTATGGTTGATAATATGTATCGAATATTATTTTCCAATAAAAAGGAATGAAGTACTGATGGAAGTACAGCATGGATGGACCTTGAAAACATTAAGTGAAAAAAGCCAGATAGAAAAGGCCACATATTATTTGATCCCAGTTATTTGAAATGTCCAGAATATGAAAATCTACGGAGACAGAAAGTAGATTAATGATTGTCTAGGGTTTGGGGGAAATGGGGAGTGACTGTTAATGAATACAAGGTTTCTTTTTGGGTAAGAGGTCAATTCTAATATTGATTGTGGTGATGGTTGCTCAACTCTGTGAATATACTAAAAGCCACCGAATCATACACTTTAAATGATAAATTTTATGATGTGTTAATTGTATCTCAATAAAACTGTTTTGAAAATATGAGATTTATGACAGGAGTTTCCTGGCCAGAGTGTGGGCTTAGCAGGTCTCCTAACACTCATATGGCTTGACCGGGAGAAATTAAGTGTCGTATCCCCAAGGAAGAGTCAAGATTCCAGAGCTTGAAGGTGATGTGATCTAGCTTAGGGCTATGAACCAAAGGGATGGAAATGGCACAAAGACGGCAATTAGTCCTGTTTTTTCTGGTCAGTGCCAGTGTCATGAGTCAGAGAAATTCATCAAGACGAGACAGGGTCCAGTCCCTGCTGCATACTGGAATTGGGAGTTTCTTGCAATGAAGGTGTCAGAGCCCAGCTGTCTAAGAGAGTCAACAAGGCTTAGAAAACAAATTACAAATCATCTGGGTACCTTGAATGAAAATCAAGAGTCAGAACTTACCTAGCAATTCATGGTGGCTTTGGATACCTGTGGTGGATAGGCTTGCAGGCCTTGCTGAAGCAATTTGCCGTGTTGTAAGAGGCCCATGTAGGAAGAAACTGAGGGAAGTCTCTGGCTAACAGCCAACAAGGAACTGATGTGGTCAGTCCAGTAGTCCCAAAGGAGCTGAATTCTTCCAACAAGCACATAAGCTTGGAAGCAACCCTTTCCAGTGGAGCCTTCAGAAGAGACCACAGCCCAGGATGACACCTTCCTTGCAACGTGTGAAGGACACAAAGTGGAGGAGCCAAGTAAGCTCTGCCTGGATCCTTGACTGCGATACATGTTTCATATTTTAAAACACTAAGTTTGCGGTAATTTGTTGTACAGCAATAGATAACTAACACAGCCTCTAGGTCCTATTCACCCTGAGTATGCAACACTCTTCTATAATTTCTCTCCAGAAAGAACAAGGAGGAACATCACATTAGGCTTGCCTTTCTTTAGTTCATAGCTCCGTTTAGCTTAACTTGTAATCAACATTACTGTCATAGACAGCTGGGCACGGACAAAACAGTCTTGAAATGCTATTTTGCATTTGCTGCTGATTCCTGTATTGTCCCAATAGACTTTACTCTTGAAGGCAGGAAGCAGGCATGTCCTATTCATCTCTGTGTCCATCTCTGCAAAGTGCTTCCCACAGAGCAGATACTCAAATGAAGTATTTTAAGCAAACCCTGAACTCCAATAGATGGTAAGCTCCTCAAAGGCAGAGATGGTTTTTTATTCGTGTTACTTACTGAATGAATAAGCGAATGGGTGGATGAATGACCAAGTCAGTAGGTCAGGGACATGCCCAGAACTGCTGAAAGTGGGCAATGAATGCACAACCAGAAGGAATTGGCACACTCCCGATCTCAGGCTTCCTTTCTGCATATCTTTAAACCTAACATTTAAATATTTGTTATCAGATTACTTAAAAGAATTACATAAACTCTCTGCCTCTATTTATTCGCCTCTCATTTACTCCATGACTCTCTCCACTTGAACAGATCTCACTGGGACCACCAATGACCTTCCTGTCATTGAACCCAATGGGCCCAGTTCTCTTCTCTTCTCTGGCCTCGGCAGTGTTCAACACCATCAACCTTGTCTTCCACAAACCTCCCTCTCCCAATTTCCTATCTCCCTGGTCACCATTCTTAACCTCCTTTTTCTTTACTTTTGAATATGATAGTTCCTCAAGGTATACTCCTAGCCTTCTTTCTCCTCCCACTGCATTTTATTCCTCAGTGATCTCATCCTCACCCTTGGCTTCAGTTGCTGAGTAGACACTGCAGCTCCCAATATATACATCCAGTCCCATTCTCTCCTCCGCACCTCTGGCCCATGTATCCAACTGCCTCCATCTCCACTCGGGTATCTCAAAAACATCTTAACCCCAGCCTGTCTAAAACTACCCCCACAAATCCTGATCTCTAGCAATGTTTATCATACAATGCATAAGCCTCCAGTTAACTTATTCAGATCCCAGTTCAAATGACACTTTTGGGAAAGCTTGCCCTGACCCCTTACTTTGCCTCTGTGCTTTTCCTTCATAGCATTTATCACAGCTTGTAATTATCCACTGGTGTGATTATTCAATCAATGTCTTTCTCCTCTGCTGGAACGTAAGCTCACCGGAGTAAGGGCCATGGCTGTTTTGCTCACGATTCGTTCCCTCGTGACTAGCACAGTGGCTAAAACTATAAATATTGGTTAAATATGTAAGTGCAAGCTGAATTCCTCTCTTTCTCTTTTGCTACTTTATTTAGTTGATTGATTTGTGTCTGAATATATCCAGATTTATCTTTCCTTCTGTAGACCAGAGCTGCTGTGATTCTATCTTCAAGTTTTGTTCTTTGTGAGTTCCTATATCAGTATATCACAATTAGGATTGCCCAGAGCCAGTCTTCCCCATAAGGCACTATAGTTTAAGAACTTGTTATCCCTACCCTGACATGTTTTTCCCATTATTTAGATAATAGCAGACTGTTAGTGTTAGAAAGTGTTTTAAAGTATGAAGTCTAATTACTTCACTTCACAAGTGAGGAAACAGAGGCCAAGGAAGATAAAATGGCTTGCCCAATGTAATACAATGTGTTAGTAGCAATGATAAAACCATACCAGATGTTTTCTTGAACAATATGCCACTTTACTCCTAATGTGGTATTTGTCTAATGTGTCTAAACTCTCCCAAGCAAATTTTTGGTGCATAATCAAAAAGGCAAAGGTAGTAGAGATTCATGTAGTCTGGAGGCCCAGGTGACCCTTGGTCCATAGTCTCCTGTCCTGTGAGGGAGGCAAGAGACCCTGCAGGACCAAGCACACAGACCATCAGGAAACATTTGTCCTTTTAGATCAGCATTCAGAAATTGCCTTGGTTACCATGTGTTGGCCAGTTTATATGTAGAAATGCATTTATACCTCTCTCAATCTGGCGTTTGCTTAACACTACTGATATAGTTTGGATATTTGTCCCCTCCAAATCTCTTGTTGAAACTTGATTCCTCAGTGTTGGAGGTGGGGCCTAATGGGAAGTGTGTGGGCCATGGGGCCAGATCCCTCATGAATGGCTTGGTGCCATCTTCATGGTGATAAGTGAGTTCTTGCTCTGTTAGTTCCCACAAGAACTGATTGTTGAAAAGAGCCTGGCACCTCCTTCCCCTTGCTTCCTCTTCCCATATAATGCCTGCTTCCGTCCACCTGCAGCCACAAATAGAAGTGGTCTGAAGCCCTCACCAGAAGCAGATGCTTCTTCTACAGCCTGCAGAACTGTGAGCCAAATAAACCTCTTTTTTAAAAAATAAATTACCTTTATAGCAATGTAAACAGATGAAGACAACTACAGATAAATTATACTTTAAGCAGCTATCAAGAGTCATGATGGGCCGGGTGCAGTGGCTCACACCTGTAAACCCAGTACTTTGGGAGGCTGAGGAGGACAGATCACTTGAGGTCAGGAGTTCGAGACCAGCCTGACCAACATGATGAAACCCTGCCTGTACTAAAAATACAAAAAAATTAGCCCAAGGTGATGGCCTGTGCCTGTAATCCCAGCTTCTCAGGAGGCTGAACCAGGAGAATCACTTGAACCCAGGAGGTGCAGGTTGCAGTTAGGTGATATCGCGCCATGGCACTCCAGCCTGGGTGACAGAGTGAGACTCCATCTCTAAAAAAACAAAAGCAAAAAAAGAGTCATGGTGGTGACCAATTTGTTTACCTGCTTCAGGGAATTTAGTCCTATTTTCATGCAGTGAATTTGGGACTTGGACACCAAGATATTATGATTAGGATTCTTGATCAGAGAAGGGGAGGTAAAAATTGCTCATTTCTTCCATCTATGCTCATCTGGGGTAGAGAAGAGTAAGAAGACATGTGCACTGAAGGGAGCTAAGCTTCAAGTCTGAGAAGACTCCTGTTTTGAATGGGAGGGCTAGTGGTCAAGGTCAGTCCAAAGGCAATAGTAATAAAGGGTATGAAGTGATAAGAAAATTATGGGACAAAGGAGTTCAGTGTGTCCTGGATCTAAGCCTACAAATGCCTTCCATCTTCCTATGGGGCATTGATAAATGCTGCAGCAGAGTAAAGCTGATGCTCAATTGGTTCCATTTAAGGAGGCCGAGAACCTGTCACCGAGGAGCGAACAGCAGGACTGAGAGGAATGGAGCCTCCAGAACAATAACAGGTGGGAGCTGGAGCCAAATTTCTGTGGTTGTAAACAGATTTTTCCCATGTCTGACAGGATCTGGAAAAAAAAAAAACAAAACATGAGACACAAGTAGTTTTACTTGTGTTTTACTCTCATGCTGCTTTTATTCAGAATTCGTGGAGACAAAGTGAGACTGGTAAATTCAAAGATAGATGAATCCGTGCCCAAGTATAAGCTTCTCCACTAAATAACAGAGGGCATGTTGGGAGGAGGTAGGGAAATTATAAATTTAACAATATAAAGCAAACTTAGAAGACTTATATTCAACACGGCAGAATAAGCTGACATAGAAGGATCTAATTCCTGCTCTAAACACATAAAAATGCTGGAAAATCCTTAACAACAGTGATGAAAGTAGCTTAAATGCATAACTGCATCAATCAGAGTTCAAGGAGAGGAAAAAAAAACACTAGGAGTGGTACATATAATCAGGATTTATTGTATGAATTTCACCTTAGGTCATTGTTAACAGCTTTGTATCTGATGCCTGAGCCTGAAGTCAGAAGGACAGGTGTCAGGAAGGGAAAATGGGTATGAAGTAGGGGAGAAAAAGGAAAAACTGGAACCCATGATGAGCTGAAATCCATGGAATAGACTGGGCCCACCCTTATCTCTCAGTGTATCCAACCCTCCCATTGTGATGGTGCAGGTGTCTTGTAGGAGAAGGTGGTACCCTTTGTCACAGAGCTCAACATCCATCTGAGCCAGGAGGGTGTTCTTCACTTGGAGAAGCTGAAGGAGGGTCCAATGGGAGCTGGAGAAACTGTGACCCAGCTGCTGCCTCACAACAATCAGGTGAGAACAGCCAAGTGATAAAGTACACCAGCTGCTGCAGCACCGGGTGCCTCTCCTGCAACTCAAAACGTGCTAACCTTCTGTACTAGTTCCTATTGCTGCTTTAACAAATTATCGTAAACTTCTTGGCTTAAAACAATGCAAATGTACTATCTTATAATTCTGGAGGTCAGAGGTCCAAAATGCTAAAATCAAGGTGTCAACGGGGCTGTGTTTCTTCTGCAGGCCCTAAGGAAGAATTTATTTCCTTACCTCTCCCAATTTCTAGATGCTGCCTACATTTTTGTCTTATAGCTTCCTTTCTCTACTTCAAAGCCTGCAATATAGAATGGCGAGTCCTTCTTATGCTGCGACCTCTCTGGTACCACCCCCTTCTAACTTTTAAGCTTCCTTACAATTACATTGGGCCACCTGGATAATCCAAGACAATCTCTCTATTTTAAGGTCAGCTGATTATCAATCTTGATTCCATCTTCCACTTCAATTCTCCTTTACCATGTAACCTACTATATTCACAAGTTCCAGGTATTAGAATGTGCACATCACGGGGATGCCATTATCCTCCCTCCCATCTTTAGTGATTTCATTCTTCTATCTGAGTCACATTGCCTATTTAATATCCTATAATTTAAATACTGACATAGAAGTTTAAGTACTATTAACATATCTTATGTATGTCAGATGGTAGGAGGTTTGGAAAAGACAAGAGAAAAAAATTGGTTTATATATACACAAATACTTTATATCAAAATAAGAAAGAACTACTCAAAACTACTATAGTCCTCATGTCTGTGTTTGCATCTGGTCAGGTGGTCATTGCTGGTATTTATAACTATTTTCTTGCAGTACCTATTCTACATTGCATTTGTGCTCAGCAGATGTGTTGGCGGGTTGTGATTCCTTGCCTGATGGGGTAACTCAAACCTTCATTCCTGAAGAGTCTTGACCATAAGCAATCCTATATTGGGTTGTTATTTTCTGTTTAATGTAGTCATAGGACAGGGGAGTATTGAGAGGTTCCAGAGGGGATTTCTTACATTCTGGACATATTCTGCCTTCCCGTCATGTATCATAGCAACCCCATTTTACCCTGGTAGTTAGGTTCAATCACCCCAGTCAGTAGAAAAATCCCTTTCTCTTCCTATTGATTCACTGTCTTGAAGATTCCAAAATGGCCAGGTGTCCGTTTCAGCTTCCATTTTCAGAGAACCATTGCTGTGCCCAATGGTGTAAGCATTCTTCCTCTGGAGAGTAAAACCTCTAGAGCAGCAGTTCACACAGATGTGGGGAGGGATGCAAAAATGTTTCTAGCAGGTAACGAGGCATAATAATGAGAGGAGTCCCTGCTATGGCCACCCCTCATCAAGGTCCCATGAATCCTGTCTATGGAAGAAACCATATATTGCTTGCTGGCTTAGAGCGTATACTACCTCCTAGCGGACACTGTCCCAGACCTGCAAGGTTTTGCTACCAGCAGCCACTATATCTGAGCTTCAAAAGCCATTCCACTATTCTGTCAGGCCAGTCACTTTATGGGTGATTGAAAGATGTGGTCAGCCCATGAGCATGTGCCCATGGCCATATTGCATTTGCTATAGAACAAGATCCTTGGACACTAGGCTGTATTGAATGTTAAGACAGTGAATAAGGCATTCACAAGTCAGTAGGTGATGGTTTTGGTAGAAATATTGTAGGTAGGGAAGGCAAATCTGTATTCGCAGTAAGTATCCATTCCAGTGAGAATACAGCTCTGCTCCTTCCATGATGGATGTACTCCAATGTCAACAACCTGCCACCAGGTGGCTAGCTGATGCCCTTGGGGAATGATGCTATATTGTCATAGCACAGGCTTAGCAGGTTGTTGGCAGATTGGGTACTCTTTAGTGACAGGAGCCAGGTTGGACTTCAAGAGCGGCCATGTTACTAAGCCCATGCATAACCTTCCTCCATGTCACCATGGCAACTTTGTGAGTCCATTGGGCAAGAATGGCAGTGGCTGATGAAAAAGACTCACTGATGTCCACAGGAAAAGCCATCTTCTCCACTTGATTAACTTTACAGTAATCCATGGTCATTCTCCAAGGTGTATGTATCTTCTGCATTGTTGAATGGAGATATGGTAGAAATCATCATGCCTACATATTTCAAGTCCCTTGATGGTATCCCTCATTTCTGCCATCCAGAAATGTGGTCTTGCTTTTGGCTTACCTTTTCAGCAGATAGACAATTTCAGTGGCTTACACTTGGCCATTGCTTCCACAATAGCTGTTATTCCATGGACTAAGTAACCAAAGTGAATATTCTCCAAGTTTCTAGGATTTCTATTCCAATTATTCCTTCTAGGACTGGGTACCTAAAAAAACTGAGTTTAGGGACCCACTAGACCCACTGTGAGATGGGCCAAAACTCCGCTGATCACATGGCCTTCCCGATCCTCTGCTCTGACTATAGTTGTACAATGGCATTTGTGGTATCAATTCAGAGCAAGCCCGATTAGTCCCCCCTTCCCCAATTCACAATCACCTTGGAAAACATCCACTGGTTGCTGTATGAATGGCAAATAAGATTGATAGTATAGATCGTTGGTTGTATAGCATGGTTTTTCTTCAAGGAAACCTGACCTCCCTCTCATTCAAAGTATTCTCAGTCTGTGAACCGGCTCAAGTCTGGGAAGTTGATGAAGGGTCATGATACTTAGTGTGGTGATTAGACTTCTATTCACCAGGCTTAGAGTTTCTCTGTTTAAACAACTCAAGTAAGACCTTAGTAGGTTGCCCATCTATTTCATTTATAGGAACATTGTAATAACAACAAGCCAACATCAAAGATCTCTGCAGGTCATATTATTCTTATAACAACTTTGGCTCTACTGCTCATTATAGTAACCATGCTCACTCAGTGTTTGGCAATTCAGTGCCACCATGAAGTATCTGCCACACTGAAGTTTTATCATCCCTGCTGAATTCAGGGAGCCTAGTTTAATGACAGCAGTTCCCACTGTTATTAATGGCCTTTAGAGAATGACAATGACAAATTTCTTTAAGGAAGCTGGACACCCCTAGCAATTCTTTTTTCACAGTGTAGTAAAAAGTGTGTGCTTATAATGCTGCAGAGGACATAAAGAGAAAGCGTATGAGCAGATATTACATGATAAGCCCACTCTAGCATTCCAGTTCTAAGACTTTGGATATCTTCCTCTGCATCAGGACATGTCTGGCATTCAAAACTTATTTAGTATTGTACGTATTTAGGCCTAGGTTTCAATCAACCAACTAAGAAGTCTGTTAGTTATCTTCACCCCCTCAGTCTAACACATTAAATCTGCCACCCCAACACCACACTTACACAACCCTGGGAGTTTTGTGCCCTAGCTGCCTTGCTTCCCTCATCCTAGTCTTCACCCTGGTAGAATTGAAGAGCAGAAGAAATTCTCAGAGAACTAAGCATGGTGGTGTGCACCTGTAGTCCTAGCAACTCAGGAGGCTGAGGTGGGAGGATCACTTGAGCCCAGGAGTTCGAGGCCGCAGTGAGCTATAATTGCACCACTGCACTCCAGCCTGGGTAATAGAGTGACACCCCCCAAAAAAGGAACTTACTATTAACTGAAGAAGCTGTATGCCATGGGCTGTTAGGCAAAGAAATAATTCTCACACTTTGGAAAGCTAAAAATTGAGCAACTTAGTCACCAGATATTCCAGGTCCTGCTGAAATGAAATTCTTTATGATGCTCTCAAAATATTTAAAGCTAGTGGTAAATAGAATCTAACTACTGCTCTATTAAACTAATTAAATTATAAACCCACATAAACTACATCAGTGATAGAATAAGCTTCCTCAAATAGTGGCCTTACAGGGAAAGAGGCACTTTTTTTCTGAGAGCAGTATTATTTAGTTCAGTCTCTACAAGTTTTTAATAGACAACGTCTGCATATAATTTTTAAAATAATACTACCAAAGAAGCAAAACCATGTGAGCCAGGGTGAAGATAGGAAATATTGGAATTTTAAGACAGGAACTTTAAAATAACTATAAACATATGTCCAAGAATCTAGTGGAAAAGATAGCATGTATTCACAGAGGAGATATATTTGCAGAGAGATGAAAACTATACAAAGAAACAAAGTAGAAATGCTAGGAATAAAAAACATGATACCACAAAAGACTAATTTATTCAAAAGGTTTTACAGCCACAGGAAAATCACAGGAAATCGTCAGCAACATTTAAGAAAGTTTAGTGAAAGTCAACCAAACTGAAACACAGAGAAGAAAAAAAAAAAGAAAGCAAATTAAAACTGAGGAACAATATCAAATGATCTAATACATTTGTTATTGAGATTCCAAAACCTGATGAGAGAGAGAATGGGGGTAGAAAAAAAATATTTGGAGGGGTGGGGCCAAGATGGCCAACTAGTAACAGTGGGGCCTTTGGAGGCTCCCATCGAAAAAAACCATAATAAGCGTGTGAATCCTTCACCGGCAACCAAGGCACCCAGGTTCTCTCATCAGAACTGACTAGGAGGCTGGCATGACCTACGGAGAGAAAGAAGAACAGTGTGGTGCAGCGGCCCACCTGAGAGCCACACGGGGCAGGGGAGCCCCCTCCCCCCAACCAAGGGAGGCAATGAGTGAGTGCACTACCCAGCCAGGGAAACTGTGCTTCCTCCACGGAGCTGCACAACTCACGGACTGCAAGATCCCATTCGCGAACCCACACCACGGGGGCCTAGCATCACAACCCTGGAACACACAGATTCTCAACAGCCTCTCAGCTGGAATCTGCTTAAGCCTACGGAACTCCTGCGGGGAGGGGCGACCAGCACTGCAGCTGCCGCTGCCCGCTGCCTGCCGTCTAAGCCCTTTGAGCTCCTTGGGGGAGGGGCAGTAGCCAGCACTGGGACTCGCCACTGCCTAACACACTAAGCTTCATGGGCGGGGGAAGGGCGGCACCCATGTCTATAGCTCCAGGCTGTGCTTTTCCCCTGCTGGAGCCAGGGAGGCTAGACGGCTTAGTTCCAAGACTTGTCCCCCACAGCCCAACACACTGGCTGTGGCAGTCTGTGGCCAGAGTGCCTCTTCAGGCCTGACCCTGACCCATCCTTCCTCACTGGGGTGAGACTTCCCTGCAGGATCTCCAATAACTCCCAGCCAGAGGCTCAGGGACAGAATTCGGATCTCCCTGGGCCTGAGCCCCTAGGGGGAGGGGCAGCTGCAGTATCTGTGGACCAGCAGACTTAGCCTCTCCTCCTGGTGGTTCTGAGGAATCCAGGCAGCCCAGAAGAATGGGTTTCACCCCAGCGAGGCACACCCCCTCCACCAAAGGACAAAGTACTTTGTTAAACAGGCCCTATTCCCGGTGCCACCCAACTGAGTGAGACCCTCCAACAGGGGTTGTCAGACACCCTATACAGGAGCAATCCTACTGGCATCAGGCTGGTGCCCCTCGAGGTCAGAGGTCCCAGAAGAAGGAGCAGGCACTCATCTTTGCTGCTCTCCAGCCTCCTGAAGTGACATCTCCAGGCATGGGAGATAATCAGATGAATAGGGCCTGAAGTGAACCCCCAGCAAACGCAGCAGCCCTACAGAAGAGGGACCTGCCCTTTGAAAGAAAAACAAATAAGCAGAAAGCAACAACAACAGCATCAACAACAACAACAAAAAAGCCCCCATAGAAACCCCATCCAAGGGTCAGCAGCCTCAAAGACCAAAACTAGACAAACTCATGAATGAGAAACAATCAATGAAAAAATGCTGAAAACCCAAAAGGCCAGAGTGCCTCTTCTCCTTCAAGCGCTCACAACATCTCTCCATCAAGGGCACAGAACTGGACGGAGGATCAGATGGACGAATTGACAGAAGTAGGCTTCAGAAGATGGGTAATAAAAAACTACGCTGAGCTAATGGAGCATGTTCTAACCCAATGCAAATAAGCTAGGAACCTTGATAAAAGGTAGGAAGAATTGACAAATAGAATAATCAGTTTAGAGAGGAATATAAACGACCGGATGGAGCTGAAAAACAGAGCATGAGAACTTCGTGAAGCATATACGAGTATCAATAGCTGAATCCACCAAGCAGAAGAAAGGATATCAGAGTTTGAAGACCACCTTGCTGAAATAAGGCATGCAGACAAGACTAGAGAAAATATGAAAATAAATGGACAAAGCCTCCAAGATATATGGGACTTCATAGAAAGACCGAACCTACGATTGACTGGAGTACCAGAAGAGACAGGGAGAATGGAAACAAGCTGGAAAACATACTCCAGGATATTATTCAGAACTTCCCCAACCTAGCAAGACAGGCCAACATGCAAATTCAGGAAATACAGAGAACACCATTAAGATACTCCACATGAAGTTTAACCTCAAGAGACATAATCATCAGATTCTCCAAGGTCGTAATGAAGGAAAAACTGTTAAGGGCAGCCAGAGAGAAAGGCCAGGTCACCTACAGAGGGAAGCCTGTCAGATTAACAGGGTACCTTTCAGCAGAAACTCTACAAGCCAGAAGAGATTGGGGGCCTATATTCAACATTCTTAAAGAAAAGAAATTTCAACCCAGAATTTCATATCCAGCTAAATTAAGCTTCATAAGCAAAGGAGAAATAAAATCCTTTCCAGACAAGCAAATGCAGAGGGATTTCATTACTACAAGGCCTGCCCTGCAAGAACTCCTGAAAGAGGCCCTAAATATGGAAAGGAAAAACTGGTACTAGCCACTACAAAAACACACCAAAATATAAAGACCAATGACACTATGGAGAAACTGCATCAATTAGTTGCAAAATAACTAAAAAGCATCATGATGACAGGATCAAATTAACATATAACAATACTAACCTTAAATGTAAATGGGCTAAATTCCCCAATTAAAAGACACAGACTGGCAAATTTGAGAGTCAAGACCCATTGGTGTGCTGTAGTCAGGAGACCAAGCTCACATGCAAAGACACACATAGGCTCAAAATAAAGGGATGGAGGAGAATTTACCAAGCAAATGGAAAGCAGAAAAAGCAGGGGTTGCAATCCAGTCTCTGACAAAACAGACTTTAAACCAACAGAGATTAAAAAAGACAAGGGCATTACATAATGGTAAAGGGAACAATTCAACAAGAAGAGCTAACTATTTTAAATATATATGCACCCAATATAGGAGCACCCAGATTCATAAAACAAGTTCTTAGAGACCTACAAAGAGACTTAGACTCCCACAAAATAATAGTGGGAGAGCTAAACACTCCACTGTCAGTGTTAGACAGATCAATAAGACAAAAAATTAACAAGAATATTCAGGACTTGAACTCAGCTCTGGATCAAGTGGACCTAGTAGATATCTACAGAACTCTCTACCCCAAATCAACAAAATATGGCTTCTTCTCAGTGCCACATGGCACTTATTCTAAAATCGACCACATAACTGGAAGTAAAAGACTCCTCAGCAAATGCGAAAGAACTGAAATCATAAAAAACAGTCTCTCAGACCACAGTGCAACCAAATTAGAACTCAGGACTAAGAAACTCATCTCAAAACCACACAATTACATGGAAATTAAACAACCTGCTCCTGAGTGACTCCTGGGTAAATAATGAAATTAAGGCAGAAATCAAGAAGTTCTTTGAGACCAATGAGAATGAAGAGACAACATACCAGAATCTCTGGGACACAGCTAAAGCAGTGTTAAGAAGGAAATTTATAGCACTAAATGCCCACATCAGAAAGGTGGAAAGGTCTTAAATCAATACCCTAACATGACAATTAAAAGAGCTAGAGGGGCAAGAGCAAACTAATCCAAAAGTTAGCAGAAGACAAGAAATAACTAAGATCAGAGAAGAACTGAAGGAGATAGAGACATGAAAAACACTCCAAAAAAAATCAATGAATCCAGGAGCTGTTTTTTTTTTAATTAACTAGATAGACTGCTAGCTGGACTAATAAAGAGAAAAAAGAGAAGAATCAAATAGACACAATAAAAAATGATAAAGAGGATTGCACCACTGACTCCACAGAAATACAAATTACCATCACAGAATACTGTAAACACCTCTATGCAAATAAACTAGAAAATCTAGAAAAAATTGATACATTCCTGGACACATACACCCTCCCAAGCCTAAATCAGGAAGAAGTCAAATCCCTGAATAGATCAATAATAAGTTCTGAAATTGAGGCAGTAATTAATAGCCTACCAACAAAAAAAAGCCCAGGACCAGACGGATTCACAGCTGAATTCTACCAGAAATACAAAGAGGAGCTGGTACCATTCCTTCTGAAACTATTATAAACAATTGAAAAGGAGGGATGCCTCCCTCACTCGTTTTATGAAGCCAGCATCATCCTGATATCAAAACTGGGAAGAAACACAATAAAAAAAGAAAATTTCAGGTCAATATCCCTGATGAACATCTATCTGAAAATCCTCAATAAACTACTGGGAATCAAAATCCAGCAGCACATCAAAAAACTTATCCACCACAATCAAGTCAGCTTCATCCCTGGGATGCAAGGCTGGTTCAACATATGCAAATCAATAAATGTATTCCATCACATAAACAGAACCAAAGACAAAAGCCACATGATAATCTCAATAGATGAAGAAAAGGCCTTTGATAAAATTCAACATCGCTTCTTGCTAAAAACTCTCAATAAACTAGGTAGTGATGGAACATCTCTCAAAATAATAAGAATTATTTATGACAGACCAACAGCCAATATCATATTGAATGGGCAAAGGCTAGAAGCATTCCCTTTGAAAACCAGTACAAGACAAGGATGCCTTCTCTCACCATCCTATTCAACGTGGTATTGGAAGTTCTGGCCAGGGCAATCAGGCAAGAGAAAGAAATAAAGGATATTCAAATAGGAAGAGAGGAAGTTAAATTGTCTCTGTTTGCAGATGACATGATTTTATATTTAGAAAACTTCATCATCTCAGCCGAAAAACTAAACTGATAAGCAACTTCAGCAAAGTCTTAGGATACAGAATCAGTGTGCAAAAATCACAAGCATTCCTTTACACCAACAATAGACAAGCAGAGAGCTAAATCATGAATGAACTCACATTCACAATCACTACAAAGAGAATAAAATACTTAGGAATACAGCTAACGAGGATGTTAGCTTCTTCAAGGAGACTACAAACCATTGCTCAATGAAACAACAGAGGACACAAACAAATGGAAAAACATTCCATCCTCATGGATAGGAAGGATCAATATCATGAAAATGGCCATACTGCCCAAAGTTATTTATAGATTCAATGCTATTCCCATCAAACTACCATTGAAAGTTTTCACAGAATTAGAAAAAAACTATTTTAAATTTCACATGGAATCAAAGAAGACCCCGTATAGCCAAGACAATCCTAAGCAAAACAAACAAAGCTGGAGGCATCACGCTACCTGAACTCAAACTATACTACAAGGCTACGGTAACCAAAACAGCATAGTACTGGTACCAAAAGAGACATATAGACCAATGGAGCAAAACAGAGACCTCAGAAATAACACCACACATCTACAACCATCTGATCTTTGAAAAACCCGACAAAAACAAGCAATAGGGAAAGGATCTATTCAGAAAATGGTGCTGGGAAGACTGGCTAGCCATATGCAGACAACTGAAACTGAACCCCTTCTTTATACCTTATACAGAAATTAACTCAAGATGGATTAAAGACTTAAATGTAAAACCCAAAACCATAAAAACCTTAGAAGAAAACCTAGGCAATACCATTCAGGACATAGGCATGGGCAAAGACTTCATGACAAAAATGCCAAAAGCAATTGCAACAAAAGTCAAAATTGACAAATGGGATCTAATTAAATTAAAGAGCTTCTGCACAGCAAAAGAAACTATCATCAGAGCAAACAGGCAACCTACAGAATAGGATAAAATTTTTGATATCTACCCATCTGACAAAGGTCTAACATCCAGAATTTACAAACAAATTTACAAGAAAAAAACAACCCCATCAAAAAGTGGGCAAAGGATATGAACAGACATTTCTCAAAAGAAGACACGTATGCAGCCAACAAACACGTGAAAAAAAGCTCAACATCACTGATCATCAGAGAAATGCAAATCAAAACAACAATGAGATACCATCTCACGCCGGTCAGAATGGTGATTATTAAAAAGCCAGGAAACAATAGATGCTGGCAAGGCTGTGGAGAAATAGGAATGCTTTTACATTGTTGGTGGGAATCTAAATTAGTGGAAGACAGTATGGTGATTCCTCAAGGATCTAGAACCAGAAGTACCATTTGACCCAGTAATCCCATTACTGGTTATACACCCAAAGGAACATAAATCATTCTACTATAAAGATACATGCACACGTATGTTTGTTACAGCACTATTCACAATAGCAAAAACATGGAACACTCCCAAATGCCCATCAATAGCAGACTGAATAAAGAAAATGTGGTACATATATACCACAGAATACTATGCAGCCACAAAAAGGAATGAGATCATGTCTTTTGCAGGGACATGGATGAAGCTGGAAGCCATCATCCTCAGCAAACTAACACAGAAACAGAAAACCAAATGCTGCATGTTCTCACTCATAAGCAGGAGTTGAACAATGAGAAGAAATGGACTCAGAGAGGGAAACAACACACACCAGAGACTGTTGGGAGGTGGGGGGAGAGGGGAGGGAACTTAGAGGACAGGTCAATAGGTCCAGCAAACCACCATGGCACACATATACCTATGTAACAAACCTGCACGTTCTGCACGTGTATCCCATTTTTTTTTAAGACGAAATTTTAAAAAAAGAAAAAATATTTGAAGAGATAATGGCTGAAGAGCTAAAAATTTCCAAAACTGATAGAAGATTTCAAGTCATATATTCAAAATGTTTGTAAGCCACAAGAAAAAAGATAAAGATTAAACCAAATCTAAATACATCATACTCAAATACACTAAAGTTAAAAAGAAAATCTTTATATTATAGCAGCCAAGTTGAAAAAAAACACAGGCATATTACATACCAGAGTACAATGATGGCTGACTTCCCATCAGAAATAGTATAGGGCATAAAACAATATAAAGACATCTTTAAAATTCTGAAAGAAAAAGAAGCCCTGTCAGCTGACACGCTCATATTCTGCAAACACATTCTTCAAAACTGAAGCCAAAATAAAGACATTTCCAGATATACAAAAGATGAAATAATTCACTCCAACATACCTACACTACAAGAAGTACTAGAAGAAGTTTATCATGCTGAATGGGAGATTATGCCATATGGAATTCAAATCTACAGGAAAGAATGAAAAACATCAGAAAGAGTAAATATAAAATGTTTTTATTATCTTTACTATTTATATTTATATGTGTGTATTTTAATATCTGTAAAAGATTATTGACTTTAAAACAAAAATAAGAATTTATATCATGATGAAAGTAAACTACATAAGAACATAAAGGATAGTACAGTGGTAATATGAATTATACTAAGTTAACATTCTTACATTGTTTGGGAAGGCATATAATGTGAAGGTACATTGTAATAAATTAAAGATATATATTTAATCTCTAGAGCAATAATTTAAAAATAACACAAAGGAATATATCTAAAATGTCAATAAACAAGATAAAATGGAATACTTGTATCCAATAGAATGGAATTAAATTCACTGAAAGATGGCAGAAAAGGCATAATAGAGTAAAAAAGAAATGGGAGGAACAAGTAGAAAACAAATACCAGGATGACAGTCTCTACCTAACCTTATCAATAATTACATTAAATGTAAATGTAACACATGCTTCAAGTAAAAGGTAGAGATTTACATACTATATTAAAAGGCAAGATATAAATAGATGCTGTTTACATGACATACACTTTAAAATCAAACATATAGACTGGTTGGATATAAAATGAAGAGATTCTATGCATCAAAAAGCTATAGTGGTTACATAACTGTAAGGCCAACAGAAGGCAAAATAAAGAGAACTAATTATAAATAAAAAGGGAAATAGCATAATGAGGAAAGGATCAGTTCCTTGAGAAGGTATAATAGTCCTAAATGTGTTGATGACTAATACTGTGTTTCAAAATACATACAGCAAAAATTCATATGACCAGAGAAATAGATCAACCCTCAATTACAGTTGGAGATTTTAATATTTCATTCTCAATAATTAATAGAATAGTTAAATAATCAGTAAGTTTATAGAAGATTTGACAACCTGAAACATCCAATTGACCTAGATGACATTTATAGAATAATACATCCAACAACTGTATAATAGACATTCTTTTTCATGTTGGGCCATAACACAAATTTAAATGTGTTTCAAAGAATATAAACTGTAATACATGTTTTCTGATCATAACAGTATTAAATTAAAAGTCAATAACAATAAGCTATCTACAAATCGCCCGATATTTGGTAACAAAGCAACACTCTTTTATATACCCTATGGATTAAAGAAGATCACATAAAGGAAATTAGGCAGAATTTCAAACTAAAGTATAATGAAAATATAATATATAAAAATCCGTAGCATGCTTAGAGGAAAATTAAGAAGTTAAATGGATATATTAGAACTAAATAAAGGTATAAAATCAATGATCTAATTTTCCTTCTTAAGAAGCTAGAAAATAAAAAGCAAATTATGCTCAAAATTAGAAGAAAGAAAATAAATTAGCAGCACAAGTAAGTGAAATAGGAAACAACTAATAGAGAAAATCAATAAAGTCAACAGGTATTACTTAGACTTGTAAATGAATGTTCATAGTATCTTTATTGATAATCGTCAAAAACTAAAAACAGCACAAATTTCCATCAACAGGTGAATGAATAAACAAATTTATATTCATACAATGGAGTATGGAATGAACTACTGATATATGCAGCAATACAGATAATTCTCAAAAACATTATACTGAGTGATAAGAGCCAAACACAATAGAGAAAATACTATATGATTCATTTATATAAAATGTAGAATAAGTCAAACTCATCTATCAGTGTCTGCCTAAACCAGAGGACAGGACAAATGGGGATTGACTGGAAAGGAGTACACGGGAACTTATGAAAGTGGTAGAAATGTCCAGTGTCATGAATGGAGTGATGCATATTCATCTGTACACTTAAAATGGGTATACTCATTTTTAAGAGCTTTATTAAACTCAAAATACCATACAGTTCTCCTTTTGTTTGATAATTTTTACTGAATTAAACAGCTGTACAACCATTATACTGCAGTATGAAGAATTCCATCTCCCATAAATTCCGTTTTTCATTTGTACTAAATCCTCACTGACATCCCGAGTCCTAAGTGATTGTTGACCAGATTTTCATCTCTAGACCTGTCTTCTCTTGAAGTTTCATATAAATGAAATCATAAGACAAGTTGTCTTTTGTTAGTGACTTGTTTCACTCAGGATAATGTTTTGAAGGTCGATTCATGTTGTATGCATCAGTAGTTCCTATCTTTTTATGGCTGGTAGTATTCCATTACATAGATATGCCACATTTTATTTGTCTATTCATCTGACAATGGACATTCAGATGGTTTGCAAGTTTGGGATATTACAAACAAGCTGCTATTAACATTTGTATTTAAGTCTTTGCTGGCATTAGATGCAAGTAAACCTGAACTGACATCTCAATACTGCTATTTAGCTGATGAATGACTCTAGAAAAGTCATTTAACCTCTCTGTTTCCTCATCTGCAAATGAGGGTAAATAATTCTATATTTTATCAGTGTTGTGAGAATTAATTGAGATAATATTTATAAAGTGCCTTATAAAATATAAAGAGAAGGAGCTTAATAAAAAGTATCTAAGGATAATAATAAAATTAGATAATGCCTCAAATAATTTATTTTTTGGGAAATAGCACAAGCAGATAGTCTACCAATCATTCCCAAACTCACAGCCAGGTCAAACAACAAGTGTATGTGGTTTGAAGTGTTTGCTGACATTTATTCTCATTCCTCCTCTTTTTCTGGAGCTCACCTGGCATATGGATCAACAAAACCCTTCAAATGCAGGCCATCAGATAAAGGTGCTGATAGGCAAGAAACCAAAAGGCAAGAGAATACAAACCAGAAAAACAATAATAGTCTTATAACCATGGCTAGAAAAACCTTCCTGAGTGCCTCAAGATCGCAGAGGTTATCAGACAAGATGAATGAAGAAGGCATGTCCCCTTACCTAAATTTATTTAATGTAGTAAACACTTTGTCTCTGCACCTAATAGATGTGTAGGAATAGGCTGTTAGGGACTCAAGGCATTTGGCAAGACTACAAGCATACTTTAGCATCAAGAAACTTCCGTCTAGTTAAGAAAATAAGCCTAACATCCAGCAATCTATCTACATAAGACAGTACTTCCTCAATTGTTCAGCTATATGACCAAATTCTTTCACTGTGGGAGTCTGGAGGGGGAAGAGATTTACAGAGCAATGATGGAAACCTTTTTGAAGATGTAGGATTTGAGATGGATGCCAAAGTTTTTCTCTTTTAAGACAGATAACTTTAATGAGGACTCCGAGAAAGAAGAAATTCAGAAATAGCAGACAGATGTTTGGAGGGCAAAAGGTTAGAGATGCTGCACTGTGAAATGATCACTCAATTGCTGTAAACATGACACTTTAAAACATGAACTGATACCAATATGGCCACTTAAAAATGGATTTCATGTCCAGTGTAATGTTCATAAATCAAATAATTAGGGCTTTTACACTCGATGATTTTGATGTTAGGTATCAGGAAAATAGTCATCTTGCAATATGGAATGTGGCAGAATATTTTACAATTATGTATAATTTATTGCACACTGTACAGTATGTACATCATACTGATTGTATGGTAAATACAGGGTGTACTGTGGGAACTTTGCAATACATAGATATATATACATAAAAAAAGAAAACTAACTTGGCTATAATCCCACCATCCAGGCAGTATGCTTGCTAGCAGATTATCATTATCTTTTCTGAACTGTGTACACGTGTGGGTGAAATGGTTATATGGAAATCACATATGCAGTCTTGTATTGTACATCAAAACTCCTCCATCCTCCACTTGGATGAAAACCTGGTCACTTCAGATACAAGTTCTTCAGTCACTTTTGTTCATAAAACAGTTTGGTTCAGTAGTTAATGTCCAGCCCAGAGTAGTAATCTAAGCTCCAATCTTTACTTACAGGTAAAGCTCCCCAGCCCCTGCCACCTTCCCTGCCCTCCACCATGGGCCCATGCATGGCAGCTTCCTGCAGTGAGAAAGGAGGGCTCCTTCTTTCTTCACCCAGCCCTTCTTCTTCTCCTCTGACTTGCCCACTTGCTTTCTGATGCTATGGAACTGGAAGATGGGGACGGAGAAAAAGAAAGGGACACAAGAGAGTTCTGACTTGACTGATGCTGTCATGAGTTGGCCTCAATACTATCTGGACCTAACAAGTACTTAACTCATGTTTTCTCTCCTGGAGCATTTTAGGGGGTTCTTTGGAGATTCCCCATCCCATTTCTGAGAATTTCTCACTTGTAATTCTCTTGACACAAGTAGATATGTTCCTTTTGGATGGTTGCTTTTCTGAGCCTCTAAGCATCTGGCAGTACATCTCCAGCTTGCTCTGCTGAGGTTTCCACGTCTCTCCAAGTGGCCCCTGTTGGTCAGGATTTGAAGCAACTGCTCACCAACTCTCCTGGCATGTGGTTCTCAAGTCTGGCCTGCACAAAACACAAACCTCCTATCCATGACAAGAGTGAAGTTACTTCCCAAACCGCAACCTCTAATTCCCTTCTTTCAGCTATTTACCTCAGCTTCTCTCTCTTTAGACTTCTCAGCCATAAGACATATATTAAGTTCTCCAAGTGATCTCATTGAAATATCTTTCCAAGGCTTAAAAAAGAGGAGAAGTATGGAACTCATGGAACACCAATAACTCTCTCTCTCTAAATAAATCCTCTTCCCATCTGTAACTTCATATTCTTTTTATATTCTTTCAGTCAATGAGCGGTTCAGTCACAAGACTGTTTTGTGAACACCTTTCGTCTCCCCTGTGATGCTCTCACATCTATTATCTTAGGGTCTCAGTTTAGATAAAGACTCATAGCGCTTCAGGTGTTTATAAGTGGATATATAAATATTTGGTTTCTAGAATGCATGAAATTTGGCAACCTGCTGCAGCAGAGAATAGAAAGTTATTAACCGACCATTTCTTCTTCTTCCTGGACACAGAGCTGTACAATATTTCTCATCTTCCTTTGCACTTATGCACTTCCACGTGACTGGGACTCAGTTCTATGCAATAGGACATGACATGAGCTACTGGCCTGTAAAAATCTCCCATGCACAGTCCCAGATTTTTTCTCTTCTATCAGCCCATAAAGTGGAATCCAATCATCTTGGAGGCCGCATGTTGAAAATGGTAGAGCCGTAATTGGAAAAAGTTGGGACTCTAAATCTTTACAGGGACAAAAGTCCCCTGCCAACAATGAACACTTACTTATTGTCCTAGTCTATTTGTGCTGCTATAACAAAATACCTTAGACTAGGTAAACAACAGATATTTATTGCTCACTGTTCTGGAAGCTGAGAAGCCCAAGATCAAGGTGCCAGCAGATTCGGTATCTGATGAGGGCTTGCTCCTCACAGATGGAGCCTGCTATGTGTTCTCACATGGCAAAGGGGCAGGAGCTAACAAGCTCCCTCGAGTCACCTTTATAAGGGCACTAATCCTGTTCACAAGGGCTCTGCCCTCATGACTTAGTTAGCTCCCAAAGGCCCAACCTATTTGGGGATTAAATTTTAACATGAATTTTGGAGGGACACAAACATTCACACCATAGTATTTATGTTAGACTTTATGAGTGAGAAAGAATGTCTATTGTAATAAATTACTGAGATTTTGCTCTTTCAATTGTGAGCATTACCGTAATTAATATACCTTTTTTGTGTTGGGGTACTGAGTTTTTTATTCATTTGAAAGAGCTCTGTGTTTATTATTAAATATGTAATATAAAATTTTTACCATACATTTTGCAAAAAAAAAAAATCCCCAGCTTGTTTGCATTTAAAATTGTCTTTATGGCATTTTGAATGCCTTAAAAAACTGTTTTACACAATGTGACCTGTCAATCATTACTTTTATGATTTGAGCCTTTTGCCATTATGTTTAAAAAGATATTTGAGAATGTTGATAATTATAAACCCAATTGCCAACCTCTCAGCTCATAGCTAGATTTCTCAGACTCTTAATTTCTGGTTTAGAGGCTACTCATCTGGAGCTACACTAAGACTTTGGAATGCTTATTTGAAACTAGATTTGAAATACTGAATGACAGTCCTCAGCCAAAGGGGAGGGGACAACATATGCAATTGGACCTGGTGAATAAGACTAATTTCATGCCCTTAAAGAAAACTATCTTGTTAACATTTGCGTAACTGAAGTTTAACTCTAGAGTTTTGATCATCTATATCTTCATTCCCATCTGCTGCCAGACACCCAACACTCCCAAGATAATTCCTGGCTGGCTAGGAATCTTCAGGAAACTCCTTGTTATTCTTGGCCCCTTGAGCCATGATTCGTGCACCCGAGTCTCAAGATACCAACTCCTCAACCTTCTCTCCCACATAAAAGCTATTTTGACCTATATCCTATTCCTTTGGATAGCTAAAATGAAGAACAGAATCTGAATTAATATGAGACAAATCCTCTTATATTTATATTACCCTTACCACAACCAAAGCAGCAAAGAATGGAAGAATCTGTGCAACCTTGAGGAAGGAGTCCCTAAAAACATGCCACCTAAGGCATTCCTACTTCATTTATGGGTGGGGCTACCTTGAGTCGGACAGTAATAAGTGTAGTCATTTAGCTTCTCTTTTTATCACATACCAAAAACATCCAAGTGTTTTCAATGGCCTGATATTCAGTGTCAGTATACTCAGGATTTTCATAAAATACAAGATGTTATTTAGGGCAAATATTGCATGTTGAATACATCTGCCCTCCCAATTCTTAACACAGTGTCTGGCATCTAAAAGTCATTCAACACATGTGTGTTGAGTGAATGAAAACTTTTGCCATCCTAGGACACAAAATGTGGTTTGAAGGTATGATGTACAGATATACCTGAGAATCAAGAAACTAGAGAAAAAAAATCACGCTTTGGCAGGATTTGTATCTATTGTGCAGAGGCATAGAAGCCTACATAAGACACAAGCTTACGGCATCAAAGCAGCAAAAAGGAGGAGTGGACAGGCTAAAGCCAAGGGTGTGATCAGGAATTTCTAGAGGTACTGAGATGAGGGCTGTCCAAGTTAAGTGTCACCAACTTGAAGATCTCCCACTTGTAAGAAATCAAGAGAGAGTTCCAAGGGAGAAGGATCTAGGAGAGAGGCATATGGCAGATAACCACTCCAAAGGCCCCAGGGGACAGAAACAGAAAATACCTAGCCTCTCTCTGGTGATGCATGAGTGCAGACATTACCCATTGGAGGACTCCAAGTTACTCACATAGTGCAAGACTTTCGGTCACTGTACACACATTTAACTTATTGTGTATGCAGACCATTGTTTTCTTTTCATTCAGCCCCCTGCTCAAACACTATCCTGAGGACCTCCATGAGTAAAGCCAGGGCAGCAAGAGAAAGAATGTTGAACACTAGAAGGGGACTCAAGATAAAGATTAAGGAAAACTTAAGACCTTCCCACCAAAAAGTGAAAAACATAACCAGGGCACCTCCGACATAAGAATTGCACCCCTGAGTGGGGTATAATCTACTCTCGCAGTGGGTTGCATATGAAACAACACAGCATTTGTATGTATCTAAATGTGTGCCAAATGTTCTTGGCATCTAGCAAGCACTCTACTATTACCTATCATTATCATCCCATGAATTTATCAAGTCAGAATAGCTACTCACATTTGTTTAGCAGTGAACAAGAATGGGAGGGTCAGAGGTCCAGGGGAGCCTAACTCCAACAAGGGGCTAGAAGATTGAAAGGTCAAGGTCTAGAACAGTGGTTCTCAAACTATGGTCACCTGGGCCAGAAGCACCAGTACACCTGAGAAGTAGTAGAAATGCAAATTATTGGGCCTAGCTCCAAACCTACTGAATTAGAAATTCTAGAGATTGAAGTCAACAATCTGTGTTTAACAAGTCCTCCAGATGATTCTGATGCATCCTAAGGGTTGTAAACCACCGAGAGCCAATGGTCTAGAGCAAAGGAGGTTCAGGGATCAACAAGCCTCTTTAGTGGACGCCCCTAAGCAACATGATGGCACTGGTAACCTAGACAGATGTCAGGGGGAAAGGGGGAGCCAGGGACACAGAATACCTAAGGTGCTTTTGCCTTCCTCAATATCTGGCTCAAATGTAAGCCATGATTGTTTTTATAGGCCTAGAGTTTGGACTTGAACTTTAAAAAGTGATATTTAGAAAAGCAGTGTGATTCAATGGAATGAACCTAGATTCTGAAACTGAAACCTCAGTTTGCAGCTTAATCTTGGGTCATGTATGCAATTTCTATGAGCTTCTATTTCTCCATCTGTAACATAGGAAACACAAACATTTATTTTACATGGTCATTTTGAGAGCTAGCTAGAATAATGGTATGTGAAATTTGCCCAACAAGGCAAATAGTAAGTAAGAACAAATGACAGCAGTTAAGCCATAATGTGAGTTATTTGTATTATCATTAGGTTGAACCACGTGAAATGAATGATGTCCAACTAATTATTGACCTACCAAGATGCTGTTTTTATGTGGTTCAACCTAATATGTCTCTACTCACAGTTTGGGCGCGAGCATAGTAAGCTGTAGTACATCTCTCTAAAAACTACCTAATGGCCTCACGAACAGGATTGTGGCTAGTGGATTTGTACCTTTGCCTCATGGAATTATTGGATACTCTAGGTTCTTAGATTACTTTGGGGACCCAGTGCCTTATAGGAGAGCCATGTAAAGAGAAATGTGAAAGTACTGTTATTTAGCTGAGTTTAAACCCTGACTAGATGGAAGGATGGACCCTATAGTGGGGAAGAAAGGAAAAGCCCTAACGCTGTCATCTGTCAGTAGTCCCTTGGCCAACCTTAACAGAGGCAAAGAGGCATTGAGGAGTCATCCAGGAGGGAGACCAGGTGATAACACACTGATTTGCTCTCCTAAATTTTTTTTTTTTTTTTGAGACAGAGTTTTGCTCTTGTTGCCCAGGCTGGAGTGCAATGGTGTGATCTCGGCTCACTGCAATCTCCGCCTCCTGGGTTCAAGGCAGAATTCTTCTGCCTCAGCTTCCCGAGTAGCTAGGATTACAGGCATGCACCACCACTCCTGGCTAATTTTGTATTTTTAGTAGAGATGGGAGTTTCTCCGTGTTGGTCAGGCTGGTCTTGAACTTCCTACCTCAGGTGATCCACCCACCTCAGCCTCCCAAAGTGCTGGGATTACAGGCGTGAGCCACCGCGGCCGGCTGCTCCCCTAATTTCTTTAAAGAACCACATAGTATCATAGTGTTATAGGCAGCTCTACAGGGACAACTGTGATTTTTTTTCCTCTAGAGTGGTGCCTCTCAGACTGTGCTGTGCATATGAATCACCTCAAACTTTGCTAAAATGCAGATTCTGATTTAGCAGATCTGGGGTAGACCCCAAATTCTTATTTCTAACCAGCTTCTGGATGATGCCAATGTTGCAAGTCAGTCGACTGTACTTTCAAAAGCAAGGCTCCAGAGGACATATTGAGGATATGAAACTAAATGGGTTTACTGCCCGGTGGAAATAGAAGCTGTTTAAAGAGATAAGGAAATCCTGGAACTAACTGAGCATTTATGACAAATGGGAGCATCAAAATCACATGAAGACGAAAACATTAGCTTTATCAAGGATCCACAAGCTATGGCCCATCCTTTGGTTTTGGTAAATAAAATTTTATTGGAACACAGCCATGCTTACTCATTTATGAATTGTCTATGGCTATGTTCACTCTACTATGTCAACACTGAGTAGCTGCAATGGAAATCACATGATCTGCAAAGTTTAAAATATTTACTATCTGGCCTTTTATAGGAAAAGTTTGGTAGCACCTGAGCTAGAGATATCTGCCCAACTCCCCTGTAGTATGAGATACTCTTAAAAGGAGGCCCGTCTGCTTCCTTATTAGTGTTCAATCTTGCAGTAAGAATCAGAAAGAGCCTCAGAACTGGAACTAGAGCCAAAGACCAATAGTCTGTGCATTTGATAATCATGCTTCTGTTTAATATGTGCCAAGATACAAGTTAAGCTCTGCAGGGAGTATTTTTTTAAGTAAAGAAAAGAAATTTATTTTTCACAGTTCTGGAGGGTCTGGGAAGTCCAAAATTAAGGCACTGGCATTTGGTGTCTGGTGAGGATCTTCTAGCTGTGTCCTCACATGGTGGACATGGCAGAAGCTGGAAGGGCAAGAGACAAACACTACGGCATGAAGCCTCTTTTTTTTCATATATCTTTCTTTTATTATACTTTAAGTTCTGGGATACATGTATAGAAAGATAAACCATGAAGGTGATTTTCCCTTCCCCTTCATGGTTTTTCTTTATATCCTTTTCCTAAAGTTTAAACACAGCATGCAGTTAACCAATTGGCCAATCCCCAGGCACCTGTGGAAAAGTAATTTTTCCATTATTTTACCATTTAAACAGGATGTGTTTGGTCATGATTATTTAAACTTTTTAAAAATTTAAGCATTTTAAAATCAGTAATAATAGTGTATATACAATTTGATAATGATATATCATTTGATATATTTATATAATCATTTGATATATAAATACATATCAAACATTTATAAATCAAATGATATATATATCATTATATATTATTTGGTATATAATATATAATGAGATATATATATATATATATATATATATATATATATAGGGTATATATATCTCATAAACATTTCTCCAGGTGGCTGTGTAGCTTTCATAATCCTGACTTTTGTGGCTGCATAATATTCCACCAAATATACTCCTTAAATTTACTGAAGCTTTAGTATATTATTAGAAATATATATTATAAAATATATTATTAGAAATATATGAATTAATAATATAATAGTTAAAATTTTTAAATTCCTGAAATAATCATTTTTAATATATAGTTTTTTCTATATTTTGGACTATTTCCTTAGGATAATTTCTCAAAATAGTTATGGTACCAAAAGATATAAATACCTTTAAACCATCTTATAGATATTTCTAAATTGCTTTCTAGAAGAATTTTATCAATTTACATTTCTATCAACAATGAATAAATGTGCTAGTTCGACCACACACTTACCAGAATTGGGAATGAATATTTTTGGTGAGTTTGGGGCAAATATTAAAGGACAATAATGCTACAAATATAGGGGTAGCTTAATTTTCATTGCTGAACCAGAATTTCTTTTTTTTTGTTATTATACTTTAAGTTGTAGGTTACATGTGCACAATGTGCAGGTTTGTTACATAGGTATACATGTGCCATGTTGGTTTGCTGCACCACCAACTCATCATTTACATTAGGTATTTCTCCTCATGCTATCCCTCTGCCAGCCCCCCGCCCGCCAACAGGCCCCAGTGTGTGATGTTCCCCACCCTGTGTCCATGTGTTCTCATTGTTCAGTTCCCACCTATGAGTGAGAACATGCGGTGTTTAGTTTTCAGTCCTTGTGATAGTTTGCTGAGAATGATGGTTTCCAGCTTCATCCATGTCCCTGCAAAGGACATGAACTCATCCTTTTTTATGGCTGCATTGTATTCCATGGTGTATATGTGCCACATTTTCTTAATCCAGTCTATCATTGTTGGACATTTGGGTTGGTTCCAAGTCTTTGCTATTGTGAATAGTGCCACAATAAATATACGTGTGCATGTGTCTTTATAGTAGCACAATTTATAATCCTTTGGGTATATACCCAGTAATGGGATTGCTGGGTCAAGTGGTATTTCTAGTTCTAGATCCTTGAGGAATCACCAATTTACACTCCCACCAACAGTGTAAAAGCATTCCTATTTCTCCACATCCTCTCCAGCATCTGTTGTTTCCTGACTTTTTAATGATCGCCATTCTAACTGGTGTGAGACGGTATCTCATTGTGGTTTTGATTTGCATTTCTCTGATGACCAGTAATGATGAGCATTTTTTCATATGTCTATTGGCTGCATAAATATCTTCTTTTGAGAAGTGTCTGTTCATAGCCTTGCCCACTTTTTGAGGGGGTTGTTGGTTTTTTTCTTGTAAATTTGTTTAAGTTCTTTGTAGATTCTGGATATTAGCCCTTTGCCAGATGGGTAGATTGCAAAGATTTCTTCCCATTTTGTAGGTTGCCTGTTCACTCAGATGATAGTTTCTTTTGCTGTGCAGAAGCACTTTAGTTTAATTAGATCCCATTTGTCTGTTTTGGCTTTTGTTGCCATGGCTTATGGTGTTTTAGTCATGAAGTCTTTGCCCATGCCCATGTTCTGAAGGGTATTGCCTAGGTTTTCTTCTATGGTTTTTATGGTGTTAGGTCTTACATTTAATTCTTTAATCCATTCTGAGTTAATTTTTGTATATGGTGTAAGGAAGGGATCCAGTTTCAGCTTTCCACATATGGCTAGCCAGTTTTCCCAGCACAATTTATTAAATAGGGAATCCTTTCCCCATTGCTTGTTTTTGTCAGGTTTGTCAAAGATCAGATGGTTGTAGATGTGTGGTGTTATTTCTGAGGGCTCTGTTCTGTTCCATTGGTCTATATCTCTGTTTTGGTACCAGTACCATGCTGTTTTGGTTACTGTAGCCTTGTAGTATAGTTTGAAGTCAGGTAGCGTGATGCCTCCAGCTTTGTTCTTTTTGCTTAGGATTGTCTTGGCTATGCAGGCTCTTTTTTGGTTCCATATGAACATTAAAGTAGTTGTTTCCAATTCTGTGAAGAAAGTCACTGGTAGCTTGATGGCGATAGCATTGAATCTATAAATTACCTTGGGCAGTATGGCCATTTTCACAATAGTGATTCTTCCTATCCATGAGCATGGAATGTTATTCCATTTATTTGTGTCCTCTTTTATTTAGTCGAGCAGTGGTTTGTAGTTCTCCTTGAAGAGGTCCTTCACATCCCTTGGAAGTTGGATTCCTAGGTATTTTATTCTCTTTGTAGTAATTCTGAACAGGAGTTCACTCATGATTTGGCTCTCTGTTTGTCTATTATTGGTATATAGGAATGCTTGTGATTTTTGCACATTGATTTTGTATCCTGAGACTTTGCTGAATGGCTTGTCAGCTTAAGGAGATTTTGGGCTGAGACGATGGGGATTTCTAAATATACAATTATGTCATCTGCAAACAAAGACAATTTAACTTCCTCTTTCTCTAATTGAATACCCTTTATTTCTTTCTCTTGCCTGATTGCCCTAGCCAGAACTTCCAACACTATGTTAATAGGAGTGGTGAGAGATGGCATCCTTGTCTTGTGCCGGTTTTCAAAGGGAAGGCTTCCAGTTTTTACCCATTCAGTATGATATTGGCTGTGGGTTTGTCATAAATAGTTCTTATTATTTTGAGATGCGTTCCATCAATACCTAGTTTATTGAGAGCTTTTAGCATGAAGGGCTGTTGAATTTTGGGCCAAGATCCCTGATGAACATTGGTGCAAAAATGCTCAATAAAATACTGGCAAACCGAATCCAGCAGCACATCAAAAAGCTTATCCATCATAATCAAGTCAGCTTCATCCCTGGGATGCAAGGCTGGTTCAACATACGCAAATCAATAAACATAATCCATCACATAAACAAAACCAATGACAAAAGCCACATGATTATCTCAATAGATCCAGAAAAGGCCTGAACCGGAATTTCTATACTCTTTTTTATTTTTGTAATCGAGAGTAGAACATGAGTTGACATTGCCAATTCCCTTCACTGAGTAGAACCAGAAACCAAAACCTTCTTATGACATTATTTGCTCAAGAGTCCAAACAAGGTATGTCTGATTTAAATCACTTCGAAGAGTTAGTTAATTTTGTTCTAAAAAGAATTCTTAACACCACTTAAGAAATACTACCAAGGTATCATCTTTGAAGTGTTAAATTGTGGTTTCAAAATTAGAAGAAAAAAGGAAAAGGAATGATCCATATTCTTTCATATGAGTCTTTGTAATCTCATATTTATATGAAACCTCTTTACTCAACACTTTTACATCTATTATTTCATTTGTGCCTCATAAATACCTCTACAGTAGAATAAGCAGTGTTTCTCTATATCTGAAGAGACTAAATAAAACAGAGTTTGGGAAGGTTAATTGACTTGCCTAATGTTATAGACATACTTATAGTTGAGACTATGTTTTTAGACATTTAGAGTAATTCTAAATGTTTAATTTAGAATTACTATTCATCCGTTCACTCATCCATACATTCATTCATCCATCCATTCATTCATTTATTGAATAAATATTTGTTGAGCATGCTGTGTTTCAGTGCAAAGTCCTGAGGTTAGAGCACTAAGCAAAATAGAAATGATTCTTGTCCACACAAAGTTTGTTGTTGGATGATGGGACGTACACAGGAAAGTACTCAATTGCATAATACATAAGTCCATCAATTACATAAATTAGATTGTGGTAAATATTCTAGAGTAAGGAAAGAGAGAGAAAATAATGGGAGCTATTTTATTTAGACAGAATGGCTAGACAAAGCTCCACTGGAGTAGTGATGTATACGCACAGGTCTAAAAGGATAATAGGCTTCAGGCAAGAGAGAGAGAGAGATGAAAGGTAGATTCCAGATAGATCATAATGTCCAAAGCCAGGTTTCAGGAATTTAAAAATCCCCAGTTTGGCTGGTACAATCTACAATATAATATACCAGCTGTCAAGCCCCACTAAGCTCACAGAGCTTGCAAGCAGCTTTTATTAATTCTCTTTTAAATACAAATAAACATACAAGAAGAATAGACATTTTAGGAACATCTTCAGAATAAAAGAGAAACCACAGCAAACAATTTTTACAAGAGAGCAGACGAAAAAGTTGCAAGTGAATGAAAATTAATATTGTTAGAATGGGTGAGGGATGACATGATGTCTACCAAACGAGAATAAGATACTATGAAAAAGGAACAGAGAATAAGAGTTCTTGAAGATTATAATCTGACAATTAAGTTTTTAAAATCAATAGAAAGGTCGAAAGATGAAATAGAAGCAGTTTCATAAATCATAGAACAAGAACTTAAAAAGAATATATAATAAGCAAGAAAGAGAGAAGATAATTAGAAGATTGATACAAGAAGCCCAACAGCCGACTAATTTGATTTAATACAAACATTCCAAATTAAAAAACACATTTATCCCATTGAAAAGGGACCACTAAGTGCCAAGCACGATGAGTGAAGGAAGACACACAACGTGAAACATTCCATTGAGAAATTTTAGAACCCAGAGATAGATCTTACTAGAGCTTTTAGACAGAAAGAAAATAACCACATATAAAGTAAAAGGAATCAGGATGACACTGGACTTCTCAACAGTAACACTGAAAATTAGAAGAATACAGAACAGTGCTTCAAAATTCTTAGTCGTCATTATTTTTAACATAGAATTATATTTTTAGATAAATTACTAACCAAAAAAAGAAGATAACAATATTTTAATAATTTCAAGAATTCAAATGTATGTGCCCTTTCTTAAGAAGCTACTGAAGGATGTTCTTCAGCAAAATAAAGTTGTAAACCAAGAAAGAGAAAGAGATCCAGGAGATATTTTACTTAACACAGAAGAGTGGTGAAGGCAAGTCTCAGGATGTCAGCTGTGCAGGAGAGCCAGGTTGAATGAGGAAGAGGGCGGCAGCCTATCAGAGTAAAGAAACCAGGAAAAGAAATTATGCTGTCAGATGATCTAGTGTGTTTGATGTTTGGAAAATATGAATAGACTTTCTACCAATATTGTCTGTCTTTTAAGCTCTGTACACGTGCTTCTCCGATAAAAAATGAAAATCAATTTTTCTGAAAACACATAAGCCAGTGGACTGGATGAGGTTGCTCAGGGAGAGAGAAAAGCAGCTCACACTGAGTCCTGAGAACATTCTAATTTGGAAGTCACATAAAAGAGAAAAACAGGTGTCATGGGAGTCAGAAGTGAGCCTAAGGGAAGGGGAGTTGTCTGCTGCTGAGATGTTGAATAAGGTGGCGATTAAAAGTTGTCCATTTGACCTGGCATCCTGAAGGTCTTTGGAAACTTTGCGCTGCATATTGAGGTCATTGGATGGGAGGGTGGGAGGGGGCAAAAGGTGGACTGAGTGTGAAGCCAGTATGTAGACAGCAGTATGTAGACTTGGGTTACAAACTCAAGAAATGGGGTGGTACATGGAGCGATGTGAGGTCAGTAAAGACTGTTTGTTTTGTTTTGCTTTAAATAAATACAGGAGATAAGAGAGCATGTTTATTTATTGGTGGGGCTGATTCAGTAAGAGAGAGAGGGATTAATAATGTAAAAACAAGGAATAACTAAAGTAGGACAGTATTTGAGTGGATAAAATCCAGGGTGTACATGCAGAAATTAGACTTTGATAGGCTAAAGGGTACATTTTCCATTTTAACCAGAGCAAAGAAGGAGAAAATGGGCCCTGATGAAGATTGCAGGTTTGGTGAAGGGAAGATGATTTTTCAATTTTCTCCATGAAATGAGAAGTCATCATCTGAGTGTAGAGAAAGGAATGTAGGAGGTTTCAGGAGAGAAGAGAAGATAGAAAACAGTCTTCTCAGGGAATAGGAAAGTAAACCAACAAGAGAAAAATAAAAGACCTGCTGGGCAGTTTTGAGTGCCCATTTGACGCTGGAGATCACGAATTTAAAGTGAATTAGACAGCTATCTTTCATCTTTTCTATCCACATTGAGCAGGTTGGGTATAAGCTCAGAGAAGAAAGGGAGAGCTCACCCAGAACTGGGGTCTTGTCTGATAAATAAGATGGAGACAGTAAGAAGCAGAGGTTTCTGCAAAAGCAAAACGATGGTGAGGGAATGCTGGAATCTACACTATGTCCAGAGGAAAAAGACCAGCCAAGTAAAAAAGCAGTTGTATCCATAGACAGGAAACCTCTCCACCCCAGGGCTTAGCAAACCCCAGGAAAAGTGGGCATTTGAATAGTATGTTTTGGTGCAATAGTATTACTTCTGCTGGTGGAATTTAGGAGAATAGGGTCACATACTTGTGAAGAGAAACTGCAGGGCATTTTTTTTTTTTTATTCTCCAGATAGAGTCTTGCTCTGTCGCCCAGGCTGGAGTACAGTGGCATGATCACAGCTCACTGCAACCTCCGCCTCCCGAGTTCAAGCGATTCTCGTGTCTCAACCTCCTGAGTAGCCGGGATTACAGGCACTTGCCACCACACCCAGCTAATTTTTGTATGTTCTTTTTAGTAGACATGGGGTTTCTCCGCATTGGCCAGGCTGGTCTCGAACTCCTGGCCTCAAGTAATCCATCCACCTCAGTCTCCCAAAGTCCTGGGATTATAGGTGTGAGCCATCCCACCTAGCTGGCTTTTCTTAAGGCTGATATTCCAGGGTAGGGCTACAAGGGCGAACTTGTGAGCTACTGCGTTCCTTCTTCAGAGCCCCAAGGCAGATAATGTCCTTAAATGAGGACTATCCTAAGGTTGATTATGTCTCTTCAAGCTTTAGTACCCTCGATTGTGTAGAAGCAAAGGTCTACGCTGTGGACAAATTTGTGTTTTAAATTCTGGTGCTATGAGGCTTCAAGGAGGCCTCATAATTGCCTGGACATGAGAGATATCCCTTGTATTTAATGTGATTCCTAAAGATCTGATGCCTATTTTGAATAAGCAAAATGTATGTGTCCCACTATAGGAAAAGAAAGTCATGCATCCTTACATGTAAATGATAGGGCTTCTTACATTAAACAATGAGTGTCTGACTGTCCTTGCTGAATAATTATTGCAAAGAGGAAGAGAAATTGATCAACTATTCTAAAATAAATTATTTTGGTTGACATCTCCAGTCATAGCTGCATGGTAAATACCCAATAAGATGTGACCATTTAGTTGCTTTCTGCTTGTTCCTCTAACTAGCATGCTCCTTCCGCACCAGGAGTTTTGCATCCAGAATGCTTTTCCCCTGATGCTTCTCATTCCGCAGATCTCATTTGAGCACCACCTCCCTAGAGACGCCTTCCCTGACTACCCCCTTGTACACCATCCCAGCCCACCACCCTTAATCTCTATCAGGAATATACTCTGTTATTTTCCTTCTAGCATTTAGCACCTTATTTAGTTAATTTATTTGTGGGTCCTTCGTTATCATCTTGAAGAAAATGGCACTGGGGGGATGACAACGGAAAGGGAGATTCCTGGAAGGACACACAACCTTTCCATTTCTTCCGATTGTCCAAGATGTCGTTCTGAATCAAACCAGCGCCACCAAATGTGAGATGCTAGGCTGTGTTACATTTGTCCCAGAAGGACTGCGTTTCTGAATCGTGCCTGGTTTCAATGCATCAGCCTCCATTGAGGATCACGGTAAACATAACCTAATGAAAGCCATCCTTGAGACTGTTATAAGTAGCTGTTGAGAAAGTCATTCATTACAGCACACGATATCCCCAGTAGGCGAGGAGATATCTTTTATGATCTGGTCTGAAGAACAGTTTGCTGTCTTTGAAAAGGGTTTGTTTTTTTTGTTTTTGTTTTTTTTTAATTGCATGATCACTATAGAATGTTCAACTGGCTAGATTCCTCTTTTCTTGTTGGCTGCTGGAAAGTTGAGAACCAAGTATGGCTCACTGAGAGCCAAGAATGTATTCAATCCCTCTGCAGTCACTGAGGGCCACCTTCTTGGCACTACTTTGTTTGTACCCAGATTATTTCTTCTTGTTTCCCCATTGAAATTTGTATTCTCTTGTTCTATGTTAAATATTAACATATTTAAATATTAAATATTCTTGGATGTGGTGCTAGATTACTTTATCAATGAAAGTAGACTATGAGTAACTAAAAAGTAATAATAATGTCTATATTGCTGAACTGCTATAAGAATTACCCATAAAATATATGCCTAATTTAAAATATAGAAGGCATTCAATTAATGATACTGGTACAGCTACTACTACTGCCTCCCATCCATGATTTCCATCTTAAATTTCCTTACCTTACCAATCAAGTGTTGCCTGCAGCTTTAAATAGATTTTGGTTAGATTATTGTTTTAGCTTCAACTCTCAGCTCTCCCACACAATTACCCTAATGACACATACTGGATAACAGCTGGAGAGTATTAGGGATGTCAGTCTGGTTTTAATTTCATTAAGAGCTATTTGAGACTGCTTCACAGATCTGGCCACTAACTATTTAGTGAGAGAGAAGATACTGAGCTTCAAAAGGGGGTTCTATTCATAACCCAGCAAATAGTTTGCAAGTGTTGGGTGTTAGCTAGCATTTTGTTACTCAGTGTGTGGTCAGCAAACCAACAGTATCGGTACTACCTGGGCACTTGCATCTCACGCCCCACTCCAGACCTATTGAATTCATATTAATTCAAATTACACTGGGCTCAGTTTAACAAGAGCCCAGGTGATTTACATGCACATTTGTGTTGAGAAGCACTGAACTAGGACAAACTGTGAGAAAGGCAGTGGTAGCAGCCTGCAATTAGCTGATGAAGTGCCATGATGACAGCCCACTAAACAGAGTTTCCATAGGATATGGAACGAGCACACACACTGTGATGTGATGAGTTGTTCAGATCCTAGTTCTATTGCCTGCATGTTGTGCAACCTTGGACAATTTGCTTCACTTCTCAGAGCATCAATTTCATCTGTTAAGTAGAAATAATAACACTTCCCTTGCAAGGTAGCTGTGAGGATGGTATGTAATAAGTCATGTTAAAAAGCCCCACAAGAAAATTGAAAAGTATAAGTATGACAGTCTCTAAACAAGTCCCTTTGGAGCCTGACTGCAGTTTTCACCTAAGGACAGTGGGTGTTGTGGGGCATCTGTAGGCTACAGCACCCAGAAAGTGGATATTCATACACTGGGTGCTGGGGTTCCCACAGGCATTTTCTGTGGGAGTCTGGACTCTGGGCATCTGCCCTTTGTCTTTCCAAGCAAAAGTCAGCCAGGAACTTCTTACTTGATTCTACCCCAAGGGAGAACCACCTAAGCAAGAATAGCCCACCCTAAAGAATAGGAATATGAATCCCTTTTAATAAAAGAAGGGAAATTGATGGACCCACAACCCAAAGCTAAAATCCACAGATTTGGTGTTTGGACACAGCTGTTTCAGCCCTGTGCTTTTTCTACTATGTGCTTATTATTATGATTATTCTGAATATATTGAGGAACCCATCATTGCAATTGGGAGTTTAATATTACCAATCCTATTATACCAATCCTGGAGTAGGCTACCCTCCTCTTTCTTACCCATTCAGAATACATAGTCTGTTTGCCAAATAAGGAGGCTCTTGTTCACTTTTTCAAATACAAATGATATCTTCTTAATGATAACTCCCTCCTATCCCAATGGGCTTGGGGCTCTAAATTGGTTTTATAGTCCTGCTCCTTGCAACCAGGATCTCATCCCACACTTTTCCTTAAGGACAGTGACCAGTGACTTCCTGTAGTCCTCCCTCTGTGATTAACTTGGTAATATTTCACCTGCATCGTCCTGGGCTAAATAGCATCAACATTTCACATCAGGACCTTGATTTACTAACCATCTACTCAGAAGTCTGTCATCGGCAGGGATGATTTCTTACTCTCTTCAGACTGCAAGACTTTGCCAAGGTTCTAGTAGGTCAAGCCCTGATCTTGAAGGCAAAAGGCCTACAGTACCTCACTTTTTAATTAGTTTAATTGTCTGCCTGTAAAGGTAGGCAATGAGCTCTTTTGGTTTTTCTTGCCAAATCTCCTATATGTTGGAAATGTGACTTTAAGGCAACCTCATTTGGGGATTTCTGGGGAATTTCTTCTTTATTGAGACTTCATTGTTAGAGTCCTTGACACAGTGATCTTTTAGTTGGAACAGAGATTCACTCAGATGCCTCTGGGAGGGAAAAAGAAAAGATTTAATGAAAAGATGCATGTGTATGCTACACCCAGGAAATGAAGAAACAGGCACTAGCAAAGGCACGAACTGGAATATCTTTGGGGAACTGCTTTTCTTCTCTGTTGATTATTCTTGCACGAGGATGCTCGCTTTGTTTTCATTTCCACCTCACTCGATTGCCATTTCCTCCTAACTTCATCCCATGTGCTGCATTGTGGCTGACAGGCTCCTCTACTCCATGCGTATTCTTTTATACTGTCACTAACTGGCAACAATCCCTCAGTCTCCAAACAGCAAAACTCCTTAAAACAAAACCAGATTGGCCCAGTTTATTTTCACAGATCCGGCATTAGGCTGCTTTTGAGTTGGGTGCCCACCCCGATCCAACCGAGGACAGCTCCCTTGTCTTCCCCCTTCAGTAAGGACCATGAGTGGAGCAGATCCTCTTGGGAGACATCATGGGCAGGGCATGAACTTGCCATTCTAGGGCGCACCCTTGGAATTCCAGTTTTCTGAATGCTGCTTTAGTTGGAGGCAAAGCAAATATGCATCAAGTTACTTCAGCCACAAATAATACCTGTTAAATGCCCCCATCCCTGGTAATCTGAGAAACAACCAAAACAGCCAGAAGAATGAATGGGAGGGCAGGCAGCAAAGCTCTATGGAAGGACGCCTCCTCTTTTACAATACTGCCTTGGCGGAATCACCTGGGGACTCCAAGCCCCTCTCTGTTTTGACCCTCAAGGTCTATGTCTTCCTGACTTCATAATGCTCAGGCTTCTCCTTCTTTGCTTAGATTAATCTTTACCTCTGACTTCACAGAAATCAGCCCAGAATTCTTGGTGATAGAGTTGTGATCTGTAATTCCTAGGCTCTGATGCTTGCTTTCTTATGTAACTTGTTTTCCCTTTCGTTTTCTCATTTTGAAAACTTAACACAAGGATAAGATGCTAAAGTGTCTGCTTTAATAATGGGCAGTTAGCACAAGGATAGTTAGTGAAATGATGCTCATAAAAATAAATGGGGTCTTCTAGAAATAATGGGATTGTGACAGCAACTTTGTGGAATATCAAGTAGTCATGAGCATTAAGAAAAATTATATGTGCAGAAAAATTCTAAGATAGAGTATTAAATAAAAACACATGGAATTATTCTTACACAATGGATATTACCAGGTGAAATGTGAGATATTTAGGAGAGACAAGGAATAAATTTAAAGAGAAAAGAATTGTTCCGAGGTGTGAGACCTGGGTATTTGCTCTGCAGTTTTATTTTTTCTTTAATTCTTAAATTAAAATTTTGGTTGCTGTATTGTTTTTACATTTCGTTAAAAAAAAAAAGTTGGAGATGGGAAGTGAAAATAGCATTAGCCTAAAGAACAAGCAATGGAGAGAGAAGGAAGTTATTTCTAATTAGCCAGGTATTGTTAGACAGGCAAAGTCACCCCACAGCTTCCTCTTGAATAGCAACAGAAATGTTTCAAGGTGCTTTACCAAGAGTAATCATTAACTTTCAAGTCTGCTTTGTCAAACTAATGATTTAAATGGTACAGAGGGCTAGCCAGAAGCATGGACTTGGGATAGCGACAGGGGTGGGGGTGAGTCAGCCTACTTGAAGGGTCATGGCTGGATTGGGGGCTTGGATTTAAGATATATAAGCATTCTGGGCATTTTCAGGCAGGAAGCACCAACAGGATGAAGCAGACAACCTCCCAGGGTGATGTGTTTGGAGTCCAGAGATCTGCATGTTAGCCAAGATTGCAGAGCCCAGATGACTAAGTGATGGTGGGCAGTTGGGGTAGGGAATTCAGCCCTTTTGAGCTAATGCCTATCCAGCTATCAGAGTTATTAAACTAGACTCAGCCAGCTGTGTTGGGCACCAGGGTTAATCGCCTCAAGCCTCATTACTGGAATCATCCCTGAACATCATCTTTCTAGCAGGGTGCTAAGGCTTCCTGTGGTCTGGCTGCATTACTCTGAACAGCAGTTGACACAAGGAAAATATATTTGTTTCTGTGCTGCATGCTAAACTTAGTCTCTCTCTTTCTCTGTATATGTATATGTATATGTATATGTATATGTATATGTATATGTATATGTATATGTATATGTAAAGTGACCTTAGATTTTCCAAGTAGGCAGGCCTTTTGTTGATGAAGCCCATGTGTCATAATCCCAGGAAACATGTTTGCATTATCATGGATTTCAGGTAGAGGATTCTGGCCTTTGACTGTAACCCCCTTGCTTTGGCAGCTAGAGAGGCTCTTAGGATGATGGTGTTAGCATATCTGAGTGAGTTCAATTGCCCCAAGGATGCTAAAGAAGCATGTATGAAAAGCAAGATGGTAGATTGGCAATGAAGATGAACTGAAAGTCCAGGAACTATTCTCTAAGCAGTTCTGCAGCTCACTCATGTACCTTCTGCAAGTCATACAAGCCTGAAAGGATCCGAGTTCCTCCTCTTTCATATGGGAACAGAATTACTTGAAACTTGTTTTAAGTTATGTGACTTATCACCCGATTCAGCCCTATTACTTTAAAAAATTTTACTTTACTTTTTAAAAATCAGTAAGGAAGATTTTATTCAAGTCTATTGCAATAGGGGAGAGAGACTGAACTCAACTTTGCTGAAACAAATGGTGGGGATATTGATCAATGCGATTAGGGCATCTATATTTGATAATTGGTACTTAAAAATCAAAGTTAGGCTTCTGCCCCCCTGCAGAGACTGGGAAACAGGGGCGCTATCTTTCTTCATGACTACATTCCAAAAGGATAGTCCCGAAGTTCTTGAAAAAGACATTCCTGGGTGGCATAACTGGCTAGAGGCTGTGAAAAGGTTTACATCTTAAAGGGGCAGAGAAATAATTTACAATAGAAAATTTTCTAAAGTAAATGCTCTAAAAAAGAGAATGGGAAGAGCCTAGACTTAGGAAGAAGTCTGTCTAAAGTTTAATCAAGTTAAGGCCATCTTAGTCAAAGTTTATACTCTGGATGCAGCCCTGTTACTTTATTTATTTATTTATTTATTTATTTATTTATTTATTTATTTATTTTGAGACAGAGTCTCGCTCTGTCGGCCAGGCTGGAGTGCAATGGTGCGATCTCAGCTCACTGCAACCACCGCCTCCTGGGTTCAAGCAATTCTCCTGCCTCAGCCTCCCAAGTATTTGGGATTACAGGCGTATGCCACCATGCCCAGCTACTTTTTTTGTATTTTAGTAGAGATGGGGTTTCACCGTGTTGCCCAGGCTGGTCTCGAACTCCTGAGCTCAGGCAATCCACCCATCTCTGCCTCCCAAAGTGCTAGGATTACAGGTGTGAGCCACCGTGGCTGGCCAGCCCTGTTACTTTAAACCAACCAACCCATCCTAGGTTCCCCAGCCAGAACTCAATAATAATGAGCCCCTGAGCCCCTTATTTCATCCTGTTTAGGCTTGCTTCCTAGCTGCTCACAGCTCCGATCTTCTTGGCTCCTACCACCTTGGCTCTCATGAATGATGAGATGAACCCCTTGGAGAAGAAGCCTAAGATCAGACCACTGTCTGCCCCTTCCCCAAACATTGTCCTCTTGGACTTGGCCTTCTTCTCGACTCACCCATTATAACAGTCTGGCTCACCAAACTCTCCCTGGGACGCTGTTTTTACGGTATTTCCCTGGCTTTATCAGTGAGAACTGCACTATGATTTCTTAGTGCTCAGTGATTTCATTCAGACCTCCGCCTTTAGTTAGAAAGCATGTTGGTATAACACAGGAAGTGGCCTTGTTTCTTCTTTTCTTGCTGATGAAGAAATATTCTATTTAATCTTATTCTTCAAAGTGTGGTCAGAAAAAAATTTAAGGAAAAATTACATTTAATATTTCACAGCTGTCCTAACTTTGAGGCTAGATTTTTAAAACATAGGCAACAACAACAACCTAAAAGCAAGGCAAACCGGAAAACAAAACCAAAAATTCCTGAATAAAACTTAGAACACTTTGTTCTAAGTTCATTACATGTAAAGTAAACCAAAAAATATGTGAAAATGTGTCCTGTAAACAAAAGTATTTTGTGGACAGACAATGTGGAAAATGCTGTATCATGCATGAAAACATATTAAAGGCTCTGAGAAATCCTATGATAAAGAAGCCTATTTAAGTTTGCCTAACCCAGTATGTGCCACATTAATTTGACCAACACTCCTTTGTTTATTAACACCTGTTCATATATACCATAGTACTGGAGTTACATGGAACTACTTCAAAAAAGTTAAAGACATCCATAATGTCCTATCTCCATCTTTCTCAACATGATCACAACCATTATTTAATATATGTCCAGTTGGCTGCTGGTTACAACACATTGGTGATCAGAAAAAATTGATGCAATGCTACACAAATATTGTATCTAGACATGGAGCAGCTTATGGTGATACATTGAATGTGTTGCTTGAATATGACAGTAGTTACCCACAGGCATCAAGTCCTACAAATGAGGAGTGTTCAATAGTCCCCCTTATCCATGGTTTTGCGGTTTCAGTTAACTGCAGTTAACTGTGGCCAAATGCAGCCAAAAAAAATAAGTGAGTATAGTACACTAAGATATTTTGAGACAGGGAGAGAGACCACATTCACATAACTTTTATTATACTATATTGTTATAATTGCTCTATTTTATCATTGTTGTTGTTAACCCTATTATTGTTCAGAATTTATAAATTAAACCTTATCATGTTATGCATGTATAGGAAAAATATAGTATGTATAGAGTTCCACACTATCCACTAGGGGTCTTGGAATGTACCTCCATGGATAAGAGGGGACCACTCCAGTAGCTACTCTGGGAAAATGATCGGAGTAAAAATGAGAAGACTTTGGGGGCTTATAGTCAAATTGGAAGAAAAAAACTACCTTATCACATACAAAATAATTTGAAAATAACTTTGAAGAAATATATTAATACTTGAAGAATACTGAGATATCTAAAAAAAAGAATGGTCAGAATAAAGTGGAATTGAGATCAGAAGTAAACTGGAGACAAATACAGGAATAATCAGAAAGCAATAGAACTCTGGAAGCTGGAAAGCATTGGGGTAAGGCTTAAAGAACTTAGCAGACTTGAGAAAACTAATTTTAAACTTGCAAAGGAAATTGCCAAAAACTCATTAGATTTCCCAGAATCCCCAAAAGACTCAGGAATTGTCCACACCTGTTACCTCAGGAAATGGGGTGAAGAAATGTTGGGTCGAAAGTCTAAAGAGCATTTGGCTCTTCACATCCTCTTCCCTACTCCTGACAGCCCAGAAACTCCCCTCCCTCACCCCCAACAAAAGACCAAAAAGGGTCAACAGAGGCTGTGATTTGGAGGAGGCTGGCACAGCTGAGGGTGGGGGCACCACACTGAAACAGAGGCTATTAAGAAAACATGGGCATATTCAATGCTGAGATCTCCAGTTCCCACAGGTCTATGCCAGTCTTTTTTATTTTCCCAAAACAGTAGCAGGGCACTCAGGCACGTATGATTGGAAAAGTCTATTCTTGGGATCTAAACAGTCCAAGAGGAAAGATCTAAACAGAAAAGCAAGGTGACAACTTAGACACAAGACACTGAGGGAAAGCCTATAAAATGAAAGTTAAAGACCAAAATAAACAGAAATAAGCAACTTAGAAGAAACAGAGACTGAGCAGAGAGGAGAAAACTTCAAAACATCATTATCAAGGTCATAACAGAGAAAGATTAGAAAATATTTTGACCATAAAACCAGAACATTCTACCATAAAAAGGATTACCTAAAGAACCACAACCATCATCTCCTCTTGAAAATTAGAATTAAATTGAAGGAACACAATAATTGATAGAATTTGTCAAAGATAAGTGAAGGAAAATTGCTAGAAAGAAAGACAAAAACAAAAAAAGAGAGAAAAAATAAGAAAATCAGACAGCCTGTCCAAGAGGTTGAACCTCTGAAAATTCTAGAAGAATACTAAAAATGCATTGAAAGAAAACGTAGTAAAAATAATTCAAGAAAATTTCTCAGAAATGAATCTTAGTTCCCAGATTGAGAAAGCTTACTGAGTGCCCAGAAAAGTGGGTAGAAATAGACCTACACAAAGAATATCTTTCTGAAATGCCAGAACGCTCGGCTCAGAGAGGAAAACATATGAATTTCCAGGAGGGTGAAAATAGGTCACATAGCGAGGATCAGGAATCAGAATGGCTTCGGACTTCTCGGAATTAACACTGGAAAGTATGGGGCTATTGAGCAATACCTTCCTTCAAAATTCTACAGGAATGCTGTCTCCAATATAGAATTCTATAATCAGCCAAATTAGCATTCAAGGAGAGTTATAATAAACATTTTCAGCCATGTAACATCTCAAAACATGTACCCATCCAAAGACAGTGGAAAACATGGAATTCAGGAAACATCCATACAGGAAAGGAGCCAAGGGAATCTCCAATATGGTAATGAAGGAAAATCTCAGAATGGCAGCTCTCCACTCAGTATAGACAGCAGCCAGTCTATTTTGGAGCAGGTCAGAGACTTTTGCAGAAGATAAAATTGACTAGAATACCTATGATATCTGAATGTCCAAGAGGAGGTTATTAGACAATTGGTGAGGAGTTTAGTTTGGGATTGAATTAGTGATAAAACATAGAAACTAAGCAAAACGAAACAAAACAAATAAAAACACCATTATTATTTACTTTAAGCAAAAAAGGTGAATAAGGTGCAGGGAGCAAAAACTGTCTTCATTTTGAAAAGCAGTTACATAGTCTTTATAATTAAACACTGATGTAGTCATATCTAACCAGTATTATAAGATGACTCTATCGGGAGGGTGGAGAGGCAGGTAAAGTATATGCGTGTGCAGGAACAAGGGAAGGAAAGAAAGATAAATCCTCCTTCTTTATAGTAGGAAATCAATACTTATTAAATTGCAAAATCAAGAACAATGCAAGCATATTTTCCAGTAATCTTGAGGTAAATTTCAAAATAATCAGCTAAAAGTTTTTGTCCCTGGTTTTGTCTACAAGAAAAATTGTAGTGAGGGACAGGAGTGTTAGGTGTTGAAGGAAGCTTTTTGTTATTGTAGAAAACCTTAGAGAAACTATTTTACTCTTTAAAGTTTGTGCATTTACAACTTTGATTCAAAACAAAAACTCTAAAGAAAATTAACAAAAAGAAAAATGAGGAAAAGTTTTACAGCTCATATCATAAGGTTGTTATAATCTTGACATATTTGAAAATGAATTTATTGATCAACCTCAACTATGAATATAGATGCAGAAATTTTATATAAAATATTAGTATATCTGATTTAGCAGTATTTTCTTAAATGGCACCCAAATATGTTTTGCCCTAGAAATTAAGGAATAAACATTAATAATGTAACACAGCAAATTAACAAATTAAAGTAGAAAAATGTGACGATTTTAATAGGTTTAGGAAAATGATTTGACTAAATTCAATATTTATTCAGGAAATAGACCCTTAGCAAACTAAATTTTGGAGACAGCTTCCTTAATCTGCTGATATATATTCAAAACTCACATCATACATTATACTTAATGCGACACTTTAAAAGCAATTTCATTAAATTGAAAAGCATAGCAAGAATACTCACTATCACCACTTCTCGGTTTCTAGCTATTGAATTAAGATTTTTTTTAAGTATAAGAATTGGGCCGGGCGCGGTGGCTCACGCCTGTAATCCCAGCACTTTGGGAGGCGGAGGCGGGCGGATCACGAGGTCAGGAGATCCCGGATAACACGGTGAAACCCCGGATAACACGGTGAAACCCCGTCTCTACTAAAAATACCAAAAATACTTAGCGGGGCATGGTGGCGGGCACCTGTAGTCCCAGCTACTCCGGAGGCTGAGGCAGAAGAATGGCGTGAACCCGGGAGGCGGAGCTTGCAGTCAGCCGAGATTGCGCCACTGCCCTCCAGCCTAGGCGACAGAGTGAGACTCCATCTCAAAAAAATAAAAAATAAAAAAAAAATAAGTAAAAGAATTGGAGAGGAAGGAGAAACGTTTTTACTTATAGTGATTATTTGTGTGGAAAGTTCGTCGAAATTTACAAAAACTTTTCATAATTGATAAGAAAGTTCAACATGGTAGCTAGATATTTTTTACTAATCAAAACCCAATATTTTTATATATGCCAAGAATAAAACATTTTAAAATGAAATGGAAATATTTTATTCACAATAGTAACAAATCTCTAAGACAATTACTGCTAAAATCAACAAATATGTCTATGATCTCTCTGGAAAAAAATACAAAAGTTTATTGAAGCACATAAAAGATTGTTTGAATTAATAGAAAGTTATACCATGTTCATTGGTTGGGAAACAAACTGTTATATGTCAGTTATCACCAAATTAACCTGTAGCTGCAAAGATTGTCAATACACATACAAAAAAAGTTCTTAGAACTTTACAAACTCATCCTAAAGTTGATTTAGATGAGAAAAAGGCCCAAAGTAGCTAATATAATTTTGGAAAAAAGAACAGGATTGGTTGACAGTTCTGCTAGCCCTATCAGATATTAAGATGCTTTATAGAGCTGTCCTAAAGAAGATGATGCATCTACTGACAGAAAGACAGGCAGATAGACAAATGAGACAATAGAGCAACAAAAAATAGCCACCAGAAATAGAGGTACCAAAAATGGAAAATTGATACACAACAGAAATAGTATTATAAATCACGGGAAAACAAATTAACTGTTAAAGAATAGGATGTGAGGACAATTGGCCATCTATGGAAAAAGACAAAATTGGATTCCTATCTCACATCATATTTTATAAATAAAATCCAGGTGGATTAAAAACTTATATGTGGAAAGCAAAACTATCTTCTATAATAAAACATAGAAGAACATCATTGTGAACTGGGTTAGGGAAAGAGTATATAAACAAGACGCAAATGCATAATCTTTGAAGGGGAAAACATTGTTAAGTGTGACTGCACAAACATTTTACAATTCTTTTTAAAAATAGACCCAAGAAAGAAAATGAAGAAAACAAATTTCAGGCTGGGAGACAGTTTACAATGCATGTAACTTACAAAGAACTGATATCCAGAGTCTATAAAGAATTCTTGAAATAATAAGAGAAACAACCCAATAGGGAAAATGGCAATGGAAATAACAGACCTTCCAGAGAAGAGTAATCCTTTGCCCCAAAAAAATGTAACAATGTTTAGCCCTACTAGAAATCAGAGCAATGAAAACAAGACGATTAAGAAATATATCATACTGGCCAGGCACGGTGGCTCACGCCTGTAATCCCAGCACTTTGGGAGGCCCACGTGGGCCGATCATGAGGTCAGGGGTTGGAGACCAGCCTGACCAACATGGTGAAACCCTGTCTCTACTAAAAATACAAAAAATTAGCTGGGTGTGGTCTTGCATGCCTGTGATCCCAGCTACTCAGGAGGCTGAGGCGGGAGAATCGCTTGAACCCGGGAGGCAGAGGTTGCACTGAGCTGAGATTGCACCACTGCACTCCAGCCTGGCAACAGAGGTCTGTCTCAAAAGAAGAAAACAAACAAACAAACAAACAAAAAACACAAAAAATATATCATACCAACCAGCTGGGCAAACATAAAAGGACCTGACATTAAATGTTGGCAAAGATGTAGAGAAGTGAGGACTCTCAAGAACTGCTGGTAATAGTTCAAATTGGTACTACCTTTTTAGAGGGCAATTTGAACATAACTAGAATGGTTGAAAATGTGTCTGCTTTACAGACCAGGTCTTCCACTTTTAGTATGAGCCCTAGGGAAACAACAAATGTGCACAAAGAGCCATGCAGAAAATGTACATGCCAGCACGGTTTGTAATAGCAAAAAAAAACAGATATATGATCTTACCTAACAATGGATACAATGCCCTTTGGGCAGAAACATCTAATCCCATGGCATATCCTGTTTGGCTTCATTAGATATCTCCACAGCAGCTCTGGCATTTTATAGCCATTTCACATCCAATATCATGTAAACTACATGTACCGTAAAAAACATCTTCCTATTCCATTTCATAGTTCTGTGCCTGTTATCAAAATGACCAAATCATATCATCAATTAGAATGGCACTCAGACACCTTAGTAGTGACTGGTTCAAAGCTGAATTTCAACCAATTGAAGAGAATACAAATGTAATCTTTTTGGATATAAGGAGACAAAGATTGACGACTACGTTGACAGAATATTTATGAATTCTAAAAATGTCTTTTGATTTTATGTGTTTGTACTTTGTGAAAGCTAAAGATTCTGCAAGTATACATCTGGTTGGAAAGCATCAATACCAGCAGACTCCCTGATAATCAGTGGACTCCTCCAAGCGTCCCTGGTGACCCATCGCCTTTGAACACTTAGTACTTTTGGCAAGAACCACCACTTGGACCAGGCAGCTGTGCTTTCCAGAGCCTCTGAACATCTGTCCAAATTGTGGCACAAAACCTGCCTGTCCCAAATTGACCTCGTTACTCATTTATAAACATCCAAATAGATGATAGGGGGAGGAGAGATAATCCTCATGCTCCACAAGGGACTGCTCATACCACTCCCTGTCAACTCTGCTGCTGGCTTGCATTTCTGGAAGACCAGGAGAGCTTTTCAAAGGGCAGCCTTAGCAAACACCACATTACCACTTTGGATGCAGCGTGGACGTAACAAGCCTGGAAGCAAAGAGCAGCCTTTGTCCTTTCTGTTGAGAGATGATTCATATATGTAACGTGAACGTATCATCCAAAGAGCTTGTTCTTTGATGCTTGTTTCCTGTTTCCTCTTTTCATGAGCAGCCCAGGTTTCCCTGTGTACTATGGGCTTTGTGAGCCCCTAAATGGTTTCTAGGGAGCTTCCAGTAGCATGAGCTGGTTTGGTAAAGCGTTTGGATACTTGCCCAGTTTCCACTTCACCTTTAGATGAGGAGGAACCCGGTTGAAAGCCCTGATCAGACTCTGTGTTTCCTGTAGTTTTTAATAAAAGCCCAAGGGCAGCCTGAAAAGACTGATTTTTTTTCTATTCAATTTTCAAATCGAATTCAAGTAACAGGAAATTAGGAATACTCACTATGAAGCACGAGCCCCCTTTCTGTACAAAGGATGCTTTAGAGTTAATTTTTTCCCTCTTTAGCCAAAATTGATCCACTAACAAGTATTAAACATTTACAGATTACCTAGCAGCAACCATTACAATAAACGACCAATGGTGTGGACAGCCTGCATTTGAACCTTACCTCTCCCACTTCCTAGCTGTGTGGTCTTGGGCAATTTACAAAACTCCTCTAAGTCTCAGTTTCTTTACCTGTAAAATGAGGATAATACTAGTAGCTACCTCATAGGGTTGTTGTGATAACTAAATAAGTTAATACTTGCAAAGTACTTAGAACAATGGCAAGCACATGGTCAGTGTACAATACATGTTGGCTACTATGATTACTTAGCACTCTGCCACACATTTGGGGATAAAAGAAGTTATCCTACACTGCTGCTTCCCTGAAAGGTATTTAATTGAAAGAGACAAGTAGCATCTATCTGAGATAATTAGTGCACAAAACATGTTCTTTTTCGGCAGCATATGCTGAGGTAAACTCCTAGACAGAATGATGCAGATGATTAGGAAAAAGGATTGCATCTGCCCTGCCATTTAAGTCATGTGGTTCTCAAAGAGTTAACAGAGTGACTAGACCTGAGAGCAATGGGAATAAGAAGAAAGCCTCACAGAGAAGGTAGAACTTCAACTAGGCCTTGAAGGTTCAGCAAAATATAGACAAGGAGAACAGTGACATGGCAAGACCATTTTAGAAGAACCATGTGAGGGAAGAGACAGATGGTGTAAACTTGGCGAGGTAGGAAACAGTAAGGCAACCCTTAAAAATGGGATTTGGGTACCTCTCATTCTTTGTGGCATTGCTTCTGGAGTATGCACCTGCAATGACTTTGTTCCTTGCTTTTCCAACCAACTACTAAATGCCCCAGTTTCTGTCCATGTTACTTCTTCCCTTAGTTATGACTTTTCTTTTACTCAACAGAACTTATGTTTCCCCCTCATAAGTACCGTAGGAATCTTTCTCTAGCTGAGCAACTCTGGACATTCTTGCAAAAGCCCCTCCCACCTTAACATGGCCCCTCGTAACCATTCCCCAGTATGGTGCTTCTCTTAGATTTGACCCCGAGGAACATACAGGGAATAGACACATGTTAATCAGTGATACCCATTCATTGTCAGCTGCTTAGAGAATGCACATTTTCACATGAACTTATCTAAAATCCTTGTCATCCTTTACCTGAAGATATGGGCCAGGTATTGCTTAGAAGCAATCTTATATTCCCTCATAAAATTATTCTTAGCATTGTTTTACAATCTCTTCACTGTATCTCCAGGTAAAAGATAAAGAAATTATCTAAGAGAAAACTTTCTCCCCCCTGAAAATAAATGCCCAAACAAAATAATCTGAGTTTTCTTCAAAGTTTACTACCCCCTCTACTTTCCTTTAATGGAAAATGTCATGTTGATTAAGGACCTTGAGTGAAAACAAAAAACACCTAGAAGCATGCAAGGAGAGGAAATGGTACAACAAAGGAGGGGAAGACTTCTCCTGTTGGTGCCCTAAAAAAGCCAGGGGTTTGCTTTATGGTAAACCAGGGAGAGATTCTTCACCTCCAAATGGAGCTTTGCAGCACGTGCATAGCATTGCCCTGTAGCATTTCCAGTCGAATCACAAATCTTGAGCCTTGTCAACCTCACCAACAGTAAGGCCTCTGAGTAAACTTGCTCTCCAGCCATCTCAGGTGGATTGCACGTCCAGAGCTAGTTCACCATAAAATACCTTCCTTCCAAACTGGTCTACAGCTTCCATGCTTTATAGCAAGGGGTATGGGGAAGAGAAGAAACTCTCTAGGAGGGGAGATTTTCTGTCCAAAACCAAAGCTCTTAACTTTCCAAAAGGGTATCTTTTAAGCAATGTTCCTTCCCCCTCCAAAATGCCAGATTCTGACAAGAGGCTTTTAAGTCAAAACAAAATCATTCTGCACAAATGCATGGCACCTGCTGCCTCATGCTTGGGAATCCAGTGATATCATATAATGCACTGGTAATTGGTCCAGAAAGAAAACACAGTCAAGCCAACAACAAAAATGAAGACACTTTTAGCCTTTTTTATTACAGGCCGAAGAGTTTTATATGCAAGGTGAAGCAAAATACAAACATGGTCTTAGACTACACATGCAGGAAGAAGGGGCAAACCATGAGAAATAATTCTGAACTGGTTAGAGCACCTGAAGAGTACTAGGCTGTAATCTCCTCCAGTCCTTGGACATTTGTCAATATTTTAGTACGTGTAAAGACTTATGCAGTACTTGGTAAAGATAAGTATTTAATAAGTGAACAAAACCATACACTGACATCTCAGACAATCGTAACAGAGTCAATCAGAAGAGTGAGAGGCGGAAGAATCAAGAGGGTCAATGGGGCTATGATTATGTTTGTTTAGTCTATAGGAGAGAAGACCGGTAGTATTCATGATTTGATAGGTCAGTTTCAAGTATGTAAGAGGGAACCCAATGGTCCATGGTGTAGGGAATTTTCATTAGACTCTGCCATTAATTTGAATTGCATGTGATAGTGAGTAATTGTGTGTAATCCCATCAAATGACTACTGAGTGAACCTAGCTGACTGCTGGGATCCGTACTTGACATGGGTTTTTTTCTCCTCTACTTATCTCTATGTATGTGTTTTATGGGATAAACTCTGTGGACAAATTTGAAGTCTCAAAGTTCCTGAGAGTCTCCTGTGATTAAAGACTTGCCCAATGGAAGAAGAAGGCTTATCTTCAATGCTTTTCAATAAAAGGTTTGATTGGAACGAAAGGGAAAAAGATGCAGGAAGGAAAATTTAAACACCAGAACAAGCTTTCTTCTAGGGTACCTTGATGATATTCAAGGGCATCCTGGACAGCCACATTTCCAAGAGTTTTGTGGTCAAGGGAACTATGACATTGGTCTTCATACCTGCAGTACTTAGTGCAGTGGCTAGCATGTAAAGTCTCCTGGTGAAATCATAAAACACAGTGCTAATGAGGCTCTTTGATACCATCTCACCCAACCACACCACTAACTTATGAGAAAAAGGAACCCAAAAAGGTTAATTGAGTTGATCAATGCCTCACAGTACAAAATGGTGGGGACAGTACTAGACCCCAGGTCTTTAAATGCCGTCCCAGCAGTTTTCCCAATAGGAAACCACTTCACATTTATGGTCATAAAAATACTCTTGAGGCTGGGCACAGTGACTCACGCCTATAATCCCAGCACTTTGGGAGGCCGAGGCAGGTGGATCACTTGAGGTCAGGGGTTCAAGACCAGCCTGGGCAAAATGGTGAGACAGTGTCTCTACTAAAAATACAAAAAAAATTAGCCAGACATGGTGGTGAGTGCTTTTAATCCCAGTTACTCAGGAGGCTGAGGCAGGAGAATTACTTGAACCCAGGAGGTGGAGGTTGCAGTGAGCCAAGATCACGCCACTGCACTGCAGCCTGGGTGACAGAGCGAGACTCCATCTCAAAAAAGAAACCAAAAAACTCCTGAGTGTTACATATGCTACACATATTAAGTGGTTTCTTAAGCTATTTACTATAATTTCCTTGAAAGAAAGAGTTGTTTTAGGGCATGGTGAATTGGAATTCTTTTTTAACACCAACTTCACCATTGCATCCCCTCCACAGCAGGGGTTGACACAGTAGGCATGAAAAAGGTGCAGAAGGGATCCATTTTTTTCCAAAGACTTAAACATCTCATCTAAAAAACTGGATTTCAAGAACTCAGTTGGAGGTAGGGGGCTGTCACTTCCCAGTTCACCCTCTTGTCTGACATATGCACATGAGGAGTTTCAACCATTTATTCAACAAGCATTTATAACATCCTTTGTTTTCCAAGGCCTGAGCACTGAGATTGGTGCTGGAAGGCTGCAAAGAGAAATGAGATGGTGAGTCTGGCCACTGGTCCAGAGGAGAGATGAGACAACCACTTGCATGCATAATACATGTGTCGAGGAACAGACAGAGTGCTAGGGAAGAGCCAAAAAGGGAAAGACCTCATCTCTTGGGAGATAATCAGAAAAGTTTTCCTGGTCTTTGAAGGATGAGTAAGATTTGCAGATGTGGATTAAAGACCATTCCAGGCAGAGGGAACTGAGTGGGCTAAGGCATAGAGGCTGCAAAGCTCTCATCTGTATGTAAAATACTAAACCAATCTGTCAGAAATGTAAGATTTGTGAAGAAAAAAAGGCAAGCACGGATAAGTTGTTGGTGCTAAATTATTGAAAGTTTGATGTAGTTAAGAAGCTTAGAAAGTTTAGGGAGGCATTAATGGTTGATAAGTAAAGCAATGACTGAGCAGTAATATGGCAATGTTAAGCTGGCCATATCGTGAAGGTCAGTATAGGGGACACTGTCAATGCTCTGCCAAGTGCCCAGGTTCCCTCAGACTGCTTTTGCTCTCTCTGACCCCTCCCCCAACCCCACCACAGGCCCACCCCAAGATTTGTATTTTTGCTTCTAACAGCTCACACCTTTGACTTTATTCGGATGCCTGTCTTGGGTTGCAGGAGGTACTTTGACAAAACAAGCAGAGTGCTGAAAATGTTGGGACTTAACATCCCTTGGGGTGGCCCTTAGCCAATGACTGACAGTGTGGAGATATGAAGGCCCGGCTTTCTTCCCTTCAGTTGGCACAAACTCTGAAGTGTAATTTACACTCCAGAGCTACCCCACAGGACCAGGCTGAGGTTGAGACTTTGCGTGAAATCCATCCTGCGTAGTTTCTTTGCATTACCTGTCTTGCTTCTTGCACTTCCTTACCAGTTTCTCTCAGAAGCCCTTCTGTAATATATTACCTGTTCATGGATCCTCAGAGTCGACTTCCAAAGGACAGACAGGTTGTAGCCAGAGAAATAGATGTTAAAGGAAGCCAGCTACACAACTCCAGGCAAGATGTAGAGACCTGTACTAGGACAGTGGAGTGAGATAAAGGCAGGAAAGGGGAGCAGAAATAACCCAGAAACAAATGGATGGGACCTTTAGAATATAGAGTGAGGAGAAGTGGGAGTCAAAGAGGAATCCATCATTTTAAACATAGGTAACAGGATTCTATTAAAAGATTTGGAGAACCCTAGAAAGTAGAGCTTATTAGGCAGGTGAGATAGGTTTACCTTGGAGATGTTGCTTCTGCAGTAACAGGTAGAGCACACAGCATGAATGCTGAGCAGCTCCAGCAGGGATCAGGGCTGGAAATCTTGCTTGGACAGTCATAAGCACTGAGTTATTCACTGAAGCCATGAGTTAGGAGAAACTTCCAGTGAGCATTTGAGCTTTGTGTTCATGTATGGAGGTCCCCAAAGAGGAAAATACGCTATAAAATTCTTGGCCTTTGGAAAACCAAGACCAATACCGGCAGTGCGCAGAACAAAGTCTGGGATGAATCTGAGCTCAGTTCCATTCCAAAGTCTATTTTTAAAAACATCCTCAGTGAGCATTCCACCTAGGAACTAACCTGTATTCTCTTAGCCCCTTCCCTCAGAGGCGTGGCCTGATGCACACTGGAGAATAAGCTGTGACAGTTCTGGAGAATGTCAATCTGAAGCCAGCATTGCCTTTGAAGGGTTCATTTGGGAATTTGTAAATGAACCTCTTTTTTAGTCTAAAGATCTTATCACAGGATTTTTAAGGCTGGAAGAGACCTGAGAAGTCAGCTAGGTCATTTTACAGATGAAGAAACTGAGACTGAGAGATCCATAAGTGGATCATGACCAAGGAACTCATGCCTCCTAAATCCATTCCTGGACACTTTCTTTGCCCAAAGCAGTGCCCACTCTCCTCCTGTGCTCTCCATCCCTGACCTGGACTGCTATTCACCTCCTGATCACTGTATTGAAGGCTCTTTGCATAGGTAATTTTTCCAAACCAAATGATGAGTTGTGTCTACCTGAGCATCATAGTACATCATAGGACCATTTTTCAGGATTTACTAAGATAATGGATGTGAACATGTTTTAATGTTATAGAATACTATTCAAACATACAACAATCTCAAACATCTCTGCTTTCTGGCTCAGCTCCTTACTGATTATTAGAGATGTAGATTGAGATCATGGAATAAGGTGAAGCAACCAGACCTATGAGGGGACAAGCACTCTTCTTTGAGCTTCACTTACACGGGACTCCAACTGACAAAACAAACAGTGTGCCCGTCTATCAAACGGAATCACATTCAATCCCAAGTTCCTAGTTAATTAAATCAAGTGGATGTCCCTGCCATGAAATAATCAATCCCACTGATATGGTTTGGCTGGGTCCCCACCAAAATCTCATCTGGAATTCCCGTGAGTTGTGGGAGGGACCTGGTGGGAGGTAATTAAATCATGGGGGCAGGTCTTTCCCATGCTCTTCTCATGATAGTGAATAAGTCTTACAAGATCAGATGGTTTTAAAAAGGGGAGATCCCCCTGCACAAGCTCTCTCTCTTTGCTTGCTGCCATCCATGTAAGACATGACTTGCTCCTCCTTGCCTTCCGCCATGGTTGTGAGGCCTCCCCAGCCATGTGGAACTGTAAGTCCATTAAACCTCTTTTTCTTCCCAGTCTTGGGTATGTGTTTATCAGCAGCATGAAAACCGACTAATACACCCACAAACATATGCAGAGCAGCAAACATGAGGTAGGCATTGTATGAGGTCTGGAGTTAAGATAATTAAATTACAAACTCTGCCCTCAGAAAGTCAGTGTAGCAAGGGCAAAAATGTATAAAGAAACAGCCAAAATACAAAGTAACAAGTGCTATGATGGGGAATCATGCAAAGTCCAGTAGTGGCAAAATGAAAGTGCTGACTCACTGGGAAAGGAACGGATTCACAGAGAAGTTAGTGTTTGACATAAAACTTGGATGAGTTGGGATGAGCCAGACAGGTGAGGTGGGGATGAAGGATAGTTGACAACAACCAGCAAAGGCAAGAAATGGGTGGTACTTTGCTGCTTTCAAGAACTATAAGGGATTTATTATCCACAGATACATATATGCTAAGTGAGTGAATGAATGAAAGATCCAGTGAATGGTCAGTGTGTGGTAGCAATGGAAGACAAGACTGGAACAGGAGAAAGCAGCCAAATGATTGAGGGCTGCAACAATGGCTTGCTGGCTTTACATACTCCAGGCCAATGGTTCTTAAAGTGCGGTATCTAGACCAGCAGCAGCAGCACGTGGGAAATTGTTAGAAATGCAAACCATCGGGTCCCAAGGCAGACCTATTGAATTAATAACTCAGGGGGTGGGACCCAGGGATCCGTGTTTTGGTGAGATGTGCTAGTGATTCTGATGGGTGTTCAAGTTAGAGAATCACTGCTCTAGGCACTGGGGACAATGAAAATGCTGAAGAGGATTTTATAAAGACAAACAGCTGCATTAATTTATTGGGGCTTAAAGGGAGGAGAAAAAGCATTGACTTCTCTCTGCCAAAATGCTAGCTCAATTCTCCAGAAGTGTTCAGCCAGAGCCATCTGGGGTCCTGTCTACGTCTTTCCAAACAAGCCCTCCTGTCTCATTGGGTAAGTAATCTCGTAGAAACAGCACCTCATTACCCTCCATCAAATGGGCAGTGAGGAATTACTTTTCATTTGAGAGCTAGATGACTGGAAAGATTTGTCTGCGGCAATCGCAGTAGATGGCAGTGATTTAAGCCAAATTCCGTTCTGGATGACAACTGAACATGGGACAACTTGTGTAAAGTTAGGCTGAGGCATCAGCAGGGAGGCTGAATAGTGCACTCATGCCTGAAATGGCAGGAATTAAATTCATTCATGAATCCTCTTCCGAACCAATTTATATATTGAAGAAAATGAAAGTTTGCACCTGGCTCCCCAGCTGAGGGTGAAAGTCTGATAGCCCATAACTTGGTTGACTGAAAAAGCAAACAATGAACGGTCACTAGCACCCTCCCCACAAAAAAAAACACTAATGAAATAAAATGGAAAAATCAGTAGAGAAGCCAAATGATTCATAAAAATCAATTTAAGCAGCATGAGATAAGCAGAAAGCTTAAATTAAAAAAAAAATACAGTGAGGGCATCAGACAATTCCAAATGAAAAGACATATCTTTAAACAAGATTCTGTATAACCTTGGATAATTCTATTAGGCAGGATTTGATCACAGAATCCAAGGCAAAATGCAGAGAGATATCCGTGGCCAGGGATGCATTATACCAGACCAACAAAGGGAAAAGGAGCAATTTGAGGACCAGCACATTAAACAAGGGCTTGGGAATGATGGACAGGCAGGCTCAGAAGCTGGTTTGGTGTAGATGTGGAAGCGTCCTCTTTCGCCATGATACAAACTGCCCCCTGCTCCCAACCCTGACAGCTGGAGCTGGTGTGGAAGCTGGCAGACCACACAGTCAATAGGCAATTACAGTAATCGAATCTTGGAGGAAGTGACACAGTGTAAATAGCCTGCTCCCAGTTGGCTTGTGATTAACGTGACAACAACTTGGACGTGTTTCGCTCCATGGGAGCAGGGCAGCCTAGTCACCTGGAGTAAAATTGACAAAAGAATATCCTACTTTATTCATATGCCCAAATGCTCAGTTATGTATTGGCTGGAGAAGAAACCTCGGAAGAAAGAATAGGTGAGTGCACCTAGAAATAAAAGAAGCACCTGTTAAAAGTACCAAATATTTGCAAAAGGCTTCACATACACCTTAATTCTCTCAATCTTTTTCTAAAGTAGATGTTAGCACGAGCCCTATTTTATGATCCCTTTTTGACAAGGACATAGGCTGAGTGGTGAAACAGTCTTTCCAAACAAACTGGTTAGCAGCGGCCAGGCACGGTGGCTTATGCCTGTAATATGAGGATTTTGGGAAGCCGAGATGGGCTGATCACTTGAGGTCAGGAGTTCAAGACCAGCCTGACCAACATGGTGAAACCCCATCTCTACTAAAAACTTAAAAATTAGCCGGGTGTCGTAGCAGGCACCTGTAATCCCAGCCGCTCAGGAGGCTGAGGCATGAGAATCACTTGAACCCGGGAGGCGGAGGTTGCAGTGAGCCGAGATCACGCCACTGCCCTCCAGCCTGGGCGACAGAGGGAGGTCCTGTGTCAAAACAAAAACAAAAACAAACTGGTTAGCAGCTTATCACATGTGAACTCATACATTTTTCTGAAATCAGATCCTAAGCTCCTCCAACCACAAGAGTAAGATAATTAAATAAATTCGCCTCTTTGGGAGAGGCCAAGGGACACGTGGGTGTATAATCAAAGAAGATTAATACAAAGCTCACTGGATCCAACCTCAGGCAACAAACATGGCCCCAAAGTCAACAGCTCCTCAATTGCTATGGCTGAGTGCTCATAGGGGTACTTGATATGTGGAGACCCTCTAGACCTTAGTGGCCAATGTGCCCCAAGAGGGAAAAATAAAAACACTGTTGCTTTCATTTTTGGATTTATGAGACAGTGGCAACAAACTAAGAGATGTGGAGATTTGGGGTACGGTTTGAAAAATGAGGCTTGCTGGAGTAAGTCAGAGTGAGAGCCATTTGGGGCAATCATGATTGGAAGACATAGCTCGCTTCCCAGCGAGGCAGGGATTGGGATTCCCTAGGTCTTGCTTTTCATGAAGCTAGTTTTAAATTAGAGAGAAATGGGAGGGCGGTGATAATTAAAGCCCATGGAGGACAAGAGCAGGTGTATTGGAACCAGAGCTTCCAATCGGAAATACATGAGAGGATGCAGAGCGAGATTTTCAAAGGGAGGGGAATGGCTTGAGAGACAGGAGACTCATTTTCTTGATGGTGGCTGAGACACCAGAGAGAAGTGCCAGTATCATCTGGCTGTGAGAGTGAGAGGCCGAAGGGTGGGCCCTGGCTCCATGGCGGAGGAAGAGGGCAGCCTCAGGCTGTGGGTTTAATCAGCCTAGGGAGCTGTAATGCCACACTGTTCCAGTGCACTCTGAGAGATCCTGCTGACAGATAAATGCTTGGAGGGGCTGGAAGCATCAGCCAGCAGACAGAGGGTGAGGACAACCCCTGCCCTATGAGCCATCAGATCCAGGGAAGAATCTTCTAATGGCATGTCAGAAGCAAGTCCTTTCAGACCCCTTAGGAGGAGATTCGGGAGGTTGGGACTGTGTCTAAGAAGGCCCAAGTGCCACCAGGTATTGTTTGTTTTGCCTCTCCCCTAAACTATTTCTTCCTTGAGAAAACAGCTCTATAATAACTTGCAGGGACAGGGAAGATACTTTATTCTTTTAATTGGGTGGAGACCAATGTAGGGGAGATGAGGACGGGGTAGATGCTCTACTAAGAAAAAGGCAAACTCAAGTCACAAAAGATGGCCAAGAGCTTCCTGCAGGAAGGTGCGTGCTCCTAACTGGAGGCGACTTGTTGTACAAATGCCATGACAAGAGTGGGAGGGGAAAGGCTAGCAGAGAGGTAAATTACTCTGTCTCCTTCAATGTGAAAGAAATTAAAGTTGTGAACAATGGAGAGAAGACATCCAGTGTCACTGGGGACCTCCATCAGTCTGGGTCAGGGATAAAAGGTCATGGCTAACAGGCCAAGGAAGGAGGTTGGGAGAACAAGAATGTTGAAGGAGGGACTTCCAGTTGTTGGTTGTGGGGTGTGATGTAAACTTCCTCTTCAAATCTTCTTCAGACTCTAGGTGCTTATGGATGCTTTTCTACAAGTGAATTATTATTGGGTGTCCTCTATTATTGGGTGTGCCGAGTTCTGCCATTTGCATGGTCACAGCCTGATGATTCAGGGAACATCTGCCCCCTGGGTTACACATGGGCCATCTCATTTAACATTTTCAGTAATTTTGTGGAGTAGATGCTATTATCATCACTTGCAAAATGAGGAGCCTGAACCTCCAGGAGGTCTGGCAATTTGTCTAAGAAGCTGAACCAAGACTGCACCAAAATCTTGGCAATGCTAAAGCTCCACCTTACTCCACCTTGGTATTAATGGTTCTTGGGCCAGTGGCATCGGCCTCACCTGGGAACTTGTTAGAGACGCAAACGCTCAGTCCCCTTCCAGACCACCTGAGCCAGAAACTCCGGGAGGTAAGGGGGGCAGCATCTGTGCTTTAATAGGCCTTCCGGAGGATTCTGATGCACACTAAACTTTGAGGACCATTGATCGACACTACGGTGCCTCTCAGAAAGCCCGCACAGCACTCAGGTTTTACAGGTCTGTGACTCATTGCCGGGGAGATGACATGCCACTTGACAGCTTGAGGTGTCTGAACAAGCAAAACCTGCAGAGACACAAAATTCAGTCACACAGCTGTGAAATGAGATATAAGCCCAAACCTCAGAAGGACTGATTGGATCCCATGGGTGAGGAGTGAGTAGATGTGATGATAGCCAGTTTGAAAGTCAAGGCAACAGTATTGAAACTTTAACCAGCTGGTTCCAACATCACCCCACCTCCAGGCCACCTCTGCAGTATCTATTGTTGAACATGGTTGTCTGCCCTGAACTTTGTGTTTTGTCATGTCTATAGACTGTCTTGGAAAATGGGGGAAGTAGATCTGTCAAATTTTTAAATATATAACACATATATAGTTCAGAAAAACCTGAACTCTGGGCTGAGCTATAAAAATGTGGGCGGTGTAATGGAGCATCTCTTGGTTTTTGAGCTGTAAATTCTGGTTTAATTCTCAGACTATTACTTGTGTGGTCTTAAGCAACTCACACAACAACACCTATGTCCTGAATTTGTCAGGGGAATGAAAGATAATGCATGAGGCGATGCTTTGTAAAATGTAACATCATATGTTATTATTTTAATTCCACTCCCCCACGCTCGGCCTTCAAACTCTACAAATATGTGACTTGATCCTTCAAATTTCCCCTCTCTCTAGAGTCAGCAATTGACAATGGGTGTTAATCTTATCAATGAATCTTCGTATTCTCTTGTGCCTCCCAGGTGACCCCATGTCCTTACATAGAACGTGCTAGAGAGAGCTGGGACAGGCCAGTAGGTGGAGGAGATGTTTCAGTCCTGGGGGCCTGTTAGCCAGTTTCCCTACAGAGAGGTCACATTGGTTTTGGGGTCAGACAGTGGCACTTTGAAATCCTGGTGTCCATTCTCACCACCACCCATCCTCTTTACTTATCAGGAAACAGAGCCCAGAAAGGGAAGTGGCCCATCCAAGTAGCCTATTTCTTTATTTGTAAATTCTGAACTGGGGTGTCTTCCAGTAAAGTAATGGGCCCTGCAGAAGGCACTGTGAGAGCAGCAGCTGCCAAAATGACAGAGGGAGCTGTTCTTGGAGGAGGTGCTAGTGTAAGGCAAGAGCACCTATCCCAGCAGTACCATCAGCCCCATCCCTCCCCTGGGTGCTGATGCAGCCCATTCCTCTGTGGCATCAGTCCATGACTAAAACTTGCTCCTGGCCAGCAGCTTTCTCCAATTATATTGTGTAACTCAAGGGTCTGCTGGATTGCAAGTTGACATCAGGTCTGGGGAGGAACATATATATATACATTCAGAAAAAAAGAAACTTTTGAATGCAGTATGCTTACCATTTGTTTATAACCTCTGAAAGGTAGCATGGTGGTATAAAGAAGGCTAGCCTTAGGCAAAATGAAGACAGCCTGGAATTAGATTAAATACTATTCATCATCATCATCATAATTAGCATTTCCTGGGTTCTTACTAAGCATCAGGTATGCTGAGTGCTTTCATGGATTATCTCATTTCTGTTTTTCAAAGAGTCCTGTGAAGTAGGTACAAGCATTATTCCCACTTTAAAGATGAGAACAGTGAAGCTTACATAGGGGAGGCTCAGGTAAGTGATTTGCTCAAGGTCAAGTGGACTTGGCATGAACCGATACATGCACCACACAGACTGCAGAGCTCAAAAATCATTTTTCTCACTCTGCTATTCTCTCTACAGGGGCCACTCCTTACAAGCTGAGTGACTTGGGCCAAATTAGTTCACCTCCCTGAATGCTATCTAAAAACATCAAAATGGCAGTAGTTCAGTAGGCCTCATAGGGTTGATGTAAGGATCAGAAAAGAATATAAAAATCACTATGTCAACTTACTAGACATAGAACTAATTACTGTTATCACTAGCTTACTTAATCAAAGAATGAAGGACACAATTTTTGTAGAGCAATTAAAGTCAGGATGCAGCAACAAGACTAGTACCAGAAGGCCTGAGGTAAAGTAAGTTACTACAACCGTTGCATGAACAAATTAACACGGAACTTCCTGTAAGTCAAGTCAAAAAGAGAAGATATCTTTACAGCTCTCACTAGCTTATCAAAGGAGAAATGACACATTATCAGGAAAGATCACACCATAGAGGTTGCCTATGGTGGTGGTGGTTGTACAAAATTTTGCAGAAAGTTTTTGAGTGATCTTTCTTATAAAAGTTGAGAGGAGCCAGACGTGGTGGCCCACACCTGTAATCCCAGCACTTTGGGAGGCCGAGTCAGGAGGATCGTTCGATCCCAAGAGTTCGAAACTAGCCTGGGTAACATAGGAAGACCCCATCTCTACAAAAATTTTAAAAATTAGCCAGGCGTGGTGGAGAATGCCTGTGTTCCTAGCTACTTAAGAGGCTGAAGCGGGAGGATCGCTTGAGTCTGGGAGGTCGAGGCTGCAGTGAGCCATTGTGGCTCCACTGCTCTCCAGTCTGGAAGACAGAGAGAGACTCTGTCTCAATAAATAAATAATAGTTGAGAGCTTCCTTTTCATTTTAGGAAGGTGTTTTGATGTTAAAATAATTCAGTCAATGTATGTGTAGCTTTCTGCTACCTTAATAGAGAAATGAAATCTATTTGAGGAAGAGTTTATATTTGCTCTCAGCAACATGGAAGGATTTTAAATATAGAGCCTTTTCCTTTGAAAATATGGGTCCAAAATTTCTCTAAAACTATTCTTCCTTCTGCCTCCCTGTATGCAAATAAAGGAGGACTTCTACAAGAGGATTGTCTTCTTTAAGAGAGGTGCATATCAAACCATGTGCCAGGGAAAGGGCTCTGTTCAGTGAAGGCAACCAAAACATCAGCAGAGAGACAACTGAGGGAAGTAAGGCTCAATGAGGCAGAGGAGCTTGCAAGGAAGCAGAGTGGCTGCACGTCCGCATGCAAAGGGATTCGGGTAGAAGAGAAACAGGCTTGGTTTCTGTAGCCCCAAGGAACAGAACTAAGATGAACAAATGGAAACTACCATTTGTACCAAATGAGTGGTGACAGACTGATTTTATCACAACATACACAGCAGTTATCCAGCCCAGGATGGACCTCTTGGGTGACCTTCTGAAAAGTCAATTTGCATTCATATTTTCATGGCTATGACATCTCTGGGCATTGGAAATGGAATGGGGAAGAGAACACTAATTTGGAGCAAATGGAAGCACTTTCCTTTTCTGCAAACTCCATCATGAGCCTTGGAATGCAGTATAAAAGCTCTGCCACTGAATTCCCTAGGTTCAAATCCAGCTGCTTTGCATATTAAGGTTGATGGATGGTCATACTTATTTATTGGGGTTGATAGTGCTTGTTCTGTATATATCAATTCCCACTGAGGTTCATTTTCAGCCCTCTCTGCTGTGCTCAATATCCAAGAGGCTAAGGTTTATGGATTGTATCACCTGGCTCTTGGGCCCTCTCACTTCCATGGGGCTTAGCCAACATCAGGTGGAAAGAAATGGGTCAGGATCTTGATCACCTCCCAATATGTCCATCCACTCCGTACTCACTGAGCTCTTAATTTTGGAGGTGGATGCTGACTTCTGTCACCACAGCTCCTGTAGGGAACCTGCTTCTCTTCACAGCTTGCACCTCTAAATTCTGTGAACACTGTTATCTCCCCTTGCTCCTTCCCTGTCATGATGAGTAGTAATGTTTCCCATTGTTGGTAGTCTATGATGCTACACTATTCCTACTTGGTTCTCTTAATCCTGACTATACATTTACAGGGATAAATAACTCCTTCATTAAACCCTCTTCAATTATATGAGTGTGCCATCTGTTTCTGGCAGGAACTCTGACTGATACAAGTTTTTAAATAAGTTAATGTGCTTAGACAGCACCTGACTCGTAGTAAGTGCTTAATAAATGTTACAGAGTATTATGACCAACAGCAGCACTAGCAATGGTAGTAACAGTTGAATTAGCCCCAAGGGAAGTAAATAAGCTCTTTTTTTTTTTTAATTTCCATTGTCTGAGATATCCCAGGGCACTACACTCTGCCCGATGAACCACTGAGATCTCTTGTGGGAGCAAATTAGCTGGAAGCCCTTATTTGACCTGAAAGGGCTAGAAAAAAAGAGGGAGCTGATCCGGAAGGGAAAAGAAAGGACAGCTCAGAGTAGGAAGCCTCAGACAGGAGCACCTGCCCTGACATGGAGTCCATCAGCAGCACGAGGCCCAGCAAATGCTGAAACTAAAGGGTGGATTCAAGGTTGCTGGAGAGACCCTCACAAAAACGAGCAGTGGCTGCCTGAGAGGAGCCATCTCAGACCCAGGCAAGCAAGGTTTCTCAGGGCAGCTGCCTCCGTGTCATGGGATGGGATTTGTCAGCCCCTGGTTCAATAGCAGTATGAACCCAGCCACAGCACCCTCGTTCACTTGTATGTAGACCCCTAATCGGAGAGAGGAGAGCTCCAGTACCTGCACTTTGGAAACAGACTGGGAGCATCATGATACTCCGAGTAGGGGACCCAGGGGAGCAAATCCCCCTGTAGCTGGTGGAAGAACTTGTAACAGTAGGAACTGGCCCAAGAGAAATCGTGCTGCTTCAGAGATGCTTCTGCATCACTACATATGTATGAGCACACAAGGCCCACCATTTCAGAAGAAGATTGTGTCACTCGGGTAACAGACGGTGAGGTCAAAATGGGTAATATGTGCAGAGCCTAATAAAGACACTAGAAAGGTGTGAGCAGGCTGTGGGGAAGTGGCTGGGTGCTGCAGCCAGCTCACCAAGGCTGTGACAGTCGATTGTGGGAGATCCTTCCCATCTCTGCCTTGAGTGACGCCATGCTGATAGTCTGAAATCAGCCATGGTGGGAACACTTACATCCTGGAAATCAGCAAACACTACACATCTGGCTTTTGTTTTTGTTTTTTGATTTTCATTTTTGCTTCTGGAGAACTAGTTTGCCAGGCCATCTCTTTAAGGAGCATCCCAGGGCTATTACCAGGTAGGATCTGTTTCCACTCTGAGGCTTGAAGGAGCTAAAGGAGGCAGCAAGTTACCAGAACCTCCAGGCAAAGAGCCTTTGGAGCCAGGCCTCCTGATAGGAGCTGAGGCCCCGGTAGAGAGACAGACACTTATGTCTTTTATCCATCTTGAATTAATTTTTCTATACGGTGATAGGTAGAGATCCAGTTTCATTCTTCTGCATATGGATAGCCCCAAAGGAAAATAAATCATTCCACCAAAAGGACATGTGCACCTGTATGTTTATCATGGCACTATTCACAATAGCAAAAACATGGAGTCAACCCAGGAGCCTATCAGCAGTGGACTGGATAAAGAAAATATGGTACACATATACCATAGAATACCATGCAGCTATTAAAAAGAGTGAAATCATGTCTTTATATGAATGCTTTATATTCATCAAGCAATGTATATGCAGCTGGAGGCCATCATCCCAAGCAAACAAATGCAGAAACAGAAAACCAAATACTGAATGTTCGCACTTATAAGTGGGAACTAAACATTGGGTCCACATGCACATAAAGATGGAAACAATAGACACTGGGGATTACTAGAGCCAGGAGAGAGAAAAGGGAGCAAGGGCTGAAAACTACCTATTGGGTACTATGATTACCACCTAGGTGCCGGGTTCAGTCATACCCCAGACTTCAACATCAGGTGATATACCTTTGTAATAAACTTGCACATGTACCCTCAATTCTAAAATAAACAGTACAAAAGGAGATATACATAAAGAGACACAATCCATGGTAACCCCACAGGGAATGAGCCAGGGAACTATTTACTGAACTTCACTCTGCCCCCTCCTGCTGGGCTCCCCACTGGCCACACCCAAGGAGAGCAGAAGGCCAAGAAGCCAGTAGATAGAGTTCAAGTTCACACGGGTTAGCCTGCCAGGCCTGGAGGGTGGTGCTGGACAGCAGACCTACGGCACCAACAGCAGTCGTGCAACGCCCACGCTAGGGGAAATTCACAATATAACATCATGTTGTGAACCTCAAACATATACAATCAGATTTATTTTTCTAATGTAAAAAAAATCCAAAGAAAACAGGAGCTGGCCCTGAAAATTCTGAGCCCTTGCAACCTGAGAGTCTGATCAGAGAGTAGGTTTTTCTAAGATCTAAGAGTCGTGGTAGGTGTTTGAGGTGAAGTGAAGGATGCGGTGGCAGGCAGAGAAGGGAATCCAACTGTATGGCAACCAGCTAGCCTGCCTCAGTCTGATCCAGCCCAGCCCAGCATCAACGTCAGAAATTGACTGAGGACCCCCGACCGCCCAACCATCTCTGGAAATGCAGCCCTTGTGCCGTTGGAATTCATAACGAATCCCTTTTCTTTGGCTTCTGTTATTTAGCGCATTTCATACTAGAGCAGAAACATAAACATTTGCATGCCACATCTAATACAATTATAAGGTCATTACACATTCTGTAGCACAAAACAGCTGTTCCAAAGATCCTTATTAGAATTTAACAGAGTTTTATTTGTTTGGGGCAAAAAAAAAGGCAATCTTTTAAATTATGATTTAATGAGACTGTTAAATGTTCATCACCAAGTGATTACTTATTAAAGCTGCATGGAGCTTGGCTGTTTGAGTTCATAAGAGGTTAACTGAAATTTTTTCCCTACCCCAGCCCTCCCCCTCCACCCCACACACTCACACATATATGCACACAAGAACGAATCCACATGTTTTGATCCAAGCCCTGTTTTCTCCAAAATTATATCCTATTCTTTTAATAAAAATTTTATAAATCCAAACAGACCTAAGCCCCAGATTTCTGTGGCTGAGTTGGCTTTTAAGTCAAATTCATCAGGAGTCTATGTAAAAATACCTTGGCTTTTAAAAATCTTCTTCCCAGCATCTTTTAAGAGGGATGTGTTTGTACTGCAATTCACCGAATAATAAAAATATCTATGACCAGGTCCAGTATATGGAGTTCTACATATATTGTATAAGCTGCTGAGGGTTGATATTATTTCTTACTGGGTTGAGAAATATTCCTTACAGCCCTATTTTCTGGAATGAGGACTGGGGGTGGAGAAGAAGGAAGGATTTTGCCTGATGACCTACCAGTGATCTAATACAGATGTGTCATTTTGTCAGGCTGCAATACTGTAGTAGTTAATCCACCAGCATTTATAATAATTGCTGTATCCTGCAGAAGCCGTACTGTGGCACAATGTATCCCTGGAATTCATAAGTAGGTTGTTTAAATGCAAAATAATTATTAAGCACTCATTCTTGGAATTCATCCTGAGATAAGTAGCCCTTAAGAAAATGTCTAATACAAAATGACATTTGGGTTTTAGAATATATAACCTTTTGTATTAATGGTATCCCAAGGTGTTTTACATAGTAATTGGATGGTAGTGTGGTAAGTATTTCAGTAAGTGAAATGGCTCTTGGGACTGAAGTAGAGGTTTAGCTATTCTTGGATTTCAAGTTGGAATTCATTGACTATGGGGAGGTGTGGTGGAATGCCAGGCTGTTTAAAAGTAGCTCAAGGCCTTCTTGAAACTTCATTGAAAACGTCAGGAAGCAGAATGGGTCTCAGAGATAAAAATGAACAAACTCCTCTGTGACAGATGAGGAACCCAGGTACAAAGGTAAGTTAGAAGCCCACACCGCGCTGGAACCCAGGTCTCCAAGTGAGAGGACCTGACAGGATATTAGTTGAGGATTTACATTTCAGCTCTACTAGGTCCTAGCTGGGTCACTTAGTGTGAATGACTGCTTATAGCTAGGCTTCCATTTTCTCATTTGCAAAATGAGAAATAATAATATCTGCTAGGGCTAGGGGAGAGGTAAAAATAAAGTAACAAGTGCAGTTCCTGGAGCGTAGTAGGTGCTTCATAAATGACCATTATTCTAAACCCGTGTTGCCATAAATCTTTCCTGCCTGAACATTTTTAGTATTGATTTGCAGCACTTATCATAGTAATACTGTTATGTTTAACAATTACAAGTTATAATTAGGCCATATGACTCATCCGACTTTCTATGTCCAATTCTCAGCACTCCAGCCGCACATCAAGAAACAAATCAAAATGCAATTAGATGCCGACTAGATACTAAATAGAAAGTGTGTAATTTATTGTCTCTTAGAAGATCATATTGTGAAAGTGAATTGATCTCATGTCAGTAATGGAAGGGTTGGGACTGGGTTTGTGTCAAGTATGAAGAAGATTAATGTAGATGTTAATTTGACACGTTTGGTGGGAGAATGTCTTAAATTACAATGGGTGGGTATTAAAAAGTCCAACCACACGGCAACAGGCTGAGAAACTTTGCTTCATTTATTTGAACAGATATTGTACATTTTCTGTATATTAAATATATTTTATATAGACCACTACCACCAATTTAAGTATGTAGAGGCTCATATTTAATCCCTGCAAAAATTCAAGATAATTATTAATTTTACCAAAGGAGACACAACCAGAGGGTTCTTTGAAATGCATCTCCCTAGTGTAAATAAAGTATGATTTGACTCATTTTAAAATCAATTTACAAGTAAAATTTTCAGAAACACATCTGCTAGGTAAAGCAAATTCTGCCAGTATCCTGCAATAAAAGTGACAGTGATATGCTCAGTTTTTATAATGGATAAAATTATGTGAGCAGAGAACATAATTATATATTTTAGAAAGCGCATAGAAGTAAGTATGTACTTATAAACCTGGGCTTTAAAAATCGCATTTTAAATTTCTAAGTTAGCTTATGAAACTATTCAGTATTTACGTATTTCTCCAGGTTGGCCATCATTTAGGCACAAGGTGGGCCATTCCACAAATATTATGGAAAATCTACTAATTGCCACACCCTGGAGGCTGAGTTGAAGTTGCAAAGCATTAGAGAAGTTGCAAGCCATTTGGACATTGGTGACCTAATTTAATCCTTCCACAACTCTATGGACTGGCTATCATTCTTTCCCATTCTACTGATGAGAAAATTAAGGCTCAGAAACTGAGCCTTAATTTATACAAGTTCACAAGGCTTTAATTCTTGATTGATCTCCTAAATGTTTCTTAAGATAAACTGTTCCCCGCTTCTTCTCCCACTTCCCTGGTTCAGCTCAGTAGCATCTCTCACCTCAATTATTGCAACAACCTCCTCTTCCTGCCTCTACCTCCAGCCTTGTTCCAATCCATCCTTCACAAATCTGACCCTATCACTGTCTGCTCAAAGTCATCAGTGGCTTCTCATTACCAGCAGATAAAGTCCAAGTTCTGTAACGTATATTCAAGACTCTTCATCATCTGCATCTTTATATATGTCTCTACTTTTATTTTCACTCCTCCCTGCTTCAGAGGTTTTAATTCCAGCCACACAATCTGATTGGGGGTCTCTGCAAATGCTACATATGCCACCTCCACTCACTTGCCCATGCTGTCTCTTCTCTCTAAAATGCCTTCCCCACCCTCTTCACCTAGCTCACTCCTGTTTACTCTTTACAAATTCTGTTTGGGTTTCATTTCATGGACCGTTTCCTGCCTTCCACCATCTCCCATCTCCCCTCAGCTACCTTTGCTGTGCCTCCCCCAGGGCTTTTATAATCCTCTGTTATCACCTTTATGCATTATTTCACAGGAATGTAACTGACTGGACATGTCACCAGTCAGTGGTTCCGTGATGTGAGAGACTCTGTTATGTATCTATATCTCCCCAGGACGTAGCTCAGTGCCTGATCTACATTAGGTGATCCATAAATATTCGCTAAGTGGATAAATGCATACCTAAATAAGTAATAAAACACAGCCCAGGGCTCTTAAATTTAAGTCTAGTTCTCTTTTCAATACCAAAGCTGACCAATGCAGGATAGAAAGCTCCCAGGCCTCAAAAAATAGCAAGCTCCCCAAGTTTCCCCAAGCTGTGAGCTCGTGGTGCTCACAGACCCAATGGGCATGGGACACACAGACCCAGAACTAGCAGAGAATAGCACCAAATGGTGCTGCATGAAGTGCTCCAGGGTTCCTTGCAGCACCACTCCCACTGAAGGCGCTAGAGAAGAATCCTTCCCTTGCCTCTTTCTAGCTTCTTTTGGACTCCAGCTATCCTTGGTGTTCCTTGGCTTGTAGCTGTGTCTTTCCAGTCTCTGCCTCCATCATCACATGGCCTTCTTCTTATAAGGACGTCAGTCATTGGATTTAGGGCCTACCCTAACCTCGTGTGACCTCATCTTAATCAATTACATCGGCAATAACACTATTTCCAAATAAAGTCACACTCTGAAGTTCCAGAAGACATGAATTTGGAAGAAATACCACTCAATCCAGAAGAGATGATATCACTCAATCCATTCTATTGATAGTACAATTTACAAAATGGCTGCCAAGGCCTTCTTTACCTCCTTCCCAATCCCAGGTTGGAATGTCTGAGAACTTAGCTGGACTGGATGTCTTCCCCTTGAACGCCCAGTTTTCCCATGACCGGGATCGTAATACCAATGCCAGACCTTTACGTTATTGACCTCCTTTTTCTGGACCCCAGTCAGCTTCCCACTCCCTACAATGGCTCATACTCTAAACTAGAGTGGCCTCACTCTGGACTTTGGTCTAATAGAACTTTGCATCCTGCTAATGTCCCTCTCACAGATTGGCCCCTACATTCAGAGCAACTTCAGACTCACACCCGCCCCGTGTCTGTGCTACCCAAGCCCTGCCTTGGCTCCTATGTGCTGACACCTGGCCCAAGCCTGCAGCTCCGACTGGATTCCAAGTCCTGACTCTCCCTGAGCTGGCCCATCTCACCTCTCACAAAGCCCTGATTCTAACAAAGAAATATCATTTTCCTGAAGTAATTTTTTCCTTTCTGAGGCCCCCTGGGGCTGCTGTAGCTCTCGTTTATAAACTGCAATAGTCCAGATGACAAGCTCCAAATGGACTAAGACTTTAACATCATAACCTTTCAGAAGGGAAAATATTCTTGGTCGTCTTCCTCTCTTTAAGACGTTTTCTGTTGATCAGTCTGCATGCTTCCCTTTAGGGCACCTCTTTAAAATACCTATAAAGGCAAAGGCAGAGTATTCAGCTATATTTGTACCATCATTGCTGGCATGCTATACAGGAGATGGATGTGAATTTCATCTTTCATTAACACAGTACCTATAGTCTTTTAAAAATGGACCTGCTTATGAATGTGAGGTATGAAATCCATCTGAATATACTCTTCACCTTAAAAAAAAAAAAAAAAACAGCAAATTTCACACCAGTAGCTTCCTCCTGTATCAGGCAATGGGGTGAGATGAGGTTTTGACAAAAATGGTAGGTATTACATAACACTCCCGTCTTCTTACAGATGCGTGCGCAGCTTTAAAATAGAAACGGGAAAGCGGTACATTGTCTGCAGAAGCAAACTATTTGAGGGAGAATAACATTCTCATTTATCCACAAATATGAAATTAACAAATAAGGGGAGGGAATAGCTGCACTGTTGGGCATCTCAGAATGACTTGGGAGAAAGGATGGTAGATAACCATCGTTTAGGAGAGTTTCAGAAGTTACAGGAAGGGTTTCCATCACCTTGAGTGGCCAAGCTATTTTTGAGTCAAGAAAATCTGAACCTGTGTCCAGAAGCAGAGTCTTGGCAGTCACTTTATAAATCATACCACCTATAGGAAGGATTAGGTGATACCATCTGTACGGGGTTGGATGATGTCCCCTCAAAATTCATGGCCACCTGGAACCTTAGCATGTGACCTTATTTGGAAGGGATCCTTGCAGATGTCATGAGTTAAGATGAGGTCATGCTGGATCAGGATAGGCCCTAAATCCAATGACTGATGTCCTTAGAAGAAGGCCATGTGATGATGGAGGCAGAGATTGGAGAGATACAGCTACCCACCAAGGAACACCAAGGGTTTCTGGCAGGAGCAAGGAAGGATTCTTCCCTAGAGCCTGCAGAGGGAGCATGGCCCTGCTGACACCTTGATCTTGGACTTTTGGCCTCCAGAAGTGTGAGACAATAAACCTCTGTTGTTTTAAGTTCCTGAGTTTCTGATCATTTGTGACAGCAGCCCTAGGAAGGTAGTATACCACACTACCCATTTTCACAAGTGGGAAAAACCAGGCTGTCTTGCTACTGCCCCAGACAAAGATGCTCCCTTGAGTCACGTAAGTGCCTTCTCTGAATATTCCCATATTCAGGCTCGGGTTCAGACTCTTGGCATTGCTGTTTTCCTTACCCTCCATGAAGCATAGTTCCTTCAAGGTCTCCACTTTCATGAGGCTCAAACTAAGTAGTTTTGGGTGTCCTTTCATTTCTCCATTATTTGTGGAGACCCATTCGTTGGGCCCATGACTGTCAGCTTTGAACTCCCTCCGAAGTCCATGCTCCTGCCTTTCCTCCTTACGGCACCTGCTCCCCCAGCCCTGGGGAAGGCTCTGCACCCACAAGAGACACTCACTGAATTTGTGTTGAGTGTGTGTTTCATGCCGGGTGGGTCAATATCCCAACAAAAATTGTACAGCTTTTCATGTAGCGTCCAGGGCTTGCCCCAGTGCTGGGATGCAGATCCACACAATGCTATAACAATGCTATAACACAGTGGTCCCCAATCTTTTAGGCACCAGGAACTGGTTTCATAGAAGACAATTTTTCCATGGACAGAGCTGGGGGTGGGGGTAGGGGGCATGTTTGGAATGATTCAAGAGCATTACATTTGGATGGGCGCGGTGGCTCACGCCTGTAATCCCAACACTTTGGGAGGCCGAAGTGGGCGGATCACGAGGTCAGGAAATCGAGACCATCCTGGCTAATACAGTGAAACCCTGTCTCTACTAAAAATACAAAAAATTAGCTGGGCATGGTGGCGGGCACCTGTAGTCCCAGCTACTCAGAACGCCGAGGCAGGAGAATGGCATAAACCCCGTAGGCAGAGTTTGCAGTGAGCCGAGATCGCGCCACTGCACTTCAGCCTGGGTGACAGAGCGAGACTCTATCTCAAAAAAAAAAAAAAAAAAAAGAAAAAAAAATTACATTTACATATAACAACTCACCATAATGTAGAATCAGTGGGACCCCTGAGCTTGTTTTCCTGCAACAAGATGGTTCCATATGGGAATGATGGGAGACAGTGACAGATCATCAGGAATTAGATTCTCATGAGGAGCACAAAACCTAGATCCCTCATGTGTACAGTTCACAGTAGGGTCTTTGCTCCTATGAGAATCTAATGCCACTGCTAATCTGACAGGAGGCAGAGCTCAGGCGGTAATGCTCACTGCCACTCACCTCCTGCTGCGTGCCCCAGTTCCTAACAGGCCATGGATGGGGGTCCATGGCCTGGGGGTTGGGGACCCCTCCTATAACACACGTTCAATTTAGGAAATAGTTTGGCACAATGGAAAGAGATGTCACTGTGGAGACCTGAGATGGAGAACCCAAGCTGTTGCTACCAACTAGGGTTTTCAAACAAATTAGGGATGACTGAGGCCAAGTAACTTTCACCCTGGCTGGTAATTCTTAATCGGGGGCCCATCTCTGTGCTCAGATCCCTTGTTACCTGTTGGCTCTATCTGTGTGCACAAATAGAATTCGTGACTCTTGGGCAAGGGGAGGGCTAGGATGTGCTGCTGAGGCTCAAATTCCAGATTTTTTTGGTGAAATTATGGTGGAGTGAGACAGCACACCTCTGGGCATGGAACCTGTGAAGCTATCGATGAGTGAAGGGTTTTCTCCCTGCCATGAGGTGTCCCTTCCTGTGGGTCTCTGATTGCATTCCCCCGCAAGCCCATGCTCCAGTCTGGAGGCAGACCCCGCCTGCCCCTCATCCTCAGCCATGGCTGCCTGCCAGGAGAGAGGAAGCATGTGCAGGGGCTCAGCAGCCCAGCTGCTCCCACTCATCAGCCTGTCATCATCCCTGGTCCCCTACTTGGGGCACCCACCACTCCCAAGAGTGGAGCACTCTTAGTGTTATTCCCAGCCTTCACCAAAGAACTCTACCAAAAGAGGCTTATTCTTCAGTCTATATCCTGATGCTTATTTTCAGAACTGTCTTAAAATTTCTTCTAGTCTACCAGGATTTCTCTCCTTATTTTCCATTGTTGCTGTGATTTCTTTTTCTCTTTGAAAAAAAGTTGTTTTCATTCATTTCTAGGGATTTAGGTCAGGAAGAAGAGGCCATAGTGTGTACTCGATCTGCCATCTTGGACAGTATGTCCCAGGAAAAGTTATTTATCTTCCCTATGTCTTATTATTTTTATCTATAAAATTAGAAAAACAATAGTAACCATCTCATAAACTCGCTATATGGATTTAAATGAGACAGTGCACAAAAAGTGCTTAGTATGATACCCATACATAGAAAGGATAGAGATATTATTAATGCATAACCTTTGATAAGTCACCTATCGTCTTTGAGCCTCAGGTTCTTCCTCTGTAACATGAGGGTCATAATGATGACTTTATATCCTGACACCAGTCAATGTTTTTGTCCTTATCTCCTTCCACTTTTCTTCCGAAACTCCAGCGATGGTGGATCATTTGAAGTTCCCCAAGCAGTTCATTCATTTCCATGCTTTTGTGCTTTTATTGAATTATTCTCTTTGCCTGTAATTTTCACACTATGCCTGTACTTCCATGCCCAGGGAGGCACAACTCATCATCAAACTTACTCAAGTCTCACATTCTCCAGGAAACCTTCTCCTTAATTCAGACAGAGGTTATTTAGTCATTCAATCAAGAAATATTTATTGAGCATCACACTAGGCTAGGAGCTGGGAATCTAGCAGTGAACAAGATAGACGAGATCCTTGCTCTTATGGAGCTTTCAAACTTTTTAAAATAGACTTTATTTTTTGGTGCAGTTTTGGGTTCACAGCAAAATTTAGCAGAAGGTACAGAGATTCACTATGTGTGAATCCCACCCTCTCCCATACATGCACAGCCTCCCCGATTAGTAACATCCCCCACCGGGGAGGTATATTTGTTGCAACTGATGAACCTACATTGACATCATCACAATCTCACAAAGTTCATAGTTTACATTAGGGTTCACTCTCGGTGCTGCACATTCTGTGGGTTTAGGCAAATGTATAATGACATGTATCCACCATGATAGTATCATACAGAGTAGTTTTATGGCCCTAAAAATTTTCTTTGCCCTACCTATTCATCCCTCTCTGTCCCCTAACCCCTGGTGACCACTGATCTTCTTCTTTTTTTTTTTTTTAGATGGCGTCTCGCTTTGTCACCCAGGCTGGAGTGCAGTGGCGCGATCTCGGTTCACTGCAACATCTACCTCCCAGGTTCAAGTGATTCTCCTGCCTTAGCCTCCCGAGTAGCTGGGATTACAGGCACCCACCACCACATCCGGCGAATTTTTTGTATTTTTAGTAGAGACAGGGTTTCACCATGTTGGCCAGGATGGTCTTGATTTCCTGACCTGGTGATCTGCCCACCTTGGCCTCCCAAACTGCTGGGATTGCAGGCGTGAGCCACCGTGCCTGGCCGACCACTGATCTTTTCACTGTATCCACAGTGTTGCCTTTTCCAGAATGTCATAGAATTTGAATCATACTATATGTTGCCCTTTCAGATGAGTTTCTTTCACTTACTAATATTCATTTGTTTCCTCCATGTCTTTTGGCTTGATAATTCATTTCTTTTTATCACTGAATAATATTCCATTGTCTGATGTACCACAGTTTATTTACGCATTTACCTACTGAAGGATATCAGGACATCTTAGTTGCCTCTGAGTTTTTGGCAATTATGAATAAAACTGCTATAGAAAGATGTGTGCAGGTTTTTCTGTGGATATAGTTTTCAACTCCTTTGGGTAACTCCAAGGAGTGTGGTCGCTGGATCATATAGTAAGAGTATGTGTAGTTTTGTAACAAATAGCCAAATGTTCTCCAAAGTGGCATTAGCATTTTGCTTTCCCACCAGCAAGGAATAAGAGTTCCTGTTGCTCTGTATCCTCACCAGCATTTGGTGGTGTCAGTGTTCTGGATTTTGGCCATTGTAATAAATGTGTGGTGTTATCTCATTGTTGTTTTAATTTGCATTTGCCTGATGACATACAATGTGGAACATCTTTTTATTGAAGCTAATGTTTTAAGCCTGGCAATTTAGTCTCTTCTCTTCCTGTAACCCTGAGCCACTGAGCACAGCTTTCTCCAGAAGCACCTGTGAGTCACTATACACCACTGCTATCTCCTGAATGCTGGAGGCACTGGAGTGGGCCCTTTCAACTTTCATTTTCTTATTACCTAGAGAACTTGGCATTGGTAGATGCCCAAAAAATGTATGTGAGATGCCTGCACATTAAAAGACTGGCTGAAAACTTAAGCAGTATACTGGTTTAGATCATTCATCGCTGTCGGCAAGAGTAAAAAGCTATGTAGCAGCATTCTGAAGTAATAAGCAACAGGCATGTTATTTCAGTTTCCAGATCAAGTGCTGCTCTCAAAATTGCAAATTGACTTCTGGCCAGAGCCCTCTTGGAAGTTTCCTCATTTTGCAAGTGCAGCTCTTTCCCCTGCTTGACAGGGGAATGTACTGAGCACTCCCAGATGGGCCTTTCCCAAGCAGGAACCAATGGGCCCAAATGAATCAAGTTGAAGGAGAGTGAGCAGAGTCAGCAGTGAGAGAAAGACTTAGCTGCAAGGTCAAAATCCGTCTGAAAACAGACACGATGGAAGACAGACAGTTCCTCCTGGATCATCGTATAAAGAAAAGGGATGGATCAAGACAGGGATTGCTGATGCATATCTGCTCGCTGTTTGACTACAAAATACTCTCATGATTGATTCTGTGTCTGCCACCCAAGATCAGTCTCAAGGAAATGCTGACAAAACCCTGGCACCCAGAGTCACAGAGCTCAGTTTCCAGCCCTAGCACCACCCTTGATAACTTGAGTGACCTTGGACTCCTGGTCTCTGCCTCAGTTTCCAAATTAAATGAGTGTGGTGAAAACTTCTTCCTGGTCTGCTATGGTGAAGAAGCATGGCAGCTAATATGAAATGCCTTGAAAAGCTGACACACTCTATGAGAGCAAAGTATTAATATTTTCCTCTTAGAAGCAAGTTCTTTTTTTGAAATGGAGTCCATTCTCTCTCCAAGTTGGAGTGTGCAGTGCTGTGATCTCTGCTCACTGCAATCTCCACCTCCCGAGTTCAAGCAATTCTCCTACCTAATCCTACCAAGTAGCTGGTATTACAGGCACGCACCACCATGCCCAGCTAATTTTTGTATTTTTAGTAGAGATGGGGTTTCGCCATGTTGGCCAGGCTAGTCTCGAACTCCTTACCTCAGGTGATCTGCCCGCCTTGGCCTTCCAAATTGCTGGGATTACAGGTGTGAGCCACCGCACCTGGCCAGTAGCAAGTTCTTAAAGTGACCCCTTGCCCAATCAACATCTTTTCCTTTTGTCTGTCTCTACTGCAGCACCTAAAACACATGGGTAAAAATGTAGAGAATGCAGAATTGAGGGGACCAACAGCCTTCAGGAAAATAAAGAAGCAGAGAAAGAATATGAAGGAAGCATGAGTACAAAGCAAAGGCTCCAAGCCGCAGGTAATATCTAGCTTCATTAGGATACTTTGCATTATTCAGAGTATATTTACTCCCTTATGTTAGTCTCACAATAGCTGGTCTAGTCTATCTGAGTAGGATAGACATTCTGTTCCCATTTGAATGATGAACAAACTGAGGCCAAAAGAGAAAAAGTGACTTGTTGGAAGTTAATGCAAGCTTAGAGTACAGACAGCTCTAAAATAAATGTCTCCTAAATACTAGCCTGAAGTATTTTCCAATGCACACACACTGCTCAGAATCAAGCAAGAGTGAGTATACCGTAGGACCACAGTCCCAGATCGTAAAAAGATCCCAGGAGATGAGGTCTGAGCTTCTTGAGTCTTCATAGACAACTTGGAAAGCTAAGACCAGCTTCCAGAAAAATGCATGCACCTCACTCACAATTATGTATACAAGTTCAAGGGCCTGCTTCAAGCCAATTTATGGATTGGGGGTTAAGAATCTCTCTCCTAGGATATACTTAGAGGTGCGTTCTAAACAAACAGGCGAAATATTACTGACTGTTTAGGGGATAGCCGAGACATAATGGAGTCATTTTGTTTTTTTCCTCCACAAATAGTACCTCAACTAACTCATGCTTCACAAAGGAACTGAGTATGGAAACAGGAGAATAAAAAGTAGACATTAATCTAAGCAGCCTCTTCCAAAACTGCCAAAACTTTAAAGATACAGAGACAATTTTTTTCAAGACTTCAAGTAGACCCCATAGGTTATTGATTTGAGGACTTGTTGCTGCCATTACTATTATTATTTTTATTATTACTACCATTTCTGCAATTTTAATCACTCTTTTTCCCCACACCTAAGATTTTACCTAAGTAATGGCAGATAGGAAATCTGAATGCAAAATATTGAAATTTTCAAAACTTTTTGCTCCAGGAAGTATTAGCTTGTAATTTAAAAGATCATCAACTGCTAACAAGAATAGTTTATTCTCATGTTTGTAAATTGAAATCATGACAAGTTTAGAATGCACTATAGTTATGGTTTTTCCCCACAACAGGTATAAATTCCCACAGCCATTCCTTTAAGCCTTGAATTTAAACATTTCTTTTTTCTTTTTTTTATGTAACTCTTAAATGTTAATCCCTTCAAAATAAATAAATAAGCAAGTAACACACTGAGCAAAATCTTGGTTCAGTGGTATGTGAACTTCATGATTAAAGACCAACTTGGTTTATTCAGTCTGAGGTCTCTTTACTAGTTAGAAATCCTTTAAAAACTGAGTATTTAGAAAATCTTGTATGAAGTAAGCTCATCCATTCTCAGGGCTAATTTTGCAGCCCCTCCAGACTCTCTGCAGAGTTTCAGTCTTTCCACATTTTTACCTGCAACCTAAAAGTGCTCCTGGAATCCCTCATCCAAAGTATCTGAAGCTGAAGTTTCTTTTTCCCCTTGAAACATATTCCTCCTTTTCCAATTCCACTGTTATCTAACCAGGTATGCAGACAAGAAACGTCTAAGCCACCTTGAATGCTTCCCTCCCTGTTCACCAACAACCCCCAGTCATTTCCGCCAGGTGCCGTGTCCTAAATTGTCCATCTTCATACCATCTCTCAACAATCCCATCATCTTCATTCTCACAGTTGCCCTCTTAGTTCTTACCTGCACGGATGTTACCAGTTTCCCCATGTCTAATATCTACAATATTTACATGCTCCTTCTTAATCCTAGTTTTTTTCTTTTCTTTTCACCCAGGCTGGAGTCCAGTGGTATGATCTCAGCTCACTGCAGCATTTAACAAAATTCATAGCTTTTATTAGAATTTAAAAACAGGTACAGGTTTACAGAATACTACTCAGTAGTACAGAGGCATGAACTAATGATACACGCAGCAATGTGAATGGCTGTCAAAGGCATTATGCTGCGTGAAAAAGCCACTCTCAAAAGGTAGCGTGCTGTGATTCCATTTATATAACATTCCCAAATTTATAGAGATGAGGAACAGATTCGTGGTTGCCAGGAGCTAAAGATGTTGAGGGAAGAAGGATATGTATGACTGTAAAGGGATAGTCCAGGAGAGAGCTTTGTGATGATGGACTAGTTCTGGATCTTGATTTTGGCAGTGGCCGCAGGAATCTACATACATGATAAAATTACAGGACTACACACACACACACAGTAACATCAATATTCTGATTTTGATATTGTGCTACAGTGACCTAAGGTGTAACCATTGGGGGAAACTTGGTGTCAGGGACACAGACCTCTGTGTACAATCTGTGCAACTTGAGGTGACTCTATAATTATTTCAAAATTAAAAGTTTTAAAATGTACAGGTTTAACTTAGGAAGTGGTCTGGGCTTGTATGAGATGTTGAAGGGAATGATCAAGTACCCCAGAAACTCAAAAGGGCTGGGATTTCACTGGAAGTACCGGTGACTTCTGGGAGACTCTTTTGTTGGTCCTAATGTCACTGCTCATCAGAGGCACTCTTATCCTCATGTAATGTCACTCTTTACCCTGTCACTGCTTTCCTTCAGTATGAATTGGCCTACTGTACACATTCTCTTGATCCTTAATTTTGGACCTTCTTTATGCTTTAGGTGTGTTTCTCTTCAAGAATATTTTTATTTATTTTTAGTGCAATTTGAGAATCTTTGCATGTAAAGATGTGAGTTTTATTAATATACAGAGTGTATCAGTCAGGGTTCAACTAGAGAAACAAAACCAGTAGGAAATTTATTGCAAGGGATTGGATCATACAGTTGTGGGGCTGGTTAGGCAAGTCTGAAATTGTAGAGCAGGCTGTCAGAAAGGGCTGGCTGTACTCTCAGGAATAGGCTGAAGCTGCAGCGCACAAACTAAATACCTTCTCCTTCGAGGAAGCCTTAACTCTGCTCTTAAGGCCTTTCAATTGATGAACCAAGGCCTTCCAGGCTTAAAGTCAACTGACTTAAAGTCAACTGAGTATGGACTTTAATCGCATCTCCAAAATACCTCTACAACAATATCTAGATTAGTGTTTGAATAAATAAGGACTCTAGGTTAGTGAATTTAATAAGTACAACTATCACAAATAGTATATTGTTACATTAATATACAGTTGGTCCCTGACTTACAGTGGTTCTACTTATGATCTTTCCATTTTAGGATGGTATGCAAAGGATATGCATTCAGTGGAAACCATACTTCAAGTGCTCATACAATCATTCTGGTTTTCACTTTCAGCATAGCATTTAATAAATTACATGAGATTTTCAACACTTTATTATAAAATAGGCTTTGTGTTAGAGGATTTTGCCCAGCCGTGGCTAATGTAAGTGTTCTAAGCATATTTAAGGTAGGCTAGGCTAAGCTATGATATTTGGTAGGTTAGGTATATTAAATGCATTTTCAACTTATTATGGGTTTATTGAGACATAAGTCCATCATAAGTTGAGGAGCATCTGTATTTGGACTAATTCCTGTTATCTTATTTGGATTTTTATTTACCACATATTTTAGTGCTGCTCCTTCTCCCCTTCCCCTTCCCTTCCTCCTGACTCTCTTCTCCTTCCTCTCAACCTCCCCTACTTTCTTAATTTCCTGCCTTCTGTTGAACAGAGAGATTTTCAATTACCTTTTTGCGATGTACTACTTTGCAAGATGTAAATTTCTGCTTTATTCCCATGTGATTGCTCTTGAATTTTTTAAGGCGTATGTCTAACTTTGTATTTTTCTATCAAAGTCTAAAGTTAATCAACATCTTGAATAAAGATGCAAAAGAGAACATTCTAATCCACCTGAACTTCCCCCCAAAAATATTTCATGTTTTATAAAGTTTTATTTTTAAATTCTAACATTCATTAATTTTTATGACCAGCCTTTATTTTTATGTGCATGCCTACTAATGTTTTTAATCACCATTACCACTTCCGTTCTATTCCTTTCTTCTAAATTCTATTTCTGTCCTCAAAATTTATTTCAATGATTAATAAATTCTCTTAGTATGTGTTAAAATATCCTTATTTCACATTCATTCTTGAGTTATAGTTTAGGTAAGTGCAGGATTCTAGATTGGCTGCTATATTATTGCTTAGACACTTTGAAGGCACTATTCCATTTTCTTCCAGATTACCTTGTGGCTCATGAAAAATCTTCTGTCAACCTGGATGTTGTTCCTCATAGGTTATCTGTTTTATCTCTTCTGGTAGTTTTAAAGGTTTCTTCTTTATTTTTGATGTACTGCAGTTTCTGACTCTCTGACTTTCTCTCTCTCTCTCTCTCTCCCTCTCTCTCTCTCTCTCCAGCTTTCTCTCTCTCAGTTTTCTTCAGTTTGGAACCTGGTGTGTGACTTTTCCATCTGAGAACTCATGTCTTACTAGGAAATTCTCTACATAACCATATTTGTGTGTTACTATTCCCCATTACTTCACTCCCCTTCTGGAACTCTTGTGGATGCATGTATTGGAGTTTTGTAGTCTATTATTCACTTCTCTCATTGCTTCCTTCTTATCATGAATCTTTAGAGTCTTTAAGTTGCATTCTTAGATTCATCTTCCAACTTATTAATTTTTGTTTTGGTCTGCTTTGACATGTTCTGTGGAGTCTTACAATTATGATAGCAATATTTTCCATTCTAGAGTATGTGTTTATTTTCAAGTCTGCTTATTCTGTTTCCATAACGTCTTCTAACATTATGAGATCAGTTGATTCTTTTATCTCTTTGAACATTTTTAAACATACTTATTTTGAAGTCCTTTAGAAACTGCTCTATTTTCTTTAGTTTCTCAACTGTGAATTCTTTCATTTGTTGTGTCTGCTGGGTCTCTCTTATGGGGGCGGATTTTTTGATGTACTTCATATCTTTTTTACTGTTAGCTTATTTTCAACAGTTGTCTTCCACTTTCTCAGTAGTGCCTGGATTGTGGAAATGATCTCATCTAGCAGTTTAGCATTTGCTTCTAACAAGGTCCTGCAGATTTAATCTTTCTGGACCATTTTTAAAAATTGTTCTGTAATAAAATATTTCAGACATATGAAAAGGTATAAAAATAGTATAACGTAAACCTGTGTAGCCATTAGCCAGCTTAAGACATAAAATATTACAAATACTTTTGAAGCCTCATGTAGTTCTTTTCAATTGCTATCACCTCTCCGCCTCACCTCCAGAGATAAGCACTGCTGAATTGTGTAGTTTTTGGACCCTTACATGTGCATATATTCCTCCAAATAATATTCAGTTTTGCTTAATATATTTTTAAACTTTATAAAATGGTATTATATGGTATCCTGATGCTACTTTCATTTTTTAGTCAAAAATTTAATTTGTCATGTTGATACATAGATTTCTAGTTTATCTAGTTTTAATTCTATATTATATTCCATGGCATAATATTCTGTCATACGGTTATTCAATCTACTGTTGATATATATTTTGGTTTCTCCTAACTTTTTGCAATTACCAAAATAATGCTATCAACTTTCCAGTACATACCAACTTGCACACATGTGCATAAAAACTTTTAGTGCAAATACCTAGGAAAGGAATTGTTGAATAACAGGAACTTGCTATTGTCAGTTTAACAGATTTTGTCAAACTGCTCTCCAAAGTTAAAAATATCCTCCCACCTGTTATAAGATCACTTCACCTTGCTCCTCATTGTCAATTCCAGGAATTATCAGCATGTTCATATTTGCCATTCTGGTGGGCTGGACATTATATCTCCTTGTGATTTTCATTTGTGTTTTACTTCTCTAGTCCCCAGCAAGACGTAGCATCTTTTTATGCTTTTACTTTTGCCATTTGAGTTTCTGCTTGTTATTTCTGTTATTTTTTAAATTCCTTCTCTTCTTGATTTATAGGATGCTTTACAATTAGCAGGATGCTAATTAATTTCCAGTAGTATGCACTGAAAATGTGTTCTCCCAGTCTGAGACTTATCGTTTACTTTTTTTATTGGTGACTTTCGGTTTACAGAAATTTTTACCTTAATTTAGTCAAAGCTCTCAATCTATTAATTTAACATTTATGCTTATTCGCATTGTTAAGAAATCCCTCCATACATTGAGTCATAAAAACACTGTCATATTTTCTTTTTGTAGATTTTTAAAAATTTTTATTGGTATGTTATATTTGTACATATTTAATGGAGCACATGTGATATTTTATTGCATGCATGGAATGCATAATGATCAAGTCAGGGTATTTGGGGTATACATCGCCTTGAGTATTTATCATTTCTATGTGTTGGGAATACTTCAAGTAGTATTTTTTTGGCAGTTAAAAAAATACAATGGCCAATGGAGAAGTAAACAATATTTAATGTCCTTTATAATTAAAGAAATGTTAATTAAAACAGCGCAGAATTTTATACCTACCAGCACGGAAAGAAACTAAAAGGACTAAAGAAAACCCCACAAAATAAGAAGCAAGCAAAGAAAAAGTACACACACACACACACACACACACACACACACACTCTCTCTCTCTCTCTCTCTCTCTCTCTCTCTCTCACACACACACACACACACAACTTTGGACCTGGCAATACTGTGTCTAGGAATTTCTTCTAAAAAAAAAAAAACCAGATAAGCGTGCGAATAAAGGTATAAAATGATACCTATGGCAGCGTTGTCTGTATTTGTGAAAAATCTTAAGCAACCCAAACTCTGAATATAAGCACAGTATTCTGCAGCCACTCAAAATTTTGAGGTAGCTCTTACATTGGCAACATGAAGTGATAAACATAACATATTCATAAGTGTAAAAAGCAGGACATAAAGTGTGAAAATGAAAGAAAAAGACAGCAGTGCTACAGTTGCCGACTCAGGCTGAACAACATACAATAAGAATCATGGTAGATGTATGTTGACGTTTTTCACAGATGATTACCTGTACTAAATCTATACTCTTCTGGCTATTTTAAAACATACCCTTTTTTTCTTTTTTTGAGACAGAGTCTTGCTCTGTCCCCGGGCTGGAGTACAGTGGCACGATCTCCGACTCACTGCAAGCTCCGCCTCCCGGGTTCACGCCATTCTCCTTCCTCAGCCTCCCGAGTAGCTGGGACTACAGGCGCCCGCCACCACGCCCGGCTAATTTTTTTTTTTGTATTTTTAGTAGAGACGGGGTTTTACCATGTTAGCCAGGATGGTCTCCATCTCCTGACCTTGTGATCCACCCGCCTCAGCCTCCCAAAGTACTGGGATTACAGGCGTGAGCCACCGCGCCCAGCCAAAACATACAATATTTTTAAAAAACAATGCATTGTTGTTAACTATAGTTACCCTCCTCTGCCATCACACATTAGAACATGTTCCTTCTATCAAACTGTATGTTTGGTACCATTAATCAACCTCTCTTCATCCCTCCCCCAACACCCACACATTCTTCCCACCATTCAGTATCTCTCATTTAACTCTCTACCTCCATGAGATAAAATGCTGTAGCTCCCACATATTAGTAAGAACATGCAAAATTTGTCTTTCTGTGCCGGGCTTATTTCACTTAACATTAGGACCTCTAGTTCCATTCATGTTGCTGCAAATGACACTATTTCATTATTTTTCATGGCCAAATATTATTCCATCATGTATATGTACCACATGTTTTTTATCCATTCATCTGCTGATGGACGCTTAGGTCAATTCCATATCTTTGCTATTGTGAATAGTGCTGCAATAAACATGGGACTGCAGGTATCTCTTTGATGTACAGATTTCTTTTCCTTTGAATGAATAGTAATGAGATTCCTAGATCGTGTGGTAGTTCCATTTTTAGGTTTTTGAGAAAACTTCACACTTTTTCCATAGTGGCTGTACTAATTAATAATCCCACTAGCCATATATGAGTCTCTTTTCTCTACAACCTTGTCAGCATCTGTTATTTTTTGTCTTTTTGATAATAGCCATTCTAACTGGGGTAAGATGATATCTTGATGTGGTTTTGATTTGCATTTCTCTGATGATTAGTGATATTGAGCATTTTTTCATATACTTGTTGGTGATCTGAATGAGAAATGTCTATTAATGTCCTTTGTCCACTTTTAATGGGATTATTTGTATTTTTTTCTGTTGTTTGAACTCCTTGTATAATCTGGAAATTAGTTCTTTATCCGATGACCAGTTTGCAAACATACTCTTCCATTCAACAGATTTTCTCTTCACCCTGTTGACTGGTTCCTTTGCTGTGCAGAAGCCTTTTAAATATAGTCTAATTTATTTTTAATTTTGTTGCTTGTGCTTTGAAGGTCTTAGCCATAAAATCCTTGTCAATGTCCTGAAGCATTTCCCCTGTTTTCTTTTAGTAGTTTTATAGTGCCAGGTCTCACATTTAAGTCTTAAATCATCTTGAGTTGATTTTCATATATGGTGAGAGACAGAGGTTCAGTTTCATTCTTCTGCATATAGATATCCAATTTCCCAGCACAATTTATTGAAGAGGGTGTCCTTTCCCTAGTGTATTTTCTTGACATCTTTGTAAAAATTTAGTTGGTTGTCAATGCATGAATTTATTTTGAGTTTCTGTATTCTACTTCATTGGTTTATGTGTCTATTTTTAATACCAATACCATGCTGTTTTGGTTACTATAGCCATGTAGTATATTTTGAAGTCGGGTAGTGTGATGCCTCCAACTTTGTTCTTTTTGCTCAGGATTACTTTGGCTATCCAAGCTCTTTTTTGGTTCCACAAAAAAATTAGGATTTTTTTTTCTATTTCTGTAAAAAATGACTTGGTGTTTTGATAGGAATTATATTGAATCTGTAGATTGCTCTGGGTAGTATGGTTGTTTCCTTATAGAGGTCTTTCTCCTTTGTTGAATTTATTCCTATGTATTTTGTAGCTATTTTAAATGAGATGCCTTCTTGATGTCTTTCTCAGCTCTTTCATTATAGAAATGCTACTAAATTTTATATGTTGCTTTGGTATCCTGCAACTTTACTGAATTTATTTATCAGACCTCAGAGTTTCTTGGTAGGATCTGTGTATTTTTCTAGATATAATATTATATAGTTTGAAAAGAGGGACAATTTGACTTCCTCTTTTCCAATTTAGCTGTCTTTTATTTCTTTCTCTTACCTGATTACTCTGGCTAAGACATTCAGTACTATGTTGAATAGAAGTGATGATAGTGAATATCTTTGTCTTGTTCCAGTTCTTGAAAAAAAGGCTTTCAGCTTTTCCCCATTCAGTATGATGTTAACTGTGGGTTTATCATATATGACCTTTATTGTGTTGAGATATTTCCTTCTATGCCTATTTTGTTGAGAGTTTTTATCATGAAGAGTTGTTGAATTTTAGTAAATGATTTTTCTGCATCTTTTGAGATGATTATATAATTTTGTCCGTTGTTATGTGTCATATTTATTGATGTCTTCCTTGACCCAATGGTCATTTTAGAGCATATTGTTTAATTTCCATGTATTTATATAGTTTCTGAACTTCTTCATTATTAATTTCTAGTTTTATCCCACTGTAGTCTGAGAATATACTTGATATGATTTTAGTTTTTAAAATTTGTTGAAAAAGCTACTGCACAGCAAAGGAAACAGTCAACAAAGTAAAGACACAAACCACAGAATGGGAGAAAATATTTGCAAACTGCCCGTTTGACAGGAAATTAATAACCAGAATACATAAGGAGCTGAAACAATACTATAGGAAAAAAAAATCTAACAATCCAATTTTAAAATGGGCAAAAGATCTAAATAGACATTTCTCAAAAGAAGACATACAAATGGCAAACAGATATACGAAAAGGTGTTCAACATCATTTATCATCAGAGAATTGCAAATCAAGACTACAATGAAACATTATCTCACTCCAGCTAAAATGGCTTTTATCCAAAAAACAGGCAATAAAAATGCTGGTGACGATGTGGAGAAAAGGGAGACCTTGTACACTGTGGATGGGAATGTAAATTAGTACAGCCACTATGGAGAACAGTTTGGAGGTTCTGATCCAGAAATACAACTCCTAGGAGGTATATACCTAAAAGAAAGGAAATCAGTATATTGAAGAGACATCTGCATTCCCACATTTATTGCAGCACTATTCACAATACCTAGTATTTGGAAGAACCTAAGTGTCCATCATCAGATAATTAGATTTAAAAGATGTGGCACGTATACACAATGGAGTACTATTCATCCATATAAAAGAAGGAAATCCTGTCATTCGTAACAAAATGGATGGAACTGGAGGTCATTATGTTAAAAGAAATAAGCCAGGCACAGAAAGACAAACTTCACATGTGTATTAGTCTGTTTTCACGCTGCTGATAAGGACATATCTGAGACTGGGCAATTTGCAAAGGAAAGAAGTTTAATTGGACTTACAGTTCCACATGGCTGGGGAGGCTTCACAATCATAGAGGAAGGCAAGGAGGAGCAAGTCACATCTTACATGGATGGTGGCAGACAAAGAGAGCTTGTGCAGAAAAACTCCCATTTTTAAAATCATCAATACTTGTGAGGCTCATTCACTGTCATGAGAACAGCCCTGGAAAGACCTGCCCCCATAATTCAATCACCTCCCACTGGGTTCCTCCCATGACATGTGGGAATTGTGAGAGTTACAATTCAAGATGAGATTTGGGTGGGGACACAGCCAAACCATGTCGACATGTTCTCACTTATCTGTAGGAGCTAAATATTAAAATAATTGAACTGGAGACAGAGAGTAGAAGGATAGTTACCAGAGGCTGGGAAAAGGAGTGTGGGAAAGATGAGAGTGAAGATGGTTAATGGGTACAAAAAATAGTTAGAATAAGACCTAGTATTTGCTGGCACAACAGAGTGCCCATACTAAAAAACAATGTAATTATACATTTTAAAATAATTAAAATGTATAATTGAATTGTTTCTAACACAAAGGATAAATGCTTGAGGTGATGAATACCCCATTTACCCTGATGTGATTATTATGCACTGCATGTCTGTATCAAAATATCATATGTAACCCATAAATATATACACCTACTATGTGCCCACAAAAATTAAAAATAAATAAATAAAATTGGAGACTTTTGTGTCTTCACAGATAATCTATCCTGGAAAATGTTCCATGTGGTGATGAGAAGAATGTATATTCTGTAGCTGTTGGATGAAATGTTCTGGAAGTGTCTATTAAATCCTTTTGGACTAAAGTGCTGTTTAAATCCAATGTTCACTGTAAATTTTCTGTCTAGATGATCTGTCTAATGCTAAGAGTAGAGTGTTGAAGTCCCCATTCACTATTGTATTGGAGTCTGTCTCTCCCCTGCGATATAATAATATTTGCTTTATATATATGGGTGCTCAAGTGTTGGATGCATACACATGTTCAGAATTGTTATACCCTCTTGGTGAATTGATCCCCTTATCATTACATAATGACCTTCTTTGTCTCTTTTTACTGTTTTTGACTGAGCTGCTTCTGCTTACTTTGGAGTCCATTGCATGGAATGTCTGTTTCCATCCCTATATTTTCTGTCTACAGGTGAGGAGTTCATAGTGGAAATGTGGACCACTGGGGGTCTCTCACTTATCCTTTCCCCATGCTGGGAAGCCTCTCCAGGCTTCCAGCTGATCCTAGCTGAGCAGGCAGCCTTGCTTTCTTTCCTTCCTTGATTTAGGTGTTTCTTGTCACTTCTCTGTTTAATTCCAATATTCTTTTTTAAATAATCTAATCAAAGTGTGATTATCTACTCACTATTTTGGTTCTTCCTTATAGAGAAGGCAAGTACCAGATGCCTCTAGTAAGCCATCTTGAACCCCTCCTCACCTTATTCTTCTTTAATTTAAAAGTCCTGTTATTGAAATTTAATGCTTACACCTACCTGGAATTTATTTTGTGTATGGTATGAGATGGGGCTTCAATTTTATTTTTATTTTGCATATAAATAATTAATCATACCAATAACATTAAATTTTTTTTCTAACTGCTCTACAGTTCCACCTCTTTCATATATCAAGTTTGCATTCATGTATAGGCCTGCTCCTTCCTTTTATTCTGTTACATTGGTTTATCTGTCTTTTCTGTACCAATTCCACACAATTTTATTTACTCTAGCTTTATGAATAGATTTATTATTTGATTAAAAATAAACTCCATTAAATGTCTGCTTCAAAATTGCCTTGGCTATTTGTGACACTTTACCATATAAATTTTATTTTATTATTATTTACTTTTATTTATTATTTGGTTTTTTTGGGAGACAGAGTCTTGCTCTGTTGCCCAGGCTGGAGTGCAGTGGTGCCATCTTGGTTCACTGCCACCTCCACCTCCCAGGTTCAGGCAATTGTTATTATGCCTCAGCTTCCCGAGTAGCTGGGATTACAGGCATGTGCTACAATGCCAAGCTAGTTTTTGTATTTTTAGTAGAGACGGTGTTTCACCATGTTGGCCAGGCTGGTCTCGAACTCCTGGCCTCAAGTGATCCGCCTCCCTCAGTCTCCCAAAGTGCAGGGATTACAGGCGTGAGCCACTGCACTGAGCCTCTATCATACAAATTTTAAAACCAGCTTGTAAAATTCTGTGAAAGAATTTGTCAATTTTCATTCAAATCTCATTGAAATATTCGTGTAAATTATGCAGAACCTACATCTTTATGATATCGAGCATTCTAAATTCTTGATACTCAAAGTTGGTTTATAGACTAGCAACATGGACATCAGCTGAAAGTTTGTTAGAAATGTAAAATCTTGAGCTTCACCCCAGACCTACTGAATTAAAATCTGCATTTGAACAAGATGTTATGTGTTTCATATGCATATTATAGTTTGGGGAGCCCTGATGTAATCTGTAATTATGCAAAATCTCTCCAATTATTTAAGTCTTTATAAATATCCCCATAAAGGTCACGTACTTATTTGTTTTAGATTTCTTGCTAGATACTTTTTTGCCATTATCAGTGATACACTTCATATCCTCTAGGTATTACAGGTAGATAGGAATGCAGTTGATTTTTGTGTATTGAACTTCTATGAGATTTGTTTTACTGATCTTCACTAATCCTTTCTTCTACTGTGTCCAACCCACTATTAAGCCAGTATTAAATTGTTAATATCAGTTATTATACTTTTATTTCTAAAATTTCTATTTGATCCCTTTTTTTATAAACTCCAATGCATTCTCTGATAAAATGCTTTGTCTTTTCCTCTATTTTCTGGAGCATGAAATCATATTGTAACCACCTGTGGGACTATTGCTATTGCCTGTTTTATTTTTAACATTGTCATGTGGTCTTATTTCTATACTTGCATGGTGATTTTTAATTGAATGTTAGACACTGTATGTAACAATAAAAAAATTGTGAAGGATCTAGATGACGTTATCTTTCTACAGAGAATACTTAATTCTTTTTCTGGCAGGTGAATAGCATATAGGGAGGTCACCTTGATCCAGGTGAGGCTGGATTTCAGATATTTTTGGCAGAAAGGAGTCTTTAATTTCAACTTGCTTTTGCTTCTAGGGCAAGCTCTGATTCCTAGAGTGTACCCTTCAGGTGTCTCAACTGAAAGCCTGGGGTGTTTACTGGGGTTTCTCCACTTTGGTAGCTGCCCGGCTCCAACCTCTTTTTCTCCAACCAAAGACTCTATTCAAGTTCTTTGGCTTTACAGTAGCTTCTTTCTGCTTAGTTTCTTGACACCTTGCCCTGTGCATATGTAGCTGAAGACTTGACAAACAGCTATAGCGAAAATTGCATGTAGAATTTCATGCTGACTCCTCTGCAGTTCCTAACCTCTTTGAGATCTGGGCTTCTCAAGTTCTGCCCATGTTGGCGATCCAAACTCTTAACTTCTGTCTCTTCACCTCAATGAGACTGTCATAAGCCTCATGCTGATGATTTCTACTTCTTTTCCTTATTCCACAAATCAGCAAATCCCCTCAGAGGAACAAATGGGGACAAATGTGAGGTTCCCCCCAATGTGCTTCCCTTCTCTTTAGGATCTTAGACTCTCAAGTCCTGTCAGCCTTGGTTGATCTCTACTGCCCTCAGACGCTTCATTTTTAAGTTTTACCCAGATTGCTTAGTTATTCTTAGTGGTAGGGGTAACGTTATATAATCTTTTCTATCATAGACAAGAATGGAAATCATGTTACACATTATTTTATTTCATTCTATATTCTAATTGCTTTGAGGGTGAGTCTTGGCTTATTGATTTTCAATTTTTTTAATAAAAGCATTTAAGATATTTAAGATATCTTGTGCTTACACCCCTGTAGCTGCATCCCATGAGTTTTTATATATTATGGTTCCATTAGTATTGGGGTCTAAATATTTTCAGTTGCTTACTATGATTTATTCCTTGACCTATGAGTTATTTAGAAATGAACTTTTCATTTCTAAATTATTTGGGATTAATTTTTCTTTTTCTTAATGATTTTTAAGTTATTTTCACTTTGTTCAGAAATGTGATCTGTATGATATCATTTCTTTGGAATTTATTAGGAATTAACTGGAATTTATTAGAAGAATATATATTCTTCAGTTGTTGGGTATAACATTCTATTTCTGTCCATTATATCCAGCATGTTGAGTATTATTCAAATATTCCATATTCTTACTAAATTCTAAGTTCTAGAGGTATCATTATAGTAAGTTACATATTGAAATCTATTAAATTATGAAAATTTCAATTTCTTCATGTACTCATGTTAATTTTTACTTTGTTATTTTTGGTGTTTAAATTAAAATTGTTATAGCTCTCTAGTAAATTATATTTTTATCATATGGATAACATATTTATCACTAATATTGCTTATGGTCTTAAAATCTCTTCTGTCAGTTTTTAACAAAGCTATCTAAATTTTATTGAGATATATACATATATGTATGCATGATATATGTAACATATAATTATGTATTCATGTTTGTTCATTTATTCTTTTATTTTCAATCTTTTCATGCCCTTAGATTTTAGATGTACTCAATTTTTATTTTTTAACTAATTTGACAATCTGTATGTTTAACCACTGTATTTAGGCCACTTATAACTCATATATTTAGACTTATTTATACTATTTTATGTTTTCTAGTTAACTTTTAAGGTCTTTTGTCTCCTTTTAAGATTTTTTTTAATTTTTATTTTTAGGTTTTGAAAGGTTTTTTCTCTCCCACTTTTCCCTCTACTGGTTCGAAAATATTATGTTCTTTATTCTTCTCATGATTCTTTTAAAATTGTAGCAACAGAACATCTTAATTATGGTTTCTTAGAAGAGATACCATCAGGTAGCTTTGAAATTAAGCCCTTGTGCCTCTCAGGAAATATGAATTTGGCCCCCACCAGCTTACGGCACACAGTACTGAGCATGGGATTCCAGTTTCTTTCTGGAGCAAATGCTTCTCATTCGCAGTGTGGGATGACTGTGTGCCACCGTGCCAGTTCTCAGGCCACAGAGCTGAGTTTCTCAGGCCAGGAACCAGTTGCCCAGTGCCAGCTGCCTGAGTTCCAGACTCCTTCCTCATCAGGTGTTTTTCTCCCCGTCCCAGGGCACCTAGCAGTTCCTGTTATCTCATGCCTCTCTATCTTCAACTTTTCATGACTTTAGTTTTTAGTTTCCTCTTCATTTCTGGCATCTGGGCATTTTCATTTCTTGCTTTCATGGTTAGGTACATATTGTTTAAAGTTTTAAACAGTCTATCCATAATTTATCTTGTTTGGAATGGAAAGGTAGTATCCAGGGTTAGCTCAATTTACCCCTCTGAATTTGGTATAAAGCCAGAAATTTTCTAAAACAGAAATTTGCTATTTCTGCTTTGAAGATCCCTACATCCAAATTGCCTTACCATTACAGAGTACTTCTTCCACAGTATATGGGAGACATGCTAGTGTCATATAACTAAAAATTCAGTCGGTAGGTAAATGGAGTACTTCATCACATGTCTGGAAATTCAATATTAGTTCTATTCCCATCACCAACTTTGTGACTTTGAGTAAGTTATTAAATGTCTCTAGCTAAACTCTTTTTTCTTATTTAGTGTAGCTAGTCTTGCCTCTCCCTACCTCTTATCTCAAAGAATCCCCTTGAATATTAAATGGAAAATTAAAAGATAAAATTTTATGAATGAAAGCTCTTTTTTTTTTTTTTTGTAGAGATGGAGTCCCGCTCTGTCACCCAGGCTGGAGTGCAGTGGTGTGATCTCAGCTCACTGCAGCCTCCGCTTCCCAGGTTCAAGCAATTCTCCTGCCTCAGCCTCCTGAGTAACTGGGATTACAGGCACATGCTGCCACGCCCATCTAATTTCTTTTGTATTTTGGTAGAGACGGGGTTTCACCATGTTGTCCAGTCTGGTCTCCAACTCCTGAGCTCAGGCAATCTGCCCTCCTTGGCCTCCCAAAGTGCTAGGATCATGAGCCACCGCACCCAGCCAGCTCTTAATTTTGTTTAAAAAATTATCTATAGACAGTTATTGTTACTATTGTCATGTATTTTAACTTTTATTTTAAGTTTAGGGGTACAAGTGCAGGTTTGTTATATAGGTAAACTTGTGTCATGAGAATTTGTTGTACAGATTATTTCATCACCCAGGTATTAAGCCTAGTACCCATTAGTTATTTTTCCTGATCCTCTCCATCCTCCCACCATCCACCCTTCAAAATGCCCCAGTGTGTGTTGTTCCCCTCTATATGTCCATGTGTTCTTATCATTTAGATCCCACTTATAAGTGAGAGCATGTGGTATTTGCTTTTCTGTTCCTGTGTCAGTTTGCTAAGGTTAATGGCCTCTAACCCAATCTGTGTCCCTGCAAAGGACAACAGTCAAGCTGAGAGCCAGGTCAGGAATGAACTCCCGTTCACAACTGCCACAAAAAGAATAAAATACCTAGGAATACAGCTAACTAGGGAGGTGAAAGGTTTCTACAAGGAGAACTACAAACCACTGCTCAAAGAAATCAAAGATGACACAAACAATTAGAAAAACATTCCATGCTCATGAATAGGAGGAATCGATATCATTAAAATGGCTATATTGCCCAAAGCAATTTATAGATTCAATGCTATTCCTATTAAACTACCACTGATATTCTTCACAGAACTAGATAAAACTTTTTAAAAATTCATATGGAACCAAGAAATAGTCCAAATAGCCGAAGTAATACTAAGCAAAAAGAACAAAGCTGGAGAAATCACACTACTTGACTTCAAACTATACTACAGGGCTACAGTAACCAAAACAGCATGGTACTGGTACAAAAAGAGACACATAGGCCAATAGAACAGAATAGAGAATCCAGAAATAAAGCTGCACACCTACAACACTCTGATCTTTGATAACCCTCACAGAAACAAATAATGGGGAAAGGATTCCCTATTCAATAAATGGTGCTGGAATAAATGTCTAGCCCTATTGTTGTCATTATTAATGTCTAGTTAACTACATCCATTGAGAAGAAGTGAAGCTTATGGAGGATAATAACTACATTTCAACTACCCTGTAGCTTTGAACATAGTGCCCTGAACAGAACAGATATTTAAAAATTATGGATGGATTAACATAAAGAATCTATAGCAAAATATATAGACTAGCATTTAGGGGGGTTGGAAAGTTAATATATTTAGCTTTAGACCCCATGCCATAATTTTAGGTATTTGGTCAGGAAATATTGTCAAGGTATTGTTCCCTAGAGTAGAATTCAAGCAAATCCAAACATATTTTCAGTTATCAGTAGACACTTAAGCATTTAATAATGGGTAAAACAAATTTTACTGCAAATGAATGATTGCCCTTGATAGCTGAAGTGTAGTAAAGCCTTAAATAATACATTAACTAATTGCTTCTTATTCCTGATGTTTGTTAATGGTTTTTAATTGTAACATGAATTTCAATTCATTTGCTCCCAGAAACCAGGAAATAGTGAAGGTAAACATGGGGACTGCTACCAACCCCAGGAGCTAGGGAGGTACACTTCATGTTTCACCTATTTGGATGATATAAATTGAATTCTCTGCATGAAACCTTCAGACAAGTTCTTTACTATAGAAACCCAAAGTGAGAAAGTTGATTGCAGTAGCTACCCTGGGAAGAGTCTTTCTGAATGTGCTATTGCCCAGTATTGTAAAAAATGTACTTGTGGAATCTCAATGTGGTTTTTGGTCCCAGTGGGATAGCGTAGGCACAAGCTTTGCCGGCAGGACAAGGGAAAAATATTAAGGTTTCTCCATTATGTGTATAGATCTAACCAAAATATAGGAAGCCGTCGGGGAAGTTGAGACTCTAGCCATAACTGGTCTGAGTTCACTAGTGCCCTTCAGTTACTCCTTGATGTCAGAGTCCCCATTCCCTGGGAGTGAAGGAGGGTTGTTCCCACATGCCTTATTCCACTTGTCTAAGCCCCACTCTGGTGAATACAACCCATATTCTTTTTAGTCCAGCAAGCTTTCCCTTCTTCTAGTCATTTTCTGCATTTGTATTTCATACCAATCTCCTACTCAAAGATATACAATGGCTCCCCACTGTTTAGCTTTTTACTCCTTATTCCATGTTCAGAGCCTTCCACTGTGTGGTTCTGGTTTTGGTTCTGATTCTAATTCATCTTAATTAACTTTCACTGTGGTCCCTGGCTCCATCAGCCTGGTTTATATAGGACCTCGATGTGTTCTACTCATTTCCCCTTGCATGCCTGGGACTCTTCTAGCAAGAGGGGTTTCTCTCTCATCTCCACTTATCTGAAACTTGTTTTCTGACTGAAGACAGATCCCCCTTTATTTGGAAAGCTGTCCTCTTTTAACCAAGTTCTCAGCTTTTGAAGGGCTCCACTTGGAATCTTGAGGAAAGAAGAATAATACCCTTCTAGCCATCCACGTGAGACAAACCTACCAAAAATTACCTGGGTGGTGGGTGTTGCAGCTGGATGTCATTCTGAATTTCATACTTCTTTCAAAGCTAGTTCAAATCCCACTTTTTCTAGCCCATCCCAATGGGATCTCTTTTTCCTCTCAGTGTTTATAAATCTTGTAGACTTAAGATTTAAAAGATAAAACAGATAAAAGATGAAACTTCCCTGTATCAATATTTCCCAAATCTGAGAAACGTATCAACCTTGCCAGTGGAAAAAAAATTCTCCCTAATATTGACTTCAACTATTTTCAGAATGATGCCTAAAATATACAAACATAAAATAAAGTACAGCTCCTTAGCAGTTTTATTTCATATAAAAGTTATAGATTAAATAAATCCTCATAACCAAAATCAAGTTCACAGCATGTCACAGATAATGTCATTTTGCTGAAATTAATTATGACAGATGATGTCATTTAAACTAAATCACCGATATAAATGTGAATATGGTTCCAAGTGCCATAGTAGAGGTCTCCTGGCCAACCTGTCATCTATTAACTGTGTAAGTTCTGGGCACATAGCCTCTCTGAGCCTCAGTCTCCTCATCTGTAACTTAAATATTCCTGGAAAGTATTTAGTGATAGGATTGAATTGTAACAGATTGAATTAAATATGCATGTGAATTGCTCTGCATAGTGTCTGGCAGGTGATAGATGTTCAAAAGCTGTTACCTATTATTATTATAGTACAGTCATAGTAGTATTCTAATTTGATCATTAAAAAAACCAAGTTTTAGTCAATTAAGTAACTGTCCTTGGGCTACCCAATGTCTTTATGCTGAAATGCTCTGGTAAGAGTCTACAGTACAGAGAGAAGACATTATGAATTTATACTTCTTTCTGGTTATGGATTCACCTAACTTGAACAATATTCCAAACTCTATAAAGCATAGTGTTAGTATACAAGGATATTTCATTAAATTTATTAATTTATTCCCAATCTTGTTCCTAAAAGGATTTGATGTAAAAATATAATAAAATAAACGGAAAGAGAAAACAAAATAAAGAGAAAAATGAAGAGAAGATAGTAAAAAAACCTCAGGGTTAATATCAGTTAGGTATGCTATACATTTCATTAAAGCCCCTAAAGATAATTTAAATTTTCTGGTTCTGATATTGTGCTATAGTTTTCTAAGGTATAACCACTGGGGGAAATGGTGACAGGTACATGGGACCTCTCTGTTCAATCTTTGCAACTTACTGTGAATCTATAATTATTTCAAAATTAAAAGTTTTTACATTACAAGTTGAACTTGAAGTGGTCTGGGTTTTCAAGGAACTGAAGTCTGAGGGACTTTCTGTCTGCAGGTCCTCAAACAGTAATACTGTTTGAAGGAGTGGTCTTGATTTCAACAATTTCCCTGCTTAAACCCAATGGTAAGCCGGGCGCGGTGGCTCAGGCCTGTAATCTCAACATTTTGGGAGGCCGAGGTAGGTGGATCACCTGAGGTCAGGAGTTTAAGACCAGCCTGGTCCAACATGGTGAAACCCCATCTCTACTAAAAATAAAAAAATTATCCGGGCGTGGTGGCATGCACCTGTAATCCCAGCTACTCAGAAGGCTGAGGCAGGAGAATCGTTTGAACCTGAGAGGTGGGGGTTGCAGTGAGCTGAGATTGCGCCATTGCACTCCAGCAGCAGCCTGGGCGACAAGAGTGAAACTCCGTCTCAAAAAAAAAAAAAAAAAAAAGAAAGAAAGAAAGAAAGAAAGAAAAAACTACAGTGATTTTCATGCATGTGATAACTTGGGTGAGCTCCAATGCTCACCAGGAGCGGAGAGCCAAAGATAAAGTCAGTAAAAGCCTACCTCTGCATTAAGATGAACTGGCTTGTTCCATGGCTGAGAGGGAGGGACTATTACCCTTCATGAGACCTCCATGGACAGTATCTTTCAACTGGGCCTTTGATAAATATTGAATAACAGACAATTTCAAGTGATTGATAAAGATTAAAAAATAGCTGCATTTTGAGTGGCTCCTATGGTCAAATCATCAAATGCTTCCTCTTCATTGTCTCTAATAGTAATGACTATTATTTGTTTGGTGCTTTCTATGTGGCAAGTTCTATGTGATCCTATAGTGACTGCATTTTATCCTACAACTATCCTATTTTACCATGAGGAAACAAGGCTTGGAGAGGTCATTTAACTTACCTGGTGTCACAGAGCTGATAAGTAACAAACTTGAGATTCTAACCAGGTTTGGCTGACCACAAAGCCAATATTCTTAACAACCATCTTATATTTCTACCAAGCACCAGCTCTTCTCTGAGCTGCTGGGGAGAACAGAAGAGGAGGACTGGGCGTTTCTTCCCTTAGCAGTGTAGTCATGTTTTGTATCTGTTTTTTGGTGTTTTATTAATGATTACAAACACGTATTGAACCGTATTGAACCTGTTAGGCATCAGACACTGTGCACTTTGATTTCAATATCTCATGGAATCTATTATTCTATTAAATTAGTAATAGTTAGGTACCAATATTATTGCCCCCATTTTATAGATGAAGAATCTGTGGGTTCGCAAGTTTAACTTGCTCAGGAATGCAGCAGTAGTGGTGCCAGGATTTAAAGTCAGGCCTGTTTTAAGAACTGGTCCTCTTAAGCTGCGTTACAGCTTGGAAGTGAACTGAGGGAGGAGGGGAGGGACTGTCATTGTGTATATCTCCTGTGCCAGGGCCATGCAACTGCAAAACCAACTCAGAAACTACTGGTTGCCTGATGAAACTGCCTGGAACATCATCACCAAGGTTTGCATGCTGACAGCTATTCACTAATAATGCATGAAGAAGGAAGGAAATGATTATGATAGACAGGTACGTAGGTAGGTAGATAGATTGATAGATAGATAGATAGATTGATAGATAGATAGATAGATTCAGATAGACAGATTTTCTGGTAGAGTCTTAGTGCAGATATTCTGTCCTCAGGTGTGTCATCTTCAGCAAATTTGACCATCGTGATTACCCACCACTTTGCCAAAACAGCATACCTTATGGTGAAGCTAAAGAATACGCTTTTTATGTTGGTAATCTTGAATAAGAAACTTTTTCATTTCCCTGAACACTCCAGGTTTTCATATTTTTTGAAAATGAGGTCATACGATAAATAATTACATTTGGTGCTCAATGTATTAGGAAATTAGTCCCAATTCTCTACTTCTCTTAGTAAGGATAGACCCAGCCAAGTTGTCCTCAAACATCCTCTCCCACCCCTGAATGCCAGCCAAGCTCCAGGGCAGAAGGTAACAGATTTCCGGAATGAAGCCTTTCAGTACCAGCAGCCAATCATGTGGGAACGAAGAAGGCTCTCTCCTACAACTGAAACCACAAGGGAGTTAGAACAGGAGGCAAGATAATTACCTACCTGGAGAACAGCCAGGGAAGCAGCCCGAGCCTCTTGTGAAAAATGCCATGGGAAATGTAATGACCACATGTGGTAAGGAGGCCCTCGGTTTCCTACCTGATCTGATAAGCAAGGTCAAGGCAGGACACTGATCCTGGAGACAGAAGGGGCTGGTATTTATTATTTATCCAATCCTTGCAGCCAGCCAGGCTCTGCATGAGGCAGGGATCAATTTGAGCATCTACCTTAGGGTTTAAATTTTTTCTTCGAGGACCCAAATTTGAGTCCTCCTGTTCCCCCTTTTCTTACACTAAACTCTTGGTAATCCAGGGGTCTTTGCTGATTTGTAGGGAGTGGGCAATGACTTCATCATCAGTTCACCCTGTATTCTTACACGTTTATTTCCCTAGGCTTCTCCTCTCGCCTACCTACCTACCTGTTGCTCATCCTTCAGAATTTCAGTGTCTCTTCCCTGATGCCCCAGGACTAGAGGGGGGAACTACCTTTGGGGATGTGTTGAATTTTGTAACATATTCTCCCATAGCGCCTCACTGAAATCTAAACTCCTGTTTCTCCCACTAGCCTGGGAGTTTCTTGCAATCAGGGGCAGTTCAGTAGTTTATTCAACAGTAGTATCCCTGCTGGGCATGGTGGCTCGCATCTATAATCCTAGCACTTTGGGAGGCCAAGTAAGAAGGTTCGCTTGAGGCCAGAAGTTCAAGACCCACCTGGGCAATGGAGTGAGACCTTGTCTCTACAGATAATTTTTAAAAAAATGGCTGGGCATGGTGGTGCATGCCTGTAGTTCCAGCTTCTCTGGAGGCTAAAGCAGGAGGATTGCTTGAGCCTAAGATTTCAAGACTGCAGTGAGCTGTGAGTGTGCCACTGCACTTTAGTCTGGGTGACAGAATGAAACCCTGTCTCTAAAAGAAAACGAAAAAGAGAAAAAAAGATGATATTCCCATACACAATCCATAAATAGGGATATGATATAAGCATAACTTGGAAGTTTCCCTGATTCCTGGGTAATATGTGCTAACACTCCACAGTTTTGTTCCACCAAACAGTAACTGATGCAATCAAACAAAGCTGATCCCAGCAAGCCACTAATGAATACAATACTGAACCCAGTGCCCATTTGCCTCACTGTATACATCCTCATTTGCCCACTAGCAGACCTTCTAAGTTTCCCTCCTGGATCCTCCCAGCCTACATACTTCTCCAAGGTCACTTGCAGAAGGTTCTAGGACCTGCAAGTCACTATCTGCATCTCTCTGAGTATGTTTCCTTGACAGCCAAGAGAGATTGCCTGGGCTGTACATAGGGCAAGAACTGCTAAGGAATTAATGACCCAGTGGTGATCTGCAGCCAGACACGTCCCACTTGGGCTGAGTCCCAGTTGCCCACAGTAGTAATCTGTTCACTGATGTCATGTAATAAAGTGAAGAGACTTTCCTCCCTGGCCTGCTCATTATTCCACTCTCTCACTGTGCTTCCTCTAGATCACCTCCCAATAAACTACTTGCACCAAAATCCTGCTCTTAAGGTTGATTTGAGGGAAATCTGAGCTGATACACCTCACTCTTCCTCTTGACTGCATCTCCACGCTGTCTTGGAAGTGCTGGAACACGGTCCTCCCCGTCCATGGCCCCACTTCCATATCTCAGTGACCTCTGGCTTCCACCCTCCCTTACACCTCACACCCACTTCTACCAAGCAACCAATCACCTTTTAACAACTATTTATTTAATAAATATTTACAGTAGTTGGTAAATATTTACCACAGTATTTATTATTTAGAAATTTAACAGGTCTTTTTAACTATGTTAAAACTTTTAGAACTGTTATTGTTTTTTGTTACTCATGTTAGTGCTCTGGTTCCAAAACAGCCTAGGTTTTGAGTGGTCTGTTCCAACCTTATTTTTCTTCCAAGTCCTGTTATTTTTTAAGTGCATGATTTTGCGGAACATGAGGTTTTGGAGGAGTGCATATGGTGTTTTAGTGTATAACCACTTGTATTTAGCAGAGTGCCTGGCATGTATAAGTTGCTCAATAGATATTTGGTGAATGAATGAATAGACTAATGATGGAATGAGCATTCTAGTCATTCACTTAGACTTTGAAGAAGCCACAATTTTTTATGTGACAGAGACTCCATTTGCAACTAGGAAACCATTCCATATGCCCATCTGAATTTTCAGCAATATTTTAATTTAAATGATTACCTCCTTTATGGATTTAATCCTCAAGGTAGTAGAAGAAACTTTTGAATGCTTAAGGAAGGAGAATATCCAAACAAAAAGTTCCTCCTAGAGTTTAAATCTTTATAACACATTTTATCTTACTACATATTTTTATTTCGAAAGAAGCATGACAACCTGTAAATCAGATGGTAGCTATTTAGCTATTTGCTGTCCGGATGTACGTTGTTCTTATTTCCACTATTTCTAAATTTTGAAAACACTATTCACTAACACGCTATTATAAAGAGTGCAGTCAATTTATACAATTTAAATAAATATATTTCAGCCAACACAATTAAAATGATCCACTTAACTCCAAGAGCAGTCAAGTAATCAGCATGTACGGAATTGATTAAACATATTTTACGTGGAACGCACTGTGCTAGGAATCATGAGGAGAGACACGAAAGTAGAAAATGACCATATTTCTAGGTTTTTCAGGGTTAGCCTTCAAATATTCTGCCCTCTTATGCGCAGAAGTACCAGAGCCCCGTTTTGGGATTTGGATGAGGTGGCAGCCATGATAATCAATATTCTCCACCCTCAAGGTGCTTTCATTTATTTAGGAAAATAGACACAGGTACAAGAACAAATTGAGACGGCAATACAAGTGGCACACATCTGTCTCCTCCCAATGTTCTCCACGTGCCTAAGGGATCTTTGGGAGGCACATGGGGAACACTGGAGGAGGGAAGAGGTGAGTCTGGGGTAGATAGGGCATTCCAGAGCTCTACTTCTCTTTTCAAATTTGGCTTATGCATGATTTCAGTTTTTTGTTTGTTTGTTTAAGAGCCCACTTCTCGGGGGAAAGTTGAGAACCACAAGCAGAATCAATAAGAACAAAGAATTGGAAGAAGGGCCTGGAATGGGATCCCTGTGAGTTAAGGCACTATGGGAAACCATTTTAAGGAACAACAAAGAGAAACAGTATCAGGTGAGCCTTGAGATTAGATAAATGAAGAGAAGAGAAAATGGTAGGCCAATAATAAGGCCCACGATTTTATATACATGCAAGAATGTACAATTGAGGCAATTAGCAAGTTAATGCTGCCCCCCCCCCCCATAAAACCAAAACAAAACAAAAAAATGCTGCCTAAAATGTCTAGAAGTCTGTAGCAATGTTTGTTTAACCTGAATTTTCTAAAAGATTTTTAGAATGTTAAACATTTCTCACTTTGTTCACGGTCACCTCTTAAAAGCAATGGGCAAAAAATGTAGAGTTTGGGTCAGACATTTGCGGGTTAGAATTCTGCGTTTGAAACTTACAAGTCACTCAACCCTCAAGGCATTCATTTCCCCATTTGTAGAATGTAGAGGAAGCATTAATGCATGGTAGAATTATGCACATGAGGAACCATAAAAATGTGGAGGAATCACTAATGCATATCAGAATTACATACATGGAAAGTGTAGCCCACTGTACACTAAACCCTTAATTGAACATGAATGAAAATAACCTAGTAGGTTGTAACTAAGTTTTATTTATGTCTTTAAATTTCTGACCATTCACCAGGATATAACTCTTGCTAAATAAGAGTAATATTGGCCTTCTTGCTTCCTATAATGGAAAGAAGAAGAATATCTATGCAAGAAATAATAATAACAAAGTGCAAGATATTGCTGGCTGTGCTGTGTGTGATAGAGGATAAAATAAGTGATTGATTTTTCACGAGACGACTGTGCTGTTTTGGGTATGTGTACATATGGGCATGCCATTTCTTTTATTTGCTCCTTGTTCTTTTTCACCTAGACCAGGGCATCTCAAACACTAATGTGCATATGAATCATCTGGACATCTTGTTAAAATGCGGATTCTGGGTCTGTAGGTCTGGGGTGGTGCCTGAGAGTCTGCGTTTCCAGCAAGCTCTCAGGTGATGCTGGTGTTGCTTGTCTGTAGATCACACTTTGATTCAAAGGGCCTAGGTTCTCATTTTCAGTCTTCAAAACCCAGCCCCTGGGTTCTTCCCTCCAGGAAGCCTTTTCTAACCTCGACACTGTCTCAGTCTTCAGTAAATATGCTAAGCAATTAAAACTGCAAGGCAACTCCTAGGCCCACCATATAAAATACAAGATTCCCAGTTAAATTTGAGTTTCAGAAAAAAAAAAAAAAAACAACTTAGACTATTGCATGGGATATACTTATGCTAAAAATCTATCTGTTGTTTATCTGAACTGCAAATTTACCTTGGTGTTCTCTAGTTTTATTTGCTAAGTCTGGCAACCCTACCTGCTACCCACCCATCCTGCCCCATTCCCAGCACATACAATTAGATTGCTGTCCCTGAACCTCTTTTAACCAGAAATTCCAGGGCAGGCACTGCCTCACAGACCCTTGTTTATGTCACTGTGGTAACCTGGGGCTGCTTCTAACTTTTCAGTAACTTCACAGAGATAAGCTCATTGTTGATGACAGGTCTTTTTCCTATTGGACTGTGAGCTACTTGGGAGTAAGGACTACATCTTCACCTGTGTCTCCCCTGTTTCTAGCAGAGTAAAATATGCACAGTAAATATTTGCCAAGTTGAACTGAGCTGAATTAGCTCAGATCCTGATTCGGCTGCTTTGGTTGATGGTAGAAAACGGCTTTGGCAGAGGTTGAAGGACCTTGAGGCTTTGGAAACAGGGGTAGGTCTGGGGTCAAAAAGAAACATGTTAATCTTTTCAGCAAAGATCTTGGTTCTTTAAAAAAAACTAATTAATCCAATCAAGGAATATTTGTCTACATATTAGCATCAAACTCTCTCTTAATTTCAACTAGAATAAGTACATACTCTACCATGCCCAAAATAAATTGCCCCACCTCTCCATATGACTTTTCTTCTAAAGGTTCATCTCCTACCTTTCTCTTTACTTGCCTGAGGACTAAAATCACATTCACTTAGATTAACATCATGTGGCACTTACTTTTTCTTCCTCAGTGATCTGCAATGGAGATTCGGTGGGTCTTACAGAATAGAACTAAATTTAAGGATATTGGGTCTTAAAATGTCTCCTGATGGATATTGGCCAAAGTGGCTTTCACCAATCCCTCCACAAATGTATGTTTGATTGCTTCTTTGCTAAATACTAAAGAGTCTTTGATTGTGTCCTGAAAGATGTAATCATTTTCAAATGTGCTTTCAACATTCAGCAGTTAAGCTTCACAGGGTGGAGTATAACTCCAAGGCCTATGTCTTCATGAAAGTTACTGGTACCCAAGTCAACATTTGGACCGCTTGTGTTTTCAGGAAGGGAGGACTCAAAAGCCCCTGCTTATCTCTAAAGCTGTCTGTATCATTCAGCCAAATGGAACTGCGATGAGGTTGTACTATGTGGCCACTCTAATGTTCTCCTTCATGGAAGCTGACATAGGGGACTTTTTGCCTCCAAAACCACACTGAGTCATGGAAGGCCTGTCACTAGCAGCAATTTTATTTTAATTCATTATTCAACATTTACACAAGCTTAGGCTTCATTTGGTATATGTAATAGCTAGCAAGCCAAGTTTCTTTTATGAAAACCGAGAATCCAAACAAAGAGTAATTACTCTGAGAAGGGAAAACCACTGTCAGTCAAATAGTGCCACTCTAAATATTGACACTGTATACTTTCTGCTCCAGGTTAACCAGTTAGAGCCCACTGGCCTGCAAGTATAATGCTACCTCTGGAACAAAAACTACATACAAAGATGAAGGTAAGGTATTTGATATAGGAAAATAATAGGGGAAAACTTGAAAGTCTGCGCAGCAACACAGGAAGCAGAAATGAAATGGTCAAAGTGATGAGGGAAGAAAGGAGAGTGCAGACCACATTTACAAGTTACAATAATCATAGCCACCATTAACTGGTACCTTTTAGCTACCTGCCCCCATGCTAAGCGCTTTATATGTGTTAGCTTATTTAGTACTCACACATACACACAAAGTATTTGGAGAAGTTGCATAATGCCCATTTTGCCCCACTGTCCCTGAGGTCTACATTAGCAGCTATTAACAGAGTAGAGGTCTTTGAGTCTTAAGAAATCAACTTTCAACAGCCCCTTGCTGTGGGTATCTTTATCATCCCACCTCCCAAAGTGGATCTCTGTTACCATTTGCTTTGTATTTTTCTTTTCCTTTATGACAGTTTATACTGAGCATCGTTTCATATCATGAATTTTCATGTGAAGGTGCTGGGCCTCTGGCTGAGCCCAGGCTAGAGGTATAGAAGCCTGTTCCCAAGGCAGGAGCAACTTTCTGATCCTAGAAAGCTAATGACTTTGGGTGAAAACAGTCACATGTCCTCAAAAACAATCACTTTTGACTTTCTTGTTTTAAGCAGTCAGGCCCCAACGGGATATCATGGTGGAAAGAGAATCCCAAAACATATATTCCCAGAAAATATTTGATCACATACTCCAATCCCCTCATTATGCCAGTGAAGAAACAGGCTCAGAGAAGTTAAAAACCATGCTCAAATTCACATAACCAGTTAGCCTTAAACCTAATCTGCATTCTGTTCTCCATACTAGTCTGCTAACTGGATTCTCTTATTAAGTCAATGGTAACTGGGGAGCCAAGCAAATTTGAGTCTTGAAACCCAGTTATTCTTTATTGGAGCCTCACCCTGAGCAAGAATCTAAAACTATGAATCCCCTATACACACTCCTATGCAGATTTGAAAATCCAACTAACAGACTCAAAGGTTGAGTACCATTTTCTTGCTACTGAACAGAGTTGCCCTCTTTCCCCTCATTACTGAATACTGGGGACAGCAGCAGCAACACTTCACCAGTTTGTAACAGTGCAGACTCTCCCATTGCCAGGCATCCGAGGCTATTGAAATGTGTGACATTGATAAGGGAAAGAAGAGGTTTTTTCCTTCTAATACCATACATTTTATTAGAAGTCAGACATAGTTATTGTCTAAAATAAGAAAATGAGGATAATGAAATAAAATGTAAAGACATCTAAAATCTCACCATCCAGAGATAATCACTGGCAATATTTTGTCTCTCTTCTTAGGTATTTTTCTATAGATAATATATGGGTATGTGTGTTTCTCTGTACTTAAGCATAATTCTCTTACCAAAAAAAGATAGTATTACATTTTGTTTAATAATTGTTCAATTATAAATAATAAATATATTCTCATGTCAAGAAATGCACTTTGGTAGCCTGTTTGATGGTTGCAGAGCATTTTATTATGCATTCAATTCATTTAGCAAACATTTATTGCGTGACTGCTTTGCCCTCAGGTACCAGGGACACAGAGGTGAATAAGGCAATCAGCAGCCCAGTGATATAACCTCCTGGAGTTATATCATGGCACCAGGCAAGGTTCTGAAGGTTGAACTCTTAGGCCTATGTAGCAGGGGTGATAGCTAGCACCCAAAATGCTGTGATGGTAGTCCAAGGATACAGTTACTTAAAGCAAGGAGATCTTTAGAATTGGTTTTTAGAGAATATGATACTTTCTCATATCTCCTCTCCTCTTGCTTTCTGATCCTGTTCTTACTATAGAGTCTGATGCATATTATGTATACAAATTCTGAGAGATTGAATGACAATTGTTATTTGATATATGAATCTGTTTTTTAAAATATACATTTTAAAACAACTTCCTTCCCAGCAATTTAATGTTAACAATCAAAGAGCATTGCACAGAGGTTACCTTGCTATTATTTATACTATACTATACTATACTATACTATACTATACTGTACTGTACTGTACTGTACTATACTATACTATACTATGTTAGTCTATTCAATAAAAAACTGTACTACTGTATTCTATTCTATGGTATACTATATTGTACCATTCTAAACTATGCTATGCTATAATTACTACTATGTGAATAGCTTGTTACATCGTTGCTATACTTTTGTCCTCGCAACCAGCCTACCCCCCAAAAATGCCTTTTCATTCACTACCCTTGGTAGGTAATGTATCATTATCCCCCTTTTAAGTACGGAGAAAGTGAAACTCAGAGACATCAAGTAACCTGCTGAATATCCCAAACTAATAGCTGTTGAAGTCTGGGCCAGAATGCAGACCACTGCTATGCTTCTTACTTTAGCTATAGAGCATCAGTAAGAAAGCAATTAAATTCAAATACAAGCAAAGCAACCATGCTTCGGTGGATGAATGGAAGACAGCAGACCTTCCTCAGTCCGTGGAGTAGCAGAAAGAGTGACAAAGAGTTTTAGAATCACAGGGGAGTGGGTTCAGATCCGAGTTCCATCACTTACAAGCTCTGTACCCTTAATAAGTTTCTTAACTTGTCAGACTCAGTTTCCTCATCTTTGAGCAGGCGTTTGTAGAATAGTGGTGAGGATTAAAGATGATGTAGATAAAAGTGCCTTGCATAGGGCCTGCACGTGACAGTGCTCAAAAAGAAGATGCTGTTGGTGACAGCATCACCATCATTATTATTACCTCCTCTCAGAGGAAGGATGTTTCCTTTCCCAATCCTTTATTAGAATATTCAGAAGCTGAAGAAGTGTGGTATTGCTCATCCGCCATGAGGCTCTGTTTACATCTTGAATTACTCAAATGAAATGTAAAAACAGCTTCACTGCATCTTAAAGTGCTCATTACTTTAATTCAAACAGCACAGAGTTCCCCTCAAAATAAATGACTCTGTCCATCTGTTTATTTCTCTCTGCTAAACTGATTTCATGCTTTTCTTGGGCTGGTAAGAAACACTTCAAAGACAGCTGATGTAAACTAAGTAGGGAAGTCTACAGCCCACATTACTGGGCTCCCAGTGCCTCTGACAGACTGAGAGGAGCAAGCACATGTTATCCAGTCACTGCAGATCAGGATGCCCACCAACACAGGCACTGCCATTCTGAGGTCTACTTTAGGGAAGGATTTGTTTGGATGCTAGTTTTTTCCATTTTTATATCAATTTCATTTTTGTTTTGATAAAAGGTTTTCACATTTTGTATGATTGAACATAAGTTTATTTCTTAATCATTTAGATCATCACTGTCATAGAACACAATTTAAATCAAAATCTTGATTATAACCCATAATTAATGATTTGGGGTAAATACAAGCCAGAAAAATAAATTTTGTGGAATTGATATATAAAAATTTGTAAAACATATACATGTGTCAGTATTTTGTTACTCTTCCAAGCACTGAAAGCCCATCAACAGATCACCCAGACATGTGCAATAATTAAATTTAGGTGTCTTCAATAATTTTCTTGTTATCAGTCAGTATAAAAACCATGAATTTCCATGTTTCTAAGTTCTGTCATTATCTGTCAAAACATATTTAACTGTTTGTGAAATAATTAATCTCTTTAAATATTTAGATGTGTTATATATGGACTTCTATTTACATTCTTGCCCCAGGTCCAACAAAAGTGGGGGTGGGCCTAATCCTGGTGCTCGAACCCGTTTTTCTGAGAGGGCAAGTATAAGACTGACCAGGAAGACAGGGAGGTTTTGACATGGTAATCTCTTCTTTTATGATTTTACATAGAATCAGTCTTCTATGTATCAAATGGACAAGGTTCTCAGATTACTAAATTATATATAACTAAAAAATATGTATTATTTTTATTGATACATAATAGATGTACATATTTTGGGGGTACATGTAATAATTGGATACATTCATATCATGTGTAAAGAACAAATCAAGGACAATGTCCTTGGCAATACTTAGACAAACTTGAATTCAGTATCATTCTAACTAATTCCTAAACAGTTTTATAACATGCAGAAAATTGAATTAGGAAAATAATTACCTAAAATTTTACCATTTCCACAAGTCACTCATTTTTACTTTTCTATATGCCACCTCAGTCCATATCATTCGTATTACTAAAGATAGTACTGTTTTAAATTCTAACCTAATTAAAATTTTTATATTCTATTTTTTCTTCTGTTTAACAATATGGTAGAAGTAATTTTTTTCATGTTGCTACAGAGTCATCACAAATGATGACAAATATTTCATTTATTCCATCTATTTTGTATTGCAAATTTTTGTTGTCTCCAATTCTTTATTATCAAGTATGTTGCAATGTATTATTCTCCCTTTCTCTGCTTGGCCCTATTTGGGGGGTTACATGGTAGAACTAGTAGTAATGCTGATAGCAGCAGCAGAAGAAATCCACTATCCATTATCCAGAACTCTTGGGCCAATTATATCTTGGAATTTTGATCTTAGAAAGGTCATATGATAAGTATGCTATTTATCAGGCAAAACTCTCAGCAGTGTCTGAAGCAATACCTCATAATCAACCCCAGTGATATTTCAGTAGTGAAATGTGCAAATAGTCTTAAGTACAACACACACACACACACGTTGAGGAACTACTCATTCTTATTTTCTCAAGATTTTTTTATTAGAAATAAGTGTTTAATTATATCAAATGTTTTTCAAAATCTATGGAAGGTGCAGTAGTACATGCCTGGAATCTCAGCTACTCAGAAGGCTGAGGCAGTAGTATCACTTAAGGCCAAGAATTTAAGGTTGCAATGTACAATGATCATGTCTGTGAATAGCCACTGCACTCCAGCTGGGGCAACACAGTGAGACCCTGTCTCTAAAATAAAAAAAAAAAAAAAACTATGGAGATAATTATATTGTTTTTCTTTTTAGAGCTATTAATATGGTGAATTATATTAACAACTTTTCTAGTATTGAACTATCCTTGCATTCCTGGTATAAACCACAATAAGTTATGATATATTATTTTCTTAATGGAGTGTAGGAGTCTTTTGCATATTTTGTTCAAAAGTTTTTAATCAATATTTACAAGTGATACTGTCTGTAATTTATTTGTGCTATCTTTATCACATTTAGCTATCAATATTGTACTTGCTTCACAAAAACCATTTGAAAGTGTTCTTCATTTTCTACACTGAAACAATCTATGGGGCTTTGAGGCTATCCAGTTTCTAAAAGTTTGGGAGAATTACCTACAAAAAATATCTGGGCTTGTGCTTCTTTGGGGGATAGTTCCTTGATAACTTTTTCTTGCTTGCTTCTGTGGAAATTGGTCTTTTTAAGCTTTCTATGATCACTGAGGTCAGTTTGCTAAATTATACTTGCCTAGTATATATTTCCTCTAGTTTTTCACATTTACTTGCATGAAGGTGTGCAAAGCATTTTCATGATTTTTTTAAATGGCCTCTATATCAGTAGTTAAGTCATCTTGTCATTTCTTAATATATTTTCATTTTCTCCCTTTTCCCTTGAGCTGACTGTCTATTCATTTTGCTATTTTGTTGACTTTTTTCAAAGAATCAGGGTTTTGATTTCTTAATTTGACTTACTGATTTTCTGTTCTGATGTTCTGCTCTGCTTTTATCATTATGATCTCCTTTCTTGTGCTTGCTTTTGTTGTTGTTTCTGGTTTTTAGTATTGGGAATTTAATACATATTTTTATTTTTTCACATTTTCATTGATATACATGTTTAGGGCTGTGAATTTTCCTCTGATCACTGCTTTAAATGTATACGATATTATGATATGTAGTGTTTTCAATTTTTTTTTAGTATTTCTGTAACTTATGTTTGTAGCCAAAGGAATTTTTTTTTAATTTCTTACTTAATTGCATTATGATTAGTAAGTGTTGTTTGCAATATTTCTATTTTATGGAATCTACTTTGTGCCCTAGTATATACAATTACCTGTATTGAAATTTCCATCCACACTTGAGAAGAAAACATATCCTTGTCAGGGTACAATATTACATATATCTCCAAAAGATCTACGCTATTGATCATGTAGTTTAGATATTTTATGTCATTATCTATATTTTATCCACTTGACCTAGCTTATACTGAAAGTACTGTGTATTATGTTGTATTTACTGATTTTGTTTCTCAATTTGGGGTGTCCTCTTTGCTTTTCAAAAAATTTAGTATTTTAGAAGGTTCTTTTTTTGTTCTAGTGGTTACATTTATATTAATATTTTTATAGCATCCTTAATTCCTTCTTTACTTGCTTAATGTCTCCCTCAGTTTAAAGGAACCATTTCATTCCCCTCTATTACCTATAGAACAGTCAGTGATCTTATTCTACAGTCTCCCTTTTTCTTCTCTTCTGTCACTTTTTAGTTACATTCTTTTTACTGTATCAGAATATGTAATATTTTTAACCCCTTATGTACTCTATTCTTGTCTTATATCTATAGTTAAACATATGAAATATTTATCATCAGTCCTTTTACAAAGCTTTCTCATTTATCTTTTGGTTGGATGATGTGCTAGAAGGCTTGATGTGTATAAATTATCTCATTTAATTCCCATAATAATCATATGGGGAACTTACTGTGGTTATTCCCATTTATGAGATAAGAAAATCAAATTTTACAGATTAAAATATCTAACAAGGGAAACTTCAAAGTTAGCTAAACAGAAAATAACAAGAAAGCAATACAGGCAAATAAAGAAAAGAAAAATTTTAAATCACCTACATATCCACCATCTCGTGGTTACTACTGTCAATATTTTACTCTATCCCCTTTCAGTAAATACACATGAGATTATGCTGAATAAATTGTTTTATAAACTGTTTTTTCACTTAATAGATGGTAAAAATATTTTCTTGTCAAAAATACGTCCATATAATTATATTTAATGACTATGAAGATTCCTTGTGTGCATGTAGCAGAATCTATTTAATTAATCCTCTATTTTTGATCATTTAGTTGTTTCTTTTTTGTTTGTTTGTTTTTAAGTAACGCTGTGATGCATTTCCCAAAGGCCAATTTTTTTTCACATGCCTTAATAACTGCCTTTGGGTTTAATTTTAAAAGTTAACGTCTTATTTTTAAAATATGCATATTTTAAAAGAGTTAATGGCCTGGAGCGGTGGCTCATGCCTATAATTACAGCACTTTGGGAGGCCAAGGCAGGCAGATCACTTGAGATCAGGAGTTCAAGACCAGCCTGGCCAACATGGTGAAACCCTGTCTTTACTAAAAATACAAAAATTAGCTAGGTGTGGTGGTGGGCGCCTGTAACCCCAGCTACTCAGTAGGCTGAGGCAGGAGAATTGCTTCAACCCAGGAGGCAGAGATTGCAGTGAGCTGAGATCGCGCCACTGCACTCCAGCCTAGGCAACAGAGTGAGACTCCATCTAAAAATAAAATAAAAGAGTTTAAAAAATTATGTTTCTATTAATCTAGCATATTCATGTATCAGAATAATGTCACTTTATTATATTTTTGAACTTCACTCAATATATTGAGATGTTTGGTCACAGAACTCTGTGCAAATATACACACTCATATTTTAAATGCAAAAAAAGATTAATAACATATTTCTATTAAAATAATTTTAAAACATTTATCACTGAAGATATGGCAAATATTTCTGTAGACCAGAAACATCCAAGGACAAATGGGACCTAAAACTTTGGTCCTACTGGACTTCCAGAATAGAAGCAAAGGGTTCATTCCCAAGAAAAAGGTATCAGACATACCGACTCATGATTCACACTGTGGGAAACATTCTGGGATAAGGTTTTTCAGTGAACAGAGGCTGAAAAAAGTTTCAATTACTGCCTGAGTCTGTGGATGGCATCAAGCTGAATGGTTGGGTGATTAAAGATATAGTCCCATGGAACAAGAGCTCAGGAACTCCAAATACAAGACCCATTTCTGAACTAGGGACCCAAACATGGGGGCCCTGATGAAATCAACCAAATGACATCTAGATAGAGAAGATTGAGTGCAAAGAGAAAAACATAACAAAACTCCCACACAGAATGAGCTTGCATGGAAAATGTCGAAGTTCATGAGGAAAACTGAGATATGAAAGATGCCTTCCTGTCCAAAAGAATTTAACTTTGAGGAAATAGATATGATAGAGGATTCTGAAAAACATTTCAAACTAAATATATTAATCATCTTTAAATAGTTAAAGGAAGCAAGAACAACTATAAAAATAGTAAAGAAGTTCTAGAGGACTAGTAAAGCCACCAGCTAGAAATCCTGAAAATGACAGATATATTCTTTTCAAGAATGGAAGAACCCACAAGGCAGAATAAACACCAGATTGACACAGTTGAAAAGAGAATTAATGGCTAGAAAGATAATACTAAAAAATGAATCTAAATTGCAGAATGAGAGATTAAAAGAAGGAAAATAGGAAGGAGGAATTTAGAAGTCACAGGTAACAGACTGGGAAATATAGGTGTAAAGTTCAAGAAATAAGAGTTGGAATGGCAGAAAGGCAGTGTTGAAAAGATGTTAGCTGAGATGTTAACGCAAATAAAGAAAGACTTCATTTACCAAAATAGAAACAAACAAACAAAGAAACCAAAAACAACCACTGAATTGCACTCAGGATAAGTAAAAATTAACCCCTGGACGTATCAGAGTGAAACTGATGGATACGAAGTTTCCTATTACTGTATATTGACGAGATTACATGCTTTGTTTTAATACTTTGGTCACTATTATTGGCTTTGTCCTTCTTGATACAATTCTAAAGTACATATGGCTAAATAGTGGAACAATGTCTTGTCTTGCTCACAATATAATAAATTACATGAACTAATGAATTTTTTCACCTGAACCTACAAGGACTTCAATATATACCTACATTTCTCCAATTTTTGGCCACCAAGTACCACTTATATGGTATTCTTCATACATAAAGACAACAATTGTAGGTTAAATTTTTAAAGATTTATAAAAAATTTATAATAGAATATTAAAAAAAAATTTTTTATTATACTTTAAGTTTTAGGGTACATGTGCACAATGTGCAGGTTAGTTACATATGTATACATGTGCCATGCTGGTGTGCTGCACCCATTAACTCGTCATTTAGCATTAGGTATATCTCCTAAAGCTATCCCTCCCCCCTCCCCCCACCCCACAACAGTCCCCAGAGTGTGATGTTCCCCTTCCTGTGTTCTCATTGTTCAATTCCCACCTATGAATGAGAATATGCGGTGTTTGGTTTTTTGTTCTTGGGATAGTTTACTGAGAATGATGATTTCCAATTTCATCCATGTCCCTACAAAGGACATGAACTCATCATTTTTTATGGCTGCATAGTATTCCATGGTGTATATGTGCCACATTTTCTTAATCTAGTCTATCATTGTTGGACATTAGGAAGAAACTGCATCAACTAACGAGCAAAATAACCAGCTAACACCATAATGACAGGATCAAATTCACATATAACAATAAAAAACAAACAACCCCATTAAAAAGTGGGCAAAGGACATGAACAGACACTTCTCAAAAGAAGACATTTATGCAGCCAAAAAAACACATGAAAAAATGCTCACCATCACTGGCCATCAGAGAAATGCAAAATCAAAACCACAGTGTGATACCATTTCACACCAGTTAGAATGGCAATCATTAAAAAGTCAGGAAGCAACAGGTGCTAGAGAGGATGTGGAGAAATAGGAACACTTTTACACTGTTGGTGGGACTGTAAACTAGTTCAACCATTGTGGAAGTCAGTATGGCGATTCCTCAGGGATCTAGAACTAGAAATACCATTTGACCCAGCCATCCCATTGCTGAGTATATACCCAAAGGACTATAAATCATGCTGCTATAAAGACACGTGCACACGTATGTTTATTGCAGCATTATTCACAATAGCAAAGACTTGGAACCAACCCAAATGTCCAACAATGATAGACTGGATTAAGAAAATGTGGCACATATACACCATGGAATACTATGCAGCCATAAAAAATGATGAGTTCATGTCCTTTGTAGGGACATGGATGAAATTGGAAATCATCATTCTCAGTAAACTATCGCAAGAACAAAAACCCAAACACCGCATATTCTCACTCATAGGTGGGAACTGAACAATGAGAACACATGGACACAGGAAGGGGAACATCACACTCCGGGGACTGTTGTGGGGTAGGGGGAGAGGGGAGGGATAGCATTGGGAGATATACCTAATGCTAGAGGACGAGTTAGTGGGTGCAGCGCACCAGCATGGCACAAGTATACATATGTAACTAACCTGCACATTGTGCACATGTACCCTAAAACTTAAAGTATAATAATAAATAAATACATAAAAATATAAATAAATAAAATATTAACTTTAAATGTAAATGGACTAAACGCTCCAATTAAAAGACACAGACTGGCAAATTGGATAAAGAGTCAAGACCCATCAGTGTGCTGTATTTAGGAAACCCATCTCATGTGCAGAGACACACATGGGCTCAAAATAAAAGGATGGAGGAAGATCTACCAAGCAAATGGAAAACAAAAAAAGGCCAGGGTTGCAATCCTAGTCTCTGATAAAACAGACTTTAAACCAACAAAGATCAAAAGAGACAAAGAAGGCCATTACATAATGGTAAAGGGATCAATTCAACAAGAAGAGCTAACTATCCTAAATATATATGCACCCAATACAGGAGCACCCAGATTCATAAAGCAAGTCCTGAGTGACCTACAAAGAGACTTAGACTCCCACACAATAATAATGGGAGACTTTAACACCCCACTGTCAACATTAGACAGATCAATGAGACAGAAAGTCAACAAGGATACCCAGGAATTGAACTCAGCTCTGCACCAAGTGGACCTAATAGACATCTACAGAACTCTCCACCCCAAATCAACAGAATATACATTTTTTTCAGCACAACACCACACCTATTCCAAAATTGACCACATAGTTGGAAGTAAAGCTCTCCTCAGCAAATGTAAAAGATGAGAAATTATAACAAACTGTCTCTCAGACCACAGTGCAATCAAACTAGAACTCAGGATTAAGAAACTCACTCAAAACCGCTCAACTACATGGAAACTGAACAGCCTGCTCCTGAATGAATACTGGGTACATAATGAAATGAAGGCAGAAATAAAGATGTTCTTTGAAACCAACGAGAACAAAGACACAACATACCAGAATCTCTGGGACACATTCAAAGCAGCGTGTAGAGGGAAATTTATAGCACTAAATGCCCACAAGAGAAAGCAGGAAAGATCCAAAATTGACACCGTAACATCACAATTAAAAGAACTAGAAAAGCAAGAGCAAACACATTCAAAAGCTAGCAGAAGGCAAGAAATAACTAAAATCAGAGCAGAACTGAAGGAAATAGAGACACAAAAAACACTTCAAAAAATTAAGGAATCCAGGAGCTGGTTTTTTGAAAGGATCAACAAAATTGATAGACCGCTAACAAGACTAATAAAGAAGAAAAGAGAGAAGAATCAAATAGACGCGATAAAAAATGATAAAGGGCATATCACCACCGATCCTACAGAAATACAAACTACCATCAGAGAATACTACTAACACCTCTACGCAAATAAACTAGAAAATCTAGAAGAAAAGAATATTTAAAATTTAAACTAAAACATTAATGATAATTTCATGTGTCAACTTTATGTCAAGTTTTTATTGTTTGTAATCTTTCATCAACTTATCCATACCAGGCCCACTGTGAACTTTCCCCAGCACTACGCAGTCCCTCTCATCATGGCCATATGTCTTACCTCCTGGCCAAAGATGCTCTAACTACAGCTCACTCTATTCCCAAGATTCTAAAAGTTAGCTACTGCCACCAAGTCTGCATTAAGCAGCAGCTGTCTGTGGTGTCAGCTGACAAGGAGAGGACTCCACACCTGTGCACTGGCTGGAGTGGACCCTTCGGTATTCTGGAGTCTCCATGGGTGTCCAGAAGGGCCGGGTGATGAACAGAGAGCAGGGCCTCAGGTGGACTTCAAACACTGGAATAGGAGAGGCAAAGGGAACCAGAAGATAAACGTGTCAACCTGTGTCCCACTTCCATCCCTCTCCCCAACTCACCCCTTCCCAAGGGTTATTCTGGAACACGTAACGTATGGTCTCAATGATGACATCTCTGTAAGAATCAGTGACTGAGCTGTATTTGGTATGGAATTTGACCACCTCAATAATGCACTATCTTGCATTTGATCTCCCCCCTTCCCTTAATCAATTCTCCTTTTCCCTAACTCTTCCTTGCCTGAGATTGCACCTACCAATAAAGTGTTCACAGGTAATCTTTGCCTTAGGCTCTGTCTTCTAGGGAACCTGGGCTAAGACTGTTTTACTATCTGACAGATAAGTTGAGCCACAGGCCATGTTCTGTATCCAGTCAATTTCTCTCTTTGCTCTTTATAGTCACTATATTAGAAAATACAAATTTACAGTCACAGATTGTCAGGAATGGCAGCAAGTTTTTGGTGACTCTGACAAATGGTTCTAGATTGAATATGGACATAGAAATTATGAAGGGATTTTCCGGTGAAGACTACTTTCATGATTCAGTCAGATGCTAAATCAATGAGCATATCGTATTCGAAAGCCAGAAGGTTGAATATTTCAACTTGAGAGATAGCAGCAAATGGATTCTCAATTTTGCTCTTATTACATTATTGCATTTGATTTTGGAAAGTATTTCTGCATGTCCTTATAGTTCTCATTTTCTGATGAATGTATAAAATCAAGTGATGGAAAACATAATATTCTTGGTAGTTATGTTATTTGCACCACACTTTGGTCTTTGTAAGGGATCCTAACACTTTATCCTCAACACTAAAAAAAATTTTTAAAAACTGAAATAATAGTCTTATATTATTTAAAACACTTACACTAAGAAACAACAGATGGTTAGACTCCTAAAATCATGGAAATGGTCTTCACAAGAATTATGAGAGCCATGATTTTATTATTTTTATCAGACCCTTGTTTTTTAACATGTTTTTATGAAATTTTCCAACACACAGAAAAGTTGAAAGAATTGTACTGTGAACACTCATAACTACCTAGATTCTACAGTTAATATTTACTACATTTGCCTTATACATTTATCACTCTTTCCATACTCCTATCCATCCACCAATTCATTTTATTTTGATACATTTTCAAGTAAATTGAAGCATGCATTAACTAGAGTTCAAAATTTTTTATAGTTCCTTGTGAAAAATAGAATGTACACACAATGAATGCATAAATCTCAAATGTACTGTTCTATGAGTTTTGACAGATCTAAACAAACACTTATGTTACCCAAACTCCTACTAATATAGAGAGACGTACCATCATTCCAGGAAGATCTCTCATATTTTTTCCCAGACAGTCCCCACAACATCTGTCTCCCAGAGACAATCAGGTTCTGACTTTTTTTTTTAACCAAAGATTAATTTTGCCTGTTCTAGAACTTCATATAAATGAAATAATAGAGTATGCAGTATGCATTATTTTCTGTAAGGCCTTTTTCACACAGCATAACATTTTAAAGATTTGCCCAACCCATTGGCTGTGTCAGTAGTCCATTCTTTTACATTTCTGTTCTGTATTACTTTGTATAGATATACCATAGTTTACTTAATTACTCTCCTGTTGGTGGATATCTGAGCCATTTCCAGTTTGTAGCTATTATAAATAATCCTGTTATGAACATTCTTGTGTAAGTATTTTTGTGGATATGTTTTTTTTCCTGGTTAAATACCTATGATTGGAATCTCTGAGTCATAAGGTCAGCATATGTTTACTTTTATAAGAAACTGCTAGACCTTTTCCCCCAAATGATTGAAGCACTTTAAAGGTCATCAGCAATATGAGAGTTTCAATGGCTTCACATCTTTGCTAACATTTGGTGTTGTCTATTTAAACAAATTTACAAGAAAAAACAAACAACCCCATCAAAAAGTGGGCAAAGGATATGAACATACACTTCTCCAAAGAAGACATTTATGCAGCCAAAAAACACATGGAAAAAATGCTCATCATCACTGGCCATCAGAGAAATGCAAATCAAAACCACAATGAGATACCATCTCACACCAGTTAGAATGGCGATCATTAAAAAGTCAGGAAACAACAGGTGCTGGAGAGGATGTGGAGAAATAGGAACACTTTTACACTGTTGGTGAGACTGTAAACTAGTTCAACCATTGTGGAAGTCAGTGTGGCGATTCCTCAGGGATCTAGAACTAGAAATACCATTTGACCCAGCCATCCCATTACTGGGTATATACCCAAAGGATTATAAATCATGCTGCTATAAAGACACGTGCACACGTATGTTTATTGCAGCACTATTCACAATAGCAAAGACTTGGAACCAATCCAAATGTCCAACAACGATAGACTGGATTAAGAAAATGTGGCACATATACACCATGGAATACTATGCAGCCATAAAAAATGATGAGTTCATGTCCTTTGTAGGGACACGGATGAAACTGGAAACCATCATTCTCAGCAAACTATCGCAAGGACAAAAAACCAAACACCACATGTTCTCACTCACTGGTGGGAATTGAACAATGAGAACACATGGACACAGAAAGGGGAACATCACACTCCGGGGGCTGTTGTGGGGTTGGGGGAGGGGGAACAGATAGCATTAGGAGATATACCTAATGCTAAATGACGAGTTAATGGGTGCAGCACACCAACATGGCACATGTATACATATGTAACAAACCTGCACATTGTGCACATGTACCCTAAAACTTTAATAATAATAAAATTTTTAAAAAAGACAAAAAAAAATTTTAGCCATTGTAGTGGGTATGTAGTGTTCTATGAGAATGTCATTATGGCTCTAGTTTGCATTTACCTGTTGATGTTGAGTATATTTGCATGCGTTCAATAGCTATTTGTATGTCTTATGAAGAATATTTGTCAAATATTTTACTTGATTTATATTGAGTTATTTGTCCTTTTAATATTGGGTCATAGGAATTGTTTATGTATCTTGAATATGCATTTTCTGTTAGATATATATTTTATAAATATTTCCTCCTAGTCCATGTCTTGTCTGTTCATTTTCTTATCAGTGTCTATTGATGTGCAAAAGTTCCTGATTGCAATGAACTCTAATATATCATTTTCTTTTGTGTTTATTGTGTACTGTCTTACCTTAGAAAAATTTTTCTACCTCCAATTTGCAAAAATATTATCTACTACCTAACTGGATGTCTTAGTTTTTATATTAAGGCTATGATCCACTTAGAATTAATTTTTGTGCATAGTATAAGGGAGAAGTAAAAGTTCATTTTTTTCTCATGTGGATATATATAGTTGTTCCACAACCATTTGTTGAAAAGACTTTGCTCTCTCTATTGGATCAAAAATCAACTGAACATCTATAAAACACTTTATCCAACAAGAGCAGAACACACATTTTTCTCTAGTGCACGAGAATCATTTTCCAGAGTAGAACATACGTTAGGTCACAAAACTAGTCTTAATAGATTTAAATCATTGAAATCATACAAAGTGTGCTCTCCAATTATAATGGAATAAAGTTAGAAAAATTAGAGAATTCACAAATGCAGAAATTAAACAACATTGTTCTAAATAACTAATGGATCAGAAGAGAAACCACAAGAAAAGTTAGAGAACACTTTGGGATAAATGAAAACAAAATCACAGCATACCAAAACATACAGGACACAGTGAAAACAGTGCTTAGAGGGAAATTTGTAGCTATAAAAACCTACGTTAAAATTAGAAAAATCTCAAATCAATAATCCAATCTTCTGCCTTAAGGAAATAGAAAAAGACGAGCAAACTACACCCAAAGCAAGAGAAAGAAATGAAAGATTAAAGGTAAACAAAATAGAGAATAGAAAAACAATAGAGAAAATCAATAAAACCAAAAGTTAGTTCTTTGAATAGATCAACAAACATTGCCAATAGGCAGATGAAAAGATGCTCAACATCGTTAGCCATTAGGGACATGCATATTAAAACCATGCTACTACTTCACACCCACTACGATTGCTATAGCAATAATATTTTTTTCCTTGAGATTTTTTTTCCTTCAAATTTTCTTTTAAGTTCTGGGGTGCATGTGCAGATGTGCAGGTTTGTTACATAGGTAAACATGTGCCTTGGTGGTTTGCTGCACAGATCAATCCAACACCTAGGTATAAGCACAGCATTCCTTAGCTATTCTTAATGCTCTCCCTCTCTCCACCCCTACCCCCACCCCAGCCCCCAACAGGCCCCAGTGTGTTGTTCACCCCCACGTATCCATGTGTTCTCATTGTTCAGCTCTCACTCACAAGTGAGAACACAAGGTGTTTGCTTATCTGTTCCTGAATTAGTTTGCTGAGGATAACAGCTTCCAGCTCCATCCATGTCCCTGCAAAGAACATGATCTCATTCATTTTTATGGTCGCATAGTACTCCATGGTGTATACCTGTACCACATTTTCTTTATCCAGTCTATCATTGGTGGGCATTTGGGTTGATTCCATGTCTATGCTGTTGTGAATAATGCTGCAATGAACATATGTGTGCAGGTATCTTTATAATAGAATTGTTTATATTTATTTGGGTATATACCCAGTAATAGAATCGCTGGGTCAAGTGGTATTTCTGACTCTAGATCTTTGAGGAATTACCAATAATAATTATGGGCAAGGATATGGAGAAATTGGAACGCTCATACATTGTCACTGGGAATGTAGAATGGTGCAGCTGCTGTGGAAAACAGTTTGGCAGTTCCTCAAAAAGTTGAACACTGCGTTACCGTATGACCTAGAAATTCCTCTCCTAGTTATATACCCAAGATAATTGAAAACATATGTTGACATAGAACTTGTACACAAATGTTCATAGCATCATTATTCATAATATTGCAACAATGGAAACCACCCAAATGTTCATCACTAGATGAATGGATTAACAAAATATAGTGTAATATACCCATTCAATGGAATAGTATTCAGCCATGAAAAGGGACAGAAGAAATACTGACACATGTACAACATGAATGAACGTTGTAAACATTACACTAATAAAAGAAGCCAGACACAAAAGTCTACATATTATATGATTTGGTTGATGTGAAGTATGCAGAATAGGCAAATCCATAGAGATTAAGAACTAGATTAGTGGTTGCCAGGGGTTGGGGAGTAAGGAGTAGAGGAGTGACTGCTAACAGTTATGGGTTTCGTTTTGGAGTGTTCACAATGTTCTGGAATTAGGTAATGGTGATGATGGCACAACATTGCCAGTATACTACAAAAACCATATGCTTTGTAAAATTGCACACTTTACAATGGTGACTTTATGTAATGAGACTTTATTACAATACAATTAAGTTAAACAATTAATTGATGGCATAAGTTTGGATCTATTTCTGAGCTTTCTAGTCTGTCCCACTGATCTATTTCTTTCTTATACCAGCACTACACTGTCTTGATTACTGAAGCTTTATTGTAAGCTTCAAAGTAAGGTAGAATAAGTCTTCTGGCTGCACTCTTCTTTTTTAACATAGCTTTGAATATTTTAAGTTATACCTCTGGCCTTCGAAAACTTTGGTGCATAATTTCTTTTTCACAGGAAGCATATACCAGTGTATTAAAGCATTCTTGTACCTTACTGCCTTGTTAGCATACCAAAGTGAAAAAATACATACATGGTGTAATTTGCTTATATTCACAGAGGTCAATATTTTCTTCAGCACTAAGTCATGACCAGAAGGAACAGTGTTCACTCCCAATTGCCCTTTTTGAATAAATCAGTCCGTAGATTCGTGTTCAGATAAGACTTCTTAGTGTGTATGTGGAAATTCCTTTTCTTGTTGAGTACCTGCCTGGTGTTTCATGAATATGTAGCAAAATATGCCTTTTTCAGTTTTATCTTAGTTCACAAAATGCCATTACCTAAATTCCTGTACATGAATTTTTTTCTGTGATCAACAAAACAAAAGCTAATCATCATTTCTGCCTTATACAAGCACCATAATATTCCAGGACCTGATTTATGCACTCTGTATCATTGGTTTCTTCCAATCGTGAGCCTGTATATGGGAGAGTAATTGCTCTCCCACATTGTAAGCCACTGTTGTTATGCTATGTCCATCTGTCTCATTTGATAACGGAATTTCACCAATAGCTTGTCTTCTTTCTCTAAGTGTAATATATGTTATATTGGGTGTCATTTCCTAAGCTTCTCAGGAGTAACACTCTTTCCTTTTTATGCTATAAGGAGTGTGACTTTGAAGGATGCTTCTGTAGTTTTGGTCTCTTGTTTGCCTTTAGCAACAATGTTCATCAATTTCATGCTAGAAAACATTATTTTGTGCTTATTATGGAAAATATAAATTTATTTACTAGAGAAGTGGCTGTATTTAGAGAGAATTTTTTTTTTAATGTGGTGGTTTCATGCCACGATTTGGCAGTTCCATATCAGAAAAAAACACTTAGAATTGAGAATGAATAGCTGGCTGGCTCAATAAAATCTAATTTTCAGATTCATCGTAGTTCTTCCTACTCCCTTTTTTCTTTCTTGACTGTGTATGAAAAGCCATCGCACTTGCAAATACAGGTGTCTCAGCACACAGAGATTCACATCTTTTTGAATGTGAATTCACAGAGCAGCCCACAATTTGCACTGGAGCAGTCCCCTGGAGCAGCCCACAATTCATGTTTTACACATTATTTTGAATTGTGTTATCACTACTCACATACTTCAGTCAGTGACTTCTGAATTATTGATCCTTTCAGTTCATTGAGAATATGATACAACAATATAGTAACAACAATAAATTCAAATTTAACAAATAAAATTATAACCCAAAGGAGACAGAAAAAGGTTTTAACCAATGTTAAGTACACTGATTATCTGAAATTAGTCAAGACAGAGTAACAAATGCAATTTTACTAGTGCATAACCAACATTTAAGAATGTAATGGTTATTAGCACTATAGATTTCTAGAAGATCATAATGAAGTTCACATTTCAAACATATATAAACAGAATTTCTTTAAGCCTTTTTCCCTCTGAAACCATGAAAAGACCTGGAGAACCCTTTAAAGACTATCAAAGACCACCCAGATTCTCAGGACTCCCTGAAGAAACGCTGGTTTATAGACCTATATCTCTATTGAGATGCATAATAAGAAAATGGTTAAATGTGGCCAACTAGCAAGCCTAATTTCTTGAAATGCTTCACTAAGTTGTTATTCAGCTCTGCCAACAGTCTGTCCCCATGCCTGTTGAACAAGCTACAGTTCTCAAACACCTCCCAGGCTGTTGAACTTCACGCATTGCATTGCCAAATTATCATCAAGAAAGCTTCTATCAGCTTCTATTTCCCACCAGCTGTGAGTGAGAAAGTCCATCTCCCCCATTCCTCACCAGTTCTGGGTAAAGAGATGTTACATTCCACATGACGTTTAGATTTTAAAGACAGCCCTTAAAGCAAAAGATCAGATACAGTTCAAATGACTCTCAAAGATCCCTTACGTTGTCCATGAAGTACAGAGACAAGAGATAGGTCCTCATCTCTTATTACAAGTGCAATCTAGAGTTTAGGCTTATTGAGTGGAATAGTGGGTAGAATAACTCCAATTATTTTCCTTGGGATTTTTATCTCCTTTTTATTTGTTTTTGGCAAAATTATGTTTAAACTCATGTAAATTAAATGTAATTATTTGGTAAATTGCCTTTGTCGTTTTTACACTTGGAGTTTTCATCATTTTCTTACATTAGGCTATTATTATATTACCATTTCAAATACGTTACCTAGTACGTCATCTCTGTGCATGGTGTTGCATGTATATATTTGTGTGTATGTGTGTGTGTGTGTGATATATGTGTGTGTGATCTGTTTATGACCCTATTCACCACAAGATTAAATATATAACACCCTAAATTTACTTGTGGAATACTTCATGTTTTTCGTATTTGAATTTTTTATCTTCAGGGATTTTGTTTTTATTTACAGCATGAAGTAAACATCTACACTTATTTTTCCCCAAGAGGTTAAACAATGATCTCCTGGAGGGACATCCTTAAAATATCTCTGATATTTTTATATTTTCCCATTGTGGTTTTCATACAAAACTTTCAGCTGTTATTAATCTGAAAGATAGTAAAAATCAAGACAATTTTCTTCCTGTAATACACTTGTGCCTAGGGCTTTTTCTTCTTCTTGGAGGAGAATGGTGCTACTTCAGTGGTTTGGTTATAAATAAGACAATGCAGAAAAGAAAAAAAGCAAGATTTTTAATCCTGTGGCAAAGCTGTTAATTGTCCTTCAATATCAGTTTTTGCCTTCTTCCTTAGTAACAGAACTCCCAATTATTAGCTGAGTACGTGACAACCCAGAATAAAAACTATATAATTACTAGCTTTCCTTGAAACTCGGAAGTATCTGGGTTTTGTGAAATGTCTTTAAAGGAAAGAAGCATTAATATTCTTGCCTTTACTTCTTTTTTGATTACTGAGATGTGAATGTGATGGCTGGAGCTAAAGCAGCCATATTGTACTGTATGGTATCATGTAAAAGAGGCCAGAGCAACAAGACAGGAGTAGTCAGGGCTCCTGACTTCATGGAGCTGGGATGTCAGTCCTCAACTTCATGCTCCTCTTCTTTTATCCAAGAAACAGAATTAACTTCTAGGTAGTTTAAAACATTGTTTTGAATAGATTTCTTTTATGTAGAGCTGAACCTAGTCTTGAATTATGTAAAGCCACAGGGAGGGCTTATATTTTACTCAGTATTACATGCACGGAACTTGACACTGGGTATAGAACACAGTAAATACTCAATAAGTGTGCATAGGAGGCCTACATTTCTATTTACAGGCAAGATAGTAGTGACTGTGAGAATTTCAGGTAAGGTGATAAAATATATATCTTTTCACATCTTTGGTTGGGGCCTATGACTTTGAAACCTTAAAAGAAACATCAGACCCTCTCTACTATATTTTCTGAAACAATCATCTTTCATGGACAACATTTTAGAATGACATTTTTATTGGACTTTTATTTTTTTAAGAATGGGCAGATCTGGGAATGCTCACCACCATTTTGATGCACTTTCCCTTGGAGCAAACCATGAATGGGGGTGATGAATGCTCTAGAATAGATCCCAGCCAAGCTCTGGCACTGCGGTGACAGCTCTCTGCAAGGTTTATGCACCTATTTAATTGCAGTTACATCCATCTCCATTCCCTGGGGGCCCATCTTTATAGAGAAACAGGCTGTTGGCTGAGGATGTTGGAGTTGAGCATTCCTTGCTAGTTATTTAATTTTCATCTGGCACAAACTGAAGCAGCTTAAGTTTGGTGGAAACTATAAGTCAATTATCTTCCTTTGCTAACAGGAACCCTACCACTTGTAACAAAAAACAAACACAAAGCTCTATTCCTCGCTCTTGCCCTCAACCCTGGCCAATGAAACTGCCTTTCTCTTACATTTTCTGTGCATGGAATAATGGCAGTGAGCTCATGCTCTTTGTTATAAATCCAAGGCACTGGTAAAAATGTAGTGTAGGCAAAAGCACTGGCATCTCATGTTTCCATTCTTGCACAAGTTCAAGCCTTTATTTATTGCATATACAGTTAATCAAATGCTAGCTGGAACTGTAATACTCATAACAACCCCATGAGGAATATATCAGAAAACGGAGCCTTGGAGGGTTGACATTACTTACCCATGGTCACATAGCTAAAAAATAGCAAAACAGGGGTTTGAACCCAGCTATGTCTTGGTTCTGATTTAGGTCCCGGACCATGGCTGCATTATCTTTACTGCTATGAAGGCCTCTAACTTCCTTTTTTCCTTAACTAAACCCTATTCACCTTTCGAAACACAATGCAGGAGCCACTTTTCTTCAGGAAACCATCCCTAGTGCCCTAGCCTAAGGCCCCTTTGTGCTCCTGTAATGGACTGAAACTTCATTCCAATAAAATGTTCTTTTGAGCATTTCTCTAATATGTGCTATAAATGTTTTACATAGATTGCCTACTTTAATTCTCAGAAGCCCTCTGAAGAAGGCCACTCTGATTATGGACAATCTGTGAGGAAGACACTTGAGTAGATAGAAACTGGGATGCCTATTCAGGTCTTTTTGATCCCAAAACTTGTATATTTACCCATTATGGTATAATGCATTATAGTGAATTTAAGTATTAATTTGACTATCTCCTTGATGGACTCTATGTTCTTTAAGACTAGGGACAGTTTCTTAATTCATTTTTTACTCTCAATGTGTAGTATAGAATCAGACACTAGCTCATTTGAATTTACATCTCTCTCCTCCTCTACTGCCCCTTGAATGTGTTCCTATTACATGAGATGGAAATATTAATTTTTTGTAATAGACATAGCTCCCCCCAAAAGTGCATGTGCTAGTAAAAATACAGAACTGGAGATTCATCTTCCTGTTGCATATACATGCTCACAACTTCATTGAACTTTTTTTCCAGGTATTTCCAGGTATGTGATGTAAAATACCTTTTCAAAGAAGTTCCCACACAGGAATGTTCCTTGTGGTTGTCATTAGTGCTGATTTACCAAGTATTTCCCATGCTCCCTTCTGGGAACATGTTAGGATTTCCCTTACCTGCTTTCTTGAGTTAGGTGAGCCCATGTGACTTGCTTTGGCTAATGCAATGTGAATAGAAGTGACAACTCTCACCTCCAGGTGAAAGCTGCAAGAGTCCATGCATGATTTCCCACTGGTCCAGTGACCAATAATGTTTGAAATATGACTGTGAAGAGCAGAGCCCACACTGCTGACCTGCAGCGAACACTGGTGTGAGTAAGACCCAAACCTCGGTTGCTATAAGCTATTAAGAGTTGGTGGTTGGTGACTACAACCTTGTGACGTAGTCTATCCTGATTGAGATGCTATTGAAATTGTCCAATGAGAGAGTGATTCTTGGCATTTTAATTTTACATCAAGGAATGGAAAGAAAAGTCATTAAACTCGGGCTTAACCCTAAAAGGTTTAGACCTACTAGAAGTTTACTGGCTGTCATCATGCTTAAGAACATTCTTACTCAGAGGGTGCTGCTGATCATCTGTCCTCCATCTTCACTGGGGGCTGAGAAGACTGAAATGAGCCGAAGCTACTGCTGAAGGGATTTAAGTGAGGTGAGCAAAAATATTCTGAGGATCAGAGAGGTGGAATGACATCCTGGAACCTCCTTCCTCTGCTCTTCTGAAATCACCAGGGACATCCACCCGCCTGAGACTGTGTAGTGAGTGTGTGCCAGGAGAGGGATGAACCTGTTGCTTTCAGGGAGTGCCTTCTGGCTTTATTATTTTATGATATCTTCAATCTTGGCTGGTTAGAAGATTCATTTGTACATTTAAGCAGATTTTCCCAGGGTGTAAATTCCCCCCAGAGATAAATTAAACACTTTTAGGGATACAGTCAGTCTGTGAGGCCACCAGGGTACTATTCACTGCTTTGCAGCAGCAATTTACCAAATGGTACCCTGGTGACTTAGAGAGTGAATGCACATCTGTAAAGAGGCTTCCTTCACATCAAGGGATGCATGCTCAGAATTCTCCCTGCAATGCATGGACAGCCGAGGGTGGAAAATGGGGAGAATGAGGCCCCTTGGTGCTCTTATGTTTTCATCACATCTCATGCAGGGCTGCTGTGTCAGTGAAAGATAAGCCAAGGCCAATGAGTAAGGGAGGTGAACTGGAGCTCCTGAGTGTAAGCTGTTTCCCCTTGGTTAGAGTTACCTCCCTGAGGATCTTCCCTCCCTAGGGGGCCTGCTGTGCTGCCTGCTACTTTTCTGCCCAGGATCCCCAGTGTCAAGGGCTTTTCCTGGACTACATTCCCAAGGAGTTGGCCCATGCTTTAGCTCTGCCTTGTCTTTTTTAACTCATTGGCATACAACTGTGTTATTTGTCCTTCCTTTAGAATCTTATATGCATTCATTCAACAAACAATCAGCAACCACTTACATTCAGAATAAAGTTTTAGTTAATTGCACAGGTTCTTGAATGACATAAATCTGAGTTCGAATCTTGGCTTCACATTTACTAGTCTTCTGCATCTATGCCTCACTTTATCCATCTGTAAAATAGGGGTAATAATGGTACCTCCTTCATGATGTTACAGTAAGGATTAAAGGTCCTTACTTTGTTAAATTCGTGTAGGACAAAAAGACAAGGAAAGATACATGATTAGGAAGAAACTAGAGTAAGAAGAGAAGGAGGAGGAAGAAAAGGAAAAGCAGTGGACCAGGGCAGTGGGGGTGTGCCTCTTTCCCCACATTAAATCCATGTAAAAGAATTAATAATGTGCTCAGTATAGAATAAAGATTAGCTGTTATTATTCACTATCTACTGTGCACACCAGGCACTGAAGTGCTAGAGATGTAAACAGAAATAAGACATGGTCCTTACGCACAAGAAACTCATAGTCTGGAACACGGATTCTCAAAGCATGATCCTGAGCCACCATCAGCAGCAGCACCTGGGACCTTTTTGGACAAAGGAATTCTCTGACTTCACCCAGACATACTGAATGAGAAACTCTGGGGCCCAGAAATCTGTTTTAACAAGCCATCTAAGGGACTCTGATCCTCACTCAATTTGAGAATCTCTGCTTTATAGTAGAGGGATAATAGTGCCTTATATCTGTGAGTGCTTTAAAATGTTCGAAATGTTGCTACATGATTTTAATACTCACAACGGTCTTGCAAAAGTAGAATAGTTATTTCCCTTTCAACTGAGGAGCTGAAGGTCCTGGCTTACTAATAGGACTGCACTTGTGTTCAGGCACCCACTCCTCCAGCAAAGGTGACCTTCCAACTATTCAGGAATAAATCTCAATTAGCCTAAGCCAATTCTGGTACTCCCAGTTCCTTTTTAAGTGGCTGGTTTACAAGTAGGCTTGTGAATAAGTTCTTGCCAACAGACAAGACTGAAAGTCTGTTGAGGGGCTACTTGGAATTGTCTTCTCTCTTAAAGAAAAATGAGGTTGGAAGTTCAAGACCAGGCTGACCAACATGGAGAAGAAACCCTGTTTCTACTAAAAATACAAAATTAGTTCAGTGTGGTGGCACAGGCCTATAATCCCAGCTACTCGGGAGGCTGAGGCAGAAGAATCAGTTGAACCCGGGAGGCAGAGGTTGTGGTGATCTGAGATCATGCCATTGCACTCCAGCCTGGGCAACAAGAGGGAAGAGCAAAACTCTGTCTCAAAAAAAAAAAAAAAAGGCACAAGGACAAGATAGCCCTCTTCTGCTGGACGTTAATACCTAGAGCAGTGGCAGCTATTTTGTCAGCATGAGGGATTCAGGTGACATTCAGAGGATGCAGAGAACAGAGATGGAAAAACCCTTGTTGATATCACTGAGCTACAAAATTAGCCCAGCCCAGGTCCATCTTAACAGAGTAACTCTTACATTATGACATATTTTCCTTTTGCTTATGACATTTTGAGTTGAGTTTTTTGTTCCTTGAAATGGAACATAATTTGATACAGTCTAGCATGGAGAAAGACTTATCAGGGTAAAAGAGCTTGCCATCTCAACACATGTCCTGAGATTCTAAACCCCTGCTCTTTGCATAGCAAAACTTGCTAATGGATGATGATGACTCTGATCTCTGATGAATGGGGTCAAACAAATACACGAATTCTCATGCATACCTCTTATCACATTCCCACATCATGCCCACCTCTGCCCCCTCAACTAGCATCTTGAGCTGAGACTCTAGGCTGTCATAGCTTCATCGTCATTACCTGGTAAAATGCCTCACACTTATGTGCCCCACAGTAAATGGTAACTAATTTGTCAGTGGAGGAAATGATGATATAATCATATGAATAAGCAAAACAAATGACTAGTGAGGGGTTAATGGTACATATAGATTTAATGTACTTCCTTTTGCATAAAAGTCACAGTCTAGTGATAGTCTTCGGTGCCTTAACCCAGAGAAGCCCATACTGTAAACACTTCAGAGTTCTGTGGGGGAAGTACTCATACTTTCCACAGAATCACTATCTATAAAAACAGAAAAGGACTTTGTGGTTACTGAGGCCATCATCTTAGTAATGAGGGTTCTAAGGCCCAGGAGAAGCAATGACTCACCTGATGTCACAGAGCTGATCAGAGAAAAACCTAAACTTGAATCCAGGTTTTTCTGTCCCTAGAACACAGGACTTGAATTTCTGGCTCTTTAAGATCTCTCAAAACCTGAAAAGCCAGGGCCCTTTGCCTTAAGAAAATTCTGCTGACCAGAATGTGGAAGGATTCCTTTAGGGTAGCAATAAAATAGGCAATGTGGGGAAAGAGGCACACCCCCGCTGCCCTGGTCCACTGCTTTTCCTCTTCCTTCTCTTCTTACTCTAGTTTCTTCTTAATCATATATCTTTCTTAGTCTTTTTGTCCTACACAAATTTAACAAATGATAGGTTTGCAAAGGACCTTATGAATCTAGTCTAGCCTCCTTGTTTGATTGACAAGGAAGCTGATGTCCAGGAGGGAAAGTGTTGCAGGAAGTCAGGGATCCCAAACGGAGGGACTGGCTGAAGCCATGGCAGAAGAACATAAATTGTGAAGATTTCGTGGACATTTATTAGTTCCCCAAATTAATACTTTTATAATTTCTTACGCCTGTCTTTACTGCAATCTCTGAACATAAATTGTGAAGATTTCATGGACATGGACATGGACACTTATCACTTCCCTAATCAATACCCTTGTGATTTCCTATGCCTGTCTTTACTTTAATCTCTTAATCCCATCATCTTCGTAAGCTGAGGAGGATGTATGTCACCTCAGGACCCTGTGATGATTGCGTTAATTGCACAAATTGTTTGTAGAGCATGTGTGTTTGAACAATATGAAATCTGGCCACCTTGAAAAAAGAACAAGATAACAGCAATGTTCAGGGAACAAGAGAGATAACCTTAAACTCTGACTGCTGGTGAGCCAGACAGAACAGAGCCATATTTCTCTTCTTTCAAAAGCAAATGGGAGAAATATCGCTGAATTCTTTTGCTTAGCTATGAACATCCCTGAGAAAGAGAATGCATCCCTGAGGGTAGGCCTCTGAAATGGCCGCTTTGGGGGTGGCTGTCTTTTACGGTTGCAGCTGTAGGGATGAAATAAGCCCCAGTTTCCCGTAGTGCCCCCAGGCTTATTAGGACGAAGAAATTCCCGCCGAATAAATTTTGGTCAGACTGGTTGTCTGCTCTCAAACCCTGTCTCCTGATAAGATGTTATCAATGACAATGCATGCCCAAAACTTCATTAGCAATTTTAATTTCACCCTGGTCCTGTGGTCTCACCCTGCCTCCATTTCCTTTGTGATATTCTATTACCATGTGAAGCATGTGATCTCTGTGACCCACACCCTGTTCATACACTCCCTCCCCTTTTGAAAATCACTAATAAAAACTTGCTGGTTTTGCAGCTTGGGGGTTATCATGGAATCTGCTGCCACGTGAAGCCTTTCCCAGACACACAGCTTTAAAATTTCTCCTTTTGTACTCTGTCCCTTTACTTCTCAGACCGGCTGACACTTAGGGAAAAAAGAAAAGAAACTATGTGACTATTGGGGGCAGGTTCCCCCAGTAGGAAAGTGATTTATCTGGGAACTTTAAACAATTTGGCAGGTTCATTGAGTGGTCAAGGGCAAACCTGGTGTCAGTCTGAAATGGGGAGGGGGCAATGGCACACGTCATCTCTGACACCATGAGTTGCATAATTTTGGTCATGCTATTTATCTTCTCCCTGTGTTCCAGTTTCCTCGACCACACCACGAGTGATAACAGTAGCTGCCTCATTGCATTACCATGTGGGAAATATTTGTAAAGTACAGGAAATAAGTATAAAGCACTTGAAGGGTGAGTGGTCAGTAGTCATTAGTTGTATAGCAATATCTAGTGTGTGCTGAAGAGGATGGGATGATGATCAAGAAGAAGGACCTGGAATTTGGACCCTGGTTTTAAAATTCTTACTTATTTTCACTAACTCATCTTTTTTTTCCCCTTTTCTTTTCCGTAGCCTGAGATTTCAGCCTAATCTTTTATTTTCATTTTATTATTTTTGCATTAGAGAGAAAATGTGTTGTGGGAAGAACATGGGCACTGGAACTAGACAGACCTAGGGTGACAGCCTATGTTTGTTGAATATTAACCACAGAGCTTTGGTCAAACCCCTTAATACATCTGGGCTGTTTCTTTGCCAAGCAAGGATTCCACCACTCAGTTCCTAGCACTGAGGATTCCACGTGATAATGCAAGTAACAACCCTAGTATGTTTCAAGGCATGCTGATATCTCCCCCTGAGGCCCAAGCCCAAGAGTGAAGGCAAGGGTTCCGAGTCTTAACCACATCTTCTCTGGAGGCAGTGTTGGGGCACCCCTGAGATTGAAAAGTGGCACCATTTGCCCAAATGGATCAAGGAAGTACAGTCAAATAAACTCAAATCCAGCCTGAACGCTTGGTTAAGACCAGGACTGATTGCTGACCTTGTACGATCATTTGGTTACAGTGCAGCTGACAGTGAACTTGAAAGACTGGCCATACTTCGGTCCACATTCAATGGGATGATTTTGTCTCCAATCTGGTAGGCTGTGTCTGCCCTCAAAGATCCCTTTGCTTACACTAAAACAAAGGGTAAGTTAAAGTGCCCCTTCAGCAGCCAAACAGTGAGAGCTGCCAGTAAATCTCAAGGCTGCTGAACTTGGGCCAAAGAAGCAGCCTGGGGCAGAGGAAAGGGCACTAATGGGGGTTTTGAGTTCCAGGTCCTTCTTTCATTCAGTTACCAACTCTGTGAGTGACTTTGGCCAATTCCTCACTGACCTCACTGGTTTCCTCCTGTCACTTAAGGACTCTGTCTATTTTCCAAGTGTCTAGTGTTATGTATTGGTTTAATGAATGTCTTCAGCACCAGAACATTCCACCCATAACATCTTTCATATTGAACATCTGCTTTTATCCATCTCTTGAAACACAGCTCCCTCCAACACTGTGTCTTCTGTAGCGCCAAGTATTCTCTAGGCAATTAAAATGAATTGCAGGGGGTGGTTTGGAAACCATTTAATCTATCAGATGAAAAAAAAAAAACTGAAACTCAGAGATGTTCAGCAACTTCTCCAAAGTCACACAGCTTTTTGGCAGCAGTTCTAGGACACCTGCCTTCAGCCCCCTGCAGTAAAAAGGTAGTTGGTACCTGATGATGCCTTTTTTGGTGGGGCATGTCATCAAGGAATAAATATGAAGGGTAACAGCTGTGTAGTCCCAAAGCTTTATTTTCTTTATTATGACCACATGTCCCCAGGAAGAAAATATTTGTGGATCTAACTTTTGGATGTGAAGTGTCAAAGTGAAATGTTATTGACTCTATAGTGCTTCCTACTCGGATAAATGTATCCAATATGTTCCCAGTGACTCATGCGCAGGGCAGATGTATCTTTTTTTCTTCTTCTTAGACACTGACATTTTTGTTGCTCTACACAGAGCTCCCCCTAATCTGCATATGCATCAATAATTAGCCAAAGCGTTATGGAATTTCATCCAAAAATTAATAATTTGATTGGTTATTCAAAATCTCAAGCATCCTGACAGCCAGCAATCAATTGAGGAGTGAAATAATATGCAGACTGATTATTTATCTTCTTCTTTTTCCAACAAAGGAGCTCTCTATGAGCCAGACATCATATTGGGACATTGTGGGAGGATGTTTTTTACTTGATCACTATGTCTAGAAGATCCATGAAAGATATGAAGGATTTTCTAAAACATAGATTGGTCCTTAAAATATTGTTTTCCTTACACACAGAAAAAAAAGTCAGAAAAGGGGGTATAATGCAATATTTTTATTTTTACAGTGTCATAAACAAGTTTAAAAATATCCCAAGCTGAAAACTGTGAAATAAAATTAGTGATGGAATAAATAACATGAAACATTTTAAGACTAAAAATATACAGAGACCCTTAAGTGGCAAAATCTCCTATGGGAAGAAACATGGCTTATAAACGATGACGGTGCCAGTTGTAATCAGCTCCATGCATCGCTTTCCAAAATGTATGGCAAAAATAAAATAAAATAAACAAAACCTTAGAAGATATCTTTATAAGGTCCTCAAAACCTTTATAAGCTCCTTTACAACTTCCATGTATTTATAGAATTTTGAGTGCCAGAAGTCACCCAAAAAAGGAAATCTTTCTCAATGTATTTACATATAGAAAATACAAAAATAAACAAAAAGCAAAATAAAATGTACATTATCTGAGCAACTATCCTATGCCTTGAGAAGATAGATCCTAACTTCTAATGATACAGCAAGATGCTCCACTCCCATACAAGGATTCTTTGGAAATGTAGACAGCAATTAGCACCCACACCAGCGTTTCCACTTTAACGATAGATAAGTAACACACAGAATCACCAACAATTCATTAGAATTCAACACTAAGAAAATCTCTGATGATACCTCTTTATGAACCTGACCCGAGGCTGCTTACTGGAGGGAACTGAAATTGCATCTGACACAGTAATGTGCTTTAATTGCAAAAGGTTTTAAAAGATGGGGAGTTCCCAAAATGAACGGGAAAGGGTCCTCCCCAAAGCAGTAGTCAAAATTACGTTTGTTTAATCAACAGCATTTGGTTTAACACCAATGGTTCTTAGACTTGGCTGCTCATTCGAATTACCTGGGGAGCTTTTACTACTCTCAGCCTGGGCTGCACCCCAAACCAATTAAGCCACAATCTCTGGGGGTGGGACCCAGGCATCAGAACTTTGTAAAGCTCCCCCAGTGATTACAATGTGCAGCCAAGCTTGAGAACTTCTGATTTAGTGATAAGCCATCCTGGGTGACTGAATGATTGTCCTCGGTCGTTCACTCCCCTGTAGTAGGGCTATGCAGTGACACCCTTGCTATAATCTCTTGGTGGGCAGAAGATATTTCCCCACCTTTTGACTGTGGATTTGGCCATGTGGTTTGTTTTGGCCAATGGAGTGTTCATAAATGTGATGTGTGCTAAGATTTGACAGCTGCTTGGCAGATGGGCTTGCTCTTATGTGCACCTGCTTTTTTTGCCAGAAGAGCGTGCTTCAGTCAACCACTGTCCTAGGAAGAGACACATACAGCAGAACCAAACCCAATTACCAGCCTGGAGCCAAATGTAGCTGAACCCTAGCCTGCCCATAGACATAAGAATGGGAAGGAAGTGTTATTGCTGTAAGCCACTGAGTTTGGGGGTGGTTTGCTAGGCAGCATTTTTGTGTAAGAGGTAACTGACATACCTAAAATAAGAAAAAGATTATTTAGTGAGATGGCCAACATTGTGGATAATTGAACATTTCTTCTTGCGTGAGAGAAAAAGACAACTTATAACTTTTTCTAAAGGAAGGTTTGACCCATCATGCCTGCCATGATGTAGCTTTTTGGAACAGTGCTACTGTCTTTGTCACCCTTCTGATCTGTTAAGCAGAAAATATTTCCTGCTGATTTCTTACTCAGTTTCACACAGGGCTGCCATCTAAATATCTATCCTCACCAGGGCAGAGCTGGCATTCTGAATCATCAGTGCCCCAGGCTAGTTTGACAGCTTTTTTTTTTTCCTTTTCCTTTCCTTTTTTTTTTTTTTAATTTTCAAATTTAAGCTCTCTCCAAGTTTTTGTGGAAAAACAGAGAAAAAGCCCTTTCTATATAACTACTACCAAAATGATCAGACATACATATCCTTAGTTATGATAGGGTTTCTTACATGGTGCTGGGAATTTTGTGATTGTGCTGAAATAATAAGTCAAATGATAGTTAGGCCCACAGAAGTATAGGTCTCATCTCCCAGAAAAGCCCTCTTTTAGGATTTATGGCATTCACATAAGTGCATTTATTAATCAGGTGGTCTTGAATATAGGACAGTTATTCTCAAACTTGAGTGTGCATCAGAATCATCAGGGTGACTCGTGACAGCACAGATTGCTGGACCCCACCCCCAGAGTTTGTAACTCAGCTAAGTCTGGCTGAGGCCTGAGAATCTGCATCTCTATTAAGTCCATCAGGGGACGCTGATGCTGCTGGTCTGAAGACCACACTTTGAAAACCACCAATATGAGGTGAAAAATTATGTATGTGTGAGATAGATTCCATGTGGCACATTGCCTTGACAGAGAAGATTCTTATGCATTTCCTTAATGAAAACATGTTTGTGTGCAACACTAAGAATAGGTCCACCTGGAGAATACAAATGGAGTCAGCAACCTCAACTTTCTTTGCAAAAAGTTCATCTACTCCCATAACCACTTCCCAAATTTGTATCAGTAGTCCTGAATCCAGCAAAAACAACTCATGAAATGCCTCCTTTGCAAGGAAGCCTTCTCTGATTTCTCCAACAAGAAATATTGGCTTCTTCTTCTGAGACCCTGAACCCATTCTATGGCAAAGTACAGGTGCTTATGAACTTGTCTTAGCTTTTCATAAAGGATGTACAATCTATCTGATTCATCTTAGAATTTCCTACAGGTCTTTCACATGGCAGATACAAAATAAATATTTATAGATCCTGAAATCTGTGAATGAGTAACCATGTGAGGATGGGCTTAGGAAGTCAAAAGAGTAAAACTTAACATTAACAGTCTGCATTGTCAAATGCAGTGACCAGTGGCCACGTGTGGCTATTTAATGTTAAGTTAATTGAAGTTAGATGAAATTAAAAATCCAGTTCCAAGCTATACTAATCAAGACAGTATGGTATTTCTAAAAGAATAGACAAATACATCGATGGAACAGAATAGACAGCTCCAAAATGGATACCCATAAATGTAGTCAACAGATCTTTGACAAAAGAACAAAGGCAATACATTGGTGAAAATATAGTCATTTCAACAAACGGTGCTGGAAGAACTGGACATCCCAATGCAAAGTAGTGCATCTAGACACAGCCCTTATACCTTTCACAAAAATTAACTCAAAACGGATTGTATACTTTAAAATGTAAAACTATAAAACTCTTAAAAGACAGCATAGGAGGCCAGGTGCGGTGGCTCACGCCTATAATCACAGCACTTTGGGAGGTCGAGGCAGGCAGATCACCTGAGGGTGGGAGTTTGAGACCAGCCTGACCAACATGGAGAAACCCCGTCTCTAGTAAAAATACAAAATTAGCCGGGTGTGGTGGCAGGCACCTGTAATCCCATCTACTCTGGAGGCTGAGGCAGGAGAATTGCTTGAACCCAGGAGGCAGAAGTTGAGGTGAGCTGAGATCAAGCCATTGCACTCCAGACTGGGCAACAAGAACAAAACTCTGTCTCAAAAAAAAAAAAAAAAAAAAAAAAAAAAAAAAAAAAAAAGACAGCATAGGAGAAAATCTAGATGCCTTCACATACATACACCAAAGGCACAACTGATGAAAGGAATAGTTGATAAGCTGGTCTTCATTAAAATTAAAAAACTTCTCTTCTGTGAAAGAGTGTCAAGAGAGTGAGAAGCCAAGCACTGACTGGGAGAAAGTATTTGGAAAGATACATCTGATAAAGACTGCTCTCCAAAATAGCCAAAGACCTCTTAAAACTCAACAATAAAAAAAAAAAAAAAACCCATGAATAAAAGGCCAAAGATTTGAACAAACACCTCACCAAAGAAGATATACAGATGGCAAATAAGCATATGAAAAGATGCTGCACATCTTATGTCATTAGGGAAAAGCAAATTAAAACAAAAATGAGATACCAGTCACATGAATATTAGAATGGCGAAAGTCCAGAACATTGACAACACTAAATGCTGGTGAGGATATGGAGCAACAGGAAATCTCATTCACTGCTAGTGGGACTGCAGAATGGTACAGCCACCTTGTAGGACAGTTTGGCTGTTTCCTGCAAAACTAAACATACTCTTACATACAGTCCAGCAATTGTGCCCCTTGTTAATGACCCAAAGGAGTTGAAAACTTATGTTCAAACAAAAACCTGCACATGCATGTTTATAGCAGCCTCATTTATTATTGCCAAGACTTGGAAGCAACCAAGATGTCCTTCAGTAGGTGAATGTATAAACCACGGTAAATCCAAATAATGGAATATTATTTAGTGCTAAAAGGAAATGAGCTACCAAGCCACGAAAAGACACGGAGAAACCTTAAACGCACATTACTAAGTGAAGAAGCCAATCTGAAAAGGCTATATACTGTATGAGTCCAACTACATGCCATTTTGGAAAAGGCAAAACTTTGGAGACAGTAAAAAGATCAATGGTTGCCCAGGGTTGGGGGAAGGGAGAGACGAATAGGCAGAGTACAGAGAACGTTCAGGGCAGTGAAACTACCTTCTATGTTACTATCATGGTGGATGCATGTCATTTTACATTTGTCAAAATCCAGAGAATGAACAACACCAAGAGTGAACCCCAATGTAAACTATGGACTTTGAGTGATTATGACGTGTCAATGTGGGTTCATCCATTGTAATAAATGTACCCTTTGATGCCAGATATTGACAGTGACAGGGCCTGTGCCTGTGTTGGGATAGGCAATATATGGGATATTTCTCTACTTTCTGCTCACTTTTTCTACTCTAAGAATAGTTTATTTAAAGGGGAAAAATTCCAGTTCCTCCCTCATACTAGTTGTGTCTCAAGTACTCAATAGCCACGTTGGCGTGATAATCACATTGAACACATACATGGTTCTATTGGGTGGACTACTCCAGAATTTCCAAATCACTTTCATCTATGTTATCTTATCTGCCCCTCACCAACACCACTGTGATGTAAGTGGTTTAAAAAGTCATCATATCCATTTTATAGCTGGAAAAAATGCAATCTTAGAGAAAATAAATTGCTTTATGGCAAAGTGGAAGAATGTAATCTATAAAATACGTATCAGACATGAGAAAGTTTCTAGAACTTAGTGGGTATGCAATCAATCGTACTCCATTATTTGTTGATTTATTAAGTTTTCTTTTTTATTTTGACCCTACCTCATTATTCAATCAATCTGTCAACAAATATTGCATTTATCACGTATTAGATACAGTGCTTGGCACTGGGGATGCACAGGTGAACAAGTGAGACGAGGTCCCTGCCCTCAAGGAGCTTACAATCCAGCCTTCTTTACCCTCGTGTGTTCCAAAGCCAGCCAGAGATACTAGTGAACTCAATCTCGGTGGGGTCATAATGGGTCTATGAAGGATACTAAGGCCAATACAACATCCCTTCATCTCACCCAGGTGAAGTTCAGGTGAAGCTGCTGGAAAACACTGGGCTACAGAAGAACTGTTCCTCATGTCCCCTGGCATTTGCCGCTTGTTAAATGCCTTTCTCTTCTCCAATTCCTCAGCCCTAGTTCTAGAAGTTATCAAAAGGAACATTTGCTGCCTAAGACAGGGTCTTTCTTGCTTCATGCCCTGGAAAGATTATTAGCTGCTTTATGGAGGTCTCTAGGGCAGTGTAAGCCTCATCCCTAAAGGATTTTAACAGAGGCATACAATTACACTTAGTTTTGATGTGCACAAGTTTACCTTTCCTACAAGACCCAATACCTTTGTCTCTGTTTTCCTTAGCATCCAGCGTAATGCCCTGCAAATAGCAGCAGCACAATTAAAATTTTGTGAAGTGACAAGACAGATGCTAATATCTTTTTTTTTTTTTTGAGACAGGTCTCACTTCGTTGCACAGGCTGAAATATAGTGGCAGAATCATCATGGCTCACTGCAACCTTGACTTCTCAGGCTCTAGTGATCCTCCCACCTTAGCCTTCCTAGTAGCTGGGACTACAGGTGTGTGCCACCACACCTGGCTAAATTTTTGTATTTTTTGGTAGAGAAGGGGTTTTACCATGTTGTCCAGGCTGGTCTCAAACTCCTGGGTTCAAGCGATCTGCTTGCCTTGGCCTCCCAAACTGCTGGGATTATAGGTGTGAGGCACAGTGCCCGGCTGGATGCTACCTTTTGAGCCCCAGCTGAGCCCTAGAAATTACTCTTATTACATTGTTATAATACCTACTATGAGCTGGAGATGGTCCATACCAGCACTTTCCAATAGACAATGCTATCAACCACACAGTAATTTTAAATTTTCTAGTAGTCAGATTTTAAAAAGTTAAAAGAGATGAAATAAATTTAAATATCTCACTTAACCCAATATATCCAAACTCTGATCATTTTGACATGCAATCAATAAAAAAGTATTAATGAGACACGTTACATTTTTGTACTAAGTCTTTGAAATTCAATGTGGATTTTAACAGTTATCACACATCTCAATTTGAACTCACCATATTTTAAGAAATCAATAGACACATTTGGCTAATGACTAGTATTGGACGGTGCTGTTTTATACAGAAGTTTATAACAACTTGTAAGATGCATAATGATAAGAGCAGAATTTTGAGTGCCAAGATTTCAGAAGGATCATCTCATCTAACCCCAACAATGTTCATCTATGGATGAGGAAATATAGGCATAGAAATGGTTAGTGACTTTCCCTTGGCCACATTGCCAGCACGTGGCAGAGTTGGGCGTTGACTTCAGGCAGTCTGAAGCCGTCAGTCACATCATGCCACCGATTAGTTGTGTGGCCTTGGGCGAGTCACTTTTCTTCTCTATATTTTCATTTCCTCACCTATAAAATGGGCATGGGTGGAGTGGATCATCCAGGGTGGACACTGCATGTTTCAATCTTCGTCTTTATTTCCTCATGTCTGGCAAGTCTGGCTCTCCTGTTACCACCCAGGAGGACATCAGGTTCACATCACTGATTCTCTGGCTGCTTCTTACCCTGGACTTTACCAGCTGGGGGACAACTTAATGACAAGCAGTGAGATGGAGCCCCTCCCATGCCCAAGAGCAGTGCTGCATTTTCATTGGTGTGTCTTCTATTTTCTGCACATAGCCCAGCTTCAGCTTCTGGATGCTTTCTTGAAAGAAGGAAAACTTGTTGTCTGGGCACTCAGTTTTAATTTTCTGTCTTCTTTGTTCTTGTGCATGTTGTAGAAAGCTCCATACTCCCAAGGAAATTCTACTGTATATTTCCATCATTTCCCTTCTCTCCCTCTCAAGAAATGCAAGAAAATAACTGTCAACTTTTTTTGCATATATAAATTTTAACAGCACATACATGCTGATGAATCTTTTATCCAAGAAGGAAAGGCTTATTTCAAGTGATTGAAAGTTGAAATGCTTAGGTTTTCATTCTTGTTGGATAATGGAATTACCGTGTGGACATGCTACTTTTTGATGACTTCATCAACTGCATTTCCCAAATCCAGTAACTGTAATGAATGCCTACTATGTGCAAAGGCACAGTCCCTGTTTTTAAGGAGCATGTCTTCCACCAGGGAGGAAAAAGCAAATGTTCAAACAACCACAATACAAGGTAGATTGAGCAGACCAAATGCCTTAGGAGGGGTGCACAGCACTAAGATAGTTAAAATATTTGGTTTGGGGTAAATCAGGGAAGGCTCCACAGAGGAGCTGTCATTTAGAATTAACTTTGAAAGGAAGGTAGATTTCAGTAAACAGAGAAGGCAGGGAGGGCCTTTAGGGAGAAGAGGCAGAGGCAACTATCTATGTATCATGGACTAGAAGTAGGAGGGGGAGCAGGCAGCAGCATGTGGCCTGGCCTGAGTACTGCACATGGATTGTGGAGATTACATAAGGATGTAAGACAGTTTGACAAACTCCTGCCAGGAGTGTCACACTCCCTATCCTCCACCCATGGGAGATAACATAAATCAATCACAGCCCACACCTTTCCACATGACGAGATCGACTTGCCATCCTTGGTATAGGAGTGCAGAGATAGGGAGATAGAGCCTTCAATACCGCGTTGACTAGTTAGTTGTTAATTGCATGGGCAATGGGGAGCCATTAAAGTCTTGTAAGTAGGGGAGTGACATGGTGGGAAATGAGAGCTGTAGTTCAGGGTAATTAACTTGGCAGTACTATCTGGAATGGATTAGAATGGTTATAAGACTGAAGGCCAGTTATTTAAGAGGTTACTGAGATGGTTTAGGTGAGCAATAATGTCTGGAACTGCATGGATGGCTGCAGAAAGGAGGGGCATATGTCATGTAGGTAGAATTTGTAGCACTTGGCAAGCATGTTAGGATGTGGAGAACTAGGGGCAGGAGCAAAAGAGAGGAGTCAAAGTTAACTTTGAGGTTCCCAGTAATTACCTTAGAGTAGGAGAAAAGTAATGTTACCATCAGGAGAGGAGCCTGGGATTGGCAAGGAGGTAGGGGGCGATGGCTGTGGTGTTGCAAAGAGGAGTTACAAAAAAACTGAAATTAGGCTGATCTCTTCCACAAGCATAGCTTTTCTAAGCCATTTTCAGGGAACTCGGTGCAAAGTAAAATAACCATTTTTAAGCAAACACTGTTGCCCTTTGTCAATGAGCAGAGTCTAAGGAAGGCTCCCATCTCTTCAAATATTTGGAAAATTGGAAAGCCTTAATTAGTAATCCGAAAGGGAGCATGACGGAAGGAAAGAAATATAAACCTAATCACTGTGCTTTTCAGGTTTCAAATGCTTCCCCAATCCAGGTAATTTACACTTTAGTCACAGTGATTGACAGTCAAGGAATGTATCTAACTCACTTTTATTTTTTCCCTTGGGGAAAGCACTTGAGTTCCCAATTGTTTTAAATTGCAGAAGCAGTAATTGTCTTAGAGAGTTAGGAGAAATGGCTTTTTGGAGCTGCGATCTTTTTCTGAAGGGAATATAGAGTCTATTTTAATTGATTCAGGTCATTATGACTATTTTCTAGATGGTCTTTTCAGGGTGACTAAACATCACCTTAGTTAAAGGAGAACAGTAAGAAACTCATTAAAGGTCCAAGGGGAACAGACTTAATAAAAAATGTTAACAAGTTGCTACTGGTACCTAAAAGGAAACCAGGGATACTTTTTAAGTCACTTGCGTCCCAGATAGAATTACTGGTGAAATTTAATGTGACGAGTATTTTTTAAAGTATTCTAAAATAAACATGAGGCAGCCAATGTATTCTGAGATGCTCACTGTCCCAGAGGAAGTTGTTTCTTAAACTGTACACTTTGATATATTTGTTTCCTTAGAAAAGTCAAGTGTAACAAGCTAGGTCAATTGCATCAAGAACATTACTAACAGGCTAACCAATGGTAAATGTTGTGAAGGCTACTCTGGAAATCTGTGCTTTCACGTATGGGGAAACCCACACGTCTGATTTGGGATGGAGGAGACAATTGTGCATTGTTTGTAGGCGCCAACAGACAGGCTAAAGCCAGGGATCCTTGCAGAGACAGGATTAAGGTATCAGGACTGTTCACATCTCATTTACATCACCCCGAAGAGTGGACCACAGGTTTTGCTGATTAGTACACAGACTATGGCAAAGGGCATTGTGTATTTGAAATAAGATCAAGATCAGTAACAGTAACAGAAACTATGTGTGAAATTTGGCATATGGCGGTTCCTCTGAAGGATTAGCTAACTGGGTTTCCCGCACTTACTATTTTTTAAAGCATTTTTCCAAACCAGGAAGTTAGCAAAAGAAAAATGTCCCCCAATTCCCTCCGCCTACCCCACGTTCTGAAGCACATATATTTATGCCACCTTCTGGCCTCTAATAATATTATTTATTGTCAAAATTTTGGATCCTTTTGAAAGGAAGGTGGGGCGTATTTCCACAGTGTCTTCGCAGGCAAAAGAAAGTGGTAGATTGAGTATGAAGGCAGACAAATCAGGCTACTACCATTGGAGTATTTTCCATTCTTTCAATTTGTATTGTTCCTTCATCTTGGAGTTTGCAGTCAAGGTAACGATGATGCAATTATCTGCTTTCCTGGAGTTTTAGGTACCTACTAGGGGATGAATGTATTTCAATGGGAGGAGGGTGTAGAATGATGCCTATAATAATACGAATTATTAGGAGCTGTTAATTATCTGAATGTTATCCGGGCATTAGTAATGCCTCTCCAGTATATCTACCTTTTATGGATGAGACTGTACATTTAATAGGAAAAGTACCAGTGGGAATTGACAATTAGCAGCCACGCTTGAGCTAGATGCAGCGTGGCATGTTTTATCCAGCTTAGATAGTTGTCGACCAAACAGGCCAAAGTTTTCTTCAGTAGAAAATGCCCTGCCAAATGGTTTCTGGATCCTTCGCGGACAAACAGCAAAGGAGCTGAAAGCGACCTCTTTCAACCATGCCAGAAACTGTCCATGGCGCTTCTAGATTCACAAAATCTGTTTTAGACACAGATGTCTTTAACCAAGATTGGAAACCCACTGGCCGTCCCATCCCAAAGTAAAAAGTGCCACGTCCTCCCATCCTCCGCCTTCCTTGGGATGTCAGCCCCGTTCTAATTCCTTTTTAGTTTCTCCTCAGCCCTCGGCAGGGCTGGCAGGGGGCTACCTGCGATTTCCCAACGTGGACGTGGACAATCGGATTTGTCTCTACCCAAGCTGGCAGCGGATGGGGACGAGTTCTGTTCCCGAGAGAGTCTCAGAAGTAGGCACGGAATCATCTCACCGATTTTAATTTCTGTCCCTGGGCTGGGGAGAGGGGAGGATTGGGGCGCGGGAGGCTCTGTTCTCCTCCTCCCCTCTTTTCCCCACCTCCCAAAATTGGCAGCCAGTCTGTGGCTCTCGGTCTGGGGTCTGGAGGGTGGGGAATGTGGGTGTGGGGGCCGGCTGGAGAAGCTCTCGCTAGCGCTGCCTGTGGCCAGACCCGCCTCTTGTCCCCTTTCGGGCGCACACACACGTCCACCCAGACACTCCGCGCGCTCCCTCGCGCTTTTGCTTGCCCGCCCGCCGCCGCCTGCTTTTTCCCTCCTGCTTTCGCCGGTCGCCTTCTCCTTCTTTTTTTTTTTTTTTTTTTTTTTTTTTTTTTTTTTTTTTTTTTGGTACCATAGAGTTGCTCTGAAAACAGAAGATAGAGGGAGTCTCGGAGCTCGCCATCTCCAGCGATCTCTACATTGGGAAAAAACATGGAGTCAGCTCCGGCAGCCCCCGACCCCGCCGCCAGCGAGCCAGGCAGCAGCGGCGCGGACGCGGCCGCCGGCTCCAGGGAGACCCCGCTGAACCAGGAATCCGCCCGCAAGAGCGAGCCGCCTGCCCCGGTGCGCAGACAGAGCTATTCCAGCACCAGCAGAGGTAGGAGGCTGGAGAGGGGCTGGGGAGGGGGCGGCGGGAGCCCGGGCGCGGAGCGGGGGGCGGCCGGGAGCGGGCGCCCGGGGCGCGGGGTCCGGCGGCCGCGCGCGAGCCTGCGGCGGCGCCCCGAGCCCGGAGGACCCCCCTCCCCTCCCCCCTCCGCCCCCCAGAAATGTTGCAAACTTTTGCAGCCCGTTCTCGGCTTGCGGGAGCAGAGTGGGGCGGGGGAGGCGGCGGGAAGGTTGACAGCCGGCGGGCTCACCCCCCTGGCTTTGATTTTTCTGCAAACACTGGAGGAAAGCTGCGTTGCCTCAATTAAATACGCTCCCCCAAAATACGGAGATGCGGGGAGTGGGGGCCCGGGAAAGAAACTTTTAAAGCGGCAGTGTCCTTTTAAGAAGGGGCAAAAAAATCTGTTTATGGCCACCCTCCTTCCGCTTTACCTTTTCTCCTCTTGACAGTTTCGGCCCTGGCTGCCCGAGTCGGGGGTGTGTTTTCGGTCCCTCTCAGATCTGGGCGGGGGGCGGGAGGAGTGAGCGACCTGGGAAGTCCCGGGGGTGGAGAGGGGGCGCTCCGGGGTCTGGGGGCGACGTGGACACCTTCTTTGGAGCACGGCGGTGCGTTTGGGATTTGAAGGAAGGGCCGAAGGAAGCGGGGTGCGGGCGGGCGAGCTGTTCGCCAAGTTGTCTGGCGGGCGCGGCGAGGGGAGATGCGCAAGTTTGCAGACCGGGGGTTCGGAGCCCGGCGCCCAGGCTGGCGGGGGGCGTGTGCGCGCCAACGCGCAGAGGGCGGCGGTCCTGTGGGGCGCTCCACGCGCATCCGGAGGGAGCGTCTACAAAAGCAAGCACCGAAACTTATTTCTGCTCTGGGAATCCTTCCCTCTCGGAGGTTCCAAGCATTTCTGCAGGAACCTGGGGATGGTCAGTGCAAGTTGTATGCTGGTTGGATAGTGCAAGCAATGTTTTCTCCTCCCCTGGCGATTTTTACTCTTCATTTTGGTGTTTGGTCTGTGTCTGCGTGTGTTGGGGGGGATGGGGGGGACTCAGTTGCTCCCTCCTTTCCTAAAGTGAGCTGTTGAGGAAAGCTCACTCTTTCTTGAAGGTATTGGAACCTGATGTGTGTTTTTCTCGAGAGTGGGGGATTATTTATTTGAATGCGCCTGGAGTTTGCAAAGAACAGGAGGAAGCTACAGCTTTAATTACTGTTGTAAATAATGTATAAATCGCGCCTGTCACTCCGGAGGAAGCGTGCTCGCGCGAGCCGCCTGGAGCTGGGGACGGAGAGGATTTCTCCAGCCCCGGCTTGGGTACCGGCCCAGCGCGCCCCCTCCTCTTGCACTCGGCTTCTGGCGGCGGTTGGGGAGGGCTGGGTAGAGGCGAATGGGGGCCCCAGGAACTGCTCCCTTCCTCTCGATGTTGTAGTTGGAGGTAGGAATATGGCTGATCATGTGCTGGCTGTTTTACAGTATCCCCCCCCCCACCTTAGCCACACCCCCTGTCCAGGCGCTTTCCCATTCACGGAATTCGAGTACAGTAAAAGCCATCAGGATGACACACGCGAAAAACATTTAATTAAAGGCGATTTCCAAAGGGTGACCGCGGCGAACCGCGGTTTCAGCGGGAGGGGGGCGGCGAGGGCTGGGACAAAAGGGAAGGGGATGAGGGCTGGGGGCCTGGACCTGCCGCTAGCTCGGTGAGTTTGTGTGCGGGGAGCTTTTGGCTGCAAAGAGTATATTTAGACCCTGAGACGGTGGATTTGGAATGCGAGCGGGTTATGTAACAGGGTTAATCAGAAACACTGGAGAAAATCCCCTTCATGTGTTTCTGGGGCTTTTTTTTTTTTTTTGGAATGGGGGGGACATAGTATTTAGGAAGCTGCACTAATTTTTGGTTTGTGCTGCCACCTTTCTCCTTCTTGACCCCCCCACACCCTGTGTTATTAACATCTTCAGGTGTCATTCTTGCCAGAAGGTGTTCTTGCAAGCGATCAGGGTGGCAGGCTGCAGAGCCGACTAGCAAATCCGTAACTTGCTGTTCTTGCAAATTATGTAACGCCGGAGCATTCAGTGCCACCAGCCCCCTTAGGCTCAGCAAAAAGGGGAGAGGGGCATAGTAGGAGTGGGATACATCTTGCACAGCTGACCTGCTGACCCATATCCCCTTCCCCCCACCCTCTGCCCCCACCCCAACTCATTCTTTGAACCAGCCCCTGTCTGTCCCTCCTGGAAGATTTAATGGGAGGGGGGTGGTAAGGCCCAAACACTCAACTCACATCCTGCACGCAGGCACTAGGTTATATAACAGTCTGAATGGAAAAAGGAAGGTCAGAGATGGAGGCATCCTTTAGCTAACACAGCAGTAGTAATAGCTTCCAGAAATTATGTGCATTTGCAGACTTTAACCTCAGATGTAGCATCTGCTCCTCAGGGGTACCAATCTTTATGTGTGTGAGCTAGGGAGAAAAAGAGAGAATGTGTAAGTATGCCTGGTAGTTGAGAGTGATTTGAAAATGGGAAATGTTTGGGTTTTCAGATGATGTAATGGAGTTGGCAGAATATGCAAGCCGGCTCCCAGAGTGTAAGCAGTAAGAAAATTGGAGCTGGCATCCAGTATTAATGTTGCATAAATTACAATATCGGAAAGAAATTAACCTACACACTAGGTGATTATGCCTTTTAAATACTTAAAACATAAAGGCACACAACTAGAAAGGAAAAGCAAACATCATCACCTTATGATTAGCATTTTCAACCTCCAGGAGGGTGGAGTGGAGTTCTTGGCATTGGGTGAAATGGGAAGCTTTCTGATTTGGGAGATACTTTCCAAAGGGTAGCAGGTTTAGCTTCTACCCAGTCAGTGTTTGAAGTCCACAGAAATTGTGGTCTGAATTCTCATGACATTGCAGTGACCTCATGAGACATTACCTAGGTAGACTTGAGGCTACTGTTGAATTCCTCCCTCTTGGGAATCCAAGTGTGGATGCACTGTGTACCTTTATTGCCTGAGCTTACAAAATCAGGTGTGTGACTTTATAATCTGAAAGACGACCTTCCCCTGTCCATAAAACTGCTGGGAATGTTAGCAGTTTTAATGAAACTCTTCCATTTTCTAGGTGATATTAATGATAGCTGGTGTCACTCAGTTCCATCTTAACAACACAATGAAAGAGAAAAAAGAAAGGCAGGAAGCGACAAGGGAAGTAGGAATGAAGCGGAAAAAAAACCACAGCGAATCTTTAATTTAACAAGGCTTTCAGGGACTTCAGGGAGCCATGAGCCTCGTGACATAACTGTTGTTAAAAACCCTTTTTCAGAATCTCGTTATTATATGTGCTTGCCAGAAGCTTACATATTTTAGTTCAGTGAAGTCATCCACACAGGGCTGTGTACCACCACACAGTTGGTTTGGAACACCAGTGCTGAAGGTTGAAGGCTTTTAGGGCCGGCAGACCTAAGGGAAAAATCGAAACCAAAAGATGGGATTAACAGTGAAAAGCTCAGTTGGGTTGAGATCGAACCCCCTGGAAGCTCAGCTTAGATTGACTTAAAATCAGTTAACAGGGCCTGTAGTTTATGTGTAGCCCTGAGGACTTCTAGAACCACATACGTCTTTGACTTTGAAAGTGCGTGGCCTCTCTTGCCCCCTTCAGTTTTGGCTGATTCACTTTCTAGTAGGTGCTCTTACCTAGCAATTTAGCGCCCTTTCTAGAGATTGATTCTCAGATCAACTTTCCTCACATGGACCCGGCTCGCCACAGTGAACAAATGATGCCCCATAGTTTGAAAGAGCTGCTGACTGGGAGAAAAGCCTTTGCCAGAGGGATAAAATAATTATTTTTTAAACTAAAGGACTTTAATTTTCCGGTAAATTGCTCATAAAAACATTTATAATAATACCCTTTAAAAATGTAATATAATAATTATAGAAAAGGCATTTGATGATAGTTATGATAACCTTTTCTGTTGCTTCCCCCTTATTTCTTAAAAAAAATTGAATTATTAATCTAGAATTCAAGTCCTGAGTGGTTCAAAACATCTATAGGAGACTCTTCTAATGTTAGTCACCTGCTGGAATTTTCCAATACCTACTGGCATGGTGAGGAGCCCTTGGCTTTAGAAAATGCCTCTACGTCTGAAACTGAAGTATGGAGCCTGCATTGAAGCCCCTAACGATGAGACCCTTCAGCTTGTTTTCAAGGTAGCAGAGGTGGGGGCTGTAGCACACACTTCTGGTTCCACACTAGACTCCTGAAGTGGGACACAGGGAGGCGTGAGAATGTTAATTGTAATAGATGTGCCTCCGGATAAAAATGTTCTGAGGATTTTTAGTGACAGCTGAATCACTTTTGGAAGCAAACTGCCCTCTGTCCAGAGCTAACCTTTGGAATTCGAGTGAGACAAGCCCATGGGTTCTTTTCCTTGGACATGTCACTTCTGAATTAAGATCCACCTTCTCCCATTTTTGTGTTTAGGAGCTTGCGGTACCATGTTGACAGGAGAGATGGAGTTGGAGGTTATTAGAGGTTCATATGGTATGGTATCTTAAGCATGTGCCATGTGTTCTGAGTTTACTCTTCCTTTCCCCCTTCATCTTCCCAGGCTACTTGATGAATTGAGCTTCTTAGCTTACACTTCTGTGGAAGCCAAATGCATAACCACATTTCCCAGGTATCTGGGGAAAGAGCTGTAATGTGATTGCCATGTGTGCAAAAACAAATAATAAAAAAATTTATAGGAAACGCACCTCTCCTATTATGACATATCTGGCTGTTCACATTCATTGTCTCCCATGAGCCAATATACAGGGACTTTGAGGTAGACCTCATCTGCTCGCTCACAGATTCCTGTCCCATTCATCCCAGATTAGTGATAAAGTGTGCAGAAACAAGGAGAGTATTTTTGAAAGGCCTTCAAGTGTTGGAGTGAATACTCATCCAGAATTTGGAATACTTTTCTGAATATGAAGATTATCTTCCTTACTCAAAATTTAGGAATAATACTCTCTGTCTCTCATTTTCTCTTCTATCATTTTTTAGTGGTTTTTTTTTTTTTGATATCTAATTCACGCAGGAAGTGTTGGTTTAGAAATGAGCTGTTAAATTTTTCACCCATCTTTTTAGGCTGTATGTTAAAATAAAATTGTATTTTTAAAATTAATGCTTTAAAAAAAACCTGAGAATCAGTGTTTAAGTGTTGATTAATACACAGTAAACCATGATTTTTCTCTAAGGGTGCCAGGACATTACTGATGAGTTGGTTTTTCTGACTAACAGTAGATTAACCCAAAGTATTTTTTGTCCTTTACTTGTTGAATACGTTTTCTAAACGTACTAGTCCCGTTTCCTACTCTAGAAAGAACACTGAGAATGTAATTGAATCTTTCTTTGAGGTTTGAGAATCTTATGGTGCCACAAGGTCACTGTTCTGAGTATGAATTCCAATTGTACATTATAGAACTGTAAATGGACACAGTGTCAGAGATTGGACTAAATCTATCTTGATCCCCACTTGGAAATTGTTTTCTTTCTTTCTTTTTTTGTTAAATGCTCAATATCAGTATGTTTTGTTATTTCCTCCCTTGTTGTCTAAGTTGCAAGTAGCAAAATAGAAATTCAATTAGTTGATTTTAGTTAATTGAGATTTTTACTTTATAGGAATATTTCATCCAGAGCTTAGGCTCTTCTTAATTCTTTCTTTGGAGTTAAAGAGGATGTAAAGTCATTTTTTTTTTTTTTTTTTTTTTGAGACAGAGTCTTCGCTGTGTCTCCCAGGCTGGAGTGCAGTGGCACGATCTCAGCTCAGTACAACCTCTGCCTCCCGGGTTCAAGCAATTCTTGTGCCTCAGCCTCCCAGGGAACTGGGACTACAGGTGCGCACCACCATGCCCAGCTAATTTTTTGTGTTTTAGTAGAGACGGGGTTTCACCATGTTGCCCAGGCTGGTTTCAAACTCCTGAGCTTAGACAATCCACCCGCCTCGGCCTCCCAAAGTGCTAGGATTACAGGTGTGAATCACCATGCCTGGCGGTAAAGTCATTCTTGAATATTCAGGAAGGATATTATATTTTCAAGTAAGTTATTTACTGTATTATGATAACATAAGTTTTCTCCCATCTAATGGTAGACAGAAACTCCAGGTAGTCCTAACTCTTACATAGATATATTGAAGGGGTATCTTTGGCATGAGGCTCTTAAATCCTGAAAGTTAGGAAACTCTAGGGTTAGAAGGAATAATTCCAAGAATGTCAACAAAGAACATTTCGATTGCCCCAAAGGAAACCCTCTTTCCAAGCACAGGTTGTTTTCACTGGACGAATATGGAAAGCATCCCTGGAACCACACCATCAGAAGCTGACTTTCTCAGGGATGTCCCACTTGACTTAATGATATAGTCTGCAGTTGTCTTGTGATTATCTTTGATATTGTAGTGTTGGAAATTCAGCTTGGGAGTCCTGATGTTCTTTTGTGACAGCCCAGTTATTATTATTTCTCTCTTGATTTTGGAGCAAAGACATCAAGGAGATTGTCTAAAGAAATCCTTAGAAGAGAGGAATGGGGCATGATGAGGAATAAATGTACCATAGCTCACAGTTTAGTCAGGCCGGCTTTTTGCGCCAGCTCTTACATGCTAATGCTAAAAGGAATTATAGGTAACAATTCCCCTGTGTTGGTGCAAGAACAATTTTTTTTTCCTAACATATTTGTATGGCCTTAACTGACACGTCATTATTACAGACTGTCTTATCACATTACATAGTATGGCACATTAACAGTGGCATGGCGCTGTGGTTTCCTGGTGATGGTTTTGTCCGCAGAACTGGGGCCCTGGTGGTCAGCTAGGGAGCCCTGTACAGCACCCACTGACAGCTGAGAGTACAGGTTTCACACACCCTTGTAGGTGGTGGAGGACTCCAGGCTGCCCCAGGTAGAGCTTCTATACCATAGATGTTTTCTCTGAAACTCTGTGTCAGAGGATGGAAATGAGTAGGAAATATTATGGTACAGAGGATTTATAATCTCCTAGCCTAGAATCATCTTAACAATGTTATTGGGTGTTTTAATTTTGATTATGAACTATTTTTTTAGTTTTTTTTTTTTTTTCTTAAAGAGATGGGCTCAAGGGATCCTCCCGCCTCAGGCTTCTTAGTAACTGAGACTACAGGCATGTACTACTGCACCTGGCTTGATTATGAACATCTTAAAGTTTCCTGAAACAATTAGGAAGTTTCTGCATCCACGCACAGACCATAATAGATAAACTCTTCTGGGATGCAAGGAAGGGTGCCACTTAGTATAGGATCCTCAAGCCACTGAAAGAGGCAGTGCAGTGTTAAAAATACCTAGCTTACTTCGGGGGAGGGTTTGGCTGAATACTGATGAAGTTTATGAAATATGAATGTAGTGAAGTTGCTGTACGTAAGTGGTAGGCGTGTGTGAAAGAAGTAAGAAGAAATAAAATTGTGTATAAATGACAGTCTGAAACTTGATGGGATTGTACACGTGATAAGAATGGTGATGTTTAGGTCTGTGCTTAATGGGGGAAAGTAAACGGGCTTAAAATCTATGTCAAACTAGCCACGAGAATAAAAATTATAGAATATAAAATCGTCTGACTTTTTTGTATAAGCAAAGAATGCTACCAAGAATAAACAGGCAAGAATAGAGGTGAAATAGAATGAGGGGGAAATGAGGGACCATCGTTTGAATCTACTATGAAGTATGGTAATCACTGTTTTAAGAATTCCAGACTATTAACTACTGTGCAGTTAGGAAGGGAATTAGTTGTAGCCAAACAAAAGCCATAAATATGAATTTTAGGTTGTACGGAAGAAATCCTCTTGATCCCAAAACATAAATGCATGTACTGAGAAGCCAAGCTGCACATGGTGTAATTTTTTCTGTCTTATCCTGATTAATTGACAGTCAACTGTATGCTTCTTTCCTGAAGGTGACTTTACAATCTCTAGACCCAGACATTTCTCTCTGAAGTGGAGTGAAGGAAGGAGAACCAGAAGCTAAAGTGTGTTTCACTGGGTGAAGTATTTTGGGGGAAAGATAAGAAGGATGAAATAGGGGAATGGACTAGTGCCTGCAGAGATTAACAATGCCTGTTTGGGGCTGGGGAGTGGGGGCTGTGGATGAAGGCAGGGAGCCTCTAGAGGGAAAAGAGACTTCTGTGCAAAGGAAAATGACATTAGCATTGACTCTGAAATGGCTGGGAATGTGACTTTCTAATTTTAAATTATCTTTAACAAGGGCAATGAAAAGAGGAAAAGTTGACACTTTGAGAAGTTATGACGAACTTGTCGAGAATGCCAATTGACAAAGGCAGGTAAGGGAGTACTTGGAAAAACAGCAAGAATAGGTCTGAAGGGCACGGTGAGCTGCTTTCCTAGGGTGTAAAGGGAATTGGCAGCCGTGTTTATTGACTCTTCCAATTAATTTTAAAGAAACCTGAAGAAATGGACAAAGACAGAGAAAAGGCAACCAGATGTGATTCCGCCCTTCCAGAAGCAAAGAGGCTTATTTCATCCCATATGATCGATGCCAGTCATGGGGAGGAGTGGCTGTGTGGAAATTAATGGATTTTCAACATCCAATCACAGAGGACACACATGTATATTTAGCAAGTCTAAAACCTCTTAAATAAACTGCATTGCTTTTCATTTTCACTTTCCAGTTATAAAACCAGTGGATGATGAAAAGGCCATGTGACAATACAGCATGTACTCTCAGGAATGTTTGTGTGACGGGGATATTATATCTGAAGGGACAGGGCAACTGGGAGGGTGAACTGCTCATAACTCTCAATTGTCCAGGTAATGAAGCATTGGGAAAGCAAAGGCAAATGAAATAACCTGATCATCAAAAAATGATTCCTCTTTTAGTGCTCTTATTAGTTGACTGATGATGACAAGTGTGAAATTGCCAGAGTTGTATTTTACCATTTCTGGCACTCATCACGTGCTTTGGATGAGCACATGTGTGCAGAAAGTGGGAACCCGGGCAATTTCTATAGACCAGGCTGTTAACCTGCAAGCTGTAAAATTTCACAGTGTGAAGGATGACAGTCAAGGATTGGTGAGGTTCCCTAGCATTCTTGAGGACTCACAGGGAATCAGAAGAAGAACTGAAGCTACACTGAAAGGGCTCTTGAACCCTCTAAAGCTGACTTTTTAGTCTTGAACTTGGGGTTGTATGTTAAATATGTGATACTCACTCATGATGCTACCACTTGGTCGTATTTTATTAGACTAAAGTGTGTTAAAGCCAGAAAGGGCTTTATGAATCAGCGAGCCTAGCCCACCCTATTTGAACTGATGCTGACAAAGGTAACGTGTTCGAGATCACATTCCTAGTAAGCAGCAAGACTGTGACTAGAACCCAAGTCTTGTACTTTCTTACCTCATGTTCCTGTCACTTGTGTGCTGTGCCAGGATCCTCCAAAGTTCGAATAATGAGGATTTTTTTTTTTTTAAATTTTGAGACGGAGTCTTGCTCTGTCGCCCAGGCTGGAGTGCAGTGGCGTGATGTCTGCTCACTGCAAGCTCCGCCTCCTGGGTTCACGCCATTCTCCTGCCTCAGCCTCCCGAATAGCTGGAACAATAGGCGCCAGCCACCGCGCCCAGATGATTTTTTTGTATTTTTAGTAGAGACAGGGTTTCACCGTGTTCGCCAGGTTGGTCTCGATCTCCTGACCTCGTGATCCTCCCGCCTTGGCCTCCCAAAGTGCTGGGATTACAGGCATGAGCCACCACACCCAGCCTAATGAGGCTATTAAGATGTGTGCAAGTTGATCTAGCATTAGGCAGTAGATTATGTACAAAATTAAGCATGGGTTATTTTGGCTATGCATTATTAGTGGAACATTGTCAGTAATTGTTATTTTTTAACCCCACTGGGCATTTTTATTATTAATTAAAAATCCACCAGTGAGCTTGTGGCTATGTCAGTAAAGCCATTCTAAAACATAGTGAAAATAGTGTCCAAGTCTCATGCTCTGATTTAGTGGAAAGTAAAACTATTTTTACTTTCTATTAATAGGTATAGAGTTGAGCATCTCATGCTTAGTGCTCACCAGAGCTAGACACAGCCAGGAGGCCCACAGCAAAGATGTGTGTCTCCGCAGCAAGCTTGTTTTCTCAAAGTAGAGGATTTAAGGCTGTACCTTGTCTAGAGATGCTCAGGATCAAGTCTGTGAATGGAATATTATGTAGCCATTAAAAATCATGTTGCACTAGAAAAGTATTTCTTATCAAGAAAAAGTGTCTATCAGCCATTGCTAAGTGAAAAGTAACAGCTTTCATAGCAGTGTGCATGGAATGCCATCTTTTTTGTAGAAGGAAATTGTGTGTGTGTGTGTGTGTGTGTGTGTGTGTGTGTGAGTTATATTAGTAAATTAACTTGGACCCACGAATACCAAAATGATGAAATGATAAAGTGGTCATCTGTGGATGCTGGGATTACCTGTGAGTTTCTTTTTCTTTGTGCTTTTCTGTATTTTTTGAAGTTCTTACATTATGTATATGTTACTTTTGTAATTAGAAAAAATAAATCATTTTTTCTTCCACAAAAGACTGTGTGTTGTGAAACTTGGGATCCTTTGAAGGAACTGATTCTGAACTTAGTATGTTACACAGAACATCTCAGTGTTTCAGGATGGGTCAAGTTTACCGGGCCAAAGAGAAATACCACTTGACAGGCACATTTAGCCGGTAAAACAAGGGTCATTCAGCTTGAATATTACAGGTCCTAACACTGGAACCGCTTGCCTCTCAGGGCGATATCTTTGAGACATTAATACCGTGATCCACAATGAGAAAAACATATTAATTACATTGTGAACTAGTACACACACACACACACACACACACACACACACAAACATTTCATGTAAAATATTTACCCTTCACTTGTGATGCGTGATTGTGTTTGCTCTATTATTTAAAATACAGATTACGAGCCACCACATTGGTTTCATGATCTATTTATGAGCCACTCCTCACTATTTGAAAACCTTGTCCTGGGCATGAAGTAGAAGCAGCCTTTCTGGGGGACCATGGCCCAGCAGTGGGGGAGGAAGGAAGTGTTTCCACAGTAACTGATGTTAAGCTCCAGGTGTTACTCATTATGACTTCAGGGAGGAGGAGGGGGAGGGAAAATAATGTAAATACTTATTATTTATAATCATACAGTATCTTTATGCCACTTTTAGCACATGCTCATTAATATGCTAGTACATTTAGAGGCACATCTGCCTAGACTGGCTTAGAATATAAATTCTGGGATCCCTCTTTTGCTTGGAGCTGACATCAGTGTGTAAGAGCCCAAGGGTGGCATTCTTTCATTCAACATATATTTACTGAGTACTTTCTATGTGCTAGGGCCTGGGGATAAAGCAGCAAACAAGAGAGGCGAGCTCCCTGCCTTTCTGGATCTTATATTTGAGTGGTGGCATTTCTCTTAAGAAGCTCACTGAAATACCTGGGTCACCTCAGACCAGGCATTTATGGTGGTTCTCTTCTAAATGTGTTTTGAACTTGGCCTTTTCATCTCTCTACCTTGTATGTGCCTTCACCTTTCCCCTCCTCCTCTGCCTCACCTAGTCCCCATCTCTCTCTCTGCTCATTGAAATCCTACCATCATTTTCACTCCAGATAAGATCCACCTTCTCCCTCTTGAAGCTCCCAGACTCCTGTTTGTTACAGCAGTCAGTCATATGGGCCTTGCTCATTTAGTGAACATGTAACCTCTTCCTCTGCCAGGCCTCTTTTACGCTGTCTGATAGTTATTTTCCAGGTATGAGCCTAGTCTTAAGGAGATCAAGACCACAGTTTATGTTTTTACTCCATGCACGATACCTTGCATAAAATAGGTGCCCATTAAGCATGCAGATACTCTCTTCCACATTGTCCTGCAGAGGTGTTTGCCTTCTCAGTACACCAGCTAGGCACTTCCCAACTCTGCAGGCACATCTCCTGCTGTCTTATATTTCCAATGGGGCCTTCGGTTTGGACTCAGCTGCACTTGTTTGTGTGACTTCTGCCTCTCTTGAATCCACTGATCCCCTCAATTGCACGATCAGGCCTACTCTAGTCTTGAGCAACTCAGACCAAAGCTGGACGTGTTGGGAGACAATATGTGTATGTGGTTTTTACAAGCCTGCTGGGAGGAGTGAGACAGACCTGGGCCAAGACCCAGGTGTGTGCTGTGCTAGCCGTGTGACCTTAGGTAAATTCATTAATCCCTCAGTTCAGCTACCATGGGCTGGATCCAATTAAAAGAGGACAAATCACTGAAATTCAGCCCCATCAGCCACTTGTTGAGCTTTCCTGACGTTACCTCCCATACCTGTCTGGCTTCTTCCTTCCCTTTTCCCTGTCTCCCTGCTCCCACTATTCTTGTACTGCCCTCTGGCTGCCCCATCCAGGCACTGAGGCTGGGGTTGCTACCTTATTCCCACCTTGCCCTGGTGCTCTCAGAGACTTCACTTTTCACCAACCCATCATTCCTTGCCCTCCCTTCCCTTTACTCACTTTCTCCTTTCTGCCAAAAAAAAAAATCACATCGGAGAAGCTTGTCTGCAAGGGTTCCATTCAACTTGCTGTACATTAATGCTCCACTATGGTGACCCACTGCTGAGTCTTTCACTTGTAATGTAATCTAATAATTTACATGCACTTTGCAAGCAATACTCTAAAAGACTCGCAACCTGTTTGAAATTGCTCTGCTGTTACAGTATTTGAGCTGATGAGAGAACAGCGTGAGAAAGAGTAGTTTTTGGTACCACAGTGGTATTAGGTAAACCCAGGAAAATAATGTCAGCACAAGGTGAGGGTGTGCTGATGGATTATAATATCCTTTCTTAGAGAATCAATTAAACTTGCTTAGGGTCTTTTATCGATTTTGGCTTATAACTGGACTAGGATAGGTCAAAGTATTCAAGGAGTAGAGGCATAGCTGGCTAAAAATAGTGAAGCAAGTATGGAATCCTGTCTTTCTGAGATGGCTGTGAAATGTTTTAGTTTTGATATACTGCATGACTTTTACAGAATTAATTGGCATTGTGATTAGGTTGTTTTATTTCTTCACTCAAACATGTTGGAAGCCGATTCTAATATGCGGTAGTAATGAAAATAGAGTAATGCTGTAATAATAGTGCCATTGTAAAGTGAATTACACCATTAAGCATCTATTTTGTCTAATTTGTATTGTGGTAGTGTGAGTGATACACACACATGCAGACGTAGAGGAGCTGGTCTTTAAGAAATAGACTCTAGCTGAGAAGAGAAACCCCAGTCCTATAATATTGAACAGTCAGTGAACAAAAATAATTGGTTCTGTGCAAAGTGAATTTATTTATACATATACATATATATACACAGCCACATATATAAATATACACACACATGCACACATACATATTGTGTCAGGCAGATCAAGAAGATATATGACTTTGGCATAAAAAAATGCTTGGCTTATGTTGCCTTTTAACAAGTTGATTATGAATGGGGACACATATTAATTATGACAAGTCAAGTCAATGATGGCATCAATGCCAGGCTTTGAAAACAAGGCTTTCTACGTTTGTTTCAACCTCTTCATCCTTATTACCATGTCTGAGAACCCCTATTAACTGGTATTTCTCAAGTTTTGGAAAGAAGTATTAAGGGCCCAGGAATGATCATTTTATTTTGTCATTTATCTCCTAAGGAAGGACATTTGTCAAACAATTTTCTTTCCACAGCAGAAAGATAGAGGCACATTTCTATGCCTTAAGTCACACATGAACCCTAAGAGCAGAAATAGGACCTGAGAAGGCAGTGTCCAACATGGCTGCTCCCAGTGGGACAGGTAGATTTAAAAGTACAAGAAGGGCCAGGCGCGGTGGCTCACACCTGTAATCCCAGCACTTTGGGAGGCTGAGGCGGGCGGATCACGAGGTCATGAGTTCGAGACCATCCTGGCTAACACGGTGAAACCCCATATCTACCTAAAATACAAAAAAAAAAAAAAAAAAAAAAAAATTAGCTGGGCGTGGTGGCGGGCGCCTGTAGTCCCAGCTACTCGGGAGGCTGAGGCAGGAGAATGGCATGAACCCAGGAGGCGGAGCTTACAGTGAGCCGAGATCGTGCCACTGCACTCCAGCCTGGGGACACAGCAAGACTCCGTCTCAAAAAAAAAAAAAAAAAAAAGTCCAAGAAGGTGTTAAACTTTGATGACATTCCAGTGACATTATCCCTTCGCCCACAAGAGGACTGGCTTCAGGGGATAGTTTGGCAGTAATTGTCCAGGAGTTTTCAACCGTTAGGGTGGTATGGGCAGGGAGGTCCTGAAAACTTTTACCTGGTCCATCTCCAGTCTGGATTGCTGCCTCCAAGGCCCCCTCTCTGCATTCTGCCACCACAGCATCTAGAAGGGGTTATACTGATGGCCTCCCATCTCTCACCTGCCCCCGCTTTTGGATTTTGCTTCTGTGGCATTGCCAACACCACCATCTGGTAATCTAGAACCTCAGAAAGACTTGTCCATAGAGATGAGATTGTATGTAGTTTAGAATACCTTTAACTTTCGTATATATAATGCTTGCTCTGATGATCAATATATTGAAAGCGAATTTGCTTCATAAGCCACTGTTCACTCCCTGTCTTTGAAATCAACAACGTAAGTTTTAAACCCCGCAAGGATTTAAGGAGATAGTAGACAGTATCAATGCCTGGCATCTGAATTAAGAATATATTTAGTGGAGAAGTTTTAATACAAACCTCAATGAAAAAGCATCAATATCATATTCAGCCTAATAAAATGTTTTAATGAAAATTGTCATGGCGTTTGACAACATCTCTTTATTAATTGGTCTTTTCCATTATTATTTTCTTAGTAGCAAACACACTCTGGTTTTAGCTCTCATTAGTTATAGTCCTCATTGGATTCACATTTTGCGACTTCAGCTGTGTTTATCTTCTCATTGGTCTCAGTTCCTTGGGAGCCAGGTTATAGATTGTCTTCAGTGTTCTGTCCCATATCTCTCTGCCTTTTACATGAGCATTCGGTGAATGCCCTCAGGATGCTAGTGACGTGCAGTTTAGAATCAATATGTGAAAGATGAGCCAGCTGAGGGAGGACTGGGATGAAGCAAGAAAATCTATTCCTCGAAAGTTTCAAATGTTTAAGGGCAGTATAATAGAATATATCGCCTCCTTGCATTGATCCATCAAATATTCTTGTGCACTTACTATGTGTCAGGTCCCATGTTAGTCAATGGAACGACAAAGCTGAATTAAGTGAATTGATGGGCAAGAAAGACATTACTTTAAAAAGATGTAGCATGCTATAGTAGAGATACTTAGGAAACCTATAACATAGAGAAGAAGGAGAAAATGCCCCGAGAGGAGTTAGGGAAAGCTCACTGAGGTGGTTATGCCTGCCCGGGTTTTAGAAAAATGAGGAGATTCTTTTGGCAAAAAGTGACAGGGCATTCCAGGCTGAGGCACCCAAGGGGAGAGTTCATGGCACATTCAGGTAACATAAGTGAGATGTAGCTTGGCCTGAGAGTATGCTGGTGAGGAGTAGGAGATAAGGTTGGAGAAAGTAGGCAGGGGCGAGCCTAAGCATTTCGGACCTTGTCTTATAGCAAAATTTTGAACAAATGAAAAATACCTGATTTCTTTTTGGTAAGGTACTTAAATATACTTATGTGGAGTTAGGGAGGGAGACAAGGAACCAAGTTAGGAGATTCTGTAATAATTCTGGTGACTGATATTGAAGGCCAAGACTGGGGTGAGGGTTGGGAGTGGAAGGCGAAGAAGAGTTGACTCTGCGGTAGGATTCCCCAGGAAGTGGAGTTGGAAGAACATGATGGAGGGAATGGCAGGAGTCAAGTGCAGAGTGTGGGCCGGGATTATTGGCTGGGACAGTGTAGTGGAGTAGAGTGTGAAGAGGAGAGAAGGCATGGGTTCAATTTGGGATGGGCTGAGTTGGAAGTTCCAGGGACATATCTGATGGGCAGCGGGGAATGGGGGTCTAGCAGGGAGCAGGTGACAATATGTTACATGTGGCATTAGGCAAGAAAACAAAAAAATAGCAATAGCAAGTATCTGGCACTTAGGAGGGCCAGGCTAGAGAGCTGGAGTCCTAACTCTGAGCAGCACTCTTGATAGAGGATTAGAAGGTGAATTTTTACATCTATGAGGTGATGTTCATGGATTTTGAAATGATATCAGCAGAAAATAAATCTAAGGTCTAAGTGGGTGTGGTTGGGAAATTGAAGGGCTTGGATTGGTACGATGACAAAGAAAAGTCTCTCACAAAAGTGGATTGGGACTTGGAGACCCTACATCTACATAAGGTGTAAAAAAGTAAGAATGGGCCTGGCATGGTGGCTCACGCCTGTAATCCCAGCACTTTGGGAGGCTGAGGTGGGTGGATCACCTGAGGTCAGGAGTTCAAGACCACCCTGGCCAATATGGTGAAACCCTTTCTCTACTAAAAATACAAAAATTAGCCAGGTGTGCACTTGTAATCCCAGCTACTTGGGAGGCTGAGGCAGGAGAATCACCCGAACCTGGGAGGCAGAGGTTGCAGGGAGCTGAGATTGCGCCATTGCACTCCAGCCTGGGCGACAGAGTGAGACTCCGTCCCAAAAAATAAATAAGTAAAAATAAAGTCAGAACGTTTGTAAGCCCAGAGTCAGGTTTTAGACCCTTTGCTGTTTCGGGTTGCATTTCACTTTTCTCTGCTTTGATGGTGCTCTCCCAACATGCCTAACTGATGATTGAAGTGTTGCAGCCTTTTTTTTTTAAAACAAACAAACAAACAACCCTTTCTACACAGACAGCATTGAGTTGTCCTGTCTCTAAAGGCAATCTGCCCCACACTTGGCAGAACCTTAAGGGTGGGAGAAATGGAATGAATAGTAGCTGTGGATAGGTCTCCTTATTGCCCTGGGAGGAAGACTTCGTAGGAGAGGAAGTTGAAAGAGGGTCTTGAGAAAGGGGGTGAGATCTTCAAAGGCTGGGTCTAGCCATGGGAAACTAAGTGAAAGAATTTTTTTTTAAGTTGATCAGGAAGAGAAAAAGAAATGCACCAAGTGTTTGGCCAGGCGGATGCTGACCTTGGTTATGACTGGGTGGGATTGCCATTGCTGCAAGTTGATGGCACTTAACAGTTTTCTAGGGACTTTCACATACGCAGCAGCCCCTGGAAGTCCTGGAAGGAGGTTGATGATGTTGCAGCCCATCGAGGGACCAGAAAAATGTTGTGTAATTATGAAGACCTGTTGCCTTAAAACAATTCGGATCCAAATAGGCTGACTTTATCTTCAACTCAAGTAGTGTGGCGGGAGGGGGCTCTGCCCTGTTGGAAAGGCATCCCTCTGCCCTCTGTGGCCATCACTGAGCTCCCTGTTGTTTTCGGTGAGCTCTGACTAGATGTTTTCCCTGTCAATATTTCACTAATGTGTCATATGAATTATTTGTGTTATCTCTGTGCTGTGAAATTAGAGGCCTTCACCCACAGTGTGGTAAGTAGATTAAAAGGAAAGCCTGTTTTTTATGGTGTGGGCGAAACTGGGAAAATATCAGGGAAATATTTTGTGTGTGTTTGATCTGACAGTGGGAAGGCCTTGGGATGCCAGTGTCTTCTAAAACCTGAAAGCTGAGCTCCGGCTGGAGTTTTCTTCAAAGGGGTTTATATTTTATCTGTTGGCACTTCTGAGCGGAAGGAAGGTTTGGAATGGGAGATTCTGTGATGATCCTTTTTTTTTTTTTTTTTTTGCTGTTGTTTTCTTCTCTGTCTTTTTAACTTTGCAGAAAGCCCTTCCAGTTATACACTCAGACCCTGTTCAGGACGTTGGTGGCCAAACAGTCCCCTTTTGTTAAGCGAGCGTCCCATTTTTGTTTCTCTTGAAAGGTGCCCTCCAGGACAGCAGAGCCTTTCTTTGGGCTGTTTATAATTGAGCCCTGAAGAAAAACAGAAATCATTCTAAACCCAGGCCAAGTGCCTCCTTGGCCTAGCTAGGCAAAGCTAAACTCACACAAGATGAAATCTAACCAGCTGGTTACCTGAGAACCACCTTCGGGAGTTCTCCGGCTTGACTGCTTTCGCCTTGGCCACCATCTCGAGCTCCAGCGACAGCTGAGGGTCAGGGCCTCTCTGTGCAGAAGAGTAGGAAGAGAATCATAGCTGTTGGTGAAGGTTAGGTTGCATTGTTTGAAAGGGTCCTATGTCAGCTTGCAAAATGCTATGGATCTGTAAGAATCCTGAAAGAAATGGGTTGGAGAAGAAATTTATGACCGTAAGTCTAGTTGTCTTTGAGTGGTGCAATTTAGCCAGGAATTTTTCCTCTTTGCGGCTCAAGGTTTCAAAAAGTTCCCTTTTAAAAAATGCGTGTGTATCTATTTTTTTCTTAGTTTACATAAAAGGGTATTCATAGCTTTAGCCCACCTTGACATACTTCTGTCCTTTCTCTTTTTGCCTTTTTCTTTACACAAATTAGGAGTCATTTGAGAAAATGAGGCATATATAGGATTTGATAAGTTAGAGGTTGTGCAGTTTCGAATTATTTTATTTTATTCTGTTATAATAGGTATGGGGGTAACCTTCAGGAATCGAAATGGAATCTTTTTTCCCTGTTCTCAAATTATCTAGTTTAGGTCTTAGACTCGCCTTATTGCCTATAAGTACAGCCTTCAGTTTTGGAATTTTTCTTTCCATTTTAGGTATCAGCTGGGTCATTTAGATGGAATAGGAAACAGTACTGGGCATTGTCAGAGAAAGACTGGCTATAAAAGTTCTGATCCCTGTGGGCAGTTTGGAGTCTTCTTAAGTGTAAGATCATCAGTATACTTCAATTCTGAGCTTCTGCACATGCTGGTTAGTGAAGCTCTGCCCTTCCTTGTTAACTGCACATTTTAACATCTATGTTTCTAGAGGAGACACCTGCCTCTTGAGGGAACCCTCAGCATCCCGGGAGCATCTGTCCAACTGGCCCCTGTACACACAGAGACCTGAAAAGTGAAGCAGTTTCGAGACAGGCATCACTTTAAGGCTGAAGTACATTTTAGAAAGTTAGGGACTGGTTCTGTGGCGGGGAAGTTGAGCTAAATATGCAGTTCTATTTTAATTTTCACTTTATGCCAAGGCAAAAGCATTGGGAGATAGACTATAAATGTATAAGTAAGTCAGTGCAAGAATAGCCCCTTGCAAAATGCAGATTTAGGGAGGCTAAATATTTTCTCACATACTTTAATGCACATGAATAACCCCTGATCGAGTTCCTGAGAAAGGGATGTTGTGTAACCATTTGACCTTGATCACTGTAATGAGTTATACAGAGGTCTGCACAACTGTACAAAAGTAAAGTATTTGGCTGTCTTAGTTAGCTCAGGCTGCTATAACAAAACACCATCAACTGGGTGGCTTAAACAACAGACATTTATTTTCTCACATTTCTAGAGGCCCCACCTTCTAATACCATCACACTGAGGATTAGCGCTTTAACATGTAAATTTTATGGGGACACAAACATTCATTTCATAACATAGGTTGATGCCTAAAGCATACTAATAATTTACAGGGTGGTTGGTTTGTCTCTAAAAAGTTAAAATTTTTTAGCTTTGTCATTTGTTTGTTTCAACAGAGTTGTATTTTCCTATGTGTATTTTATCTTAGGCATGGTCACCTCTCTTCCTATTCCTGTACTGTTTGAAATCACAGTAGTGAAACCCAAGGTAATTAAGGCTGGGGTATCATTGTTTTAAATTAGAGTGTGTGAATTTTTTTTTTTTTTTGTAATTCAACAACAAGTTCCTTCATATTGTGCATAATTGGATCACATTTTAATTTTGTGGCAAATAAAGATCTATTTTACATTTCTATTAGAAAGACAAGCCCCTGTGGCGAGCTCTGAATTAGGATGTTGGCCATTAGAAGTACTGAAGCAGTGAGGCTTTTAGAGCTGATTCAGCTTCTGAAAAACTCATCTGTGAATCTTTAGGGTAAGGAAAGAACCTTCAATTTAAAGCTTATAAACAGCCATGGATTTTACCTAAAAACAAATACTGAGAAGACAAGAAAACGAAAAATATAAGTACTAACGCAAGCAGAGAATAACCAAATCATGGGTTATCCAGTATGATATATACCACAAAAACATTCTGGTCATTGAATCAGGCACATCTGTTTGTGAGGATATTTTATTATCTTTATGGTTAATGCCCTGAGTGTTTATGTGAAGCAAAATAATGAAGACAAATTGTGAAGAATACACTGGACAAGTAACCAGGAGGCCTCGGTTCTGATCCCAGCCCACCATTAATTATGTAAGTGGCTCTGGGCAAATGGCTTTCACCCTGAGACCTCACCTTCTCCTTAGTACAGAGAGGCACTGAACTACAGCTTCCTGCCAGCTCTGATATTCTATAATCCTGTGATTTTTAAAGGAACCACCAAAGAATATACTTCTTTATTCATTCCAACTTTAAAAAAATTATTATTGAAGCATAATTTACTTACCATTACATTCACCCATCTTAAGTATACAATTCAATAATTTTTAGTAAATTTATAGAGTTGTACAACCACCACCACAGTCTAGTTCAACATTTCCATCAGCCCCAGAAGATCCACATGCCCGTTTGCTGTTACTCCTCCTTCCTAGCCCTAGTCTAAGACAGCCATTAATCTGTTTTCTCTATATATAGATTTTCCTTTTCTGGACATTTCATTTAAGTGGAATCATATACTATGTGTTCTTCTGTGTCTGCCTCCTTTCACTTAGCATTGTGTTTTGGGGGTTTGTCTATGTCATAAAATGGATCAGTACCTTGGTCCTTTATGTTGCTGAATAATCTTCCATTATGTGGATGTATCACATTTTGTTTATTCATTCATCAACTGATAGACTCCTTTCTCTTCCTTTCCTACCCTTGGAGCGCTTCCCCTCCTCTTGCCTACCCCCATACTGGGAAAAAACAGGTCTCTCTTAGAGAAATGCGAGGTCTTTATTTCAGGCCTTCCCTTGCAGAAGAGGCCGGAGCTTTGTGTTTTAAACCCTTCCAAGTCAGTAGATTGAGCTGGCTGGGTCATTGAAAATGTGATTAAGCAGCTATGTAGTAACTATCAGTAATGTGAAAGCACTAGCTGTAGGTACTTTTCCTTGCTATGTGATTAATATGAATGTAAGGTTTCTGCGTTAGGGAACTTGACTCAAGCTTTCCCAATGACAGCCTGTTTGTTGTTTTGCATTTATTTTACACATTGGATGAAGTATTTGGAAGCAAGAGTTAAGGACACTGGCTGTTAACCTAACTTAGTAATGTCACTTTCAGGATTTTTCTCTGGAAGTCATCAGAATTATCATGAACAATAACAAACCCACAGAGGGAAACAGCCTCATACTTTGCTTTTCAGCTCGGAATCACGAAGACTGCCAAATGTAATTGTGATGAAAAGGTAGATGTGATGAGAAGAGGACTGAGCTAAGTCTTGGGGCTGTTGATTTCTTTAAAGAGAAACCATAGAGAAGACAACTCTAATGTATTAATGTGTGTTGTTCTTTTCATGTTGTGAGTGAAACCACGATGTGCACTTCCATTTGCTGAGCTTCTAGCTAATGGAGGGTAGCAAGTCAGTATTCTGGATGCTCCTCAAATGATTCTCTCATTTAAAACCTAGCTCTGGAAATGTGGTTAATCTGTAGTATGTTTTGAGCCTCAGCTGTTCTTAGGTCCATTTAACTTCCTGGAATCCATCCTTGGCTAGCACGTCCTGTAGGATGAAGGAGAAAGTCTATTCCATTTGCCTTTCTCATCTTCACATGTGTGGTAAATATGTTTTGTAGGCTTTCTCTATTATAAATTTCAGAAAGGTTGGGCCCAACAAGTAGTATGTGTGTGTGTGCATGTGTGTATATATGCATGTGTGTGTGTGTATATATGTATACATATGTGTCTATATGCATACATATATATATATACACACACGTATACACAGACACATATTCTTCTAACTGCATAGTGGGATGAGGCCTACGAAAGCCAGCAGCTTGCCTCAGTTTTATTTAGCATGCTAATTATAAACAGTATCAGTAATATCTTTTGGAATTTAGGCGTTAGACTGTTCCCACTGGTGGAAGTGATCCTTTAGAGCATCACACCCTGCCTCTTGGGTCCTGCGAAAGCTTTGCCTTTGTTGAATCCATATGGTAGGATTCTTGTGGAGAAAGATAAGCCAGGCCATTGTTTAGTAAACATCAGACCCTCCCGTGTGCTGAGCCTGAGATCTGGCAACTGGGCAGAGAGGGCTGCTGAGGGCTGTGTGCTGCCGGGCTGGAGGATGAGCAAACTGCATCCAGGTGTGATCACATCCTTATCCTTTTCTCCCACAGCTTTAAAGTGGTGAAATTTTTCTTCTCTCCATCGGGAAGGAAATAGGAAAAAAATGCCATATCTTGTTTGGTGGTCGGGGTGAAGGGCGGGATGGTCAGCATCCTCTTTTATTTGGGCCTATATTATGGTATTATCATAGTTGATTATTGCTAGGATGATTTATGTAGGAGTCTCTGGCTAAGTTATGAGATCCTTGAGAACAGGGATGTCGTGGGGTTGTCCACGTGTTTCCCAGGGTTTTTAACACAGTGCTTTGCATACAGCAAGTCCTCAGCTATTGTTTTATAAGTAGCTGATGAATAAATACTTTCCATTCAACAAACAGTATTTGTGAATATGCTAGTGTTCACAATAATGCCTGACGCTTGCTGGGTGGCCATGATATAGAAATAAGAATTTCTTCCTTCCTCTCTCCCTCCCTTCCTTCTGCAATAATCAGTTCTTATATTCACCAGGCACTGCACTAGGGGCTGAGGTTACAAAGATTAAATAAAGTATTATCTGCATCCTCAATGAGTTAATAAGAATGTTATCCTAGAGTTCGGTATGTGATGTGATAGTGGTTCACAATAGTTAGGAGCTCTTATTGATAGCTTAATCTGCTCTAGGTTCTGAACACACTGGGCTCAGTCCTTAAAATTCTCACTGCGTCTTTAGGAAGCAAGAATTATGAACCCCATGTTGCAGATTAGAGGACCGAGGCCTAGAAGAGTTGCTGAGTCTGAGTCCAGAAGGTTGCTCTCGACCATGGCTCGTGCCTCCTACCATACCACCAACCCCAGGTCCCCATCCCCTTCCCCTGACTGCATTAAATGTGTCTCCGTAACAGCCCCAGCACCCTGGCTTCCCTTTTCATCTGTGTGTGTGCCCTTCTCCATGTGTGGAGGTGGGAGGTAGCAAGCAGCCTAAGCAAATGGAGCTCCTTGGAGTTGTGCAGTGTTCAGCCAAGTCAGCTGACCACAGCTGCCCCTAGAGATTGTTTTTCTACTTTCTCTTGCCCTCTGGCTGTTCCTGTGCCAGCTCCTTCACTCTTCTGGTTGCAGGTTTTCCTTTCATTCCTTAGGTATCCTGTTGCCCTTCCTAGGCCTGAGACGGATGTGCTAGAGAACTCCGTGAGATTTTACTCTCTTCCTCACTGTCTTAGCTGACTTCCGGCTGACTAGACAAAGCGAAACTCTGATCTTGCTGGAGGAATTCCTGCGTGCAATCCTGACAAGTAACTTTAACCAATTGTTGAGAACAACCTGCGACTGTGGCTTGGCAGAGGCGTGTGCTGTGTACTGTGAATACGAAAGATGCAGAGTTTATGACACGGCAGGACCCTTGAACGCAAGGTGGACATATCCTCAGAATTGCCCCCCACCCTCGCCAGCTCTACCGGTGCTTTGCAGCTCTAACAAGAGCTGCTAACAGAGAAGTTGCTGAAGTTGGCATTGGCTGAGGAATGGCTTTATTCAGCCAGGCTCTGTGGGCTTGCTGCCCCTTTCTGGATGCTGTCCACACAAGAAAAGCCATAATTATTACCATGGACTCTTCTCTGGCTCACTGCTTTTATAAGAAGGGGAAAAAACTCAAACTTCAGAAGAGTTAGAAAGCCTTGTCTGGGCCCACATATGACACGTTGATATTTTGGGGCAGGATTTGGCCCAGCGTAGGCCAAACACGAGAACAGCAATGGTGCCGACCAGCACATTGAAGTTTTTAGATTGAAAAGCCTGAACAGAATGTTCGGCTGGAGCTGGGGACATATTCCTTTCCTATTTTATCTCTTCCATAAGCCTCAGGGCTGATTGGAAAATACACCCACTGCAGGATTTGGATAGCCAGGATTTTATGTTTATTTCTTAGACCTGTTCACGCACAGTCTCAATTTCTCTTGCTCGCTCTCTCTTGCGCATACTTTTTGGGTGGAAGTCTGAAAGCTGCATGTCATAATACCAGTGAGGAAGTGCTCTTTTCCCTTATGGAACAGTGCTCACTTTTCTGACATGGACACTGGGACCAAAGTGGATTTTTGGAAATGCAAATCTCATATCTCATGTTCTTGCTTAAAACCCTACATTGGATTCCGGTTGCTCATAGAATATAATTCAAACCCTCTAACCTGGCCTCAGGTGTCCCCTGTCCAGCCTTCCAGACTCATCTTTCATCTGTCCTTCCCCTACTCACATACGTGCTCGCCTTTGTAGCCATACTGAACTTTGGTCCTCCAACATGCTCTGCATTCTCACCTCCATGTGCTTTCCCTTATACCTGTGTTGATTTATCTGCTCTGATTTATCCACTCATTGATTGCCATTACAATCGATTTATCCACTCATTCATTTAATAAGCATTTATGCAGCACCTCCTAAGTGCCAGTTACTGTTCTGAATCCTGGGGATACATTCGTGTGAAGACAGACGAGGGTCCTGCTGTCATGGAGTTCACAGTCCTCACTTGCTAATTCCCACCCATCTGGTGAGTCTCAGCTTGGATCTCCCTCTTCCAAGAAGCTATCCTTGACTTCTCTCCTCTGGATTTGACATCATTCCTTTGCCCTCTAGAGCACCTGTATTTTCTGCATTACAGCGCTCACAACTCACCTGAATTCACAGTGTTGAGCTCCTTGAAAGCAGAAACGTTCCTTGCCCAGGCTGGCACATAGTGGGTACTCAGTCTGTTGAAGGAATGAAGGAAGGATGCATTTGACACTAAGCAGCCTCAGTGAAAAAATAGGTACTCTCTGCAAACATTTTGAACAAAACTCATTCTCCACATTGTCAACGGCTTGGCAGTGGCCTTTGACCAGTAGGAGGCATCTAATGTTGCGGATGATAAGTTTGCTGTCAGTCATATTGTTGTTCCTTTGCAGGTAATTTGTCTTCCTGGTTGCTTTTAAGATTTTCTCTTTCTTTGGTGTTCTGCAGGGTCACTATGATATGTTTAAGCATGGATCTATTTATTTATTCTGCTCAAGACTTGTGCTTGTTCATTGTGAAGACTCATGTTTTCCTTTAATTCTAGAATGTTCGTGGACACTTTTGTCTTTTCTTAATCTTTTTTTCTGAAGCTTCTGTTGGATATATGAGTGATCTACTCATTTTATCCCGTTTCACTTCTTTTATATCTTTTATCTCCTTTTCTGTCTGTCTCATGTTTCAGGCAGTTTCCTTGGTTCTTTCAGAATGGTTCACTCATTCTATCTACTCTGCTGTTTAAACTGCCTATTGAAATTCCTAAATGGTAGTTTAATATACATGAAGTGATGATGGTTTTACATGGGAAAACACTCATGAAACCATCACTCAGATCAAGACAGAGAACATTTCTAGCTCCCCTGAAAGCCCCTCTGAGGCAATATCCTCCCAAAGCTAGATGCTTTTCTGTCTTCCATCATCATAGATTAGTTTTGCCTCTTATTGAATTTCACATAAATGGAAACATGCCAAATGTGTTCTTTTGTGTCATGTCCTTTGTGTAATTTTAAGTGACTATGTTTGTCTGTCCTTTCTAGAATTTTTTAAAACTTGCCTATTTTTTGGTCATAGTATTCTGTTCCTTCATTATGTTTTCTATATCTTCTTCTTTAAAACTTCTTAAAAATATTCAGACTTGCTTGTTTTATATTAATACTAGTCAATTATGTCAAGTACTTAAGGTATACTAATTTCTGTTATTTGTATCTTACGTATAGTGAACTTGTTCCTTATATGATTGTAATTTTTGACTGTAAAATCATCTTCAGCAGAAATTATTTTTCTCACTGAGTACTGTGTTTCTTGGGTTGTACAAGTGTCTCTATCCTGCAACACAGGGTAGTGGAAATTCAGAGCCTAAATACGTTTGCATATTCCATAGGTTTAGGATTTCAGCTTCTCATATGGGCCTACTTTTTTTTGTTTGTTTGTTTGTTTTTGTTTTTTCTACCTGGAATTCCAGGTAGATGGCAAGTTCCTTTTTTACTTCCTTGGGCAAGGGGTAGAGTTTTTCTAGTCTTTCTTACATGAAGGGGTTTGTTTTTCAAGGGTACTCTTAAAATAGGCATCTGAATTCTAGCTTCTGGCCAAGCGAGGCTGCAAGATCTCATCTCCTGCTCCTATGAGGTTGTTAGCACCACAGGCCCTACCCTCCTAGGGTATGTGTAGATGAAGGTGAGTGCCCCTGACCCAGGCCAGCATTGCATCATCTGTACGTTTCTTCTTATTCTTTTTGCTTTGATTCTAGCCTCTGTGTTCCACTCTAAGTTTTTGCATCTGGTAAGTTTGTGTAAAAGGTTATTGAGGCCCAGACCTACTGAATTTAAACCTCTAGAAGAAGGACCCAAAAACCTTATGTTTTTAAGAAATGCTGCAGGTAACTATTAAGATCAAGTAGGGTTGGGCCGGGAGCAGTGTCTCATGCCTGTAATCCCAGCACTGTGGGAGGCTGAGGCAGGCGGATCACGAGGCCAGGAGTTTGAGACCAGCCTGATGAACATGGTGAAACCCCATCTCTACTAAAAATACAAAAAAAAATTAGCTGGGCATGGTGGTGCGCACCTGTAATCCCAGCAACTTGGGAGGCTAAGGCAGGAGAATCGCTTGAACCTGGGAGGCGGAGGTTGCAATAAGCTGAGATCGCACCACTGCACTCCAGCCTCGGCAACAGAGTGAGACTCCGTCTCAAAAAAAAAAAAAAAAGATCAAGCAGGGTTGATAAATATTAAAAGTTTGAGAAATAGAAATATCATATTACATATATAGATATTACATCGAATCTAATAGTCAGTTCGATTTCGCTTGTAATGTTATGAGGAACTAATTTGTTCTTTGTGTTTTCCATTATCTTACCTCTAATATCATACCCTTGCAAAAGTAAGCATGGAAATGTCTAATCTGGATATTCAGGAAAAAATGTATTGGTCTCATTCTATTTTGAGTTAAATTAATCTTTCCTAACCTATGGTTGGAGAAGGCCCTATGAGACAGTGTTTCACTGGTTTCTGTCTCTGTGTTTCATCAGAAAAATAGTGATAACCAAGTGGTGTGAAAACTTCTGAAGAACAATAGAAAAAAAATTACTAAGCACTTTAGTTAATTCAGAAATATTTCCTGGAAAAATTTGAGTTAATGTGCAATGTTTGAAAAACCTTGTGCAGTTAAGTGCCCACGAGACTGAATCTGACTCGAGGCAAATCACCCAATTACTGTCAGGGAATGAAATCATGTTTACAGAGAAACCTTCAGACTCTCCTCCTGTTTCATATCTTCACCTGTTTTTGCTTAGAGCATGATTGTGTTGCTTTTGGGACCTGGTTCCAGGTTTATGTCTTAGTGGTTTGTTTGACCTGACTCCCCTAACCCAGGCCTCTCCAACAAATGGCTACCTTGGGATACAAGAAACTGCGTGTAATTCTTTCCCTTTATTTTGAGTGAGGAGCAGGTTCATGGGTGTGCCAGCAAATGCACAGAGACTTTGACATTCACAGCATTTGATAAGATTGGTCAGCCTGGCCTGACTTTGCTTGGGTACCTGGGACTGTGAACAGCTAGCTACCCATTCTTTGGGTTTGTGTGTGGAGCTTCCAAGAAATGCCTTAACTTTCCAAATAAAAACCTGAATATAATTCAAAGGATGGCATGAAAGATAATAATTGTTGTGCAGCCTAATTTAGGAAAAGTCATTTATTTGCCACTCTGTTGCTGTGGAAAAATATGTAGTCTTCTGCATTTGTTAAAACAAGTCGGCTTCCGCTTTCTGGTCTCAAAACACACTTTGCATTTTTTTTTCCCTGGGACCGTCAATTTAATTCAGGAATGATCTAATTATGAGAAAGTGAATCCAGTCCTCTGGATGATAAGTGTTGACTACCCTGGGAGAAGCCCTGGCAGATGGTTAGTTCAGAGTGAATCTACCTTGGGATTGGGGCATTAGACTGACAGCTTTTTTCACTCAATTAAGTGCAACAACTGCCAAAAGGACAGCATTGAACTTGATGCAAATCACGGCCGTCTCCGATGTTGATAAAGTTTAAGCCTGTGCCCTCCTGAGTCAGCCAAACTTCTTAGAGTGTTTCAAGGTGCCACAATTGTGAACAAAACCCCAAACCTAGTGAGGCACAGGGAAGACTAGGAGAGCCCTCCTTTAAAATGTAGGTATTTATTTCCTTTTCCAGGTCAGTTGCTTTATTTAGGGCCTCTATTTTGGTGTCTTGTCTGTCAGTGATTCATTTGGTATCTCCTGCAGTTTGCTTTTGCTCTGGGCCCCGATGGATCCTGCGGTGACTCTATGTTCCAGAAAGTTAATTTATTGCCCTTTTATTTGGGGTACAACATGACACCACTCTGCATGCCTTTGCCTGCCCTGGATGGCCTCTCAACACCCTGAAAGGCAGGGTCCAAAAAGGAGCGAGAGCTTCTCAGTGTGCCTGCACGTCCCTACTCGTGAAGCCCCATATAGCTTTCTAGGCCATTCCTCAGAAAGTCAGTTGATGCCAGAAACGAAGCAGAATGACTCTTTTCCCGACTCTCCTGTCAAGGTGGAGCTCTGATAGACCCCAGTCCTTACCACAACTTTGATTTCTCTGTGTCTCTTTCTGTTCCCCAAGGAGTTTCCTCATGTCACCCCTGACTTACTGCTCTAATTCTGTGTTGACCAAGGTCAGGACCCATTAAGATGTTTCTGAAGAGTGTAACAAGAAAGGGCACCCTGCAAAACAAGGTCTTGGAGAAGGGTCCTTGAGACAGACTCTTGCTTCACCTGTCCCAGGCCTTTCTCACCCTCCACCCTTCACCCAGGTGTATCCCAGTCCCCGACAGCACGGCACAGCTCGTTCTGTGTTGTTATTTCTGTTTTACAAGCCTGGGGAATCCTGAAATTCCTCAGTCAGGTATATGCCATTGTCAGCCTGTTATCAGTTTCCTGATTTACTGTGTAAGCAGTTTTGATAATCCTTGTCATATGTGATTACATTTCCCCCCCTTCCCATAACATCTCAGTGTAATTGGTTTGATAAACTAGACCTCAGTCCAGTAGTTTGCTTGCAATATATTTTCACCTTCTATCTGTGTGACTAAGATGGTTTTGAATGGCTTTGCATGGAGAAAATCAGGCTTTGAGCACCAGGTCCTTAGTTTCGGAAACAAATCACCCAGGGCAGGCAGCACAGGTCTGGGAGAGCTGGGAATCCCAGTTAAGCCTCAGGAGTCAAAACGGGATTTTTCTTTCTTTCCCTGCTTGGGCCGAGAGTAGTGTGTGTTTCTTTGTGTGGGTTTTTTGGGATACAGAGAATATTTATCTTGTACATCTGTATCTGATTCCTGGGGCCATTGGACTAACTTCTTGTCCATAAAAAATTGGATTCGTTCGTGTATTCATTTATTGAATATCTGCTTTGTTCCAGGAGTCCATGAGGAAAAGAAGCTTTATTTTTTTCTCATTTTTTTTTCCCTTTCTTTCCTGCCCCTATTGGCACTGCTCCCGAGAGCAGAGAAGGAATAATCAGTATGCTTTGAAAATGAGGCATTTTTGGTAAATTAAGCATTTGGGTTAATTTAGGGTTAAATTAAAATGCAAAAGCTACTTGGGGCCATCACTTGCTAACTTTTCTTTGTCTGATAATTCAGCACCTAACAGAGTTCTAAGGCTTCGCAGAGAAGGCAGTTTTAGAATTGAGATGGGAAGAATGAATAAGATTTAGAAAAGGAGAGATGGGCTAGCAGGTGGTGAGAGAAGGGCCTTCCTGCTCCTAGGAGGGAAGAGCCTCAGCAAAGGCAGGAAGGCTGGAAAGCCTGGGTAAGGAGAATGGACAGGGCTGCTGGCGGGTGAGTGAAAGAAGGAGGAGTTAAGGGAAATCATAGGAATTAGTATGGAGAGTAAGCCTCTTGATTACTGGGCTCTGGAATTTGAATTTAAGTTTACAGGCAGTCGGGAGCCCTCTGAGGTTTTTGAGTTGGGGGTGGCATCAGCTGAACTACACTTCCAGAAAATAAATAGGTATCAGTATATATAGTAGTTGTCTTTTTTTTTTTTTTTGAGAGAATATAATGCAGGCCAAAGCTTTATCTCTACTCAAATAAATAATTATTTCAAAGAAATATCGTTTTAGAATTGAACATTTTTGGGTAATACTTCTTTCCAGGACATGAATTTTCCTACAGTCGTCCTTGAAAATTTCTGTTCAGTCTAGTTTCAAAGGATGGAAGCTGCGTACCTTTTGTTGGCATATCCTCCTAGTACAATTCTGCGGCTGGTATTGCTCATTCCCGAACATCCATGATGAGAATGTTTAGCAAATGCAGATGTGGATATGACAAAGATGAGAATGTGGGTAAATCATCAGCACTCAAGTCTCCTAGATCTAGGTTATCTTCCTAGATCTAAATTTAAAGTGGGATTGGAAGATGTTACAATGGTTTATTTTACACGAGCCAGACCCACTCTTTTAAAAGAACCTGGCTGTCTGCTTATACCTAGACTGCTGCTCTCTTTATTTAACATTTTGGTATTTTGCTCATCATGGATTGTTTGCATCCATATCAATTTTTTTAAATTTGCACTAAAATGTTATTTATCTAGATGGCTGAGTTGTTTGGGATCCCCTTAAATCCTGCGCCTGAGATGAGCGTCTCACTTGCTTCCTCTAGTCTGGCCCTGTTGCGTTTATAAAACAGAGTGGAAAATCTTTCAAATGCTCTGAGTCATTTGAGCATCTCTTCGAGTCTACTCACATCCTTGTGGAATATGTCCCTGATACCACACAAAACAAGCAGCAGCCAAAGCAGTACCACTCTCCAGCCTCCCTTGAACCCCCTGGGAGGGATCTTCCCTTCAGCGTGTGGTGGTGGGCTCTTCCCTGGTTATACCCTCTCCCTAAGGCATTGAGATGTGCATGGAGAGACACCTGAGAAGTGGGAACCTCCTCGTTGTGCTTGACTTCACCAGGTCTTTTTGGATGGGATCCAGGACAAACCTGTTTCGTAATGAGTTCGTCTGGGTAGGAGGTAGGAGGATTGGAAACATGGCCCATGGGATTGATATTTTTTGACATCTTGACGGTTCCCAGTGAATGTCCTTCTCTCAGCCTCACCTGACGGAGCCCGGTTTAGAATGAGAGGTTACCTACAGAGTTATTCCTTGTCTGTAGTGAATATAGATCTGCCAATGAAACCAGAGGGAGAAATGAGAGATTTGGAAGGGACCACCAGAGAGTTAACCCTCATCCCTTATTTTCCATCTGGCAAACCTGAGGTGCAGGAAGATGGATGGGCTCCTCGTGAGCCACATGACCGGCGGTGCTTAGAACTCAGGCCGCGGTTCGGCTCTTGGCAGGCTTCTCCACACCATGGGAACGGGGGAGCCCTTGCCTGGAGACGGGATCCACTTTGTTCTCCCTGTAAGGCAACCTGTTATTAAAGTCTCCCCCTGATTCTGGGTTTCAGTGCCTTTCTTTCCAAACTACATTAGGCCCCCTAAGTGCCTTTATTGCCATGTAGGGAGAGGGAAAATGCAGACAGCTTTGTAATTGAACAACCATGCTCTTGTCAGTAGTCATTGTTTTCAAACCAGCTATTACAGGGGGCTAAGGCCCGGGTGTGGCACCGGGAAGTAACGCTGGCCTTCTGCACCTTGCTGCCTGAACAGCTCCCTCATCGGCTTTCCCCTGTGGTCCCTGGGGCAATATGTCTTTAAATTTTTGTTGTTTCCTAAGTTCTGCTCTGGCAAGCAAGCTCTGCCTTAAACCTGCAGAGTTAAATTTACCCAGACTGACAACTGTATATGCAGGGTTTAGTTACATAACAGCAGTTGCTGCTTTTCACATCATGCTAATCCAAACACGGTGCTCAAAGAGATCAGGAAAAAGCAGCCCTCCGTTTGATGCGCTGCACGGGTGACTGGATTATGTGTCTTAAAATTTTTTTAAAACACTGTAACAATTATTCCATTATTCTGACTTTGGTGCCATTAGGTGACTTTTTAAATATCTTAATTATTAGGTAAGCAGATGCTCTGTGCACATGTGCAATTTGTTAATTTATGCTGTTTGAAATGAAATCCAGTTGTTTGAGACATATTTCATAATATTATGGCTAACTGAGTCGTAGTGCTACTGGAATTACAAAGCTGCTAGCAGGGAAAGCGTGTGCGTTAGCCTCATGTACTCTCTGAGAATCACGCAAGTGCTGCTTGTGCAGCTTCTCAGTGCCTCCTGTCTCCTCAGTTTCCTTCTGAGAAGATCATTAGATCTTTGCAACCTGTAATGGGCTTGTGAGGCCAGGCACAGGACCTTCAGAACTGCTGGAATGCTGGAGAAGGAGGCTTTTCCATCCCTAAATAGTCCTGGCTTATCAGGTAAACTGCTGAGCTGCTAAGTTGTCACACGGACTCAGGGGGTCTGAGGATTGGTGATGCAAGCTACTGGTTGATGATAGTCTGATATTGCAGCTATTCAGCATAAGCTGCTACCCAGCTCTTCAAGTTACCCCTAAATATTTATTGAGTAGTTACTGCCTGCAATATTGGATAGATGTGATATAATGGGGCAAAATTACGTAACTTTTGGGGTCAGATCTGGATTTGAATTGTGACCCTTGGTTTACTATTAGGTTGGTGCAAAAGCAATTGTGGGTTTTGCTACTAAAATAGCAGTGAGGCCTTAGGGGCCAAGTCATTTTGTCTCTTTAAGGCTCAATTTCTGCAAAAGGAATAGACATATCTGTCAAGTAGGCTTATTGATCAAGATTATAAAATGACCAACATTGTGCTTTTCACGTACATATTAGGTGCTCAGTAAGTGGTCAGACATTTCGTCCCTTTTGACACTCGTGGGATGTGGCCTCAGGAGCTTACCATCTAGATGAAGAGGCAAAGTGTCAGTAGGCCCTGAGTTAAATAAAGGCACAGAGTAATACGAGAAATGTCACAAATAGGCTGTGACTCATTGACTAGTGAGTGGTATAGACCTAAAATTCAGTGAGTTCAAAGGAGAAGATAGATCACTAGGTAAGCTTCTTATAAATGTGGATCTGACCAGTTTTGGAAGGATGAAAATTTGGACAGGTGGAAAGACTGCTGGGGGTTGTGTGTGGAGAAGGCCGGCAACTGCTTATCAATGGGGTCAATAGTAGGGTCAAAGCACAGAGATGAAGAGGCTGAGGTCCATGTGGAAAACAATGAGAATATGCATTTGTTCTGGGAGTCATGGTTTGTGTGTAATACATAGTGGGATTGATTAGAACTGTAGATCGGAACCCCTCTGTGGAGAACTGTGAATGCCAGGTTAAGGAAATCCTTGCCGTATCTAGTGTGGTTTGGTTTGTTGAAGCATGGAGCTCTGGCTAGACCTGCAGACCTCTGGGAAGAGCGAACCCATGAATGTGGAGTAGACCTCTAGTGGCTGAGAGAGTTACTGCAACCCTTAATGGTATGAATCTTGTTTAATGCATAACTTTCACGAGCTTGGCTGCACTGTATTATATATTGGAAGCTGAATGTAAGTAACATCCATCCTGACAGCAGTAACAGCTGACAACCTAAAATCTTACAGAGTCAGAAGAACTACAGAATGCATTTTTTAAAAAGACCGGGGCTATTTTGGGATAAGGTAAATCCACCTGTATACCTCTTTAGATCCTAAAGACATCACTGTGTCACAAAAAAATCATAATTGGTGATGTTGAAATAACAACATTAACAATATTATTATTATTAACAACAACAGCAACTAAAGGGCTTTTTTTTTTGTTCTGGTGCTATATTAATCATTTTACTTGCATTGACTTAATTCTCACAGCACTTCAATGAGAATGGTACTGCAATTATCTCTATATTACAAGGTGAAAACGCCAGCTTAGAAAGGTTAATTAACTTGCCCAAGGTCACACGATTGGAAAATTATATGACTGGAATACAAACCCAGGCCGTGTGGCTCTACCTGTGTTTTAGAAATCCTCTATACCACCTAATAACCTCCAAGCCTTAGGCCATGATGAAATAAGGTTCAGGAAGCCCTTTTACTGCCACGCTGAAATGTACAATGTTGCATTCAAAAATATGAACCGTGAAAAAATAGACAAATGGCCATTGTCTATGGAATGATGTATGTGGAATACTGCCTTCTCCACCAATATGGTCGAAGTGAGGAAGTGTTACAGCTTTTTTTTTTTTTCCTCCTAGGCTGGAGTGCAGTGGCACAGTCTTAGCTCACTGCAACCTCGACCTCCCGGGTTCAAGCGATTCTCCTGCCTCAGCCTCCCGAGTAGCTGGGATTACAGGCATGCACCACCACTACGCCCGGCTAATTTTTTTGTATTTTTAGTAGAGACAGGGTTTCAACAAGTTGGCCAGGCTCGTCTCAAACTCCTGACCTCATGATCCTCCTGCCTCTGCCTCCCAAAGTGCTGGGATTACAGGCATGAGCCACCGCGCCCGGCCTGTGTTACAGATTTTAAGTAAAAATAAGAAATATGTGATGGCTTGTTCCTACTCTTGGCTTGCACCCCATGTGCATTTTCTTTCTTCTCTGGGAACTTGGAAGGGCACAAGTTCAAATGTCTCTGAAAGGCATTCAGTTTACCTTCTGCTCTAGAACTTGAAGCAATTTCATTAGTGCTATCGTTGATTCACGTTGGACTTCGTGCGCTTCCCACGGGCCATTCGTTATCAGTCTTGGCCCTGCTGCAAGAGAGAGTGAAGGGCATCTAGAGGTGCCATTGGTAAAAGCATACTCCCCAGGGCTATAGGAAATTACTGTGGAGCTGCTTCCAACTACAGCAATTCTTGAAAAAGGGGCCGCGTTAAGAGCAACAACCCTTCCTACGTGCCCCTGGAGCCATCCGCTAAGGTTAGTGTCTCAAGGTGGCATATGGTGGAAATGCATTAAGCTGGGACTGGTGACACTTGACACTGTCACTATTCGTGTGACCTTGAGAAAATGATTGAGCCTCTCTGGGTCTCAATTTCCACAACTGTAAAATTACAGAATTGTTAGGATATTGCATATGTAAAGCAATTAACATGATGTTTCTTCATAAGCAAATGGAGCTGCTATTATTATTATTGGTATTGGTCATAGCTCTTTTGAGTTCAAATGAGAAAAACAGACTCAAACTATCTTAAGTAAAGATGAGAATTAATGGGCTCATATAACTAGAAAGTTTAAGGAGGAGATCAAACTTCAGGAAGGGCTGGATCCAGGGAGTCAAAGTGTTCCTGTGTTGGCTTTTCTCTATTCACAGGCAGTTCCTCTACAGCAAGAGACCTAAGGGAAAAAGTCTAACTTTTTCTATAATGAATCCTTAAAAAAATACTCACTAGCTTAGGCTGGTTCATGTGACACCTCCTTCTCCACCCTGCAGCAGTATAACTTTGTGCAGGGCTGGGATGTAGTACACCCAGTGGTAGGACTGGGTCTTGTGCCTATTCTTGTGGAACACATATAGATTCTAAAAATATATTATTGTTTTATGAAAGTATAGAATTTAGATAGGCTAAGCTTTGCTGAAGACAGAAGTACAAGTATTTCAGGATGGTAGAAACAAAGTGTGAGGGGTAGGAATTGGCATCATGTGTTCGGGGATAAGTAAAATGACGTATATTTGGAATAGATGGTTCCTATTGGGAGTTTGAAAGATATAGGAGAGAGAATAGGGGCTGGTGAGGGCGTTGATTGTTGGGCTAGAGTTTCATTGTTATTCACTTGATAACAGAGAGTCGTTGAAGGTTTCGTGCCAAGGAGTTATAAGATAATAGGAATAGCAACAACTAGTATGTGCAAACACTGTTCTGTTGACCAATCACTGCCATAGGTACCTTGTCTGTTTGACCTCACAACAGCCCTGTAAGGCAAGTGTTAGCTCCGTTTCACAGATTAGAAAATGTAGACTGAGATGTTAAGGGTCTCACTGGAACTCTCTGACAACCAGAGTCTCAGAGCTGGGAGGTGAACTCAAGTCTCTAGGAAACAAATCACATACTCAGTGAGGAGCATGGTAGGTTGGGATGTGTACTGGTAGCAGTGTGCATTATAATCTATTCCATAAATCATTATTCATTGCTAACCAAGGGAAAGCAATAGACTCACTCACTGCCTGACTGGCTTTGGGTCTCAGGGCAGTGTAGACCACAGTGAATTGTGGCAGACACTGTCTTTGGGGTGCTTCCTGGTAGATGAGGCAGAGCCCAGTGCTGAGCTGCAGAGAGGTCCTCAGTTACTGAGCACTGTACCCCTTATTTTGTAGCAGGTATGTCATTGTTGGTGAATGGGGTACCTGGGTCTTGGGTGCGGATGGTAGATATTGTCATCTTTTACTGATTGTATAGATTTTTCCTCTACTCTGGGTAGAGTATGCTGGATCCCTTGTAGCCTGGTTAGGAAACTGGCAATCCAGAGTAATTTGCCTTTAGGCATAAGCCAGTACAACATGTCACTTTTAAAATAAAACACATTAATTTACAGAATGACTATTTTATAGCGAAGAGCAGCCTGTCTAAATGAGAGGAATTAAAGGCCAATGGTCAAGTCCTCCGCATTATTCACACCACCCTTCTCAATAAATCACAATTGCTGAAACTGCAGGTTGGCACTTACTTAAATAGCACCGTGTTGGTTAAGGGTGACATGTGCTGACACGACCTCTGTTTGCATGCAACATGCTCTATGGAGAGCTACCGCCTAAAATCTACACGTAGCTCTGTCAACCCAAGTACCTTGTGCACCATTAAGCAAGGTTTAGATTAAGCCTGGACAGCAGTTGTATCTTCATTCTAGGCAGGCTTTTCTTAGAGAAGCGAAGCTTGAATGGCAATAGTATTTGACATTCAGACCTATCCCACTCTACAGACCTAATTTTTAAATATTCCTGTTATTTTATAAACCATCAGATTTTCAGAACAGATGCGAGACTACAGAATGTGAGGACACAGAATCATAAATGAGCCCATTGGTACCTTGGGTCTTGCTGAAGCTTCCTTGATGGACAGAGTTGTCCTTGGATTACTATGTGTGCTGCGTCTGCATGAGTACCACTTTACTGTTCTTATTGTTTGGGAAGGGAGAACCAATAAGCAGTCAGTGTCTCAATTCCATTGGAAGGAACGATAGAGGGGAAGATGAATATTTTAAAGGTTGGCAATGTGTTTATCTGCAAAGCACTGGGCTTGACTAAAATGGTTTTGACACAGCCTAAGAAGTACAATAGCCAGCCTTGTGGTGTCCTGGGACACATCTAAATGAATGAGGAAGGGGCTGGTTGTGTGGTGGTGTCATCTTCCCATTTCACATTTCACTCTCAACTATTAGATGTGCCCTTGATCAGAACTGATTTCTTTCTTTTTTTTTTTTTTTTGCTACAAGGAGATGGCAGCCTAGGTGTGCTTTCCTTTAAAAAATGTCAGCTTGTGAAATAATAATACAGATGACAATTCCTGAGTGTGTACTCTGCCAAGAGTTGTACCAGAGGCTTCATGTGTAGTGTTTCCATTCCGCATGATGATGGTGCAAGGAAAGTGCAGCTATTCCTATCTTTAGATGAGGAAACAGAGGTTCAGAGCTTTGCCCAAATCCGTAACGGTGGAGCCAGCCTTTCAATACAAATCTCTTCTGTTTTAAAGACTATGTTGTTTCCACTATATAATGCTGCTTCCCACATGGAAATGTGAATGTATGAAAAATCTCCCTGATGCATTTAGTATTTTTTTTTTTGGACCATTTCCTCTCAGCTGAAAGGCTAAAAATCAGCTTACGAGCTACTAACGATCAGTAAGGTGTTTGTGTTTTGTTTAGTTTTTAAGGAAAGCCAGTGGGAAAATGAGATTCATATATATAAGCAAAAGCATTTATACTTTATATAAATATATATAAAACCATACACACACACACATACATGCAAGCATTCTGTAATATACCCACTGGGTGATATGTCAGTTCTCCTTTGAATTCTTTTTTTCTTTTCTTTTCTTTTTTTGAGACAGAGTCTTACTCTGTTACTCAGGCTGGAGTGCAGTGGTGCCATTTTGGCTCACTGCAGCTTCTGCCTCCCAGGCTCAAGAGATCCTCCTTACCTGAGCCTCCCTTAGCCTCCCATAGCCTCCCTTAGACTCCCATTGTATTTTTTGTAGAGATGGGGTTTCGCAATGTTGCCCAGGCTGGTCTCAAACTCCTGGGCTCAAGCGATTTGCCCACCTTGCCCTCCCAAAGTGCTGGAGTTATTGGCCTGAGCCACCCACCATGCCCAGCGTCCTTTGAACTCTTTATGTAATCTATCTCATGATTTTATTTTTTAGGAAAGCATCTTCTGATATTTAAAGGTAGGCCTCACTTTATGCAGGACATATATCACTTTAGTTTCTATGCAACATCATGCTTTCCATGCACCGTGTAAAACAATCAATTTTATAGAACTTATTGGTGTCCCTTTTGTTAATAGGAAAATGCCCCTTGTAAAGTCAGGTTTTATTTTTGTGTGTGTTTCCTAATTTTAGCTCTGAGCACACTGATGTTCTTACAGCAAGACACACTGATTTTTTTTTTTTCTGGACCAAATACTAATTGACGGAGAAAAGTAATTTTTATTGATAAGCATGAGAATTAGCCTCACCAGGCTTTTGGAGTTTGAGGAACAGATAAACTTTAAAAGATATAATGAGCTTCACTTCAGGCCAATAGATATAAATCTCATTTATTCTTTTTATTAAAAATTGCAAAATTTCACCTGGTGTAGACATGTATTAATTTATTCATCCCTATTGACAAACATGTAGGTTGTTTGCAGTTTGGTATTGTTTTTTTTCCATGATAAATAATGCTGGAATAATGATGGATATCTGTGGTTTTTTTTTTTTTTTTTTTTTTTTTTGAGACAGAGTCTCGCTCTGTCACCCAGGCTGGAGTGCGGTGGTGCAATCTCGGCTCACTGCAAGCTCCGCCTCCTGGGTTCATGCCATTCTCCTGCCTCAGCCTCCTGAGCAGCTGGGACAACAGGTGCCCGCCACCATTCCTGGCTAATTTTTTGTATTTTTAGTAGAGATGGGGTTTCACCGTGTTAGCCAGGATGGTCTTGATCTCCTGACCTCGTGATCTGCCTACCTCGGCCTCCCAAAATTTTGGGATTACAGGTGTGAGCCACCACACCTGGCCAGATATCTGTTCTGTCTTCAGCACCTGGGGCCCTGTGGAGGCTGCAGCCCTCCTTCTTGCTGGGATATTGACATTGTGCTGGCCCCACAGGGCTCCTTCTCCAGCCATCCTTTGAATCATCTACTGCAGAGCAGCTAGGAGGTGGGAAACCAGATAGACAGGCTGGAGAAGATCCTCTCAAAAACAAGAGCCCATAGCTGCCGAGTGGGAGCCAGCAAATAGAGTGCGTGGATACAGGCACTGGATGTTATTTATGTCTTTCTCCTTTGTCGTTCTCCATTATTTTACCATTAACCTTAAGAAGGCAAAGATCATCTCATGTTCATTTTTAAATCTTTTATAATGTCTATCATGAATGTAAAAATGCGTTTATTCAAGGGACATTTAAGGACTGTGTTAAACACTAAGGGGTCAAAGATGAAGAAGACATGGCTTTTAGGCTCGTGGGTTGCTGTTTCTTACCTGGCAACTCAGCAAGAGAAGCAGGGGCTCCTTGCTCTTGCATCCCCCTTGCTCTTATTTTCTTTCCCCAGTGCTGTGTATTTTTTCATACTGTTCTAGAAAATCTGAGAGTGGGTTGGTAATGCCCTTGGTTCTGATGAGCTTACACAATTTTTTCTTCCTCGGTGAGTACTTGCAATATTAGTTCTTAATATTGAAAGTGGGGGTAAGGCTTTTTCACCCTGACCTTGGTCACTCGTAGGTTAGGAGATGATGTTCTACTTCATTAAAAGTGTGTTGAGCTCCTTGAGGGAATCTCTTAGGAAACATGTGACGTTAGACGTTTTTGAGACCCCTCTTTGCTATCAAAGGAAGAAGAGGACCAGTGGGGCCACTTTTATCACCTGCCCTCTCTCCATTGTGGACCCATGTTTTGAAAGACTTTGATCATCCAGCTGTATTTTGATTTTTTAATTATTTATTTAAATTATTATTTTTAAATCATTAATGATTATTTCCTAGTTGTTACTCAGACAATGTGAGGTAGGTGCTCTTAAAACAGGTGGCCCATATGGTTCCAGCCAAGAGATCCGGGTTAGCCTGTGCTGTTGTGATGAAGACAGTTGCACGTTTTCCATTAGAATTTTTAAAATATTCCCTCCAGTTTTGCAGAACTCACTGGTACCTGGGTTCTTAGATTGGGCACTGCTGCCCCAGAATAAGGGTCAGCAAACTAGGCCCCGTTGGTGGGTCAAACCCGGCCCACCCACAGCCTGGTTTTGTAAATAAAGTTTTATTCGAACACAGCCACACCTACTTGTTGACACATTGCCTGGGTCTGCTTTGGGGCCACAATGGCAGAGTTGAGTAGTTGCCACAGAGACCTTTTGGCCCGCAAAGACGATTCACTTTCTGACCTTTTGCAGAGTTTCCCTATCCCCACTCCCATCTAGAGGAAGGTGGCCCTGAGGTGTGTCGGGTGGGGAAACCTCTTTGAAGCCCAGACAGCTTGGGGTTGGGTCATTGGGTATTTCGGGGGAACGACAGGGAATATGCCAGCTGCTAAAAGAAAAGCTGTGGTGAGAGCAACATCACTCAAAGCCTGTCGGGATCTTCTGTCTTGTGGGGCAGAGGAAGAAGGCCTGGCAGGTCTGAGGCAGGGAGTTCAGGGGTGTGTTAGGGGAGGGTTGAGGGAGAGGATGTTGGGGAACTTCTTTAAATTTCTGCCTTAGGAATTTCTGGTGCAGAAAGAAGGAGAAACATTAACAAAGTGAGGCACTGGGCAGTTCTGTCTTCTCCCTTACAAAACGTTCTTCAGAGCCCCCAGGGTGCTTCTGGGGAAGCCACCAGACACGCAGCAGCTCTTGCCAACAGTGCGGGCTTGTCAACTTTTTCTTTCCCTTTTATGCCTGTGGTGATAAACATATGCTTTGAAGCATGAGATTTGATTTTCCTGTCTTAACGCTTATAAATACAAATGTGATTAATGGTCATAAAAAACTGGTTGACAGTGTAAGACTAATTCTCAGCAAAGTAGCCCTGCGCTGTTCCCTGTGGAAGAGGCTGTTATGCAGAGGCCGTGTTGAACAGCGTGAATAACACGGGCCCACTTCCCATCCCTACCGCCACCCCTCCTCCTCCTCTTGGTTTTTCCCTCAGATCTCCCTATCCTCCCCCTGGAGGCTCTTCCTCCTTGATAATTAAAATTGGTGGATTTTCCTCTCGAGAGCTACCTGAGGTAAGGATCCGAGTCTCTTTGTCATGCCATTAATAGTCCGGAACTCTGCAGAAAGGCATCTGGCTGCCTTCTCCGTTCCCCACTTGGGCCTGGCGGGCCGCCTGTACATGTTGGGGAACAACACAACCTAAATCTGGACAATTTGTATTTTAGTAGTAACGGGGATATTCTCTGTCTCCCTCTGTCATTTTGCATTAAGGACCTGCCACTAATAAAACTAATTAATAACTGCTGGCTCGATGTGGAATAGTTGGACTTCTTAAACCTGGCAGCCTGCCACCGCCGCTTTTGAAAGAAGCACTTCATCTTTGTCATGGACAGGATGAATATTTCTCCACACTTCTAATTGGACAAAGTGCCTTTCAAACTCACTGGCATTTCAGAGAGAGCAGATAAGTAGTCCGTGTGCTCTCCAGATACAATCACCTCTCAGCTGCCTCCAAGATTGGGAGCCATTTCCCAAGAGAAGCCAGCACAGAGGGCTCTGAACTTTTTCTTCTTTAGTGACTCCTCCTGATTTTACCTCTGACCTCTGACTCCAGACAGAGTGAGCCCGAAGGGCAAGCAGGGCACTGGAGCTCACCAAACCCACAGTAGGAAGGAGTAGTTTTCATGTTTGAGGAGCAGCACAGTTAACTGGGAGGAGTGGGGGCTTCTTGGAAAATGCAGATTTTGGTAGACCCTCCCAGGGGACAGTGCCATGACATCTGGATTCTTTTTCTTTTTCCCTTTTTTTTTTTTTTTTTTTTTTTTTTTGAGTCAGGGTCTCACATCATTGCCCAGGCTGGAGTGCAGTGGCATGATCTTGGCTCACTGTAACCTCCACCTCCCCGGTTCAGGCAATTCTCCTGCCTCAACATCCTGAGTAGCTGGGATTACAAGCATGGACCACCATGCCAGGCTAATTTTTGTATTTTTAGTAGAGACAGGGTTCCACCATGTTAGCCAGGCTGGTCTCGAACTCCTGACCTCAAGTGATCTGCCCACCTTGGCCTCCCAAAGTGCTGGGATTACAGGCATGAGCCACCGTGCCTGGCCAGGGCATCTGGATTCTTAACAAGCTTTTCAGGTGGTTCTGATGCACATCAGGGTCTTAGAATTACAGGGATAATCCTGGGGCTGATACTGGATGATGTTTGCTTTTTAGTCACTTAACCAGCATGTCTTTTTAGATGACCCTAGGTTGCAGTGTGCTGAGCAAGGAAGAAATTGTAGTCTAATCAAAGACATGACAGATGCATATGAAGGCTTAAATGATAGCAGTTAAATAGTTAAATTCAACAAACAGATTGTATTTTGCAGACAAATCATAAGTGGTTAATTTTTCACGTTTTAGGAGGAGCCAGCCACAGAGAGAACTTTAGTATTGAGTACTGAATAATCAGATGTGTTTTCTTAGAGTGAAGGTTAACCACTGTGGCTTTAGAGCTGGGTGGTGAAGGATGTATAGGAGTTTATCCAGTAGAGAAACAGGGTGGGGCATTCCAGGGAAAAATAATGGCAGCAATGCAGGTCTCGGTCTGGGCATTTCATGGTGCCTGTGTGATAAGAGATCAGAGAGAAGGGTGTGTGACTGCCGACGACCTTCTCCTGAGGAGACCCTCAGAGCCATGGGGAAGAGATGAGATTAGGCTGGGCCTGAGGTGCAGATAGGGATGTTCTAGAATTAAGGCATCAAAGGCTGGAACTTGAGTCCTGCCACAGAATGGAACAGAGTGGTAGTTTAGGTTATTTCAGTTGTTGCATGATCAATAGCATGAGATTTTCACTTGAATGTGGGAGCCAAAAGAGAGAAAATTCAGTGACTGACAAATCTAAGATTTCTAGTTTGGGGGACCAGTGAGATAGCAGTGTGGCTGGCCAGAAGTTTAGGAGCTATCCTAAGGTTTTGCCAATGTCGGGGCAATCAAGGAAAACCACTCTGATTACAGAGTTGGCAGAGATGGAGTTTCTGATGAGAACATTCTGGGAAGATTTCACTTTTTCTTTATACTTGAGTAGCCGTATAGAGATCCTGCCAGTCTGGTTGCCTAAATTCATTTCTTGTCCTCTTATTGAACATTAATGCTCATAGGAAAAAAAAAAAGATGGGATCAACAGGTCTGGAGGCTAAATATCATTTAGTTTGCTGCAGAGGCTCAGAGAAATCAGAGTGTCAGCAGATAATCACTTCATGCTTCATCAGTGTGCTGAAACCTCATTTACAGAGGGACACATCCAAACCATGAGCTCTCTGCAACAAGCAAAAGGACCTGCGAAACAGCTTTGCAGTCTGGGTTCATTTGTTCCAGGTAACGCCTGCATGTTCCATGTGTCTGCCACCTTGATAAGTTCTTGGGTGGTAGGAGCCAAAGAATAGAAGTAACAGTCCTTCTTCTTCTTCTTCTTCTTCTTTTTTTTTTTTTTTTTTGAGAGACAGGGTCTCGCTCCTTTGCCCAGGCTGGAGTGCAGTGGGACAATCATAGCTCAGTGCAGCCTTGAACTGCTGAGCTCGAGGTATCTTCCTACCTCAGCCTTCCAAGTAGCAACAACTACAGACACATGCCACCATGCCCAGCCAATTTTTATTTTTATTTTTTGTAGGGGTCTCACTATGTTGCCCAGGCTGGTCTTGAACAATCTGGCCTCAAGTAATTCTCCCACCTTGGCTTTCCAAAGCACTGGGATTACAGGTTTGAGCCATCACTCCCAGCCTAACAGTCTCCTAACAGTCCTTTGATTCAGCAAACCTTTACTGTATGGCTGACTGTATGCCAAGTACTCCCCTAGGGGGCGAAGTATATACAATAAATAAAGCAAAGTTACTTCTCTCAAGGAGCTCCTGTGATAGTTGAGGAGATGGTTGTGTATAGATGATTAAGATTAAGTGTTACAACTACCGAAACAGAATTTCATACCAGGTACATAGGTACCACAGAGCAGGAAGTGATTAATTCTAAGGAAAGAGAGACTCTCCTTAATTCTAAGGAGAAAGAGACTTATCTTAGGGGGGAAATTGAGGGGTGTCTGGGGAGGGCTTCCTGGAGGAGATGATGTAATGCGTGAAGTTTGGGAAGATAACTGACCATTTTTCTGGACTGAAAAGGAGGTGAAGAGCAGTCTAGGCAAAGAGCACAGGGAAATGTGAATAGCTATTGCTTCTCAGCGTTCAGTGTGTAAGGGGAGTGTGTTGTGAAGGGATAGACACATGGTTGCAAATGCAAATTTTATGTTTTAACTTATGGAATGGGAAGATGGGGCAAAATTGTGAAATGCAGTGCAATGCGTGGAACTCATCTGTGGGAAGCAAGTACATTCTCACATCAGCTGTTCAGAGATGTGTTTTTGAGTTCTGTGGACATGGGAACTGGGCTTTGATAGGAGATGGCTCTGTGTCAGTTCAGCCCTCTGAATTAACAGATGAGGAGAGGATCACTGGGTTAGGGCAGAGGTGTGTGGGAGCAGCCAGGAAACTTTGCCTTCCCATTCCAAGGATGGGAAAGGTTAGACAAGGCGTGTCTGTCTGACAAAATTGCTGGGAAGAGAGGTATGAAAGGAGGACATGAGACTATTGATTGTAACCCATTCATTCATGTAGCAGAGTTGTTTATTGAGCATTTGCTTTGTGGAAAAACACAGGACAAGGTGCTCTTAGCAGTGATAAAGATTATTCCCTGGTCTTTGTCATTAAAACATTACCATTTTTAAGAGATGGGTACACAAAAAATCAGAATAAATGAGGATAAGAAGAACTAGTGCAAACTGCTTTTGAAAGAAAGAGTGATATATGAATGATTCTAACAAGGGTTTGAAAGGAGGGAAAAGCTTCAGCTCTGTTCTCTGTCCATCCATGAGCCAGTTTTTTTCCTTTTTTTTTTTTTTTTGAAACAGTCTCACTCTTGTTGCCCAGGCTAGAGTGCAATGGTGTGATCCAGGCTCACTGCAACTTCTCCCTCCCGGGTTCAAGCGATTTTCCTGCCTCAGCCTCCCAAGTAGGTGGGATTACAGGTGTTTGCCACCACACCCAGCTAATTTTTGTATTTTTAGTAGGGATGGGGTTTCACCATGTTGGCCAGGCTGGCCTGGAACGCCTGACCTCAGGTGATCTGCCCACTTTGCCCTCCCAAAGTGCTGGATTACAAGCGTGAGCCACCATGCCTGGCCACATTTTTTAAAAAATTGAAATAACTTTTAGACTTGCAGAACAGTTGTAAAGATAGTACAGGCAACTCCTGCATACTCCTCACCCAGCTTGCCCCAAAGTTAACCTCTGTAACCATGGTACAAGTTATCAATTAAAAACTTAGTATTGGCACAATGCCACCACCTACAGACCTTATTGGATTGACTCATTCTTCTGCCAGCGTCCTTTCTCTGTTCTAGGATTCCACATTGCATTGAGTTGTGTTGTCTACTTAGTCTCCCCCAGCCTGTGATGATTCCTTGGTTTTCCTTGTTGTTTATGATCTTGATCTTGATCCCTGTGAAGAGCATTGGTTAGGAACGTTATAGAAGGCCCCCCAATTTGGGTTCTCTGGCATTTTCTCCTGGTTAAAGGGAGCCTGTGGATTTAGGGGAAGAGCACCACACAGAGGTGAAGGGCTCTCCTTAACATATCATATCATTGGTATATTGTGTCATGCCATCGAGCTGTCCCATTTCTGGTGATGTGAACCTCGATCTGATTCCCTAGTTAAGGTGGTGTCTGCCAGCCATCTCCACTATAAAGTCACTGTGTTTCCCTTTGTAACCAACAGATACTTTGGGGCTAGGAAATATTCTACTTCTCCTTAAACTTACCACAAGCTCCTTTTCAAGCCTTTGTCATGGTTCATTCTAACCTTTCTCCTACTGGAAACAGCACTGTGGCTTCATGCGATGCTCTGTCTTCCATCTTCCTGCAGTTGGCTCCAGGGAATAAACTCACACACCATGGATGTTCCCAGGGTGATGGTAGCAGGTGTAAAGCATTGCTTTTATTTATGTAGAGAGGAAATGGTGCTCAGGGCTAGCAATTTTTCCAAACGCACATTTCTGAAAGAGTATCTGCACTACTTTGTTTTGCTATCATGGCAACAACACTGAAGTGGAGGAAGGAAACCCTGAGGACTGGTCTGTTCCTGATGATACTGAGCTGTGTGACCTCAGGCGAGGAACTTGAGTTCTCTGGGCTTCAGTTTTCCTAAAGTGGCTGAGGTTAGATTAGTCAATTCCTAGAGAGACTTTCACTGGTAACATTCTGTAGTTCCATGGTGAGATTTCCTTCTTGGCTAAAACTCTACCTCTAATAAGGAAAACTGAGTTACAATACAGTAAAGAAAACAGATATGAAGGGTGTCTGGGTGTTATATGACCTTGGAGTCTCTGTAATTGAGACATCCATTAAGGGTATTTTGAAATCAGGCTAATGAATGAGAAATAAATTGCTATTTTCAAAGTCTCACAAAAGGGTATACATCCAATTATAGTGGATGGCTGTAAGAAAGGACAAGCTCTTTATGTTCAAGACCTTTCCTCTCTGTAGCTTTTCACAAGATTAGATTGCCTTTAGTTACCCAATCTCAGATTTCCACTCTAGTGCTACTGGTGTTTGGTATTTCTCTCTTCTTTTGGAGTATGCAGACATCTCTCCCATATTAGATTCTGGGCAACATCTTAATTCTTACCATATGGCCGTATTCTTAAAGCTGAACATGGAAATGACCTACTTTATCCTTTTTTTTTTTTTTTTTTTTTTGCCAAAGCTAATCCTAGGCATACACTTTTTTTTCTTTGTTCTGCTAATGACAATGCTTGTTCTTTGCTGATGGGCATGTCACTGAAAAGGTGGCAACAAAGTCTGATTAATTTCAGAGCATGAATTTCAAACCCTCTTTGACGTCCCATAAGCATCCCAGATTGTCACATTTTCCCCCTTTCTGGTCATTTTCTGCTAATTGACCCTTTTTCACTTTAGTGCTGCTTTTTGCTTTGTGAGTTTTTACCTTGGTTTAATTTATCATTTGAAATTCTTGCCTTACCATTTGCAATTTGCATCGTTTCAGAAGGATGAAAAGAGCTCAATGTTCTTCCAGGAGATAATGTTTTTAGGAAAGGGCTCTCTTTAGTGGCTGTTTAATGGTAGAATGGCTACCCTTCATTCTCAAACATGTTAAGACCAACTCACTAAGACACACATGCTGGATTTCTGACTGGGCCGGAAACATATGGAATGTTACTATTGTCTTAGTATTCCTTAGCATTTTACTTAATTCTAATACTAGTCCTATTGGCCTGTAAGGTGACTGACTAGATTTTTTTTTTTTTTTTTTTTTGAGATGGAATCTCGCTCTGTCTCCCTGGCTGGAATGCAGTGGCATGATCTCGGCTTACTGCAAGCTCTGCCTCCCAGGTTCAAACGATTCTCCTACCTCAGCCTCCCGAGTAGCTGGGATTATAGGTGCACACCACCACACCCAGATAATTTTTATATTTTTAGTAGAGAAGAGGTTTCGCCATATTGGCCAGACTGGTCTCAAACTCCTGACCTCAGGTGATCCAGGAGACCTGCTTTGGCCTCCCAAAGTTCTGGGATTACAGGTGTGAGCCACCACGCCTGGCCTTTCTTTGTGTGGATTTTTAAAGTGTCTGCCATGTTTGGCAGTGTGCTAGGTGCTGGAACTCAAAAGTGGGCAACCCACAGGCCCTGCCTTCAAGGTGCTCATGGTCTAGTAAGGAAGACAGCAAAAATACAGAATTTCAATAGAATGTGTTACCATAGACATAGGCACAACATACAGAGGTAAGAGAGGAAGGAATTTTTAACTGTCTCTTTAAAAGAAGAATTCAGGGAAAGCTTTTTGGAAGAGGTGTTGTCCAAACTGGATTTTGCAAGATGAATAAGATATTGCCAGGAAGAAAATTGGTAGAAAGTTGTGAACACTGTGGCCGCAGAACACAGCAAGGTAACTAATTGGTCCGCACAAATGACCCTATAACCTTGTAGGGTTATAAGCACTGAACCATGTAAGATGTTGCATAGTTTAATTGTATTAAATCTCATACAACCCTTTAGAACAACATCCTCTCCAAATTCGTAGAAGATATTATTTCTCTGAAATGGAAATAAGTAGTGATAGGATGGATAAATGAAGCCATTGATGATGAAAACGTATTTGTACTGCTACCTACCTGGATCCTCCCTTTACTTGTCTTTAAGTCATACTTAACTGGTATCTTCAGTGTAGTAATTGTTGCTCTACAGTTTTGTCTTTTTTTTTTTTTTTTTTTTTTTTGAGATGGAGTCTTGCTCTGTTGCCCAGGCTCGAGTGCAGTGGCATGATCTTGGCTCACTGCAGCCTCTGCCTCCTGGGTTCAAGTGATTCTCGTGCCACAGCCTCCTCGGTAGCTGGGACTACAGGCATGCACCACCACACCCAGCTATTTTTTTTTTGTTTTTTTTTTTAGTAGAAACGGGTTTCACTGGGTTGACTAGGCTGGTCTCGAACTCCTGACCTCAGGTGATCTGCCCACCTCGGCCTCCCAAAGTGCTGGGATTACAGGCGTGAGCCTCCACACCCAGCCTACGGTTTTGTCTTCTTACCATCATTTGCTTTTAAATCATGTGTAAGCAGGTGTGGAGGACCTGAAGATGGTTATCCAAAGATCTTTACTGGCCATATTCATTTATTGAACTCTGAACATTTGAAAGCAGTTATTAAAACCCTTTAATCCATCAGTTTGTCCATTTGCCACACATTTACTATATGTCAGGCGTTATGCTAAATCACTGGTTGGCAAACTTTTTGATCTCGTGACCCCTTTATACTCTTAAAGATTATTGAGGATCTTAAAGAGCTTTTTGTTTATGTGAATTACATTTATTGATACTTACCATCCAAGAACTGAAAATAGAGAAAATAATTTAAAATACATGTGTTTTAAAATATTATAAACCCATTGCATCCTAACATAAATAACATATTGTAATTAAACAAAAATCTTCCAAAACAAAAACCAGTTAGAAGAGTGGCATTCTTTTTTATTTTTGCGTATCTCTTTTATGTCTGGCTTAATAGAAAACAGCTGGATTCCCAGCTCTGCTTCTGCATTCAGTGTGTGGTGGTATCACACATCATGTAACCCCTGGAAAACTCTACTATTTGTCAAAGTATTATGAAAATTGTTTTGACCTCATGGGTTTCCTTGGAAGAGTCGACCCCTGCAAGGGACCACGGACCACACTTGTGGGAACTGCTGTGCTAAATCATGCTGCTTCCCTCTATGGAGTGGAGATACTGAATCCTGGAGGTGCCTTGAAAAGAACCTGAGGAGGCAGAGCTGTGGGCTGAGGTCCTCGGGTCCATATTACATCCCGGCAGAGGAGATCACGCATCCTTCATGTGACCATGGTTATTTTGGTTTGAATCCACAAAAGAGAAAAGAATGCATGTGTTTAGATTTTCTTTGTACCAAAGGAAAAAGTATGTAGATGGGTCATGTTAAAACATTAAATAATGGGTTAGATATAGCAATACATTTTACCCCATCAGAAGATATTTTCAAAAGCGGGTATAGTCTATATGGTTAGCTATTCAAGGACTTGCCATGGGTGTCATGTTTCCATTTAACAGTTGTCTCCTGCTAGGTTGTTTGTCATTTATATGTAAGCTTATTTTCTTTTTTGTAATTAACTCACAACCTGTTTATTCCTTTTTAGTATTTGTGTATATATTGAAAGAATTGCATGATTTTTTGTTTCTTCACATAGAGTATCTTTTATTTTTAAAAAGAATCTTGGGGTGATGGTTTATTTTAGAGTTAAATCAATCAAAATATCAAAAAGCTTTTCCTCTGATGCCTTAGAAGTGTTTTAGTAGACACAGCACTACCAGTATTTTCCAATATCCTTGAAAGAAATGGCTGTGAGCATTCTAGATAAAATTGATATATTTATCCATATTTTTCTGCTCATAAAATAGAATTTGAGCACTTTCAGATTATATTTTCAAATATTTAGGGCAATGTATTTAAAATGTTTTAAAAATTAACTGGGGAAAAAGGATGAAAGAGTTTTAATTTCCTTGGATCCGAATAATTCAAGTTGCAAGCTTCTGTATTCAATTTTCCTTGCCTTCTGTTGGTTGGTTTGGGATTTTTCTTGGCCTGGGATTGAATATTTTGTATCACTTTAGGAAAGTCAGGATGTAGCTAGCTTTCAAAGTAATAACTCAGATTTATAGTTGAATGGATTTAGAATCAAAGGATTTTGAAAAACATACATTAGGTTCTTTGCTCTTTTTTAGAATCCGAGTATTTTAAACACACTTTCCAGTGTAACACTTGGAGTCTTTTTTAATGCTAAGAATAAGAAAATGGAAGGAAGGTTTTTATCTGCCTCCCTTCCTCATTTCTTCCCCTTTGGCCTTCTTTCCTTCTTTTTCTCCTTTCTTTTTTCTTTTTCTTTTTTTTTTTGTTGAGATGGAGTCTTGCTCTGTTGCCCAGGGTGGAGTGCAGTGGTGCAATCTCGGCTCACTGCAGCCTCCGCTTCCTGAGTTCAAGGGATTCTCCTGGCTCAGCCTCCCGAGCAGCTGAGATTACAGGCACATGCCACCACACTTGGCTAATTTTTTGTATTTTTAGTAGAGACGAGATCTCACCATCTTGATCAGGCTGGTCTCGAACTTCTGACCTCAAGAGATCTGCCTGCCTCAGCCTCCCAAAGGGCTCGGGTTATACGGGATTATAGGCGTGAGCAACTGCACCGGCCTCCGGTTCCTTTCTTGTTTTTTATTTTTATTTTTATTCTTATTATATAATTTTATGCCTCTCTTTGACTCCCACCCTGGCCAGATTTGTAACACTCAAATGTCCATTAAAACGCACGAACAGTTATGTGATGGAAGCTGGGCCCTGGTGCTGACAGCCGTATTTTTCACATCGTTGTAAACATGTGTGCAACCACATCTTAGTTTTTAGTTTAATTATTTCTAATAATAATACAGTGATTTATAAAGTTTCCCTTTCAAAACAAAATCTGGAGTGTGCAGACCACTGAAATTACAAACATATTTAAAGATGTAAAACGTCTCGGGTGAAAAGCCCAAGCCTGTCAGTATTTCTAAGCACGCATTTCTGGAAACCCAAGTCCCCACTCACCTGTTTTTCTAATTGCATTTTCCTTGAAGTGCCTTTGTGCTCACTTGGATTCTCTAGCTTTAACTCAGAGCAGCAAATCTTCCTCTTCTCTGCTGGAAGTAGCATTATTTGTGGATGCTGAAAAGTTCTAGAATTAAACATCAGAACTCCTTCCATCGCTTCACAGAAGGTGCGTTATAAACACTGAATGGCTGTGTAGGGATTTTGTCTTCAATGTCTTTTAAATCTTCAATCATCGATATCCATTTAAGGCCAACCAATCCTGTTTGCTTCCTCTTTGCCATCCCCTTCCCCCGACCTATGAGAGCAGGCATTCAATAAATGTAGGTAGGGCAGTGAATGTTCCAGAGGCCAGTTACATGTTAATTTGAAGTCAGGACATATAAAGCATGAACATTTATGTTAAAACCTGCGTACCTCTTTTGTTAGTGTATAAATGCCGTAATTTTAACAACAATAATAATAGTAGTCATTTTTACTAAATGCCTACTGTGTTCCTGACATCATATTAGGCACATTATATGTGTCATCTCATTTTACTATGAATTACACAACTCTGTAAGGGTTATTATTTTCCCATTTTATAGTTGAAGAAACTGCAGCTTGCCCATGTTCATATGGCTTAGTAAGCATGTTTTTAAGCAGTTGATAAGAATAATTCATTTTTAGCCAGGCATGGTGGCTCATGCCTGTAATCCCCAAGCATTTTGGGAGACTGAGGTAAGAGGATTACGTGAGCCCAGGAGTTCAAGATCAATCTGGGCAGCATAGCAAGATCCCATCTCTGAAACATGAAAGTAAAAAGAAATATTTTCTTTTTGCAGATTGGCATGCTTAAAGGGCTGACCATCTGATGTACAGGAAATGGAAACTACTCTCTGAAAAGCAAGTGATCTCCCAGCCGCACCCATTTAGGAGACCAGGATTTTATTTTGATCCACAGGAGACTAAATGAGTTAGAGGCCACTCCTGTATCAACAGAGTTTGTTACTTAAATGACAGTAGGGCGGTTCGCAGAAGGAACACCAAATAGTCTGACTATCTACCAAGAAGAGAGTGTTTGAACACATGTGCAACCTCTTGACTGTGGTGTGTGGGGCAGCATTTAATAAGAAAGAGCTAAATCTGCTTGATGTGGGAATATATTCAACACATGTTAAGTGCTAAAATATTCAAAGTAAATAAATGTCTATGTACTCCATATTGTTAAAGAAAGAATGTGTGTGTGTGTGTTTGTAGATATAGAGATGAATTTAGGAACCTTTATGATGGTGTATTACCAAACTATTGACATTGGTGATCTTTGCAGGGCAGAAGCCTGTGGTTGGCGTGAGATAGGAGAGGTTTTTTTCATTGTGTATGCCCTCATTGTTTCACTGCTACAATAACTTGTGACATTTTCTTATGAGATTAAGAAATAAAACTTAAGGAAAGAAGACAAGCCCAACTCAGAGCAAGAAATATGGGTCTGAGACTTAGCTTTGTGGCTCATTAGCTCTGTGGCCTGGGCAAACACATAACTTTGGTGAGCCTCAGTTTCAACATCTTCCTTTCTATTTTATTCGAGACTGGGTTTTGCTCTGTGTCCCGGGTTGGAGTGCAGTGACACAATTATGGCTCATTGCAGCCTCAACCTCCCGGGCTCAAGCAATCCCCCACGCCCCCACATCAGCCCTTCCAAGTAGCTGGGACCACAGGCACATGCCACCATGCTTGGCAAGTTTTTTTTTTTTTTTTTTAGAAACAGGATCTCACTATGTTGCTCAGGCTGGTCTTGAACTCATGGACTCAAGCATTTCTTCTACCTCAGCCACCCAGAGTGCTGGGGTTATAGGTATGAGTCACCGTGCCTGGCCCCTATCTTTAAAATGAGAAAATGAGGTGAGGGAACTCCCTAGTCTCCTTGGCCCTTGTGTTTTGTAAAATCTCATGAGACTCTGCCCTTGAGGCAGCTTGGCATTTGTGCTCATTGAGGACTGGGCTGGGCAGCCTTGTACTATTTCCTAAATTTGAATCCTAAATTTTCCTAAATTTTCAGGACCATGGACACAGCCCTCGTGGCATCTTGAAGTGCTGTGCTTGCCCACCAGGACTTTTGCCTGATGATCCCTGTGCTCTAGACAGAGTGAACTTATGTGATGCAAAGCCATTACTGCTGAAATAGTGTTTTCCGGCTAGCCATAGTATAGACCCAGAGACTTTCCTTCTTTCACTTCTATTTTGATGTCATTGTTTATACCCTGTGAAATCATGAGGCTCTTGTTATTTAAAAACCAGTAGAATAGTTAAGAACATGGGCTTTGCAGTCAAGCAGATTTGGGTTCAAACCCCAAATTCACTAGCTGTGCAACTGTGGGCAAGTTATTTAACCTCTCTGGGCTCAGTGCTCTCATGTAGAAAATGATGGTAATACCACCTTAGAGAGCCATTATGCGGGTCAGATATGCATAAGAATGGAGGCTTTAGTCTCTGGAACATAGTGAGTATGCAATAAACATTAGCTGGCAATCAGTAAAATTCTCTTTCCCTACGGAACAGATGCAGGGTAAAAATGTAGGGTTGTATGGCTGAGGTTTACACTGGAGCCTGGGAAGGTGTAGTCAGGCTCAGGAGTCATTTGCTCCATTTCATGTATGAGAGCGGTTGATAAGGATGACAAATGCAAATACTAAAATATTTTGTCAGAATTTATGACAGGAAGTTTTGACACAGTGATATACTACTTCCTGAGAAACATCTGTGCATTATTAATCCTGGATCACATTTCCCGCCCCTCTTTTGCCAGTGGCATAAGCTGCGTGAGAAGGGAGAAGTCTGTTTCCAGAACAGTGGCTACTTGCGGTTGCCAGTGACAAATTAAATCTGCTGATCCTTATTAAGAATTTTCTATGGCCAGTGGTTGGCTAAGAGCTGGGGAAGCCAAGGTTAGTAAGAACCAGCCTAACTCTTAAAGAGCTTACTGGGTGAAACTAGGAAATGGCTCCCTATGGAAGAAGGCAGAATGTAAGCTGGGTGGTGTGGGGGCAGGGGGGACGTGACAGATTCTAACAGAAGCCAGCAGAGAAGGCTTTCCAGAGGAGACCTTTGAGCCAGGCCTGGGAGGAAAGCATGAGACATACATTTCAGGCTGGAGAATGGGCTTGAGCCCTGGCAGAAAGCTGAGAGAGTAGGTAATGTGCCTTGTAAATGGTGAGTTGCCCCAGGAGGTCAGAGTTACCATGTTTGTGAATGGCCAGGAACAGGATGGAAATGTTTTCCAAAATTTCTGCCAATAAAGGTCTCCTGGGGAGTTTGCTAAAAGCACAGATTCCCAGGCCCCTCACCTGCTGATTCAGACCCAGTGTGCATACCACAGATCTGGAAGATGGATCTGAAAAGATAGGAAGGACCAGTTTAATTAGAGCCTTGATGGAGACCAGCCTGGGCAACGTAGACCTTTCTACAAAAAATCATCCAGGCACGGTGGCACAGGCCCCACATGCCTATAGTCCCAGCTACTCGGGAGGCTGAGGTGTGAGGATCTCTTGAATCTGGGAGGTTGAGGTCGCAGTGAGCCGTGGTCACGCCACTGCACTCCAGCCTGGGTGGCAGAGCAGGACCCCATCTCACACACTCAAAAAAAGAGGCTTGAATGTCATTCCGTATTTTGATTTTATTTGACTTGTTATTCCAGAGCATCAGACGATATTTTTAACTAGGTGTTTTGTGCAGACCTAGAAGATTCACATGGCAAATGATGTTCAGGTGGGTCTAGGTCAGTGATTTCTAATGTGAGGTCCAGGACAGCTAGGGGTCCATGAAGACCTGAATGGGTTGCCTGAAACTATTTTATGTGCTTAAAAAATTCCAACACAAGTTATGCATTTATCCTTCCTAAGTTTTAAAATAGTTTAAACAGTTTTCTCTTTAATATGGAACTGTATTAACATAATATGGTGAATGGATGAATTCAGGCTGCACAGTGCAGTGGTTAAAAGCATGGACTTTGAAGACAGATCTGGATTTTAGATTTGTACCACCACTTTCAAGCTGCAAGATCTTGAGCAAGTTACTGCACTGCTGTGATCCAGTTTTCCTGTATATAAAGTGGGGGTAATAGTGGTACCCAGCTCATAGGATTGAGATGAGGATTACATGAGAGGATCCTCGTACAGTGCCTAGTAGAAAGAAAATGTTCAAAAATGTTATTAATACCAGGAAAGAGAGATGGAAAAGGAAAAATAAAATAAAATTTAAAAACCACAAAAATGTTATCAATATTAAGCTGTCTCATGGAAAAATAATTATATATGACTACAGGTAATTTTGTTTGGTAGCAAAACTCAGGAAATAGTAATAACGCAGGAGGCTTGAAGGTGAAAAACTTGCAGAGGCTTCTCAAAGGACTTGCTTGGACACAGCATCTACAGCAGAGAGCAAAGACATGCCTTTTTTTTAGCTCCTCCCAGCCCAGGATACATGCTCCTTAGGGGACCCTTAGACTTAAGCTCTGCCTCTGAAGTGTGATTTACCCTGGAAATGATTCTAACGGAAAATAGTAGAAAACTGCTTTCCAGGAGAAGAATCAAAGGAGAGTATGTATTTACTTTGGGCGATTTTCCCATTGTACTGGTTATATTGCCAAGAAGTTAAAAATAGTGGTGATAAGCAGTCTCTGAATTGGTCCCTCCTGAGGTGGCAAGGGTCAACTGAAAGTAGGATCATTCCTCCGGGGCCCTGAGACCTATCCCCCTTGAACTCTGTTTTGAGAGCCCCTGGTGGAGCATCTGTGGGCTGCTGTCCTGGGATCTGCATATACTACCTGAGTTTCCCTCCTGTCTTATCAATTCCTCAGACTTGTTCTTGGCCTCTGTTAAGCCAACCGATTTTAGATGGCCTCATCCTTTAAATATGCTATTTATAACCACTAATTTATGTTTTCATGATACTTCATGTAGCAGCTGGCCTTTGTGCCACCGTAAGAAAGGAATAATGAAATACGTGGTATTTATATGGGTGGCTATAGTGTTTGTCATTTCGTATATGGATTGCTATTGTAGGAAGCATGAAAAATTGCAAAGGGTATTTTTTTCTCTTAAAGATAAGCTCCAGTGTATTAAATATTCATCTGCTGTGTAAGGACACTATACCATTTTTTTTTGTTTCTTCATCCTTATTTTCTCATGGAAATATATTCAGATGTCTACAATATATATTGTTCTCATAAAATGCTTCTCACTGCAACTGGTCCCCTGAGCAAGACTTAACATCTTCATCAACAGCTGTTACAAAATATGCTAATGTGCATGCCCTTCAGCCTATAGGGTCACATCTAAATAACACCACTGAAGCACACTTGAGAACTTGAACCCTGGCAAGCCTTGACTTTGAGCTGCAGGGTGAGATGTTGAGGATCGGTGTCCCAAAGAACCTTTGCCCTTTTAAAGGCATCGTTCCTCTCCCCAGCTGCCTCATTTTCAAAGGCAACGTTTTGTGTCTTGCATTTTATTGTTTGGCTGAGCTGAAGATACAGGGAGGACAGATGACCCAGGCCTCTCTGCTAAAGATGTAGCCAGTAAAGCTAAGATTCCCAATGGGGGCCACCTCCAGGAGCAGTGGAGGAAAGTGAGCGATGTGTCATAGGTTATGGGGAGACTGCCCCTCTGCTGGGAATTATTAGTCAAGTAGGGCTAGCAGCTCTGCAGAAGTCCAGAAGTGGAGTGGGTGGGGACCAGTGAGTGTTAATACCCCACATCTGAGCAGTGTATTCTCCTTTAATAAATTTACTTCCGGATCCCTGCAGAGGGGTGGTTCTTAGGGTGTGGGCCTGGATTAGCAGAATCAGCATCACCTGGGTTCTTATTTGAAATGCAAATACAGACCTACTGAACTCTGGGGGTGGGGCCAACAGTCTGGCTTAGCAGGCTCTCCAGGTCATTGTGACACATGCCAGGGCTGAGAACCATTGCCCCAGAAGCACTTAGGCCTCTCATTGGGCTCTCCTGTTCCTAGCAAGATCACAAGGATGGCATAGCCCACCCACCGTGTGCCCCTGGATGGGTGTAGGGCTGTGGAGGACACCGGAGAAGCAAGAACTTGATTTCTGCCCTGAAAGCCAAGTGTGCCAGCTGCCCGTGGGGCAGGTCTGGTGTAGTTTTGATGATCAGAGTGAGTATGAGCCAGCATGTCGCCAAGTCCTGGAGCCTGGAAAGAGGGCGGGCTTAAATCAGACAATAGCAAATTCAAATCCTGCCTTTGCTAGTGACCAGCTGAACAATCTGACCAAATTGTGTAACCTAAGTCTTACTGTCGTCACCTGTAAAGTAAGGCGGTAACATCTACCAGAAACGACTATTGTGAGGAATGGAAAGTATGGTATCTAGAGGGTGCCCAGTAAACATTTGTTTTTAAAACGAAGAGTGAGGATATGAAACTGTAAAAGGATGTGTCTGTGCACTATCCAGCCCCAATTACGCTTCCATTTGCTTTCATTCAAGGTTGATCCAAATGGCTCTGCTTTACCTAACTAAGCATTAACAACCACTTCTCTTTTGACTGCTAGTGCTGGTATTGGTATATTGATATAATCATGGCTGTATATTTGGAGCACTTACAATGTGCCAGGATTGTGCTGAAAAATACACATATATGCTCTTTTTATATTTTCATAATGGTTTTATGAGAGAAGTATGGCAGGCAAAATAGCGAAGTCCATACCCCAATCCCTAGAGCCTGGCAATCTGTTACCTTGCATGGAAAGCGACCTTGCACATGCGATTCAGTTAGGACCTTGAGTTGGGAGATGATCCTGGATTAACTAGGCGAGCTCAGTGTAATTACAGGTCCTTATAAGAGGCGGGCAGGAGAGTCAGAGTGAAAGAAGGAGATTTAATGACAAAAGCACAGGACACACAAACAGGAAGAGAAAGATTTGAAGACGCTACACTGCTGGCTTTGAAAGTGGAAGAAAGGGCAAAGAGAATGCAGGTGGCCTGCAGAAAGTAGAAAACGCAAGAAAACAGATTTCTCCCTACAGCTTTCAGAAGAAATACAAGCCTGCCAACTCCTTGATTTGAAGACTTCTGACTTTCAGAACAGTTAGTAGATTTGTGTTGATTTAAGCCACTGCATTTATGGTAATTGATCACTGCAGCCACAGGAAACCAATACAGGAAGTCTTATGACTCAACCCACTTGACAAATGAGGAAACTGGGGATCAGCAAGGCACAGCAGCTCACCTTGGGTCACACAGCTAGGAGGCAGTGCAGAAGTAAACACACCCACATCCAATTCTAGTACACACGCTTAGAACTATTATGATGGACACGGTGCCTCTGGGAGTAGGTGTCCTGCAGAGTGAGGACTGCCTTCTGGGGGTTCTTTTCAATTTTACCATCCTGATAGGGTCAACAGAAAGGTCCACCCTGGGATGCTGCCCAAGGAACATCATACTTCCTGATGAAATCCAATGAATTTTTCTTCCCAGGTGCCCTGTACCAGGAATGTGAGCTGTTTCTTTTTTTTCTGAGGCCGTTTGTAAGGAAGACAGTTGCTGGGGGGTTTGAAGGAAAAACAGGAAGTGGCTTCAGCATCCAATGCAAATCAATCAACTGCTGGAAGAAGGGCCAAGAAAAGAAAGCTTTTTTTTTTTTTTTTTCATGAAAATGGAAAAACGAAACCAAGCCACAGACAACAATAAAGAAACATCAAGGCTAGAAAGGCTGGAGAAGGCCTCAGCATGGACTAGCTCCCTGCTGAAGCCGTGGTGTTTACGTCCCGTGTGAGGAGGAGGCAGAGAGGGGGTACCACTCTTCCTCTCACTTAACAAGGTTATCCTCTGCTGCCACAGAAGAGGAACCTGCAGAAGAGGAGGCAGAGCTGGCCACCAAGAGAGAAGCTGTAGGCAGAGGATACCAGGCAGAGAGGTATCATCGGGACCCCAAAGAGCCAAGCTCCAGATTGAAAGTATTTTTTAGCATCAACGTCAAGCCAGGGCCTTAAAAGACGCCAGACTTTTTTTTTTTTTTTCCAAGCTGTGTACAGGGCTGTAAGAGTGCAAGGCCCAGAATGGCAAGGGTTAAGGCGAAGGGAGGCTGGATTCCCCATTCAGTTCCACAGATGCCTGGCGTCTGCAGGGGACTTGGCATATGCTAGGGGATCCCTGGGGCCAGTCAGAGGAGTCAGGCCAGCCCTGCCTTCAGGAGTGTTCTTATGCTCTGGCAGGGGGAATACAGCAAGTTCCCAAGCTCCTTTAAGGTGAGATCCAGCAGGATGGAGGCACAGGAAGGTACAAAGAGTGGTGTGGCTTGGAGGGAGAAAGAAATCACATCAACTGAGTGGATAGAAATGAGTAATAATTGAGAGGTCACTCCAAGGCAGGTTCCAAGCTAGAAATGATCAGATGAGTGATCTCATTTAGGCTGTCAGAGACTTTGGGAGGTAAGCATTACACCCATGCAGCTTGGGCTCAGAGAGGTTAAACAACTTGCCCAAACACAGCTAGCACCTGCTAGAACTAGGACTGAATCTCGGTGTTTTGATTTCAAGCCCAGCATACTGTCCACCAGACTGAGCAGACTCCTGGTGAGGGGAACCATAAAACGCTTCATGTATCATTTAATGACAAGGAAAGATGTTCAAGAGAAATAGCTAAGTAGATAAGGCAGGTTATGTGATCTAGCGCTCATTAAGACACACGTTTTTATTTATCCTAAAAATATCAAGATTAATATATAATACAAGGGCCAGGCACAGTGGCTCACACCTGTAATCCCAGCACTTTGGGAGGCCGAGGTGGGCAGATAACTTGAGCTCAGGAGTTCGGGAACAGCCTGGCTAACATGGCGAAACCCTGTCTCTACTAATTACAAAATTACTATTTTGTAATTTTGTAAAAATACAAAAATTAGTTGGGCATGGTGGTGCATACCTGTAGTCTCACCTAGTAGGGAGGGTGAGGCAAGAGAATCGCTTGAACCCAGAAGGTGGAGGTTGCAGTGAGCCAAGATCACGCCACGGCACTCCAGCCTGGACAACAGAGCAAGACTCCGTCTCAAAATACATACACACACACACACACACACGCACGCACGCACGCGCGTGTATATATGTGTATATATGTAATGATTTACATATATATGTATATGTATGTATATATGTGTATATATGTATGTTTTTAATATATATTATATATATACATTACAAGTTTTCTACAGGAAACAACACTCAGCATATTCCTAAATACTAGTAGAACTCTGGGCTTTTACAACTGTTTGGTGGAGTTTTGTCTGAGCAAGTTTCCAGATGTTTTATAGGTGCCTGAAAAGGTAGGTGAACATCAGGGGATATCCCCAAGAGCAAATATACAGAAGCAAGAAATGTTAGAACCATCTTTGCATCTGTGTGAATGTGCAGGAAACATGCATTGAAGTGTGGCTGTAATACAGGGACTGTGTAGGAGAGTGGTGGGTGGGGTGGGACCACCTTGGAGGGTCCTGAATGCCACATTAAAAGATTTCGGTTCTACAGATTATGAAGGACCTAACCCAGAGGTGGTGGTTGAGATGCTGTATTAAAAGTAACACCTTAAATGTGGCAGGGGATTAAGTGAGATCTAAATTTGAAAGGTTGGTTTTCAACATAAGTGTGGGGAAAGCTCCCTGATGCCAACCTTGCTGGTCCTGAATTGTGGCACACTGTCACCACCTGGTGGTCACATAGCCAAATTGTAGGGCTAATGGATTTAGCCAGAGTCCTGGTTGTAGAGAAATTTCTTCATAAAAAAAAAAAAAAAAAAAAAAAAAAAAAAAAAAAAAAAATCCTGGTCAAATTATTTGCATCCTTTAAAGAGTTCTAAAGGCTTATAAATATCTGGATAAGGATCTCAATGTTTATTATTAACCTGAGTGTCTGTAATAATGTGGACACATTCTTTAAGTAACTCAAAATTGTTCAAACCTAGCAGACAAAGAACATTGTCATTTTCTGGACTATATGAATATCAGGATCCATCTGGAAGTTGAAAAGACTCAATAGCTTTGAGATTTGTAATGAAGGAAAAAAAAATCTTTTAAAGTAATTCCTAGCAGGTTGACATTTAAGAGACTTAACTGCTGAGTACCGAGTGAAGAGTGATTTTTACAGAAGCTCTCGTTTCAGCTGATTCCAGGGCCTGATTAGATGTCATTACAAGAAGAACTGGATTTTGAACAGAGAAGCATTAGGGGTGCAGCCGATTCTGTGATTTTGTGTATGTGTGTCACTGCAGTTTGAGACATCTGGCAACTACAACTTCTTTGTCATTGTCTACTGTAATTCCAGAGAGGGCAGGTCTTAAGAAGGGGTGAGCATAGCTGGGCTCAGATAATTGTTGGTGAGTAGGTTGTGGGGATGAGGATGGGGAAAAGTAATCTAATTATGGAGATGTACATGAGAATGGAGTCTTTATTACCATGCTGGCCACTGGCAAGCATTGTAGCTGTGGATAACATGTGGATAACATGTAAAGGGTATGTTCTGCTTCACAAGTAGTGCTCTGTGTGGTGGGATGAGCACTGTGCTAGGAGTCCTGAGGTCCAGATCCTAGCTCTGGCTCTCCCTCTAACAGAGGGAGACTCCCTCTGTGACTTTTGGAAAGATGACCTCTCTGAGGCCACATATTCTTTAGCTGTAAAACTTGGTTTTATATTTCCCCTTCCTATAATATCATGCTGCTGTGAGATTCAAACAAAAAGCACTGGGTAAATATAAGGTGATATAACGGTTGTCAATGGATGTGCAATTACGTTTGAAAAGTCCAAATGTTGTGTAAGATTAACTACTCCTCTCCTGCCTCATCCCTTTTCTTCTGTTCTTCTGCCTGCTCCTGTTCTGTGTCTGTTCATGTTTTTATTCCTATTGCTGTCCCTGGGCCCTCCTCTCTAAACAGATTCACAAGGCTGACGTGGGGAAATTATTCTGGTATTCCAAGAGACATGTTCATCTGTGTCTTTCTGGTGCTTGGGCATGTTGTAGGTATTTAGTAGAAACTGGTCAGTTTAATAGATCGTGAATACTGTCAGTGTCTTTCTTGCATCTTCATCGAGGTCCTCAGTAACCTCTTAAGGAAAGAGTTCTTGAAATGTTTCAGTCTTTTAAAAAAAAAAGTGAAAGATGGCATCAGTCTTTACGTTTGCTACATTTCTCTTCCACATACTGGAATATCCTTTCATTGGGCTGATGCCCCCCACTCAGAAGAGTTTGAAAATCTTGCACCTGATGGCAGCCCTGCATGCATTAAGAGTAAAGGTTTCAGAGTCCCACATCGAGCTCAGGTCAGACTTCTGCCACTTAGGTCTATGTGGCCTTGGACAAGTTACTTCATCATCCTGGGCTTCACATTTTGTATCTGTAAGCTGAAAATCTATAAACCACAGATAGTAGTTGTGGGGATTAAATGAGGTCTCTGCAAGTGTCTGGAGTAAGGGGTAGATATTATTAATGTTTGTAAGGCAGGCCTCTGTGTTTGAGATTTCCACATGCCCTGTGCAACTAAGAATGGGTTGAAGATTTTCAGCTTTCATGTTTAAAGTGGGATGTTGTTTGCCCCTCTTTCATTTCTGTGAACCCCTCCTTTCCCTAGTCATGTTCCTGTGTTTCCACTCTCAAGTGATCCACAGAACCCTCAGGTTCCCCATCCTTGGGGATTGGTGGGACCCCAGCTCTCCAACTCTCTTCTAATCAAGCCTTTGATCTATTTTACATATTGGCATTTAGAATGGAATTTCTTTAGGGTAAAAGTTCTACAGAAAAAAGACAAAGAGTTTTGAAACCCACCAACCACTGGCCGTGGTCTAGGATAAAGACACTGGATCAAAAGAGGGAATTAGATAAAGGACTTGACTTTGGTGAGGCTTAGCAGCTCTAAAATCACAGAAATGCTCTGGAAATAAAGAGGGGAGCTGGATACACACAGCCACTTTTGAACTGTTGAGAAGATGGGGCTATGATTCCTGCAAGAAGTAATCCGAATGGATGACAGTTGGAGTTGCAGCCACAATAAATATTTCTAGCCCAAATCTCGTGGAAAACTGGCTTATGCCCCCAGATGCCTGGTGTGGTGTTGACGTGGGGAAGATACTCCCTGTGTTGAGGCAGCAGGAAGGTGAAAAGAATGAAACAAGTGTTTTTTCACACACAGATTCTGTATTTCACAATTACGCAGTTTATTCTTTGGGGTTTGCTAGGGGAACCTACAGAGAGAAGCAGGATGCCTTCTTCTCAGTAGGAGCTTTGGAGGGTGTGATGGAGCCACAGGAGAGGGGTAGGTGGTGCAGGGTGAAGGGTGCTTTGGGTAAAGCTGCCGATCTGTCTTTGAAAAGGTTCTCTGCTGTGCTGTCAACAGCATGATATTCTTTAGTATTGATGGGCACTTGCAATTTTGTGGTGCTTCTTGGAAAGTGCTCTCTAATTACCTGGAACATTTATATTTTTTCTGTTATCCCTCCATACCTCTCTTAATTTTTCAAAAATCAGTCTTTCAGCTTCCAGATCTCTTTAGCCCTTAACAGTAGCCTTCTATATAATCTGCAGATCTGGTACAGAACATAGTGTTAATTTAGACCTTACTGATGCAGAATTTGTGATAACTGTGTCAGAGGTTGAGAAAAAAAAAGATGTAACTAGCATTGCTCAGGAGGAAAGGGCTTTGCTGGAGCAAGTTCATCCAGAGCTCATATGATCTACCCAACAGGAACAAAGGGCTTGTAGGTATTTAAGAGCATACAACTGCTGTCCTAATTGCAAACCGTTCTAGCCTTTTCATACAAGCAGGACCTGTATACGGCAATGGTTGCATTGCTTAGGTTTGTGTTACTATTCTTGATAAAAAAGCAATGACACCTGATTGTTCAGGAAAAACAAGCTTTTTACTTTTTAAAGATTCCACAGATCCTTCACTCCCAATCTTTCTAATAAGCCTGGAGTAGAGTGGTCTTACCACATATGAAAATTTTCAGCCTGCCAGCCGCTGCTGGTAATTTATGGGTTTGGACACTACAGAGAGACAGCAAATGTGGAAAATATCTCTAAAGTGCTGATGAAACCTTATACTCAAAGTCAGAAAAAGTACCCATTAATACGTAGTTAAGACTACAGGCTCCACATGTTTTTTTTTTTTTGATACAGGCCACTGAGACACCTGGGCTCACCTATTGGCTGTACCATTGATGCACAGACACCTACACTCTCTTGAGAGATGAAACCTCCAGTTGTAAGATCTTGTGTGTGCTTTGGGGTTTTTTGGTTGCATAGGTGTTTAAACTATCTAACAGTTTATTGAGCCCAGACTCAGTGATCTGACTAATTTGGATTAAATCCCTCTATATCACTTGCTGTGTTACCTTGGGTAAGTGGTTTCATCTAAGCCAAGCTTAGGTTTCTCTATGTGGATCATGCAGGCAACAATCTTTTTGGAGAAATAAATGGCATGTTAAGAGCTCAGTGTGGTCCTTTGTGTGTAAAAGGCTCTCAGTGAATGGTGTGTGATTGTGTGCGAGCTGTGTGATGGTTTTGAGATGAGAAGATGACACCAGATTTCCTGTGACAAACTCTGTGGAATTTGTCATTGCCCCTGAGCAGATCAGCAGCTGTGACTCCTCTCTGACCAGCTACCACTGCTTCGATGTCACCTGTGTGCCCTGCTTGGCACGTATCTGGTCTCAATTTCGTGTCTTCCCTCATCGGCTCCCCTTCTTTAGTAGGAAGTACGAATCTTGAATTGTTTTTATCTGACAATTAGACTCAGGTCTATGTGTTGGCTGCTGGTGGTGTTTTCTTGCTTTGTCTAATTTGTCAGATTCCAGAACCTTATACATGTCCTGCCCTCTAGAGGAGGCCTTTACCTGGCAGAATTTATGTCTTCTGGAAAACTGACTTGCCTCTGAATAGATATTGCTAGGTGCCCCGTCTCATCATGACGCTGATCGCTAGTGTTCTATTTGCCCTGACCAACTGGTGTCTCCTGGAACACGGATCCTCTTAGGCTCTGCTCTGGGACCCAGACCCCTTGTCCATTTAATTTCTATGTGGCCTTCCATGATTTGGCATATTGATACTAAAGTAACTGATGGATGCAAATGTATCCACACACAGATAAACAGAGAAATAGATAGTTAACTGGAAAACAGCAAGTAGAATGTTTAAAAACCCCACTAAAATAGATGGAAGGAAATCATGATGTGTTACTAAGTTAAGTGTGTTTCTCTTGCCACTTGGAGCCATTGGCATTGATTGATTCATTCATTGACTTATCACCCAACATAAATCAGGTCCTTGCACCTTATGAATCGTTCTGCTGAGTGCGGTGAGTGACGCATAGGTGGCAAGACCTGCTCTGACCCTATTAAATGTAGCATACAACAATTCTGTGTTCTGCCAAATTCCCCAGTAATAGTGGCCTTGTTTCCAGTTTTATGTTGAAGACTTGTAAGAAGCTGGAAACTGGTCACAGACAGCCCATTTATTGAGCTGGCCAAAGTAGTTATTAGGTAAGTGAAGGAGGATTGGATTGTGTGTTGGGAAACTTCATTTATGGTCTCGGCTCTTTTGCTAACTGTGGGTCCATAGATATTTAATAAAACACTTAACCTTTTCCTACCTTGGTTTCTTTAGCCGTAGTAAGAGGCAGCTGGTTTGGGTTGAGCCAGATCTAGAATTCTATTAATTTATAAAAATTATTTTTAAATGTCAGGGCTAAAAGAGAGGGCCATGGACGGCTGTCACCTTTCCCCCTTATGTTACTCACAGTTGGTAGAGTCCCTCACCAAGACCACTGTTAGCACCAGAAATGCCCCTACTGGCAGCATCTCCTCCATGAACAGGAGCCCTTGTGGGTGCTTTCGTGTGTGGCCTTTTGTCAAGGCTAAAGTCTATTAAAATACGGACTAAGATATTTCTTCTTTTGCTTTTTAAAATGTTTTAGTTCATTTGAAACCATGACCACTGTAATGACCCAGGACCGAGGACCAGATCATGTGGTTACCAGACACATCTTTCTGTGGGAATAGTGATGATCCAAGACACTTTTATATGGATGCCTACAGCAGGGGAAAGTTACACATTACACTGCAAAGAACATTCGTTACAGATCATAACAGCTATATCATTTCTTTACTGTGAAATATTTTTAAGGCCATTTTTCGTTTTTTTCTGACTGTAGGCAAAAGTAGATGCTTATTTTGGAATAGAAAACAATAACAATAAAATATTCACTTTTAGGACCACTTTTAACGTGTGTATATATCTACATTTCTATTTTTGGATATTTGCATTCTGCCTTTTGCATCAAATATCTTATGCATTTGCCACGTGATTAAAAATGGCTCAAAAACGTGATTTTCAGTGGCTGCATATACAGTTCATAGTGATTATACCATAATTTATTGAACTATTGCCACAGTATATCATTGTATTTTTATTTGGACCCCATGAGTTTCTGTTTTTAAGTGGCCTTCACGGGGGGAAGATAAATATGTCTTTAGACTAATAGATTTGCACTTCATATTGGCTATGAGAAGAAATTGCCTGTAATTAGCATCTTCAAATTATCTACAATCTAAGTTGCTTGCTGTTTAAAGATTCAAATACTAGATAAGAACTTTTTTTTTGAGATTCTATTTTTGTAGTTATGTGCACCCAAGCCCAGTAGTGGAGATAAGAACAGTCAAAACAATAAAACATTAAGAAAAGATGGGAAGAGGAGAAAACTGACATTTATGGAGCACATGCTATGTGAATGCGCATACATTATTTCATTACGTTCTCCCAGCCAGTCTGTGAGATAGATGTTACTTATTCTTGTTCTGCAGAAGACAAAACTGAGCTCAGAGAGGTTCAGCACTTGCCCAGGTAGCTGGAAAATGGCAGAGCCAGCATTTGAACCCAGGTCTCTCAAATCCAAAACGCAAATTCTTCCGATTTTATATCATACTGCCTAAATAAAATCAAACCCTGGATCAAGGTGACTGCTGCTGCTCTTCTGCCCTATATTACTGTAAAGCTCTCAAAAAAATTCAGAAAGATAGTCCACAAGAGCAGTGTTCCCACTGCTTGGGGGACCATGGAGTTGAGACTTCATATGGGATCCACAATCCTTCTGGCTCCAGCATCATCTCTCCTCCCATTGCTTCAGTCAGAGCAACTCAGCCTTTTCCTGTTTTACATATTGGGCTTCTGAGTAAGAAGATGACCCCTATTTTGTCAGACCCCCTCCGCCTCCCAAATGCACCCAATCCCCTGTCCTTTTGCTTCAGTGAAATACAATTGGCTTTTAATGGGAGCTCGTCTCCAAACATCCGTGCTTGCCCCAGTGCAAAGTGGGTTTGATAGATTGGTACTTGCCCCAGAAACATTCTTCCCAGATTTCCATGGGAAACCTTCATTCATTGGGCAAATGATTGGTTGGGTCTCAGTGAAGAAATAAAAAGAATTTTCTTTGTGTTCACTCTGCATTGTGACTTTTATGTCTTCGTTTGTGAAGACAGCTCTCTTCATAACCCCCTAATATTTCCCAGAGAATTCTCCATCTTTTCTGTGATCAATTATGATAGCTCTAAAATAGCATGCAGTTCTGAAATTCTCCACTTGCCACTATGTTTCTTATCACCTCTATAGTTTATTCACTCATCCATTTCTTCATCAAGCAGGCACTGAGCACCAGCTATGGGCAAGCATCAGGTTCTCATGGCATTCTCAGCAAAGTCCCCTTCTTCGCCGTTGTTTCATGCTTAACATTTGCAGAATTCTGTTTTTCGAGAGATTTTTATATTTGTTTGAAATTCTAATAAGAATAAACATATTTACTGAATATTAAAGCTCAATAAGATAGCTATAGTGTGAAATGTGGTTCAACATTAAAACAGCAATGCTGTGAAAATGTGTAATGTAACATGAACTTGTAAATTATAAAAAAGTTATCCTTCTCACCTCGTAGTTACTTTACGTATACTACTGTAGGCTATAGACCTAATAAGCTAGTATCTATAAACAGGGAACCGCTTTATGAGCATCAGTAATGGAAGCAGGTTTATGCAACTTTGCTGTTATTTTTTGTTTGTTTGAAGTAGGTCCTGTCAGTTCTTGGATTAGTGCTTCGTGCCAGGAACATGAGAGCTTATGTGGAGTGTTGATTTAAGTTTGTATAACATTGTCACATCATTTCTTTTATTCTTCTCAACAACCTTTTGATGTAGGTGTTTATTTGCATTCCTGTTTTATAGGTAAGGAAACTGAGGTCACACACCTGGTGATCGCAGAGAAGGAACTGGAATGAGTCATCTTCTATCCCAGGGTCCACTACCCAATCGTTTGATTTTCAGAACTATGTGGGAATTTTCTTTTATCATCTGAGTGTACCCATCTTCAGATCCTCACAAAATGAAAATTCTCAGTACACATACATATTTCTAGTTGAGCAAACAAATGCTTTTCATTCACAATAGGAAACTGAACCTCACAAAATGAATTTGGTAATAGCTAATCCCTATTTATGGGCAGCTGCCCAAACTGGTAAAACATACATAATGCACACCTCGTTGCCATTGCACATTCAAAATGCAGTGTGATTGCCGCAAAGGTACATTATTATCCACAGTCAATATGTCACCTAAATGTATGAATGCAATACAGTGTGGTATTTTGGAACACGATGTTAGGTTTCCTGATTGGAAATGTTCTTGAACTAAAATATCCTCCGTGACAAGCTTTTTTGTAGTTATAAAAAAAGATCAGCATCTCACAGGTTACCTGATTTGCTAATTACTTAGAATTCAGATCAGGTATTTGTGGTGAAATTAGCATGCAATAACCATCAGTTTTTGACAAGGGTTTCTGATGGAAGAAAGGGATTAGCTGTGGGTGACAAGCTGGTAAGTAAAAAAAATTGGAAGTACATTTTCAGGGTTAAATTTTATCTCTCAGGTTAAATGATGGCTTAATGTTTTAATGATGTTCAGCAAGGGTAGATGGGTAAATAGGAAAGGCAAAGCTGCTTCTTTATAGGGAGAGATGTGTCTCGAAGGGGTGTGGCATTTCCTTCAAAAAGGCTGATAAATGGGACTCTTGATATAGGCTAAGTAACCCCCTTTCATTCTGTGTAGGAGGATCTATGAGAGCTGATTATTTTCCAGTTAACAAAGGGTAGGAAGTTGTTCTTAAATCAGAGTCTGATTTGTCTAGTTATGTCTATCTATTTATATCTACCTATGTCTAGCTGTATATTTATATATGTTACACCATGCTTGCGATTTATTGAGGTCTAGTCGTAAAATGACTAAGATTGAATCTGAGAAAAGATCCTACCACATCATGAATGTGTACTTCCCTTGATATCCTCTGTCCTTGGTTAAAGGTGCAGATGTGAATGCAATATTCCCAATGTACTTTTCCTTGCGGACCTCCCCACTTCATCCTTGCCTTCATCCTTTAAATGCCATAGAACGTGCTTCAGAATGACTCACTCCTGAAGAGGAACAGAGCCATTTTATTCTCCAAAGTGCACAGTCTTTCATCAAATATTGTTTCAGCTGACACGACAGCTCCCGCAACAATCCAGACCAGGAACAGTTTCTGAGCCTCTTTGGGTCTCTATTACCACATCTGCGAACTGAGGGAAATAATAGTACTTACCTCGGGGGAGCGGATGAGCAGTAAATAAGTGGACACTTGTAAAGAATCTAGAAGAGTGGGTGGCATATAGCAAGTGCTCAAAAATTGTTTATTCAATAAAGGCAAAGGTTGGCAGCCACCTAGGAAGTAATGAGCTATGTAGCCATTTAGACATAAAATAGGTTAAACATCATATGCCTTTGACCAACATTAGCCAGCTTGGAGGAGGAATGAAAAGTTCATATCCAATTAATGCTGCAGATTTCCCAGCCCCCGCCAGTTCTAGAAAGTTGAGAACCCACAACTTGCAAAGACATCCTGGCTGATCTCCAGTTGAGATGACACTTCCAGAGAGGAGAAGGCTGTCAGGTCTTCGTTTAAGCCAAGTCAGATCAGCACATATTTGCCCGCTGTCTGGAGGAGTGGAAAACTCCACACTGTCACTTCGAGCACTCCAGGGATCACATCTGTCAGGATGGAATTGCTCATCCCACACTCTGTGGACAAGGACTTGGCGTCCAAGTCTGACATGTGACCAACACTCCATTTGGGATAGTGGTCACAGCAAACCCTTCTGAAAGGGAATTTGGTAAGTTTTCCGACAAGTCAGTGTGCAGCTGGGGTTGGGCTTTGGCACGTCCTCTCATGAATTGAACTGTGGCTTTCCATGCTCTCCAGGGTCTGGGATTTGGCTCCAGCTGAGGAACATACACATACCTCAGAGGCCCGACTCTGTTGCTCTCTTCAGCTTTGCATATTATGGAATTTTACTAATCTGGGTCTGAGGGATGGGGCGATTATCCCAATGCTGGGTTTGTTTTCATTCCTTCCACCATGAACACATTTATTTATCGATTTATTTAACAGTCATTTAATAACAGCCTACTGTGTGGCAGTCACGAAACTAGGGCCAGTCACTCAGCTAGATGTAAAGAGAATCAGATTCCTTTAAAACATATACACTAATGGGAGAGAGCTGCTTAAAATCAATCGCAAAGATTTTTTTCTTTGTCTTATCTGTGTGTGCCCAGTGCCTTTCGTTGTGCCAGCACATGGTGAGGAGGGCTGTCCCTTAAATCTTGGCTCCTGGAGAACAATGGGGTAAGTAAGCTGGGTACAAACGGCTGTGAGGATCAAATATATTGTATCTGTGTAGTGCAAATACCTAGCTGAGTCCAGTATTTTAAACTTTATAAATGTAGTTTCATATTCACTATATCACTTAGTTTACACAAATAACCCATTAACTTTAAAAGGTATTTTTTAACATTTTATGTTTAGCTGAAACTCAGAAGAGTTAACCTACCTCCCTACCATCACACAGCTAGTTGGGTGTCATGCCCAACACAGAGGTCTCTGGATTGAAAGTTCCTTTCAATATTCATGATGTTGCCTACATTTATGCCAAAAGGGCTATTTTTATTTCCCTAAGAGGTGTCAAAACTTAATGGTTCAGAGGATATAATCTATTCTCACTTGGTCAAAATACTTGGTTTTGGTCATTCTTTTTTCATCCTGCGAACATTTACTAAGTACCTACCATGTGCCGTGTGCTACCTTAATTAAATATTCTGTTTCAGATTTACTACATGTACCATGCAGGGTTGTTTGGTTTTCTGAAGCTTGGAAAAGGATAAATTATACTCTACCTTGAAAATATGTTGATCAAACTATTGTTTGGCTGATTTAGAAGGAACTGGAGGCTCTGGCAGTACCCAGGTTCTTCAAGATGAACATCCTTCTCACCATTCATTACAAAAGATAGATGGTATTGGGCTGAATCTGCACTGGCCATATTTTGCAACCTGGAAAATCCTTTGAAAAAGCAAATCCTTGATATGGGCCAGTACTAAGTTATAAAAGTGTGACTTTGACAAATTTATTAACCTCTTTTCACCTCAGATTTAACATCTCTTATAACATGGGGGAGTCTGGAGAAGACGTCAAGTTTTAAGGGTCTTTCTGTTTCCAAGCCTTTGCTGTATTTCATCTTTATACCCTAAAGGATGGCTCTTATAATGCTGTAGCTTCCAGAACTTTCCTCCTTCTCAGAGTGCTTCTACCTCCTAGGGTCTCAGGCTTCCTGTTTGCTTTTCACTCCCACAGATTCCTGCTGGGCTGTTCTCTGGCGCCATCTCTCCAGGTCTCTGGGGAAGGTAATGGAGAGTTGCTGAGAAGACTTGATGGAACTGGCTCTTCCAGGAGCTATTTTATGACTCATGTACTGTAGGGGTGCCGGCCTGTGGGGGCAGAAAGGAAACTGCTTGTTTCTTCTTTTCTGATTAAAAGAAACAACTCAAGGAACCGACTATCTCAGGCAGCCTCCTTTTCCACACTATTGGACCATTTGCAAAAATTATAACACAAACAAAAAATCTAGAATCATACTAAAATGGCAACAGGAACAGATTTTAACATATCTTAATACATATCTTCAAACTTTTCCCCCCTTGTTTTCCTCTCTTTTCCTCTGCTTTATGCTCTTAAAAAAAAGAAAGAGAAGTGACAAGGAACTGGCTTCTCACCCAGTAAAGAGTAGGAACAGTCCTTTGGCTTTTGAGCAGATCATGAGATTTTTTTTTTCTTCTGCAAAATTTCAGGGACTATCTTCCAGAAAAGTCATGTGCAAGGAGAGTGAATGGTTACAGCTGGATTAACACCCAGCCTGTTGGGTTCTGAGACGTCAACGGTGTCTTCTCTGTATAATCCCGTTTTCCAGAACACAAAGTCCAGAGTGCCCGTGTGTGCATTCCTGCCTTGGCTGGGTTGAAACGCGGGGTCTCCTTCCACCTGGAGTGTGGCAAGGAGAAAGCTGTGGTTCTGAGGTATCTGAATCCTTGGATCTGGGCCTGGTGATTCACCAGCTTTGCTGTTTGTAAACACATCATCAGCCTTTGTCAAGTTTCTTCTGTGGTTGGGTAATTAATGTTATTGGAGGAAACTATTATTTTTTTTCCCCTCACAGCTGAAGATGAGACAGAATTTGTCAGGCATCATAGACAAGTGTATTATTTTGCTTAATCTTTCCCATTGATCGGTCTCTGTTGCCTGATAGCCCAAGGAATCTTCCAAAGATCTTCCCATGGCTGCGGCCACAACTCCCCAAACAGCTAGGGCGTATTTAAAAAGGGAAAACCGGGCAACTCTTCTAGCTTTGTTCATTAACCTTCTGTTTTCCTCACACTGTTTTTTCCTTCTCAAAATATAAACCCCTTTGGTGCTTTCTCTTGAGTTGGATTTGGCTAGTTTCAAGATTTAAGATTTATATGCCTGAAGATGTATTTCTTCTATCTTTTCTTTAGCTATAGAAAATCACCTTAAATTTATTTATTTAGTATTTATTTGAAGGTTAATGGAATTTTATTTTTAATTATTTTTGAAGTAACATGCTGATATTCATCTTTTTAAATTAATTTTTAATAGGTGACACATAATGTACATATTTACGGGACACAGTGTGATGTTTTAATGCATGTATACATTGTATAATGATCAAGCTGGGATAATTACCATGTCCATCACCTTAAACATTTGTCATTTCTTTGTGGTGACAACATTTAAAATCTTCTTGCTGTCTTGAAATATACCAAGTGCCAGTCACATTGTTATTCACTACAGTCACCATACTGTATATTAGAACTCCACAATGTATTTGTCCTGTCTAACTGTAACTTTCTTCGAACATCTGGATCCGGGAACGTGATAATCTCTGCATCTGTGCCCAAAGAAATACTCCTTGCCCGGGTGACCTCCCTTTCACAATGCGAGAGGCAGAACCATTGTTTTTCCCATTTCTCAGCCCACTCTCTATTCTTGAGCCAGCCGACGGTGTCAGTGTGTATTTTTTGCCACAACTGCCCTAATAACATTTCCATGTGGAACACACACTCACACTGAGGCAAAGACACAATGGGTACCCTAGCTCTAAGACCACCATTTTCCTTCCCACTTGATGAAACATACCAGAATGCAGGGCTGGGAGAGGGACTTGACTGTATGATAACCTTGAATCTCCTGTAATTTACGAAGTAAAGTTTAATTATTTTGAAACTTTAAAATTTGTACTACTCTTAGCAACAAATGGCTCATGACCCATCTGGATGACAGGTCACGTAGATCTGTGACCTGTCTGTGACTGAGAATCACTTGTTTCCACTACAGAGATTTTTCCAAGGATCTCTTGCCCGGAAGCTCAGTTGGTAATGGAGTGCTGTGGCTCACAGTTCTTAGTAATTGTATTTTTCACCTTGAAAGCCAGGGCATTAGAAAGGCTTATGGCTCTGAGAGTTAGTGTGAACTGCTTGGTCTACCAGCAGTTCGCTGATGGTCTCAGGGAAGTCTGGTATGTAAATATTGAATCAGCCTACCTGTGGGTCCTTCCTATCTTGGCCTTTACTTTTGTACCCCTTTTCATCCCACAAATAGGAAATGCCAAGAAAAAGAATGTCAGTCAAAGACCCCAAAGAGTAATGTTGTTGGTGGGGAGGAATGCCTTCAAAATGAGATGTGGATTTGGGGAGGTTAAAGGGTGAACTGGGCATGAGAAAAGGGGTGAGTTAAAGACCTGGTATTGGAAAGTGAAGGAGAAATATAGAAAGGATTTGGCTAGGAAGTGCAGGATATAAGGGTTTGAGATTCACTAATCAAGCAGAACCACCTGCTTCGTGTCTATAAGCTGTGTGAGCCCACTGCAGGCAAGGTGTCTAAATGGCTAGAAGTGGCTTGGCCTTACCAAATCTGTTTCTTGATAGGAGATCAATAAATGCTAGCTAGCATGAATGATAATGGCTGCGTCCTGTTCCGGCCTGGGCCTCCATGTCATTGTGTGCCCTTGCATAACAACTTTGCTCCTGAGGGTTCTTAGCAATTGAAGGGTTCTTAGCAATTGTGCATGAAACCCACAATCCAAAATACACAAGGTCATTATTGATGCATGTAGCAATAGAGAAGAGTCATGGAGTTTTAGAGCCGGAAGAACATTTACAGCTGATCATGCCCAAATCCCCTCATGCAAATCAATTAACAAAAATTATATAGCCAAACATTCAAGTCGATGCCCTGTAATTAGTAACTGGAGTTTGAGGTACTCAACAAGGTAATAAAGCCCGTTAACAGCCATCAGACCCACTGAGTCTCTCTGGCACTATGAGTGGGTTAGCAGCTGCTCACTGGATGCAGCTGTTGAAAGGAAGAAAATTCTCTCTCTCTGAATGTGTTGGGCTCTGTCCAGCCTGTGCCATTCACACTCCCATGTCCTTTCTTAGTAATAATTAGTAAAATTTCCCTCACTGGTTTTGGAGTTGGAGGAGAATCAAAACATTGAGGGATAAACCATCCCACCCCACTTAGGTATACATGGTGTAGCCTTAATTGAACCAGATATTTACTAAAAATGGGTTCATCTTGCCATTCCTGCAGGTTAAGGGCGAACTCCTGGACATGACATTGAGACCAGCTCCTTGGGGCTCCAACCTGCCTTTCCGGAATCCTCTCCTTCCAATCCCTACCTAGTGCTGCAGGCTCCAGGGCTTCTTGTGGATGTCCAACCCTCTGTGTACTCTCGTGACTTTTTTTCTGATAGGATTATCAATCAGGACACCTTTTCCCCCTTAGTTGACCTGGTACACACCTACCCACCCTTCAAAGGCCAGTTCAATTGTGACTTGTCTTCCTCTAAAATGTGAAGAACATTGATCACCCCTCTGTCCACAATGCTTTGTCCGTACCTCCATGAAAGTAGCTCTTCAGTGAGCTACATTTAAAGGAGTAGCAGCCTGTCCACAGTGCTTTGTCCAGACCTGCATTATTCTGTAGGGAGTTGCTTATTTATCTACAAGTGCTTGCATCTTAGGTTCTTGATTTTCTCCCAGCTTAACCTAAAGCCTGGCATGATGTAGTTACCTAATAAATATCTTTGAGTCTGTGGATGGATGGATGCTTAGAGAGATGTCCTAAAAAGTTGCTTTCCAGGCTTCATTTTTATATAAATGTGAGCTCTATAAGGGCAGAAAGATCTCTTGTTCACTAAATGCCCCGGCACCTAGAATGGTACTTAGCACACAAAAGGATTTAGTACATATTTGTTGAATGAATAAGTGAAACACAATAGAATATTTTTTCTAGATTTGAACTATATTTAACAATATAATATTTACATATAATATTTTATAATATATATGATTATGTAACATTTAAATATAAATATATGATATTTAACTATAAATATTACTTTTGCTCATAAACATGTTTGATTTGGAAGGAAACATCTATTAGATCTGTAATGACTCTTTTCCTCACAGTGAATGGGCATGTTTTTTCATATTCCTCGGGACTGCTTGCTTATTCCACTTCCTTCTAGTAGCTTCTTTTCATTGATAGCTGGGCAGGAACTCAACTATTTCTCCAGTTTAGGAGTTGGGGAAGCTTTAAGAGAATGTGAGTTTTAGGTGTTGACTTCAGAAAAACGTTCATTTAAAATATGTGTTTATAACATTTGCTTTCCTGCCACTGCCTTTCCGGGTTTATGATTCTCCACCAGGATATTTGGTGGAATTTGTATTTGTTTGTTTTTTGTTTTTAGTTTGCATATAGAGAAGCTATTGAGCTGCGGAGAATGAAATCGCACTGGAATTTTTCCCAAACTACTCTGACTGACAGCTTCATGGAGAAAGGGGAACAACGATTTTCCACAACTCTAGAGCACAGTGGGCCCTCTTTGTGATATGGGCCTGGCGAGTGGCAAGACAAACCATGTGCTAATAGTGAATGCAGGAACTAGAGGGAGGGCAGAATCCAGAATTTAGGTTTTTTTTCCATTGGCTTTGCCTTGCATTTGTCATAGTGCTCTGCTTCCAGGAGACATTTAATAAATAGCTGCTGAATTTAAAGTACATGCTTGATAAGCTTCGTATTCAAAAAGTATATTAGAGGTCAGATCTTTGAAACTTTTCGTTTTACAGGTAAAGACAATGGTGGCCAGAGAAGGGAATATTCAGTTCAAGGTGTCACAGATCAATAGTAGCAAAATCAGAGGTGTGCAGTTCTTATCCTGTGGGATTTAACATGCAGGATATTTAGATTGATATCATGAGATGATTTATAATGGGACACTCCAGTATTTTGAACAGATGGATGAGTTGCAGTATTTCTTATTTGCCTAGTAAGCTTCATTTGGTACCCAAAAATTATGACTTAATAATGATTAGGAGCTTTGTTCTAGACATATCTTTCCAAAAGAAAAGGAGAAGGTACTGAAGAACAAAGGGGAAAGTTTCATCTATTCACTCAGCCTATTTAGGATTACATATTAAGTGTACAACATTGCGCTTAATGTCTAGTGGAAGAGCACTGTATTTAGAGCTTAGAGTTCAGGGTGTAGGCCTGGCTCTATTGCCTAACTACTGTGTATCTTACCCAACTTGGAGTTTGTTTGGTGTCTTTCTCATAACATCAGGCTTGGATGACATCACAGAATACAAAAAGCTTTCATCTCATGTACTATCAATTGGTAGCAATGAAAAGAAATCTAAGGCTACATTGGGCATAGAGTAAAAGAGTGCTATTCATGATCTATTGGTGATGTCTGCTCTGGATGATGGGTAGGAATTACAGCATGTGTGCAACTTACTTGCTATCTTGCGTCAGGTAATCCATGAAGTTCCAATACCTGTATTCTCTTTCTTGGTAAGGTAAGTCTTTGCCTTCTAATAATTTAAAAGCTCTGCAGATATGCATAGTTCTATTTAAATTAATTTAAAAAATGAAAGCACCAAAGGGCAGCTGACACAATGTAATGATTACAAATGCCCACTGATAAGTAGAGAAATGGCAATTTTCCTCCCAGCACATTTTTTTTTCAGACCATTGCCTTAAACAGAACAAGAGAAAAGTATAGTTTCCCCTGGTCAAACTGCTTTCCATATGTTTTGATGAGGAGTATTAATCCAAATCCACAGGTAGAATTCTGCCTGAGTTACTACTTAGCCGAAATGAGTTTAGTCATCTATGCCTCATTTCAGCGAAAACCTTGAATCTTTAAATAAGTCACATGAAGTTTAAAAATATAAGCAAGAGCCTTTTTGTATATTTTGGTCTAGGAGACAGATTTAACTCCAATTTGAAATTGTGTTTCATTAGGAATGTTATCTTTTGAGTATGGGTTTAAATTAAGATTGTTATACATACTAGTGTTAGCATAGGGAGGGCTGAACAAGGTCATTAAATATAGACCAAATGTATGAGACTGTCTGTTTGTATGTACATATTATTTGTGAATGTTCATGTGTGTGCAAATGATGGCTCTACAGTGCTTATTTTTAAACTGTACACTGTATTTTAAAGAATGGCAATTGATGTAGAGCTTTATAAGCCCAAAGAGGATTAACTGAAGGAGGCCAATAAATGCTTCGCGTATGGTTTTCTGATTGTGTATTTCTTCTACTTCTAAGAAATATGGTGGAACACCCCTTGTCATGTGTGGCTTATTGTTACACAGAACCACAGGCTGTTGAAGATACTATATAAGCTTGGGAGTTAATTTATAAGGGGTGTTAGTCCTGTCTCTCCACATAGAAAGGAGTTTAACCATGTGTAGTACTCTTTGAAAACCAATGATACTTATCTTAAAAACCATATGACATTGGAGATGGAAAGCTCTGTGTTTGGTTCTTGCCTCCTGTTTCACTGGAAAGGTGAAGCTGTTTGCCATTGGACTCAGAGTTCATCATCACACCAGTAATTCTTGACTCCCAGTCCGATATCTGTTCTTTCCTTAAGTCAATAATAAAGAAAATGGAAAACTGTCTGAAGTCACATGGCTATGAATGAGACAAAATGGGACTTCTTATCCAATAATTTGGCCTTCCAAGTTGATGCTTTGAAAGCTGCCCTGAAGTTTTCTCCTCTGGGGTATCAGGATGTTTTATCATTATGACAATATGAAATAAATAGCTATTCCAGAATAGTGCTTTCCGTTCTGTTGTGGCTACCTGGAGCTCCTGGCTGGAGTTCATATGGAATCTCAACAGTTCTAATCATCATGGGGTCAGGGTATTTTCTCCCTCCCTTCCTCATAGCTGAATTATGGCACATCACTCCTTTGCTGTAAGTTTCTTCAGATCCTTTCTGGAGGGAGATAGGAAAGGCAATAAATAAATAAATAAGAAGGAAATGATTTAGAGAGAATAGTGTCTTCTTAACCGCTGAAGTAACTTCTTTTCTAGTAGTGGTGGTGGGGTTCTTTTGATGAGAAACTTGTCTGATGAGTTCGTTGTAGGATAGAGTGAAGTCCTTGGGTATCCAGATTTCAAGATGAGGTTTCTCTGTAGATGAAGAGAGACAAGAAAGACCAGAGATGGAGCTGCTAGGCACAGAGACATGGAAAGAGACTCTCTGATGGGAACTCCCCCGCCATGGCTCTGCAGACCTTCAGTAACACGAACAATCACAATAGGTCTGGGATTGTTGGATTTCTGGTGGAAGCTGGCGAGGAGGCTGCCTTTTCTGTAGGAGATAGCACAGGAACAGAGTCAGCTGAATGGATGAAGTCTCTAACACCTGGCTCACATTTGATTACGTAAGCCACACCTCAGCATTTGGAATCCTGGAATGTAGCTTTTGTTCATTTGTAGAAGGCATCATCAAGAAGACCGAGCACATTGTCTGATGTGAAGCCCCAACAGAGCTGCAGAGGGAGCCCCCATCATGGGTCTATCCGTAGATGCAGCTGCCCCTCCCTTCTGCAGTCCACACGCTTTTTAGGCAGGGTGTGTGCACTCCCTTTGGTTAATCAACTTTCATACCTGGGTAGATTTTTGCCTCTGTAAAAGGTCACCTAGGTTACCTTTCCCCTCGGCCTAGTCAGGCTTCATGATCCCATTCTAATCTAATTTTAAATTAACTGCTGAGTAGATTTATAAGAATTTCATAATAATATTGGACATTTGGTTAGAGAATTATCTGCTCCACTTTCTAACATGAATGAATTGGCCATGAAATTGCAGGAGTGCAATTAATGTCATTAAGCAATTCCTTCCCATTCTATTTATGTTGTTCTTTATTTTTCAAGGGAGGGGTGGTTTAAATTAATTTATTGATTAGGTATTTTATTGCTACTTGATAGGAGTGGATCTACTGTTTCATGCCTTGTTGTTTCCAGAGACTAGAGAGAGTCTTTCTGATGGTGAGCGGGGTGATGCCATAACCCGGGTAAAAGATCCCTTTTGCTGCCTTTGTAGTCTAGTGGACCATTTAATATGTGGGAGAGTGAAACTACAGGCAGAATTCCGGCACCATCTTCTGAATACTTCATTTGGATGTACCTTAGGCACCTGAATGCCAGCATCCAACTGAAACAAAGCTGTGTTAAGGACCATACCTCCTCTTCCACCCTGATACCCACCTACCTCCTGCCCACTTCCTGTTTCCCTTCCACTCTGAGACCAGCATCTCCTTCCACATCACTGCTGTGGCCTGATCCTCAAAACTTCAGTGGCTCCTCTTTTAGCCCCATGTTGCCGCTGATGTCACTCAGATTCCACTGCCAGTCCCTTGGCTCACGCCTTCGGCATCGATGGATTGATGTGACAGCCTCCTCATTGGTCTCTTTGTTCCCTTCATGCCATTTTCCACCTTACTGCCAGAATGATCCTTCTGGAAGCAAAACAGTTTCTGTCACCCTTTGTTTCAAGTCCCCTAGTGGCTCTCCATAACCTTCCTGATAAAATGCCTATTTCTTAAGGTAATTCTGGATGAACTATCCTTGTTCCTGCCCTGCCAAGTTTCTGCCTGTTTCCTCTGCATGATACACAGTGAACAGGTTGGGCTTATACAGTGAAGGAGGCAGGTAAAAAAACCTAAAGATTTCACACACACACACACACACACACACACACGCGTGTGCGCACGTGCCTACTGACCATCAACCTTTCTTTTAGGACTGAAGTCATGGGTTAACTCCAGCTAGGACACTTGGGCTTAGAAATGTGAAGAGTGTCACCTGGTCAAGCAAGCCTCTTGTTTACTTACTCTTCTTCCTACACTCCTTTTCTAGCGGAAGAAGTTACTGATGGACAGCTAACTTTCTCCTCAAATAATTTCATCTTTTTTTCCTGCTTCCAACCTATCTTCTATGAGGTTTGGAACCAGGACTTCCCCAGCCAGAATCAGCTAGCTTCTAGCAAGGGCTGGAAGCTCTCATATTCCTTCTTCAGAGTCCTATTGCACCTGTTGGGTTACCCACCTCTCTCTTCCTGGAGGGCTGGGGAGGGAGGGTGAGCCTCACGGTGCCCAGGCAACATGGCTTCCAGCAGGAACTGGAAGAGCCAAGCCTAGTGGGACTGGCCAGGCACCACAGAGGGCCAAAGTCGTGGCTGTCTGGCATCTGAGCTCCTTTAATGCCCCTTTCCACCTTTACGGTTCTCTTGGGTGGTGGAAACGACCACGGTGCTGTGTGGTTCAAGGCATGACTAGTGGTTGACGCATGCAAAGGTTCTGGGGAATAAAATAAGCCCGAAAATGGCCAGAATGCATGAGGCATCTGCCAAAATCTAACCTATTGTGATGTCTGGCCCGCTTGGTGCTCTCCAAGCACTCAGAGGTGGCAGAGGAAATGGAATCCATTTAGTTCCCCCGTGACTGCCCCCCACCATGAATAGCCTGAAGAGGGTTTTCTTGTGAAAGCGTCTGCTTCAACCTTCTGTTTCTGTCCCGTGTTTTATTGTCTCCCCTCCTTTGCTGCTGCTATTTTACTGCCTCTACCCTGACAAAGCACCAGGTTTATTTTCTAGCTCTGTGTGTCTGCCCGCTTGGGTGTCTAACCAATGTATCAGCCTCAGCTAATACATTAGAATTTGAATAAATGTATAACAGCAGGTAGCAAGTGACTGGTGACAGGGTGACATATTGACTTAATATCTTGTGTAATGTGATATGAAGGATGTGCCTTTTGGTGTGTATTTTCATTTTAATTATTTTTTGTTGCTTTTCTTAGGCAGACACTTGTAGGCAGCTTTGAGTAATTGTCTGAAATCATTAACATGTTTATTAAATAAGGAAGCAGAGTGCATTATCTAGTGAATCAATTATGTAAATGCACAAAAAGCATAAGAAATTAGTCTTTAACTGTTGCTGAACTGCATCCATTTTCTAAATTATAGATGAAAGTTGCTGTGTGTGCGTGTGTGTGTGTGTGTGTGTGTGTATGTGTATGTGTGTTGGGGGGAGGAAGGTATATTTAGATTCATTTCCCTTTCTTAGAGTTTTAAAGCAGCAACAATTAATCTGTGATTTTCTTTGGTGGGGGGCACTTCTGAAATACAGCAACTAGTAGGGATTTATGTAGATTTTTCATGTAGATGACAACAGATGGTCGGCAGTGAGAAACAGCAATTTCTATTGAAGGGTCTGGGCGAAGTGATAAACAGTGTCAGTGGAGCAGAAGCAATAGCATCTTTCCTTTGGATAACAGCAACACTATCTAGGGGAAAAATCCTCGACATATTTTTAAACCAACCCATCATGCATTCTGATTACTTACGATTAAAATATTGTAAAAAGGATTTCTGCCATTGGCTCAAGTCTAATTTTTGGTGGCATTGGTTGTTTTCATTTGGGAAACAATTCCGTTGGATATTGGGAAACTCAAGCTACCTGCTATCTCATAACTCATTAGTTAAGTAAATTGTCCTGATGTTTGAGAGAAGCATCCTTCACTTTGTCTCCCTATTGCTTTTTTGTCTCCAAATTTTGTGGGTCTCTTTCTGTGGGATTCATATAATGGGCCCTAAGATAGGTTTCCAGTATATAGCCTGGAGTTTAGTGTTTAAAAGGAAAATGATGGTGCTGGGATACTGCCCCCTTCTCTTGGCTGAACATATTTCCCCTGATCGTTTTTCTGATGGCAATTCAAAGAGGAAGACTGAGGCAGAGATTCCACCTCAGTCTTTTGAATTCTCTTTTAGGAAAAGGGTTATGAGTGGATTGAAGTGTATTCAAAAGGAGATAACAGAAAGATGAAGACAGGCATTTTAGGACTATGTGAAATTGTAGCTTTCTGAGCTAGAGAAAGACATTTCTCTGTTACTCTTTCTCAGTCTTTTCTTCTTTATAATGGAAATCATACCACTTATTTGAGGTTACCAGTGGTTGCTTACAAAATGTTTTGGAAGCCAAAAGGAAAATACCCTGGGAGGTAGGAGCATGTTATCGAAGGAAGTACACATCTAGATGTAGCCTGGACTCCCCCACATTCAGTTGTATGACAGAGCACTGGATACTTAACCTGTGTGCATTCTGTGTCCATATCTGTAAATTGGGAATGATAAGACGTAACTTGCAGGATTGTTGGGATTACATTAGATAATGTATTAAAGTGCCTATTAGTATAGTAGGCACACAGTAGTATATCAGTAGCTCAGTTCCCTTTCCAAAAGTGTTAACAACTGCCAGGATTTGAGTTGAATTGGTGTAGTTTGCTATGCATAAGATAAATACATCTAGATTTTTAAAATCTTTGTACAGATATCCTGTATAGAGAAGTAAGTTTATGACATTGAGTGTAAGATAATCTAGAAGATATTTTAGATATAGTAGTATGGAAACAAAAAAAGGCTTCTTTTAGATAGAGGCGTATACCATCAAGATATCTTTATAGATAGGTATCTCAAATTCCTGTTCAGATTTCCTTTTTGACCATTAATATTTTTAAAAATAACACATACAGAATAAAAAATTCAATATACTGTAAAAGGATATACAGCGAAACTTATAGTTTCCTATCCTTCTTTCACTTCCAGACATACTCCCCCAAAGTAGCCAATGTTAATAACTTTAGTGCATACTTTGGATATACATGTGACTCTGTCTATAGAAACAATTCCTAGAAATGTGGTGCTGGGTCAAAGGGTGTATTTCAAATTTAGAAAGATCTGCCAAATTTTCCTCCAAGAGATCCTAGAGTTTCATATTCCACTCAACAGCATTAAGAATATCAGTATTAACAACTCTGTTGCCAACCATGTTATCTTTGCTTATCTGATAAGAGAGATGATACTTGTTTTGATTTACATTTTGTTATGAATGGAGTGAGCATCTTTTTGTATATGGACTAGCCATTATTTGCTTTTCTGTTTCTATGGACTGCCTCCTACTAACAGTCATGGCAGCTGTGCTGAGCTTCCCAGATCCCTCTGTAGGACCCAAGTTCTCAGTCCTCAGTTGCTGTGCATGTGGGTAGCAGAAGGAACTCAGCCTTCGCTGAACACACTCCCCTGGCCAAGTCACGCCCCTTTCCTCGGAATACCCTACATCCAAAAACTAAAAGGCTCAGCTCCTTTTTTACCAGTTTGGGACAACTCTGAATGGCCATCGCAGCTCGAGCTGCCCGTGGAATCAGCTGAGGTCTCTGTTGTGATTTCATCACTGCCTAACGTCTCTGAACAGTCCTGGCTCCTTTCCTTCCTCTGTGGGTGTTGATCCTGAGAATACTCCCCAATAAACCTGCACATGACTCTCCACCTCCTAAATCTGCTTCCCAGGGAGCCCAGTAGAGGACAATAACCCTACCCATTTTTACACAAGGTTCTTGTTCTTTCCTTAGAGACTTGAAGGGATTCTGTTTAGGAGAAATTAGCCTTTTATCTAACATATTAGTTGCAGATACTTTTGCCTCTTTGTCATTTGCTTTTCACTTTGTTGTGGTTTTCTTTGCCTTTCAGAAATTTCGAATGCAATGTAAATTTATCATTTTTTTCTTTCTCTTTTGATTGATAGCATTTGGTTTTTGTTCCTTGCCTAATAGAGCCTCCCTTATGCTAAGATTATTGTTTTTCTAATGTTCCTTTGTTTCCGCTAAGATCTTTATTTTTTACATTTAAATATTTGAGCCACCTGAGATTTATTTTTATGTAAGAAGTGAGAGTGGAACCAGCATTATTTTCTCCCTACTAACTGGCCAGTTGTACCAACATATTTATTAGACAATCCACCATTTTCCCACATCTGAAATGTCAACTTTATTATATAACAAATGTTTCTATGTGCATTATGTTTATTTCTGAACTATTTTTTCCCTCAGAAGATTGTTGGTTTGCTAATAACAAACTGTTCTAATTCCTTAGCTTTACTGTATGTCTTAATAGCCAATAGAGTTAATAACCTTATATTTCAGAATTTTACTGGCAATGCTCACAGGTTAATTTCTCAGGTGCAATTTAGAATTAACATTCCAAGTTTCAAAATACTCTTATTGACATTTTTATTGGATTCACATTAAATTTAGGGGAGAATACATCTTTACAATGAGTCTTTCCATCTAAGTACAAAGTCTGTCTTTCCATTATTTTGCCAGCTTTTACATCTCTCTGTAGGATTTAAAATTTTTTTCTTGTGAATTCTATACTTTTCTAAATTTATTTTTTTAAATATATGCCCATTTTGCTCTTAAAAATGATACCTTTCTTCTGTATATTTAATTGGCTTTTGTTTATATAAGCTATTTATGTGTACTAGCTTTATAAGCATCTGCCTTCTCTCCTAATGTATCCATCCATTTTCAGTTGATCCTCTTTGGCGTTCTAGGTACATATATGTATAATCTGCAAAAATAATAATTTTGTCTCTTTCTAATTTTTATTATTCATGACTTTCTCCTCATTGCACTAGTACTAATTAGAAAGTGTAAAATTATAGGGTATTGGCAATGACCATTCTTGTCTTAATAGGAATGCCTCTTAGGGTATCATTTAGTATGATTTAGGCTTTTGAGCTGATGCATGTGTATCTATATCTCTCTTTCCCATATCAAAAAATATTCATGGATTTCTATTTTATTAAGGGCCTATTAAATCAGAATGGATTTTGATTTTGTCGAATGCTTTTTTAGCACCCGTGAAGATGATTATAGGATCTTTCTGCTATAATGTATTGATATTATGAATGACAGAGGTAAAAGTTCTGTTCTTGAATGATCCTGGTATCCCTTTAATAAGCTCTATTTGGTGGTGGTATCTTATTCTATTATTGCACTGGTGGATTCTGTCTGCTCATGTTTGAGTTCATATTTTTACATTATTATTTATAAATTAGAGTGATCTGACTTTTCTTTCTGGTTATTTTTGTCAGGTTTGAAATCAGTGTTATAGCTGTTTTGGAAAAATAACTTAAAAGTTTTCTTTCCTGAAAACATATTTAAATATTTTAATGGGAACCAGCATGAAGCAGCTTGTCTGTTAGTGTCTTTGTCAGTGCTTCCCTAAATATGTCTTTTTAGAGGAACATATTTGATGAGTTATAGTTAATAATTGTCAAGATTGGACTGTCTTATTCAAAATGGAAAAGGAAGATGAAGGGGCTAATAGGTATCTTCCTGAGGAATTGAGAGATGCCAGAGGAGCTTGGAAATATGCCAGCAAGTGCTCAGAGGAGGTGGGGAGCTAGAGAATTCAGCTGAAACACTCTGGGAATCCACAGAAAAATCCTAGAGATATTCAGGGTAACAACAATAAAAAAAAAAACTTTATAAATGGTCTATATTGCATGTAGTTTGAAATTAAGATTGTTACTGTTATATTCACAGAGTGATCCTCTGACAAAATGTGAAAGGGTAACTGCTGTCTTAGTTCCTTCTGTTCCCTTCTTTGTACTTTGTTCAGAGGCTTTCCCCATATTTACCCTCCTGTCCCTCCCCTTTTCCACTTAGCCCAGGAGCCACCTGGAAGCACTCACCTGCTCAGGCATCAGGCTCTCTTTCCCCCTCCTGAACCTACCCTGAGTGAGGCAGCTCTTTGCTAATGAGGTGTTAGTCCAATCCAAGCTCACGTGAAAGTTTGTCTCTGTGCCTCCTGCAGTCGACCTGTTTGTATTTTGCAGGGCGATTTGAGGATATTTAAACCCAAAGCAGTAGGTAGGGGCCTGCCAGGCAGGCTTGCGGGACCTTGCTGTGTGCCTGATAAAGCCACACTCCCCATTTCTCATTCTGGCTGTTCTGGGTAGGGTCAATCTTGTCCTTATGAAATCAAGCCGTAGTACTGTTTGAGCCTCAGCAGTCTTGTATCTCTGAAGCTGTTGACGCCTTTTCTAAAGTCTTTCTGAGGTTTCTTCTCCAATAGATTTCTAAAATTTTTTTAAAAATGCATTATTCTGGTTTCTTTTTTCCTTTCTCATGCTGGTCAGTGGGATTAAAATGGATCATTTTGCCACTTTTCTAGATTTTCTTTTGCTCTCTGGGTGTCTCTCGCTAGTCCTAAGCAATTGTGTTGGATTTTATAACAGGGCAGAAGATTACATAACATGTGTATTGGCTTTAAATCATTCCAGTCACAAATTGTTCTGATAAATACTTCATTCCAAATTCTACATCGATTACAAGCTTAACTGATCATGAAAAATTTATTCTCAGTAACATAGGTTGAAGAACCTAATGTATAAGATAAATCTATGGGATATTGCATTAACCCCAGAAGTCAATATTGCACCTCTTTGTATGGTCTATAAATATATCTCTGAAATATGCATACAGTGTTTTGAAATGTAGACAGAACTCCTTGATCAGTTTTTGGCTTTAAAAATAAAGAGGATTTTTTTGGGTCCAATTTACACTTTTCCGTTGTGATACTAACAGATAAGGGTACTGCAAATAGAATGGAAGTTGGTAGGATTTAGGGTTCTGAAAGGAGGTTTCTTGTGTGAAAAAACAGCTTTTCTTGACAAGCTGCTTGTCAAGGTTTTCAACAGCCTCTCTTTTCATTTATTTATTTGGTTTGAGGGAGTTAGGAAGGTGTTTGGTGTATTTTGTGCTGGCAGCTCACACGTCAACACAAGACTAAAAATATTCTCCAAATATGAAGGTACAATAGTTTCTTCTTTTCCCCCTGACCCCCCGCCACTGCCCAGAGTACCAGCGTTAAACCCTAGGCAAAGGGCTGACCCCTGATAAAACTGCTGTAAGGTCAGCTCTGCGCCTCTGCTATGAGGTTTTTTTTTCTCCCATCCATATCTCCACATTGCTATTCCTTGCTAAAGTTTTGGGGTCCCCTTGTAGATCTCTAGTTCACCAGTGGCTCCCATAGGGATCAGATCATTCCTCGTCACTTCTGTCTGCCATTGGAACGTATCTTCCCTGGTTCCATTGCTCTGGATCGGGGCATTGTTTTGGAGTTCAAGCAGATAACAATTAAAAAGTGAGGAAGAAGTCACATCCGGGTGGCAACATCACAGAATATATGTTGAAGGAGATGGCATTTAAACTGAGTCTTTAAGGATGAGTAGAATTTTGGCGGGGGTTATTAATCAAGCACACCTACAGGTGCTGGTATGTTAAGTATCCCTACCAGGCAACATAATTCCTTAACCTACTTTAAAAGCACCTGTATCCAGAGCTCTTAATGGAATCATGGTATTGCTGAAAATTTTAGGTACCGTGTTGGGCCTTCTGCGTATACATAAGGCGAGTGAAGACAGAACGAACTTTTCTTCCTCTGTCTTTGCATTTTTGGAAGTGAGCAGACACTGGTAAAATGAGACCATTGACATGTTGAAGAGAAATTTTTCTCTCTCGAAAAATAAGTTCAACATTGTACATTCAGTGTACTGTGAATGTATATGCACACCAGTGGTTACATTTATAGCAGTACAACTGAGAATGTGCAAATGAAGTCTGGGAAGTGCCAAATGGTGTCCTCCAGCATCTCACAGAACTTTTCTGGTGTGAGAGGAACTTCCAATCAGGTAACAATTCCTTTCAATCCAATTCATTTAACTATATTTTTAAAGAAAACCCAGGGCAAGGGGCTAGAATTTTCAGAAAATGAAGCTACAAGCTTTTAGGGGTGGACATCTTTTTATTTTTTCTTGTGATTTATTTTTGGGTTCTTTTCTCCTATCAGATCTTAAACTCACTCTGTCTCTCCTGCCCTGGTGCCAGCCACGGAGGCAGGAGTAGTCGACTCTCTCGATTTCATTAAGAGGTTGGTGAGCAAGGGGTTCCGCTGAAGCTCTCCCTGCGGAATCGAGCACATCAGCTTCTCTGAAGTGCTCTGCTCCCCACAGTGAGAACGAAGTCCCTTAAAGCCACAGAAGTACTGTTGGACTGCCAGTTTAGGTGGCCTCTGGTTTAACTTGGTCACATTTTCTCACCTGCAAATCCAAAAGTTGATGTATTAAGACTCGCCCTCCTTTTTTATGTCCCAGTCTTTTTGTGAATTACTTTTTATTCTTTCATTACTTTGTTGGTTTGTTTTTGTTTTCTAAGAAAGTAAGCAAGACTTTGGGTCTTTTGGGGCAAAATGTCCTGATTCTTCTAATCTATTTAGACAAGTGTTTCCCAGACTGTGCTCCGTGGAACGATGGTGATTGGTGAGGTAGCTGTAGTTGTTCTGTGGAAAATATTTCTGTGGTCAGTTTAGTTTGGGGAGCACTGCCTGCCCTATCACCCCTTTGTTGCTTCTCAGTGCATATTAGCATTAAAGATAGAGAGTTTTGCAGTTTAAAAAGAAACGTTTTTAACTTTTTTTTTTTTTTTAGACGGAGTCTCGCTCTGTCGCCCAGGCTGGAGTGCAGTGGCGCGATCTTGGCTCACTGCAAGCTCCGCCTCCTGGGTTCGTGCCGTTCTCCTGCCTCAGCCTCCCGAGTACCTGGGACTACAGGCGCCCGCCACCACGCCTGGCTAATTTTTGTATTTCTAGTAGAGACGGGGTTTCACCCTGTTAGCCAGGATGGTCTCGATCTCCTGACCTCGTGGTCCACCCGCCTCGGCCTCCCAAAGTGCTGGGATTACAGGCTTGAGCCACTGCGCCCGGCCTGTGTTTTTTTTAAATTTAATTTATTTTTTTATTTTATTTTATGCAGTGTCCCTGTCATGGCATTTATCTCTGTTTAGGCCAGCATTTGCAGAACATTTGTTTTTGCTTAGAATGGCTTTTTTTCCCCCTCAGAGCACCTCTTGATGTCCCGAGGGGCACAGACGTTCCACAGAATGCAGCCTAGACTGTGCAGGAAAAGGCCCTCCCTGTATCTCTAGGAGCTTCTCTATCTATGGGGTACAAGCTTTTTGCTGAGGGGTAGCAGTTTGATCTGGAGGCATGGAGGGACTTGGATTTCTTGCCATATAAAGACTCACACATTTTTGTCAAAGGGCATCCAAAAATCGGTGCTCAAAACAGGCAAACATTGCAACTGGAGCATTTTCAGAGTGGTCTTCGTAACCCTGGGGGAGTAATGACGGCCAACATGAAGCACTTAGGTTTTTATATTGTATGAAGTCTGCTCTCCGAATATTTTTGTTCATACATCATTCAGCATACACGAAACCATCTAGCTCCATCCCACGTCTATGTGAGTCACTTTTTTTAAGTACTTCTTTTTTGAAAAGTGTCTCATGCTCATAGATAATTAGAGAAAAAAACAAGTAAAAATAAATCATGTTGTTTAATTTAAAAACCCAAATGAATCTTAAGAACCAAATACATATGTTTCTCACTTTCTTGGATTACCAAGAACTACCACCTTTGTTCTCATCCTATTCCAAGCATGTGAGTTAGTGTTTTTTACCATAAAAATGAATGATATGGAAACAGCATGTCAAAATAGAGGTGATTTTGTATTTATTCTTCCCAAATGACTCAATATAAAGAAAGCATGGAAAAGTCTCTGGTAACCATATGCTATAGGTTAATGGCCCCCTGTATGTCTCTTTCCAGGGTAAGTATGTTTTCCTGGTGGACAATAACTTTCCAATTTATATGTTTCTCTTTCAAGATTGTTACCCAGGAAATGGGATGTTTGAAGTTATTCATTATTGTTGAGTGAATTTACTGATTGTGTGATAGTTATGTCAGAATTGGTAACCTGTTATTACCTATTATTTCATCATTAAATTTAATGCATAAAATGTGTAATTTTATAGCCCTCCATTACTGTTAATTTAATGTAATGCAAATTGATTGTTCAGCAAGAGTGGCACTCATCTAAGCACATGTTTTAAATTTCAAAATGCTAAATGCACTTTAGCTGTGTTCTGAGCCCAAGAGGAGGTGTGTTTGTGGCTCTGGAGAACATCTGTGTTAGGAACGGCCCAGCACAGTGGCACAGCTCTGTGACTGCTGCTGCAAGCTGATGCCACTTTTAACTGCAGGTTCAGTGAGGCCATGGGCACGTGCTGCCAGGAAAGAGGGCATTTTACAAATGGGGATAAGTGTGTGCATTATACTAATTTTGTAGGAAGAACTTAAGGTCTGTTCCTTTAAGAAAGTTAATGTTCAAAAACACAAAAGGCAGTTGAGCCACAGTCTCCAGGTTTGGGCCACTTTGGGCGCCAGAGAGAAAATGAAAGTTAGAGCTATAACTGCTGTTGCTGATATTGTCTGTATTGTATGAGCTACAGAGGGAGTGAATGATGAAGAGCCTGGAGAGAAATAAAACATGTTGGAGTTTGTAGTCTTCAAAGGATAACTTTAGAATAAACAGAGCTAGATTTGGTTAGGATCTTATTTTTCATTTACATGTTGGTCATGTTTATTTTGGTCTGGAGAGAGAACTCTGCCACCCTGGACACCCTTGCTTTTTTCTTTCTTTCTTTCTTTCTTTCTTTCTTTCTTTCTTTCTTTCTTTCTTTCTTTCTTTCTTTCTTTCTTTCTTTCTTTCTTTTTTATTTATTTTTTAGAGGGGACTCTTATCAGCTTTGGTCTCCAGTCATTGGATGCTGGACCTTCTCTTCTTGGAATGAGTGGATGCCAAAAGAGCAAATTCCAGGAAATATCTTATGTAAAGCTGAGGCCATCTTGACTTTGGACTCAAAATAAAGGTGATATTCATGAGCCTTATTTTAAGACCATAAATGTTAGGAAGAGATGGTGTCCTGTAGAGGAAGGCACTGTGAACAAAGTTTCAAATGCTTTGCCGTGGAATGTGTTATAATTGCCATCATTATGATTAGCATCCTCACTTCAAGCCTTGAGTTGGTTCATGAGTCCCAGTAACTCTGAATTATACTGATTGAAACCCTTCGTTCTGAAGGACAGCTCTTTCGACTGCGTCTCCACTTCTTGTTTCTTTACGAGAAATAAAATCCCTTTTCTTCCCCAGTTCTGTCTTGTGGTAACATGTGCTCATGTGTTTTGTCTCATTGTAGTCTATTGCATTTCTTTCTTTAATGAAAAAAATAGTAACTACCCTTTAAAAGAAAAAAAGGACTTAAATGATTTTGCTTGAGTTGTTGATAATAACTGTAGATGAGACTCCAAACATTTGATACTGGCTACAAATTTGTTTAACTATGAACTTCAGCACCACTAAAATGGACCCAACTCTAGCATCACACGTAACAACTGGATAACAGTGCCTGTCAGCATCACATAACTGTTTAAGAAACAAAATGGGGGGAAATGGTATATAGGAGGATAATTTAGGTAGTATAAGAAGAAATTCTCACATGGTCTTGTGGACAAATCTTTCAGATGGGAGGGTGGGTGGTAATATTTGGGTGGGGGAGGGAAGGCCAGCTTCTGTGCTTCTATGGCCAGGAACTCTTCCACCCCCTTTCAAGAAGAGTGGAAAATAAATCTGGAAGCGGCACACTAAATTTAAACCAGGGTCGATACCTAAAAAGGAAGACAAGTGATAAACAAAGATGTTCAAACAAATACCACCTGGACATCTTGGTAACCTATTATCTTGAACGTTTGATGAGCTGGAAGCTTTTATTTCCCCTCACAGCTTTCCATTTTCATTTTCTTCATCTTAGCCTATATACAGCTATGGGTTAGTTTTACTAGTGTTTCAAAGGTGGCAGCAAGTTGGCTAGTTGGGTCAAGATGTTAGGCACTTATTTGGCTCTCTCTTGTTTAATGTGAGACCATGTGTGGTTTGGCTGTCAGTGATGCTCGGTGTCTGTTAGATTTTCCAATGGGCTAGCTTATCATATCTACCTACCTCTTAGTTCACCACCCCTGCTTCTAGCAGTCCTGCTCTCTGCTTCCCTGGTACCCGGCAAAAGCAGCTCTGCAGGGGGATAAGGATGTACTGGAATCTTGTAGCCGCATGGTTTTAGGATTTGGTGATAGTTGTGGTTTTTTTTTTTTTTTTTTTTGATGTGGAAATACAAGTTTCTAACATTACAAATGTGAGAATAGCATCAAAGTGTGAGAAAAACTATCACACTTAGATATTATTCTAACACTTTGGGAAACAAAATAGGCTTTATTGGTAGTTTGTGTCTGCACTTGCTGTAAGTAGAATAGATACTATTAGTTTTCCAAAGTTATGGTAGGAACACATAATACAAAAGTTTTGTTAAAGCAAACATTTATTTTTAAATTTATTTATTATTATTATTTTGAGACAGAGTCTCTCTCTGTAGCGCAGGCTGGAGTGTGGTGGCATAATCATGGCTCACTGCAGCCTCCACCTCCTGTGTTCAAGTGTTTCTCATGCCTCAGCCTCCCAGGTAGTTGGGACTGCAGGCACGTACCACCACGCTTGGCTAATTTTTATGGATTTTTTTTTTTTTTTTTTTTTTTTTAGTAAGAGATGGGGTTTCACCATGTTGGCTAGGCTGGTTTTGAACTCCTGGCCTCAAGCGATCTGCCTGCCTTAGCCTCCCAGAGTGCTGGGATTACAGGCATGAGCCACTGCTATTTTTTTGCTTGAAATCTCTCAGGACAGTGGTATGTTGGACAGGGGTTTGCTTGAAATCTCTCAGGATAGTGGCATGGAAGTGGCCTGGAAGGGTATTTTTTGGCTTGAAATCTCTCAGGATAGTGGTATATTGGACAGGGTCTATGATTCTATAGGCGGTAGTAAGTAGAAGATTGGGGAGTGAGTGAGTGACCCACTGAAGAAGGAAACTGCCCACCCTTCCAAAGGCCCATAGAACTCTGAAGAGTCTCAAAGTGTGGTCACACCTGTCAGATGCTTGCTTGTGTCATGTATACTGCGCCAAGGACAACCAGAACAAGGTCTAAGGTTTGAACATTGTGGTGTGCATTTCATCATCTAGAATGTGATTTTATAAGCACATTTGTGTTTGAATAAATCAACATTGGACCATTGCATAGTTTTGTATTATTATTCCTACCCAAGGGGTTGAGAATAGGAATTCTTGCAGCATTTTTAATGGGTTAATAGTAAAGGCTAATACTTATTGAGTGCCTCCTCTGTTCCTGGCACCCTCCTCAATGTTTTCCAGGGATTCTTTGCTCCTGCCTTGCAGAGTTTATGAGATGCTGTTAGAACCTCTGGCCTTGTAAATGAGGCACCGAGGCACAGAACCTTACATAGGGAGCTGGTATTCACAGCCCAGCAGCAGTCTGCAGAGCCCATGCTCTTTGTTGTTACTGGACTAGATGTTCTTAAGTGGGAAAGGGAATCTTTTTAAAATCAAACTGATGAGGAAACTTTCCTTAGTGTATGAACACTCTAGATCATCAATAAGCCGGCAGACCATTCTGCACTTTCAGGCTGGCTTGGCCAAGCCAATTCTTAGACTCTGAGGGAGGGACATAAAGTTTCATTGAGCCATAAATGGCTAAATCAGGGTGCTCATCCTGAGTCCCAAATAACAGTTCTGAGGGCAAAGGAAGGAAACCCAGGGCTGTTCACATAGTAAATTGTGGTTCCAGAAATCAGTGACCTACCTGCTTGAGTCTGCAAGAAATCAGACATATAGTAAAAGAAACCAGACAGTGATTTCAACAAACAAACTTGGCCTCTCCTTTCAGTTGTGTTTTGGCAAGATGTTCATGAGCCTTTGCCTTCCTGTGGAAGAATTTAAGTGTATTTTGCTACAGTTAAAGATTTATTTTCATTGAGCCTGATGATGCAGTAGGAAGAAGGGTAGGCGTTAGAAAAGGTAAGGGGGTGGCATCATAGCAAATGTTCCCAGATTCCTGGAACTAAAAAGAAACCTTAAGTATAATGCCACAGCACCCAGTCAATTTCAAGAAAGGACTGGTTTATCTCAGGTTGGAGGAGAACAGAGAAGGTAAGTTCATGGGGTGAATGTAGTCGTGGCCCCAGAGTACCTCCATTCGAGCCAACAAAACTTTTGTCTGTCTGGGCCCTCCTTGGCCATCCCGACTTGTGACTCACCCTTTCCCCTGGGCTTGCCTGACATTAGAGTCAGCGGACCTCATTCTCTGATCAGCCATCAGCCCTCAACTCTCCGGGTTTCTTTATCCTCATAGATGCTTCTCCAGATTCTTTTTACTTTGGGTCATTTTTGGTTTCGTTTGTTTTGTTTTCATAAGGTGGTTATGTAACCTTGCGGAAAGGGTAAATGTAATTTATTTTACTGTTACTCCAATCATTACCTTAAGTCTTCTGAGAGTTCTGCCATGCACATTGTGACTATTCCATGGTTACAAGGCTCAGGAAGATGCAAAGAAGAATGGCTTTCTCTTTACACCCCCACAGGGCATTAGCAGTTACCATGCAGAACATTATATATATTACCTGATCGATATTACTTTATATGCATAATTTGAAAAGTATTTCCTTAAAAAACAGGGCAAGTTTTTTTTTTTGGTGGGGGGATAATGAACAAAATGTTTCCCTTTATACCTTTTCTAGTATGATACATTTTCTAGTATTTACAGTTTTACTTTTAGAGAGTTACCTTTTGAAGCATACTTAGTTACTGTTAAACTATTCTGTTCCCGTAGTTGGATGAAGCTAATAAAAAAGCAGGCTATTTTTATTAACCGCCAGATTTCACAACAGTCGAGTGTTCCATTTTGATACAAAGAGATATATAGCCGGATTTATTCAGCAGTTCTTTATATTTATAAAAGTGTCAACAGTGAAAACAGCATACATTTATACAGGTCAATCATATAAATGTACCAAGCAAATGGTGGTACCAAATTTATGGGCTGCGTTTCCCCTGCCAGCAGTATAGTTTAACCTTATTTATAGAATAGTAGGTAAAGTTGGTGTTTGTTCTTTCAGCTGTTTGCATTTCTGACAGCAGGACTGTTACAGCAGACTTAGAATCTGTGTAAAAGCTGAAGGAAATTCTATTTATGTTTATAATTGCTAAAGAACAAACCCTAAGTTATTGCACTTCATTTTTTTACAACTGGAATTATAGCATATTGAAATCTACATTTTCATTATTTATCTTTTGACCTTACTTATTAAAGTATCTTGTGATTACTATAAAAATAATATTGAAAAGAAGGATAAAAGTCTTTTATCCTTTTATCCGGAACTGGGATATGTAATGCCTATAAAATCGGGTCAAGGGTAATTATACTTTACCGTGAAAAAACTTTGTAAACAGCAAGAACAATCGAGCTGTAAGACACTTTGTTGAATTGTCTTTGTTTTGTCTTGATGGAGGTCATGGTTTATCAATCATTCAAACATCCGTTAAGATAAAAAAAAAACCTAATAATTTTCCTGTTGACATGTATATATGCTAGCATTTAATGTGGTTAAACTTTGAGGAAATTAAAACAAATTGAATTCATTTTTCTGGAATGATACTGTTTCTGTAAACCCCTAGATTACATGCATTTCAATGAATTTCTACTTCCATTTTATACCAGGAATAGATAGATTAGTGAGCAAATTCCTCCTTTTTTAAAAGACTTGAATGCAAATCTGATTTCTATTTTAAAAAGAGAGAGGGAGGGAGGGAAGGAGAAAGTGAGGGAGGCAATGGAGAATGCCCCAAGGGGCATGAATTCTACCCATAAGTTCCATCTCCACTAGTAATCAGGGTTACAGCATCTACCCCCAGTTCCAATTCAGTGCTGTTTTTTCCAAGTGAAGTTTTTCCTATTTGCCAAGTATGAAATTTTACCAAAAAAAGGAGAAATGACTTGCTTAGAGTTACACATCCGTTTGGTGGCAGAACTGGAGTCCAGTTTCATTTTTCTCACTCCTGCCCTACTCCTTCCCCAGCCCTGCCCACGTTGGAATTTCTGCTCAGTATGTTTTTCCACTGTACCAAATTGAGCTCCGATGTTGGCACATTGCCTTTCATTTCATATTAAATGAGTGAATACATTAAAAGTGCTTAAAGCACTGTCTAACGGATAGTCAGTAGTGTAGCACATGTTCTATTAATAACATTATTACTTCTATAGCATGAGTAACTAGATCCCAGTTCCTCCAGTTTTCCAGTGGATGGCCAAAGTCCCCTATAATTTCCCTCAGTCTTTCCCCAGGAAGTCCTCAGTCCCCACTCACCCCAACCCAGGAGTAGCTCCAAAGAGCCTGCAGCTGTGTCCTCTAGAGAAATGCTGGAGTCACCTTGCTCCAGCAAATGCTGCTGAAATCTGCTAGAAGTCTCTGATGAAAGAGTCTAGATTTATTTTCTACAGACAATTCAAAACTTTTAAAACATGGATTTATTTATTAACAGATAAATACACAAAGAGTGAAAGCATTTTGCTGAATCACAAGTGGGATGAGGCCACCTAGAGAGTTAGTGACATAGATCCTGGTAAAAGCACATGGTCAGGAATGTTAGTGACCATCAAGTTTACACCCAGTGTTCAAAAGTGGTGTGACCTGGTTGGCCAACCATAGCACGCTAATCCTTCCCACTCTTGAGTGACTTGGGTTTTGCCTCACTGGATATTACAGAGGGCTGAGTAGTAGGTGCATCGTCTGAACTGTACACGTGTACTGAAGTTATTTATATGCATATAATATTGGTTAGACTTATATTTGGAGTCAGGAGACCTGGGCTTCACCACTATTGATGAATTGTTTTTAAAACTTGGCTGGGTCTCAGTGATACCAGGAGTAATTGTGAAGATAGATGCTCACCTTCTCTTCTTTATTTCTTCTTGAAGCCCTATGTTTTTTAAATGTGATTCCCATTTTATTATGAACATTTTGAAATGTGCAGAAAAGTTGAAAGAACTGTTTAGGGAACACCCATTCTAGAGTGGATTTTAATAGTAGTAATGCTACCAACAACTACCATGTACCAAGTACTTCTGCTCCAAGTACTGTGCTAAATCATTTACCTGTGTTTTTCTCATTTAATCCTTTAAGTGACCTTATATCTAGATATACTTATCTCCATTTTATGGAGGAGGAAATTAAGCCCCAAATATATTAATTACTTACTCAATACTTTAGCTATCAAATGGCGAAACACAGTTTGAACTCATATCTATAAATTCTGAATTCTAAGCAGACCTTCCTGCCAAAACATCTCACACTGCGAAAGGCAGTGCGTCCACAAAGCATTCACTTGGTTCTTCCATTTTCATAGAATCAAAACCTATAAAGCCCACCATAAAATATCATCTTTTCAGATATTTTCTTTCCTGAGCCTTTGTTTTTTTCCACATGTGAAATGAGAGGGTTGTGGAAGATTTTGAAGTCTTTGGCTCTGAGATCATGTAGAGCCAACTCCCAGCATCAGAAATCAGATGTGTACATTTATCTCATCCCTTCCAAAACAAATATGAGTTGTGTCCATTTTATAGATGAAATAACCAGTAAATTATTATGCTAATATTATAACTAATATATTATTTCTTTTCAGAGCAATGGAAAGATATTCATTAGGCACTCATGACCCAAGAGGTGTCTAATGATACTGTCATCTCTCCTTCTCTCCATTCCCTTTCTGCTTTCTTCCTGTTTTTCTTCTTCCTTTTTGATAAGGAAAGGAGACACTATCAGGGTGCAGCCATGCAGAGCAGTTTGGAGTTTATAAGCAGTAATCTTATACACCTTTCATTTCTTGTTGTTTGTAAACACTCTGAGGAAATGGAATACATTGGAAACCCTGTTTACTGAATGTGTGTTGGTCTTTTTGATTAAGAAAGGTGGGGGAAAGTGGGGATCTGCCTCCTTGTTCCTCTTTTCCCAGTTCTGCATCTCTTTCAGTTGCAGGCAGATCTCAAGATCAGAAGATTAAGACAGGAAACCAGGGAGATGGAAGCATTGTCCTTCTCTTTTTAAATTCCTTGTGAAGCCCTGGTAGGGTTAGCAGAGTGCCCGGAATTTCTGATCCTTTGACTGAACTGTCATTCATTAGAACCCAAGCTTTAAACTCTACCATTTAAAACAGTATCACATTTTTTATTGCAAATTATACATAACATAAAATTTACCATTTAAAAAGGTACCAGGCATTGGCTTTAAGTACATTCACAGTGTGCAACCATCACCACTATCTAGTTCCAGAACCTTTTCATCCCCCCGAGCAGAAACCCTGTACCCATTAAGCGATCATCCCCCATAACCTCCTCTCCTTAGTCCCTGGAAACCACTAATCTACCTTCTGTCTCTGTATATTTGCCTTTTCTAGATATTCCGTATAAATGGAATCATTACAATATGTGGCCTGTTATGTCTGGCTTCTTTCACTTAACACAATGTTTTCAAGAAAACATTGCCATTTTAAATCGCCAGGTATTTTACTATTTCTTTTTTTTATCCCTCTCGAATCACAAATGGCACCCAATTTTTTAGCCTTTTGAAATACCTTCTGTAACATATAGAGAAGGAAAATATCTAGAATTGGGGAAGATATCTAGAAATAGGAGATCAAATGAAGAGTAGACATATTTCCATAATGACTTGTAAAACTGCCAAATGCAGAGTTTGATTTTCTGCCCAGCTGGAAAGTCATTTAGTGTTAACGAGACATGTGAATTCTTAAATTATTCATTTTTAAAAATTATTTTCAGCTATTTTAATTCATGACACTAGTTATTATTTTGTAAAGGGTTAAGGGCACTCGTAGAAGGGAGTGGGCCCAAGGCAGGCACGTGGTGCCACGGCCAGTGTCTCTTCTTGGGTCCCATGTAAATGAGCGTGCAGGACCAGGTTGGTTGCTCTCATTCCTGGGGCCATCGTGTGCTGATTGACTTTGCTTAGCACTTGACTCTTGTCTCAGGATGCATTGCCAATATTTGGTTGTGTTCTGAGACACTAGATCCTTTGTGATCTGCTTTTACTCCCCTGGAGGAAATTCAGGAGTTATTTCCCCTTCCCTGACAGATATCACAGCATTCATATGTGTCCCTGGCAGTTGGAACCAGAGAAAGAACATTTCAACCCTTCCGTAAAGCTGGAAAAACCATGGGAATATATGTGACAACATCGATTGCACACCCCAGGATTTCTCTCTCCCCGTATCCCTGAGTTATCTAACGTAATCAACAGCGTCATAGGTCTGTGCTCATGGTATCTGTAATTATATTCATTTGTGTGGATGCCCAGGGAATTCCAGTGACTGGCCCTGTAAGTGGTTAACTGCAAACAGGAGCCTGCTGGAATTACAGCATCATTTGAGATCCTGCACATTTCATGTGACTGATTTTAAGTTTATATACTGTTTAGATTTTTTTTTTCTTTCTGTATTTGCAGTTTAAAAAATAAAGGTAAGCTAATAATTCTCCGGTCAATTTGCTGTTTTTTTCTAGTGCTTTAAAAGTATACCCTTGCAGAAACACACTCACACACAGACACACACACACACACACACGTGTGCATACACACACACAGCAATTATGATATAGGGAAAATATACAAATCATTCCAACTTAAGTAGAAATGATAAATAAGCTGACTCTTGAAATTATGTTTCAGTGTGAAACCAAAAGCATTTTCCCTCCCTTTCTCCTTCCCTTGTTTTTTTCCTCCAGATTTAAAATCCTATGGGTAAGCCTCTTCTACTGGACTGCATAATTAGGTAGATTAATTAGCACCTGTCCTATAGCTGTAAGAAGCTGATGCATACAGTGTGGCCTCATAGTCTATGCCAGACCACTTAAAAAGAAACTGTGGGGGTCCGGTGGCTGGCCTTTAGACATTTTCATAAATTAAAAATATTGAGAGCCAGCCCAGGTACTGCACCCTCACCGGAGAACTGGACGGGTGAATGGAGTTGTGCTGGGTGATCTGTCTGGATGGCCCGTGTTAATGATGACAAATGAGCTCAAGGACAACTATTGAAAAATATTGGAAGCCTGAGTTCTGCTGTTGAAATGTTCTGTCAAATTAAAGAAAATCAACTTAAATGCCAGCAGCACAAATCTTCTAGAAGGCAACTGAAAGGAAACTCCAGAATCGTCAGACATGATGCATACTTGGTGTTGATTGCCATTCATTTCGTTTGTGCATCATGTTGTAAGAAAACAAAGCTTTGGGTAGAGGGGATGTGACTGCCCATTGCTTTGGAGATCTGTTTGCCAGACATTTCAAGTCAGAGATATAACGTACAGTTTGAACAAAGAGCCGAAAAGGTGTGAACATCACATGTGGACCTTTTTTTGTGGCTCCGTTTCCTAACCTCACACAGATTCCATCTCTTGAATCCCACCAGTTTAAATGCTGTGTTTAATTTGTTTAATAGTCTGCATGAGGAAGATTTAATATTCCTTGCATGTCATTCTCCAAAGCAAATTGGTAATAGTATTATTAAACTTACTCCATGATGAGACATAAATTGAGTCCTTTCCACTCAGAGAAAAACTGCCAAGCATTGTTTAACACACACTCAAGGTCAGGGGGCACAGTCAGAAGTACACGTGGAAGCAGTTTGAAGACTGTGACACACTGCCTTTCAGAGAAGGTCCCCTGCTGGATCTTTCCTGGGTAGGTGTCTAATATAGTAATATATTTATAATTGGATTTTAATTGCAATCTGATTTTAGTGTGTGTGTGTTTCAGTTTGCTGCTACCAGAAGGATGAGGCTCCAAATGAAATTATACAATACCTCTCCCAGGGCAATTTGTTCTCCGCCAAAAATATATTGGAAGAATAAAATGCATGCAGTGTTGTTTGCCTTAGTTTATTGACTTAACAACCTAAGTTGCTTTCCTCTTTGGTGTTTTATCTTGCTTTGTGGTGCACTCCAGCGGCATGGAATGGTGGAGAGAGCGTGGGCTGATCGCAGGCTCATGGAGTTCCAATAGGGAGGTCCTGTGTAAGTTACTTAAACACTTTAAATTTCCATTTTCTCTTCTGTAAAATGGAGATAGTGATATTTATCAGGTGTATGTGGGAGAGTGTTTTGATGTTCAAACAAGATAAGACGTGAATATTCTATCTGGCATCTACAATAGGAGGTGAAAAAACCAGTAGCTTGTTAATTACAACTCTTTGAAAATAGATAGTTTCCTTATTTCATACTCTTCACTGTCCCTATACAGTAGTCATTTTTTAAAAAGCAAGGAGGGGGAATGAAGTGATGTTGGTCAAAGGGTATAGAATTTTAGTTAGGATGAATAAGTTCTGGATGTCATACAATGAAGTGACTATAGTAAATAATTTATTATAAACTTGAAAATTGCTAAGACAGTAGATTTTAAATGTTCTCAGTACAAAAAAAGGTGTGTAAGTTGATGGATATGTTGATTAGCTGGATTTAATCATTTCACCATGTGTACATATATCAAAATATCAGGTTGTATACACATTGTGCATATATTATAAACACATACAATTTTTGTGTGTCAGTTAGGCTGTAATAAAGCTGGAGGGGAAAAGACATCTGAGAGCCTTTGATGATTTTAGGGTGTGGAGACTCTATGTCTGGCTGTCAACTGGAGGGCTGCTTATGTTAGCCAAGCCTGGTTCCTTGTAGCCCCAGAGGAGGAGCTTTTTAAAGAAAAGTGACCAGAATTCTTCCCATTGCTCCTTACACAGCTGCGAAACTATAATTTAATGTAATACAAGATTTCAAAAAGATCACAACATTAATACTTATGTCAATTGGTATCATAGCACAGCTTCCCAACATGAAATTTTGCTTTTCTGGATCCTATGCCACCATTCCTGTGGCAATACAATCCTGCTCACAGGAAATGTGATGGTTTTTCACTACCTTTTAGCCAATTGATTTTTTAAGAATGTGCTAATGGAACCGATTTTATTCAAATCAAAAGCATTTGATATTAGGGCTTTGGTGGAAAATAGGACTTTTAAGTGTATTCCTGTTGACCCTTCTGATTTGGAACTGGGAGGAGAAAAGAGGAAGGACAGAACAAGAAAATTCTTGCTAAACAGAGGAATCAGAAGCATTGTCAATTTTTAAAAAGAATTAGTTCATAGGGAAATAATTGAAATGGTATAATAAAGTTACTTTTGTAATCCAATTTTTGCAAAAAGGAATATTTGGGATCAAATAATAACATATTCATTGTGATCTAACGAACAATCTGATATACTGTATAACTGAAATAAGCATGAATTCCACGAAATTTGTTGGCTCTTTGTGCCCACTTGTTTCACACCACTGTGCTCTTTTTGTCGGGTTAGTGGAATAGACATATTTTGTAATCTAATAGTATCAATAAAGAAATTAACTGCTCTTGATAGCAACAGCCCCCAAGTTTATAATTTGATAACACCTTTCTACCTGAGATAACAAGGATAATACCCAAACACCATAAGATTCCATAAACATGTGTAGGGCATTCAGTGTCACGTTTTTTAGTATCCTTATCCCTTTTGCCCTCACAAGATGCACTTTTTACAATAATACGATAGTTGGCTTTTGGTATGAATACTAGTGTTAATAGATGTAAAATATGACATTTAGTGGACCAAAAAGGTACAGTTTTATATTTTATAGGCAATTTATTTTCATCACCACCAACATTGCAATCACAGAAAAGGTTGATGATGAACATTTTTAAATTTGAAAAAATCCAATTGATCCCCTCCCTTTCCAAACACACACTTTTTCTTTTGCGTTTTTGCAGGGGTGGAATAAGAATGGGTTGTATAAGGAAAGATCATGTTAATGCCTGCCATGGATTAGATGCTGGAAATAAGACCCAAAGATTATAATGGAATAAAAAGGGGATTACAGTGATAGAGTCATGTGAGGTCAGAGTGGAAGGTTAGCAATCAGCTAGTGAAGTGTGATCTTCTTATCAGATGGAGAAACTGAGGCTCAGAGAGGGGTTCAGTCTTTGAGTACTCAGAGTTACAAGGCTCCTTAGTAACAGAGCCTGGGTTTTAAAGTCTTATTGATAGAGGTTTTATTGCTCCCAGGCAGGATTTGAAAAGCAAAGGAATTGAGGAAAAGTTATGCTGGGAAAAAAATAAAACAAGATTAAAAAATAGTTAAATAAATATAGACAAGGCATTGCTTTTAAAGAATGACCTACATCGGAAACTAAAGGGTTATTCTTCTCTTGGGATTCTCTGGCTAGAAAGCCATGTTCCAGTGCGTCCCTCTTGCTGTTGGTCTCCTGAGCTTCCTGATGAGAAGCAACACTTGTGAGACTCCACACTCTGCTCTCAGAGGGGCAGAGAGGGTGCTGAATCGGCATCAAACGCTTCAGGAGCCTCCCCCGCTGCCTCCAACTGCATCCATTTTGTTCCTGCCTGGAGGTAGACCGCAGTCGGGATCCAAATATATAGGAAACAAAACCTACCAGCATGAATTATTATAAGCTGTACCCACTAGAATATAAAAATAGTATTTTCCTGATGTTTGCATTATCCCTGAGCCCCGATAAGGGAATTGCTTAAAGGAAAAGCAGCCAACACCTAAATGGCAGGGGTGCCAGGCTGCATAATGGGCTAAGAGGTAGGAGGCTGACCTCAGGAAGCAGCAAGGGAAATCTGCTTTGAAGGGAATCAGCAGAGCTGGCATTGTGCTAGGTGCTGGCGGGTAAGGAACCTTCTCACAGGCCTCCAGTGGCTGTTCGCATGTATGTTTTGAAGTCTGAGGCCTGATAAACATTTTATTTAGTAGGATAAGCGAGACTTCGAGGATTTTGCAGCAGGCTGAAGTGAATTGCTCCGGTGTTCTCACCAGCATCCTACCCAGAGGTGTCAAGTACCTGGAATGGTTGGCCCCAGCATGTAGGAAGTAGACAGAAGGGTCATGCCCTTCCCTCTTATTTCCCAGGTATGGACATGGAGGTTAGGGAGACATTTCAGGTCAGAGGCCGGCTGGGAAATCTGGCTTAGGCCTCTGCTGGAGCTGTGCTTCTCAAACTTGCCTGCATGTTAGAATCTCCTGGAAGACGGGGAAGGGACAGTTAAAAAATCCCAGTGCCCATGCCACACCCCAGACCAATTATATTAGAATCTCCAAAGGGCTGTGGAGCCCAAGCATCAACATTTTTTAAGCCTACCTCGGTGTTTCCAGTGTGCATCTAGAACCAGTGGGTGAGAACATTCCCAATTTGCAGATAGTTTTATATGAAGAATTTTTTGAGGATTGTTTGTTTTGGGACACGTGAAACTCCTCAGGGGCTCTTCATGTGCCCCCTAATATGGATTAGACACCTGGTTTAGCCCAGGGCAGGGAACACATCCTGCCCTTACATTATCTTGGGCAGTGTATTTGCAAGCTTTAGCTGCTCAGTTTTGATATATGTTGGTCTGTGAGTGAATGAACGAAGCCGTTTCCCATCCCCTTCCCTGCTCCCCCCTCGCCTCATTGGCAGTTAACTCAGCCTCTGGTGTATTAAGAAAAATCCTCACTGCTTATGTAGGGTGCACCCCCTACCCACCGCCCTGAGAACAGGGCAGAGCTGAGACAGAAGAGTGAGTGACACCCCAGGAAAGCAGCTTCATCATGAGTCGATTAAAACCCCAGCCTCCTGACCTCCAATCATAAGTTCCTGGCCCTGGGAAATAGCTCTCTAATGGGCTCTGGGCGATAAAGCAACAAGGTTGAAATTGAGGTTACATTAAAGCCTAATTTTCTTATGAGGAAAAATGTACAAATGAATATGAAAGTGATGTACCTTTGTAATCTAGCTTCTTGCCTGTGCCCAAACATCCTTAGCCTTTTGTCTCAATTTTCTCAGTACAGCATGTGCCTGAAGCTGCCCGAATATATTTTACTCAGTAATGCACAGGCAAGAAGCCTTATCTGGGGTGTGGGCAGAGAGGATGGCGTAGCTTACATTTAGAGCAAATCAGGACAAATGGAGCCTGGTACAGATGTGGACGTTAGCATGCTAGCCACACACTTGGCACAGGCAATTTCTGGATACCAGAGAGGGATTCCAGACACCTGTCTTAAAAAGATCCACCCCTTACTAGCTGTGTAAGCTTAGGGAAAAAAAAATTACTGATTCTCTTAGCCTCAATTTTTTCATCTGAAAAAAAGTGATATCCTCCGTAGGGTATTTATGAGATCATATCTGAGAAAGGGCTTTAAACGTTATACAGCCATATATAAAATGTAAATTACGGCTTTACTAGACCCAGTTCTGCCATGAAGTCAGTGTAACCTCAGGCAAGTCACTTCACTGCCCTGAGTCTTCTTTTCCTCATTTTTAAAATTGAGAATTTGGAGGAGACACTTTAAAATATATTCCAGCTGCATAGGTCTTGTGTCTGGATTCTTAGAAAAGACCGTTGGTGTGCAGTTTTCCAAAACTGCCCCTTTTCAAATGCTTCCCTTAGTTCTCAGTCTTCTCCACAATAGAAGAGAGCCCTCTCTGTTATCCATTGTGAGATTTTAGAAATAGAACGGGGAGTGAAGAAATAATGTGGAATAATGTCTTCCCGAACTTTTCAGCTCAAACAGCAGAGCCTGGCTTAAGAAAGAAAGAAGTTCTCTCAATGTAAAGAACTGCTGAGATGCCATCCGGAAATGCTGTTTACTCTCCTGCAAAGAGCAGAGAGGTGATCCAGAAATACCAAGTGAATATTTTTCCTCTTACATACAGTTCTTATTTCCCTGGTGTTTCTAAGCAGTATTAGCCTTTATCCTTAAGCAACCCATCTTATATTGTCCAGGATTTCATATACACTAGATGACATTATTCTACTATCACTTTTAATGCTGCAGTAATTTTCATAACCTGCAGTATGTATATGGATCCTTATTATAACTTCTACTTGGGCCCTTTTTTTTTTTTATAGGAAGTCATTTTTTTTTTTTCTTTTGGCAGTTACATTGCTAAGGGCTTTGAGGATTTCCTTAATGCCATCACTGGATGGGTGTGTGTTCTGAATTGTCATTTTCTGCTTTTGTGCAGTTTCTCCTGTTCCTATGAGCTTCGTTACCTGCTCATGAAGAATATGAGTCTTTGGAAGTCTGGATTGCAGGCAGCTCCAGCGATGCCCAGAGTCTTGTTAGGAGGGCATTTCTTCTTGCCCTCGCCATGACAGATTTGAGATCCTGGTGCAGACTGAAGCTGAAACGAATTGCTGAGATGAGACCCCAAAGACAAAGAGACGTGCAAGTAGCTAAGGGTTTCAAGGGGCAGTTTAATCATTGCTGACTTCAGGCTTCCTGCTTTGCAGAAATTCTTTCTGTAGCAGCAAAAGCTTCTTTTTAAAGAAGTTGTTAGAGCTTGAGTTAGATATGGTGGTGGGCTACAAAAGTCATTTGATGATATTTAGTAATTCCCTTAAGGAAAGATACTTGGATCTCTTCGGAGACATATGCATCCCTCCACTGCAGACAGCCACCCAGTTCCACTTCCTGCTAGCTCTGTGCCGTTGAGCAAGACAGTGACCTCTCTGAGCCTTAATGTCCTCATCTGTAAAATAGTATTGCTATAACTTAGTCTGCGTTATGGAGTGGTGGTAAGGATCAGAAGTAAGGCTTAATTGGCTGGGCATGGTGGCCCACGTCTGTAACCCCAGCACTTTGGGAGGCTGAGGCGGGTGGTTCACCTGAGGTCAGGAGTTTGAGACCAGCCTGGCCAACATGGTGAAACCCCGTCTCTACCAAAAATACAAAAAAATTAGCCGGGTGTGGTGGCAGGCGCCTGTAATCCCAGCTACTGGGGAAGCTGAGACAGGAGAATCGCTTGAACCTGGGAGGCGGAGGTTGCAGTGAGCCGAGATCACACCACTGCACTCCATCCTGGGAGACAAAGCGAGACTCGATCTCAAAAAAAAAATAATAAAAAAAGAAATAAGGCTTGATTTTTAACCTCAATAAATTTTAGTTGTTTTTGTTAATTTCTCCGTAGTATATAGTGGAATCTAAGGCTTTGATTCATGTTTAAAAATATGTGTCCTTTGAAGTAGGGTATGTTTTTTTTTTTTTTTTTTTGAGACAGAGTCTTGCTCTATCACTCAGGTTGGAGTGCAGTGGTGCAATCTGGGCTCACTGCAAGCTCCGCCTCCCGGGTTAACGCCGTTCTCCTGCCTCAGCCTCCCGAGTAGCTGGGACTACAGGTACCTGCCACCACACCTGGCTAATTTTTTTTGCATTTTTAGTAGAGACGGGGTTTCATCGTGTTAGCCAGGGTGGTCTCGATCTCCTGAAGTTGTGATCCGCCCGCCTCGGCCTCCCAAAGTGCTGGGATTACAGGCGTGAGCCACCGTGCCCAGCCAGGTATGTTTTTTTAAAATTCCTCCTTTGGAACAATGGTCTTCAGCTCTGCTTGCATATCAGACCTTTGGAACAATGGTCTTCAGCTCTGCTTGCATATCAGATTCTGATTTGATTGGTCTGGGTTGAAGCATAAGGATTAGTATTTTAATTTCATTGAGGTGTGATTTAAGCCAGTAAAGGATGCAAATCTTAAGTATATGGCCTAATAAATTTTTACATAGAAATACATCTGTCTAGCCACCACCCATATCAAAATATAGGACATGTGGCATCTGTATTTACTCTCCAGATGATTCTAATGGGCAGCCAGGGCTGAGAACCACAGCCCAAGCAGACGGTCATCCACATTAGATCTGACACTGGCTTTTCTTTTGTCTTCAAAACGTACTGTGTGTTTTTATCCCTGTGCACTCATGTTCTCCTTTACCATCATCTCTGTTTCACAAAACTCCTCCCCGCCTCACCTGTTGCCACTAGCATTTGCACACTTCTCTTTTGTTGCCCTCAACCCCTTGTACTGTACAGTGAGTGGGTGGGCATCTGCCTCCTCCACAGATCTATGAGCTTCTCCAGCACAAAGACTGGATTTCACTGGAATTTCATGTCCCCAGGGATGCCACACTAAGCATGCATAAAATAAATGAGTCAACTCTGGTATACTCCAGCTGTCCTGCTGCCATTTGCCTCATCCACAAGAATAACTGTGGTTGGGGACAGGGAAGGAGTATAGCTAAGTCAGATTTTTTATTGTGGCCCTCAAGGCCAACCTGGGGAGCCCTACTGGAGGAAGCCCTGAAGGATAGTTGCCCCGATGACCGGTTATGGTGGCCTGCAATCCCAGCATTTTGGGGGGCCATGACAGGCAGGTGGCTTGAGTACAGGTGTTCCAGACCAGCCTAGGCAACATGACAAAACCCTGTCTCTGGGGGGAAAAAATAAAATGTATATATATATATTTGTGTGTATATATATATTTGTGTGTGTGTATATATATATATATAGTGTGTGTATATATATATATATATACATATACAAAAAAAAATTTAAAACCTTAGGCAGGCACGGTGGTACATGCCTGTGATCCCAGCTACTCAGGAGGCTGATGTGGGAGAATTGCTTGAGCCCAGAAGTGGAGGTTGCAGTGAGCCAAGATTGCACCACTGTACTCCAGCCTGGGTGACAAAGCGAGACCCTGCCTCAAGAAACGAAACAAACCAAAAAAGCGAAAGTTGCCCCTGAAAATATCTCTGGGAAGCGGTCCTCCCTCTGGATAAGCTGAGTGCTTGTTCCTGCACCTTGGCTCACACGACTGCTCCATGGCGCCCCCCCCCCCCTTCTGTTAACTGCATCTTCCCGACTTCAACACCCAGCTCATGCTGTCATCTCATGTTCATCTTCCAAAAACTCCGACCCTCACGCATTCCTTTTTTATTTTCTTTTTGTTTCCTTTTTGCGCTTGATGTCAGTATTATAGGTCGCCCAGTACATGGTAGTCAGGGCCATCTTTGTTTCACATGACAAGAGGAACTCAGCCTTAACACCTGCTCTGTCTGCCTTGGAAAAGAAATGAAGAAAATACTCGTTTCAAAAAACAGTTGGGAGTTTTAAATGTGGATTTTATTTCCTTTCTGACTTGTTTTTATGAAGGAAAAAAAAAATCATTCCTCCTCCCTATTTGGCAGGGGTAGCGTCACCCTTGAGGAGAGTGTCACAGAAGGAAAACGCGATCCCCCACCATTGCCGTCCGGCTCCAGGTTCCTGAGCTGCTCTCTCTCACCTCTGGCTGAGACTTTTTTTTCTCTTTCCCCTAGCCATCTTTCTTAACTCTCGGGGCCCCGTGCCTAAATGACCTGATCTGTGAAATGGAGATATATAGTCCTTTCATTTTAAGTCCTCTATACATACAAATAAGAGTGAGAAAATCTGCTGAAACTGAATTTTTTAAAACCCTCTTCCAAATCATGTTTGGTTGTTTTCCTTAATAACCAGAGATGCAAAAGAACTCACTCATTATGCTGTAGCTTTTCTATTTCTCACCATGGAAAATAATCCCAGTACAGCTCTTTTGTGCTTTAGTTCACAGGGCCTTTACCGGGCTTTATCTTACGAGAGCCTCACAAGCGCCCTGTCAAGCCGAGAGACAGGGCAGGCCTGAAGGCTCAGTTGAGGAATCACCTTCCTTAAGAAAACTTGAAACCCTGACATTCCCCCACCCCTACCCTCTTTCCTTTCCAATACTCTCTGTATATCTGTATTAATGTTCCCACCACACTGTAGGAATATCTGTTTGCATGGCTGTTTCTTCCCCTACACTATGGGCTCTTTGAGGATAGAGACCATATCTAGCATTTCTCTGTAACTAATGCCCAGCACAGTACCTTGGTGTCAAACCGAATACGCCTTTGTTGAATAAATGTATGAGTCAATGAATGAGGTTGCAGAGTTATCAAGTGGAGGAGGGATTAGAACCCAGGTATCTTGAGCCCAAGCAATTTGAAGGTGTTTAAGCTAATTCTTTTGTATGTTTTTCTGGCTGTTTATGTACTTTTGAAGTCTTTATCTTTCTGTGTTAAAATATGTCTATCGTTATTGCATTTTACAGCATCAAAAATTAAGAATACTTACATTCTTCTACAAATTGATGCTTCAAAATAGAAAATTTGGAATTTCAGAAGCTCCAGTACAGTAACTAATCTGAAATTATTGATGCATTTTCTTTCGTCAGGGAATAACTTTGAAAGATTCAAATGATTTCAAAATCCAACTTTCTAACGTCTGGGAGAGAATTCCTCAAACACATTTAGCAGTCAAAACAATTCTATAGAGTATAAAAGATGAAGCATGGCACTTCGAAGTAAAGGTTACAGTTTCTATAAATGAGAAAAGGCCGAATATTTGCTAGCAAAATATTTTTAGCAGGAAAGAATTTACTTTGGGAGGTACTTAGGCATGTTATATTAATACTAATGTACAAGTTCAGCAATTTGTAGGAGTGGAAAGAATTGGATTAAAGTAAAAAGTTCTTAATATCTACACATTAAAATGGAGAAAAGTCTGTGAATGTGAACTTAATCAAATCATGGTAGATAAACAATTATAAGAACAGAATCTTTGAATGATTTTTTTTTGGATTTACTTACTAACATTAGCAGAATCTTTGTGCCTTGCAATCCTGGAGAGTTTTGTTTTAATCAGATTTGTTGGCTGAGGCAGTTTATGTTAAAAAAAAAAAAAAAAGTAACTTTTAACATCCAGCTGCTTTTCTGAGAATTACCCATCTATGAAAAAAAATGTAGCACCATTAACATTTATGAGAAACAGACTTAACATTATCATAAATTATACAGTAAACTCTCTTGGACTGGGATTGAAAGGTGTGTGTTTGTCTTTGAAGCTGATGTATTTTGACAGCACACCAGGAGGCAGCTCACTCTGAATAATGGGCAAGATGAGAGCCTCAGAGGAAAGAAATCACTCCCTTAAGTGAGCGTAAACCAGATAGGGGGTAAATGAACTTCCCCACCTGGACACATTGCAATTTTAGAAGCACTGATCACACGAGAAGTTAGCGCTAGCAGGGACCTAGGAGCCATTTAGTTATATTTTTTCTATTTACAAATGTGGAATCTGAGGCTCAGAAAAAAGAAAAAAAAATTCTCTCAGCTTCTTCCAGTATTTCAGGGGTAGAGCCAGGAACAGAACTCACCCAGCACCCAGTTCACCTCTCTCAGAGCCTGAGGAAAGCTCGTCAATGTTTTCAGTCTTTGCTTCTTCCTCCGTAAAATGAGCATATCATTTGAGCTTCATGCCCTCTCCAATTTGAAAGTGTCACATTTCAATGGCATTTGTAATCATCTGGGTAAGTTCTTTATTTCACTACCTTGTTGAATCAGTCACCTCAAAGGAATGGCCGCTTGGTCCAGGAATGGGGTATCCGGTGATAGGTGAATATGTTGTGAGGTGCTTAGGGGAAGAGGAAATGTGGGGGTCTTTAACTGCTGTTCTCTTATTTGTAGGGTAGCAATAGGTTGTACTGTAGGCCAGTGGTATACATAGCCAAGCCCTATACTGTTTTGTCTAAAACCCTAAAATCCTAAAACTGGGCTGACGGTTGGGCAGTAGGTCTGATAATTTGCTCAGGAGTCATCTCTTGGTTGAGCCTAATTTACTAATTTGCATTCCTATATTCACCGTCTTCATTCCAATGCCATCTGTACCACACCTGAATGATTACTCCATTTTCATAGCTAGTCTCCCTGCTGTCCCAATTCATCTTGCCCCTCACTGCTAAAATGGTTCATCCTGCGTCAAGAACAGTGGTGTTTTTTGTTTGTTTGTTTGTTTTTTTAAGTGCTGAAGGATCAACAGTGGGTTCCTATGGGACACCTTTACATTGCCTGGTCTACAGTGTTTCACTAATGGTGGATCTTTGACACTGAGTCACCTATCCAATTCATCTTGTCCCCTAGACACAGCTCACTTTTTTCTGCCCTACCCACGTAGCTTTCCTCTCTGCCAGTGCGAAACACAGCTCATGACTCACCTCCTAAAGGAAGCCCTCTGGAGCTGAGCCTCCTCTTGTTCATTACATCATGGCTTTTGGGCCCTTTGGGACCTCCTTGTAGAATAATTACTGGATCATTTAGTTCTGGTGCCCACATTGTTGATCCCCGCTTGGTTCAGAAAAATTGTGATGCTGAAATGGATCCTTCCTTCTCAGGGCTTTTTGGAGACAGCTTGAGTCCCCCAAACCATGTGGTACCGTAACTGAGGCATTTTCCTTCCCAGGGTACTTCTCCGGGAAGGCAGTCTTTTGGAGACTGGTACCTTATGAGGGAAAATGAGCCTATTTCCAATGCCATCTCTCTCTAATAAAGAGAAACCTCACTTCACTCTAATGCCACAAAAATGTGCTCTTGGCTTTCCTTGAGGGAGTCTGTTTTGGAAATTCCATGGTCAGAAGAAGCAGGGCTGTGGCCGGCAGGCTGTGTGGTGCAGCATGTCCAGGATCCAGTGTCCTGTCTTCTTAGTCAGCCAGGCTCCCTTTAAAGTTAGTGGTTTGCTGGGAGACCTCATGTGGGTTTTCATTTTAAATGGTGCTCTTGAATGTGGCTCCTATTTACATTTTTTTTTTTTTGGAATATCCATTACCAAGCCTTCATGGTGAAGCACCTCCCAGTAAAGGCAGCCAAATTAAAGGATGCGAAAGCCAGCTCCCTGGTGGACTCTGGAGATATGAAAGAGAGCAGTGTCTTCACTGGACCAGACCCAAGACTCTAAACCCGTGGGTGCTGGATCCCTGCAGTCCTCTAGGCTTCACTGGGGGTAGAGGAAGCCACAGACTCCTGCCACCAAATAGTGCCTACTGTACACGCAACATGTTCTGCTCTATCTTTCACATAAATGTAGTTGCTTCTGGGATTTAGAAATATTTTTTAAAGCACTGCTAAATAACTAGTCAGCGTTTTAAATGAATAGGTTAAAAGCATAACTCTAATGATGAGGGAGTTTACATAATATTTTGATGTCGTAAATGGACTCTTATACCGTCTGGGCCAAGAGCCAACATACGAAGGCCCTGGGGGTTGTCCTGACCATGTCTGTGTGGGCAAATATCGGTTGGGTCTCTAAATCAGAAGGAGTGCACTTGCTTGGGCTGATTGAAATGACAAGAACAAAGTATAGGGATAACCATCCGTGATGCAAGGCCAATTATATAACCAATTTCATCAGAGTGGGTTAGAACTCAGCATCTTGCTAAGCCATTTTTCAGGTTTAGCATTGGCCTATAGCATTTTTACTTAAGGAATCTCTGACTCCAAATACTTGCAGAAAAGGGACAGTAAGTTCTTTCATGTAACAGAGGTAAATATTAATCCCTGATTTCTTGCAGTCACAGCAACAAACATTTTAGTAAATATGGATACAGTAAACAAATCTGTATGAGAAACCAGGCCTAACAACACTGCATTTTTCTGCTAAAGATCATATTAACATAGGTCCCCACTCCCCTGTTTTTCATGGAATAGGGGATAAATTACCTGGTCTTTTTCCCCACCAAGTTTTTTAAAGCTAAAACTTACCTGAGCATTAAATGAGTTTGGAAGTGCCTGCTAGCTGAGGGGTAAAGCTGAAATTTCAGCCGTTTGTCACTCACTGCAGAGTTTGCTTGGGTTTGGGGGAGAGGGATGAGATGACATTGGATAGGCAAAGCAGTGACATCAGTCTCCTGGTGTTTAAAAAAAAAGTCTCTCCAGTTCCCTCTGTGGTGAGCCAAATTTTCAGTTTCACAGTTAAGTCTAAACTTAAAGCTTTGTTGGCTGAAATAAGAACTTTGCGGAGTGACATTTCTGTTTTCAGGGCTTCTGTTGAGACCATATTGCTGGCGTAGGAATTTAGCTTCATGGGACAGGAAACAGTTATAGGCTGTAGTGAGTAATGTTCCCCTATTTCAGATGGAAAAACATTGAAAATCATGATTTTGGCCCTCAAAGAACAGCTATTCGTGGCTGTCATGGTTAACTCTGTCTCTGACTTTGCCTTGGCAACGAAGGTCAATTTACCACGATAACAAGGACGTTGATTTTATGGCACTTGACATCTTAAAAGGTGCTGAAGTGCTTCACAAACTGGTAAGCAGACCAAACCAAATGTGCCTTCTTCTGAGCAGTAATCTCAAGAAAAGGTGAGGATGTATATATCCGCATGTGTGCACACGTGCGTGTGTGTGTGCATGTGTGTGTGTAGAATTTTAAAAAAACAGGCTCAGGAACTTCCTAGCTAGACATTTTAGGGCCCTGTCTGCAAAATGTGGACTTGGGAATAACCGCAGGCACTGGAGGCACCTGGTTTACGAAGAGCTGTATCATTCCAGCCTTTTTGTTTTCCTCAAGAGAACCTGACCTAGGGCCACAGGAGTTACTTTGTCATTTCCCACCATATTGTCCTGCTGAGCCAAAGAATGTTCTTTGTGGAGGTAAAGAAGCTCCCATATGATTTTTATGTTCCCTGCTGTCCTCAGAATCAAAGTTCAGGTCCTAAGCCTGGGAATCAGGGCCTCCATCTATGTCTTGGCCCCCACCTACTGTTCTGGTCTTACTTCCTGCATCTCTGGAGGCAGTTAGTCCTGAGTTCGAAACATCTTTACAAATCACTTCTCACTTACTTAAAAGCAAATGCAGCATTTCTGTACTAACTAGAAAGAGCAGAACACTTACCTTGTAAGGTTAGATTAAGGTCTGCATTTAATGAGCCAGAGGCACAAAATCTTACCTATTCCAGGGGGCAACCCATAGCAGGAGCCAGATGCAGCACAGCCCAGCAGAGCTGTCCCCAGGGTTGTGAAGAAGGTCTGCAGCAAGGCTGGGCTGTGCTAGACCTGGCAAGCCAATGCTTTCTGTTTACCTGCCCATTCATTCTCGTCCTTGGGCTCACATCACCATTCCAAAAGAACTTGCAGGACAATATTATGCCCACCACTTAAAGAGGACATTGACAAGCCTGACTCAGGCCCAGTAAGGCAACATCCTCGTCTAGGAGGAGACAGACAATAGAGTTGGTGCCCAGCTGTCCCTGAACGGCATCTGACTCCCGTCTGCCTGTGCTCTTGAAGCCCATTGCCCCGAGGGGCACTCTCACCTCCTATTTAATATCCTTCGTCTGTCTGGGAACGATTTTCACAAATCAGTGTCCCTGCAGGTAGTTGGAAGGAACAAATGAGATAATTCCCACCATGTTCTTAGCACAGAGCCTGGCTTGCGGTAAGTGTTCAATAAATGTTAGCTGCTATTATTATCGTTATTACTCACCTGCTCTGTGCTTCACAGAGCGTTAAATACGCGTGGCACCCTGCATAAACCCTTTACTTCCTGGCCTCAACCTTTCTCTTTGCCTCAAAACGTCCTTTCTCCTGTCTTTGCCTCCAAACCGTCCCCATCCTGTTAGGCTTTGCTCAAATGCCACTCCCCCTGGGGGAGGCTTTTCAGATTGCTTTCCGCTTCCCTTTCCCAGGCTGGAAACGCGCACACTCTCCTACTCTCCCTCTTTCCTGGCACTGTGCTACTTTCCTTTCCTGGAGCAAGGCTTCTCAGACTTTCTGTGGTCAAGAACTGGCCCCATGCCCCCCAGTCCATGACGGATCAATACTTGTATAAAGTACAATGTAAAAGAAAAAGGCAGTTAAAAATGCAAGCTCCATTTTTTATTATTAGAGTTAACAGACACAAAATTACACAATCACATATATGGGCAAGGTTTAAAAGGCTTACTCTCAGTTTCTGTACTTCTCTTGCCCCAGACCAACAATGACCAATTTGAGGACCGGCAGCAGTTCGTGGAGCACACTTTGAATAGTGTGGAGTTTACGTTATTCCCATCTGCACTGGCACAGTTACTCAGGTACTGTCTAATTCAGTGAACCCAACCTCCCACACCTGGCAGGAGGCTTATACACAGGGTTGCTCGATAAATTAGTTGAATTGAATGAATGAGTGAATAAATGAAAGCACAATAAATATTGAATGAATGAATAGATGATTGACTTGCTGAGCATATTTAAAACTCATAGTCCTTAGGAAGAATTTTCTTAATGAATAGCATGCCAAAGGGATTATAATTTTTTTATCTTTGCCTTTTATAAAATTCACTCATTTGCATTGCATATTAAGACCAATTCTTTTTCCTTAGTTTTTAAAACATTTTTATTTTCCGTCTGTGATAGCTAAATGGAGATAAGGTTTATACTTTCACAAAAATAAGGGCATACTTGGTAATATCTTCAGAAATAAGATAGGTGAGAATCTTAAGAGAACCCATACCTTATGCTTTAGTAAGAATCAGGATTTCTGAATTGAATAATTGCAAATTAGAGAGCAGAAGAAAGATATTATATACTTATATGTATATAAACTTGAACAGTTACCACTCAAGAGCCGTATTGAATTAACAAAAGTAAAAGTTTATTTTGTAGTGTTGCCATCAGTCACCAAATCAATGTTATTTGAAAAGAAAATCTCCCTACCCAGGTTTTCTTCCTCCTTGGGGAATACAGTGGTAATTCCCAGACTTGTGGTAAAGGAACCAGTGCACCAGTAAGCATGCCTTCCAATAATCACTGCATCTGTCTCAACAGAAGACAAAACCCAGCCCTACCTCCTCTAGAACTACTTAACGGAGGTTTTGAGATTTGAGGGTAAGCTATACACATTCTTCTCTGGAAATCACATACTGCTATTGTTCCTTCACCTTAAAAAGAGAAAATAAAATCAAATCGAGACCTGCAAACCATTCAGCCTCCTTCATTTTATTGTCTCACTATCTCTGGTCTCACTTTTCTGCAGACTTTCAAACTCACAACAATCTCTCCTTTTTTGGGGGAGGTCTACACTGCACAGTCATTCAGGCCAGGAACATTTGTGGAAGTCTCCTATGTGTGGAGCAGGAATACAGAAGGAAACAAGACACAAGGAAACAAACAACTCCACACATGTAGCTGACAGTTATTGCACAAGTCCAGGAGCGCCATATCCATGGGGAGAGAAGTGCAGGGCGTGCGGTGTATGAGGATTGCGTTGTGAATACTGATCCAGTTGGACGACAAGGAGCTCAGGGAAGGTTAGTGCAGGGAAGTGACATTTAAGGTCCAACAAGAAGGATGAGTAGAAATTTACCAGAGGAAGTAGTGGAAGAGAGTTCTAGGGCTTATGGATGACTCTATGACCATCAGGATCATCAGTATCACTCTCTTCCACACCCACATCTTGTCCCCCTGGCAGGTCTTCAAGGGCAATAACAGGCATTGAGCTGTCCTCGCCTATAACAGCAATGCCTCCTTCTGGAATATCTCTGGAAGGACCTGCCTGAGGCTGTTTTATAGTTATCATTTAAAAAAAATAAGAGTACACTCTAAAATGACAATATGAAGCATATTATAATAAATACACAAACCAGTAACATGGTCATTTATTATCATTACCATGTATTATATGCTGTACATAATTCTGTGTGTACTTTTTTTTTTTTTTGAGACTGAGTCTCGCTCTGTTGCCAGGCTGGAGTATAGAGGTGTGATCTCAGCTCACTGCAACCTCTGTCTCCTGGGTTCAAGTGATTCTCCACCTCAGCCTCCCTAGTATCTGGGACTACAGGTGTGCACCACCATGCCCCGCTAATTTTTGTATTTTTAGTAGAGGTGGGTTTCACCATGTTGGCCAGGATGGTCATGATCTCTTGACCTCGTGATCCGCCCACCTTGGCCTCCCAAAGTGGTGGGATTACAGGCGTGAGCCACCATGCCTGGCCAGTCTGTGTGTACTCTTATACAACTGGCAGTGCAGTAGGTTTGTTTACACCAGCATCACCACAAATGTGTGATTAACTCATTGCCATAAGACATTTTGATGGCTACATCACTAGGCAATAGGAATTTGTTAGTTTCATTATAATCCTGTGGGACCGCTGTCATATTTGGTCCCTTATTGACCAAAATGTCTTTATGGGACACATGACTGTAATAACAAATCACTCACAGGTACATATTAGTACTTAGAATGCCATAGGCACTGTTATTGTGGATCAAGCTCTCAGATACTATAATCACACCCATTTACAGATGGGGAAACTGAGGCACTGGGAAGGTAAATAACTTGCCAAGGTAACATAGCAAGGAAATAATGGAGTTAGGATGTGAACATTAGGCAGTGTTTCAGAGCGCATGCTTTTAACAAGCGTACTATTCTGCATGTGCCACAGGCAAAAGCATCTTAGATTTCTTTTTAGGTTTGTAGTTTCTAATACAGTGCTAAGTAAATCAACTCCCAATAAATGCTTACTATTTAATCAGGTTAGATTTAGTTATTCCATTGCCAAAGGGTGTTTATTTAATTGAAAACAAGATGGGCTGGATGAGGGTGTGCTGGCTGAACCATGTGATAACAGAGGCAGTGAGGTGTTGACTGAAACCACCTGGTTTCAAATCTCTGCGTGTCACTTTGCCAGTACCAGGATAAATCCCGTGGCCTTTATGGGAGAACTTTCATTCATTTATCAAATTTTTGTTGAGTGGCTACAATGTGCTAGCCACTGTTCTAAGTTCCAAGGACTCAATAGTAAACCAAACAGACAAAACCCTACCCTTGTGTATCTTACATCTTGCTCACATGACAATACACGTAACATGCTTAGCACAGTGCTTATGGTACTGGTTAATATTATTTATTTTTTTGAGAGGAAGTCTTGCTCTGTCACCAGGCTGGAGTGTAGTGGCGCGATCTAGGCTCACTGCAACCTCTGCCTCCTGGGTTCAAGCTATTCTCGTGCCTCAGCCTCCCAAGTAGATGGGATTACAGGCGTGCACCACCACACCCAGTTAATTTTTGCACTTTTAGTAGAGACAGAGTTTTACCATGTTGGCCAGGAAGTCTCAGTCTCCTGACCTCATGATCTGCCTGCCTTGGCCTCCCAAAGCGCTGGGATTACAGGTGTGAGCCACGGTGCCTGACCTGTTATCATCATATGGTGCTGCTGGTTAGTGCTTTTTACAGACAGTATTGGCACATTCCTAATTTTTTGGTAGGGTGTGTCAAATGAGATAGCAAAACAGGGTTTGTAGATGGTGATGGCAAATTAGATCATAAAAGGTGATTATCGTTCTTTGAAGGTCTCCAGAATGACCACTGTTGAATTAATCATACAATAAAAATTGGCTTTAGGTTTTAAGATAGCCAGCATGTTTTCCTCAAACCTTAGAGTAGTAATTTTGATACTGTGCATTTTAGTGGTAATGGTTTAGTAGTAGCAAAGGTCTACAGACGTTTCCGTAAATGGCCATACAGTAAATGTTTTAGGATTTGCAGGCAATGTGGTCTTTCTTACAACTACTCAACTCTGCCTGCTGCTGTAAGAAGAAAGCAGCCATAGATAATATGTCAACAAATCGGTATAGCTGTGTTTCCAATAAAGTTTTATTTATATAAACAGGCATTCAGCCCACAGGTCAGTTTGCCAACCTCTGTTCCGGAAGAAAGTAAAAATTCTGTTAGCAGTAACATTGTGCAGGGGATCAGCTTTTTAAAAGAAAACATGAACTAATATTAAAAAAAATCATTGGCTCACTGCAAAGTCACAAGACTCCTTAGACACTTAAGAATCTGAATTTGACTTCTGATGGTTTAAGTTTACTATTTTGCATGACCTTATTTTCTGACTGGTTCAAGATCAGGATCGGTACTAGGGATCACTTAAGGAAGAAATTTCAAGAACCTGGAAGGGACATCTTCTCTGGAATAGAACCAGAGGAGATAAACTATCCCATGGACATTTGTATTGGGCCCTGAAGGAATTTTCAGCAGTGAGGGCTTTGCAGAATTGAAATAGAAGGGTTATCGCTGAACAGGATTTTCTTTCTCTAGACATTTTAAAATCCGGAGAAGTCCTACTCTGGCAACTGGTCAATACAGAGTTATTAATTACTCACTGATTAAAATTTTCTACTTTTTCTGTATCTTGTCCAATATGGCTTGTTTTTGATCTGGTCAGAAGGTTACTGGTGGATGGAGTGAATGGATAGTGTATTCTCTCTGGGATTCGGTGTCCAGGTTTAAGCCAGAGTGAAGTCTTGTTAAATTGCAATAAGGGAGAGGAAACCATCTGAAAGAGAGAAAAAGAAGCATTTTCTAATGTCTTTCAAGAAATGAAATTTTATTCAAGGGCCAAAAGAGCCACAGGGTAATGAGACCATGACCAGCAAACACCTATACTAGATAAAAGTAAATTTTAATTAACATATCAATAGTTTGTAGATCTTAGGTGCTTCCAGAGTGCTTGAGGTTGTTTGACAACTTTTTCTTCCCTTAAGCTCTTTTGCTTTCTCTTTGAAGATCTATTTTAAACAAAGAGAACCCCTGTTCCAATCTATTTTGATCTCAAGGATGTCTGATTTAATGTAATTTTCTCACGTTCCTACCAACTTGCCCAAGGTGAGGAATAATTTACTTTGTTAGAGCAAAAGAACAAAGAACTTTTTGGGAAATGGAGAATAGTGGACTTCCTTTAAAAATAAAAAAAGTACTGCAGTTTCGTACATCCTGGCAAAACTGCCACCTATCATTTTTAAACTTTTGCATTCTTAGATGGTCTTACTTGGATTTAAGACCTTTGTGAGTTTGTTCAAATAGGCAGTCATGCAAAAAGAGCCTGCGTTTTCTAATGGTGGTCTCCTGTGTGTTTAGCTTTGGTTGATGGGCGTATTAGAAACAAGCAGAGCACGGGTGATTCCAGCTCATTGGATACAGCAAGTAATTACCTCCCTGCTTTTGGAAACAGTTAAATATACTCCCACTCCAGCAATGAATGTAGCCAGGGCCAAGGTGGGCAGATGCTGGCTGCTCAGTGACCATGTTCAGGATGATGTGTGTAGGAGGAGAGGAAGGATTCCAAGAAGACTCAGTACCTTCTTCTAGGATTATAAGGATTTAAATAGGCCTGAGGGAAGGACCCAGCACATAGCACGTGTTCCATAAAGGGCACTTTCCATCCTTATCCCCTCTTTCTACTTTGAACTGCTCGTAGGAAGACCTACTTTAATTCAAATAAAAATGCATTTGTGTTAAACCTGCGGCAGAAGATTCAAGGGCCCTTGGCCTCCCAGGGTTTATAAATAGATGGAAAGATGTATATACTGAGAAAAAAAGTGAAATGAGAGTTATGCAAGTAGAGATGACTGTATTTGACAGCACAGGCCATGCAAATGTGAGGTGAGTGGTAAAATCAGTGTGAAAAATAGACAATGTTTGAGAAGTATAGATGGGAGGAGGGGGAGCTGGTCCAGAATGGTTAAGGAAGGCTTCATGGGGGTTGTGTGATTTGACCAAGGCCTTCATGGGTGAGTAGGATTTGGATGGATGGAACAAAGGGGATCACAGGTGGAGAGAGTTACAAGCTCCTAAAAAGCTGGTTGTGTTTTAGTTTTTTAGTTCATTGTCCTGTGTTTGGTAAATACTTAACGGATGGTTATTAAATGAATGAGTAATTATTTTGATTGCTTTTTCTCCTCTGAACTTAGTCTATAGCACACAATTAAAACTCAATTCTGTATGGTCTCACCTCATCAAGGCAATTCTTTCCTGTCTGGCTATACTATTAATACCTTGTGGGAAAGGCCCATGTGTAATATTTTTCATCCTCTCTAGTAATAACTAGAATGTTGAACATGTAGCAGATGCTGCCTAAACTCTTTCTCATTGAACAAGATGGTCAAAGACACAGGATGCTAAACTTTGATGAGAACTAGTGTTTCTTTAGGGCCCTTTAAGAAACAAATCATTGTGACCATAGATTGCTTTGCTACCAGGAAGAGCAGACCTACCTCCAGGGTCTGCCTGACACCAGTGGGAATGAACCCATATACCACTTTTGAGAATCTCCTTGCCAGCTTATGAAGATAAACCTGTGTTTTCCTGGCAACTAATTTTGTAGATGAACTTGGTCCATGCTGCTTCTCCATTATGTCAACTTTTCACCATATAGGTTTTTGATGGTCTCACCTGAAGAATGGAAGTGGAGCTAATAATTACCTAGTATCTACCATGTGCTTTAACTTCCGCAGTAGCCTTGTAGATATCACTTTTGTTCTTTTAAAAGAGAGAAGCTCAGAGCATGTAAGTGGCTTGGTCAAGGTCACATAATATGTCATGATAGATGAATTTGAACCTAGGACTCTGAGCTAGAGCTGCATTCCTTACATTGTGTTATGGTGTCCACATGCCCCTGCATTTTCATGCATTACTAGATTTGAATAATCAGAGGGGAGATAAAAGAAGCTATTTTAGATGAGGGGCAATCGTTGAGGCACAGTCAACCAATGACCTTGGCAGAAGAGGAGAGTACCTTTGAGGGGATTAATAATAAATAATCTTGAATTCCTATGATTGGGTGAGATTCCATTACAGATGGTTTTGGAAGACTTCAGACTTTATGAAATATCATGGGAACCACTGGAAAATGTTTAACTAGAGGTATGACATGATAAAATTATTAATTAATCTAATAATTAAACACACTTAGTGAGTATATATCATGTTCCGTGTTGGAACAAATCACACATTCTTCCTGCTCTCATGAAACTTTTATTCTAGTGGGCAAACAGACCTTAGATAAATAATTTCATAAATACTATATATAATACCCAAGTATGGAACATGCTTCATTATAAATGTAAAAGGTCTGTGAGAGTATAAATTTTAGACCATCCCTCTCCTGAGAAAGTTACTTTTGAGTTGAGATCCCAAGAGATGAGTAAGGGTTAACTAGCTGTATTAGTCCACTTTCATGCTGCTGACAAAGACATACCCAAGACTGGGTAATTTATAAAGAAAAAGAGGTTTAATGGACTCAGAGTTCCACGTGGCTGGGCGGTGGGGGGGGCGCCTCATGATCATGGCAGAAAACGAAAGGCACATCTTACATGGCAGCAGACAAGAGAGAGTGAGGACCAAGTGAAAGGGATTTCCCCTTATAAAACCATCAGATGGTTCAGTATGGGGGAAACTGCCTCCATGATTCAATTACCTCCCAATGGGTCCCTCCCACAGTATGTGGGAATTATGGGAGCTATAATTCAAGATGAGATTTGGGTGGGACACAGCCAAACCATATCACTAGGTAAGAAGAGGGCTCCATGCTAAGGAACAGGATATGCAAAGACCCTGTGGCAGGAGGAACTCTACCTGCTTTTTTGAAGAATTCCATAAGGTAGCCTTCAGTGGAGCTGAGTAGAGAGTGGGGGAGAGTGGGCTAAAACATGAGGGGAGAAGTAGGCAAAAGCTAAATCTCATCAGGACCTTATAGACAATTGACAGATGTTTGTCTTTATCCAGTAAGGTGTTTGTATGCTCCTTAAGTGGCAGCGGGGAGTGAGCAGAGCAGTGAAGATAAACATGAAAGCTGGTGGTAACAAATTCTGATACCTCCTCTATTCCAAAAGGAAAGGCAGAACTCAGAGGCACCATCCTCCTGTTGTGTTTGCAAGCTGTTGACACAACCTGGAAAGGTTAAAAGTTTTCAACAGACTTGTCAGAGTTTGTGTTCAATGGAAACTGACAGAGCCTACCGGCTGAGGGGCTAATTTTAATAGAAATAACCTAGGTGCGTTTGTTAATTTTCTCCGTTCCCTCAATGACCTGTCTGCATAGCGTGAAGGTGCTTTGATGTGACCAGGAGAACAGAAGGATATTTTGTGCATAGCTGACCGTGAGAGGAATGCTGGTTTTGCAATGAGGAAGCACAGGAAGATGACAGGTGAGTTGGGTGGAAGGGGAGATGAGAACATGCATCATGTGGCTTTTCCCACCTCCCCAAATGCAGCCTTGTTTATCTAAGATTCATCTTTCTTCTCTCAGAGAATTAACTTTTGTGAGTTTAGCGTGTCCATAGTTGCCAAGGAAATTAAACAAATTGGCCAAGTGTGAACATCAGGGGAGGGGAAGAAGCCCCTGCTACTTCCCTCTGATTCAGTGAGTTTGTTGCTGGTTCTCTTTGGTTTCATAAACCTTGTGGTGCTTGCCGAGGTCTTTTTAGGTCCAAGTGGCAGGGCACATTCTGCCTGTGTAAATGGACGGGGTGGGGGATGGCCTCTTTCCTACATGCAAATGATCCTGGTGTTGCCCACACATAAAGGTCTTTATCTGCTGGCTGCCATATCTGGATCTGTTCTGGGGGTGAGTTGCCAGGACAGTGTGAATGCCCTGAGAATTAGAATGGAGCCCCAAACGTGTGCACACTCTGACTTTGAGTCGTTGAGGTCTCCTAGCAGTGGCAGGCAGAGCCTCCTTAGTGGTAATGGAGCCAGACACTCTGTGGGCACCAGGGACAAGGTCATGGTGTGTGTGTTGGTGGTGGGCTGCAAAGTCAGCTCCATGTGGGGAGGGTTCTGCTGCAGGGGGCACCCCACCCTCCCTGTGAGTTCTTGGAGAAAGTTCTTAACCCCATGGATTATTTCTGGAAAGTGGAAGTCATTACACTGAGTTTACCGGAATCAAAGGAGTAGTAGGAGCAATGAGGTCCTGGATAACCCTAAATTTATCCAGTTAACTCTTAATTGTCTGGGGACTGGTTACCCATGCAGTCATGGTGAAGGCTCCCTCCTGCCTGCCCCAAAGCAGCCTGCTGATGCTCACAGCCCATCCTCCACTGCCAAGTTCCTCAGCCCCGCCCAGGAGAGGAGGGCAGCCCACATCTCACCATGCCTTCTCCATGGTTGCTTACAACATTGCTTTCTCTCATACTCCAGAGCACACTGCGCTTGAGTTACCCACCTAAAATAAGTGAAAGGAGTTAGGGAATACGGGAGATAGGAACGTGTCTGAATAAAGACATTTATTAAACAGATATCTCCCTGCCAAGCATATAGTAGGCACTCAATAATTTTTGTCTATCTTTAACCTCACTGGGCATTCAAAATTAAGAGACATTCATATTCAAAATACAGAATGATTCTTAAACAAAGTACTGGAGTTTCTTGCTGGGGCTTGGAAAAGCCTCTGTTGGTCCTCTTTAAAAAAGCATCCAGTCTATTAACTGGGAGGAATCTGAATGTGTAACACGCTGTCATGTAGGGAAAAGAAGGGTCAAGCAAGAAAAGCTAGATTAGAATGTTGTATGTTAAAGAAAGAAAAACTAGGTGCATGCTTCAGTGTAGGAGGCATCCCTGGAAAAGAGCAGGTTGAGTGATTGTGAGGATTAAGCGCACCAGCCCGGGGATCCATGAGCAGAACCAGGAAGTTGTGGGTACACAGAAGAGGAATTTGGATCAGTTCTCCAGCAAGAAAACAAAAATGTGCTTTTGACAGTAGGGGCCATATCAAAAGGAAATTGGATATCAAAGGATGTTTTAAGAAGAGCTTTGGATGTCAGGGGCCTGGAGCAGAGGGAATACAGAGCAAAAACGAAAGGCTTGGGAGGCCAGAGGTCCTCAGCTGTGGCTCTGACAGTTGGGGCAGCCAAGGCCAGAACTCACAATGGGAAGCAGGGCTTTTCTTTTGTTCTTTTAAGGGAGGGATGTTTATAGGCCACTCAAGGAAGAGACAGAGACATTAGATTTCACTGCCTGTGTGACGTTTTGTAGTCCACTCATTGGCACCCCTGAGCTTGTCAAGTCAGTCGGGTTGAGGGGGGGCTTCTCATATGGAGACCCCAAGAGTGGGTGTCTGCACCCTGCTGACAACTGCTGACAAGGAGGAAAGCACAGATTCTCTCAAGCATCCACTTTCCTCAGTGGGGCAATGACACGGGCCGGGGTGCAGAACCTTGTGCTGAGGGCTGGGAGAAATGTATGTGTAGCTTGTGCCAGAACTAGGATCCGGGGGATGACCTGGGGTTTGTTAGGGTGTGTTCTTAACCAAAGCCCCGCCTTCCCTGTGTGCCTTGGGAGATGGTTTGGGAGCTGGGCAGGCTAGGTATTCCAGGTTAGCTCCGAGCACACACAAACCCAGGCACACATTGCACCTCTGTCTCATATGGATTCTATCACCAAGACCCTGAGAATTACTTCCAGCATTCATAGCAAACCTGTCTGCTGTCCCCACCCGGTCCAGGTCCTGACCCTGACTCCCAGTGGCCCTCTGTACCATCTCCCACTTTTGCCCTCTGCTGTCCACCTCCTTTTCCTCCACCACACACAGCAGGGAGAATGTCCTTTCGGAAATGCACATCTGGTTCTGTCACTCTCCTGCTTGAAAGGCTTTCTTTTCCCCTGAGGACAAAATTAAAAGCCCTTTACCAGGTTTACAAGGCCTTGTGTGACGTTATTTTCTTATTTTAAAGGAAGGATACTCAGAGAAAAGAAGGGGAGATTCGATTTTAGAGAGATTCAATTTCTAGGATCATTCCAGTTTACCCTTCCTGCTGCTGAATTCTAGCCATACTGATCTATCAGTTTCGTGAATGTATCATGCTCTTCCCTACCTCGGGGCCCTTGCACATCTTGTTCCCAGTGCCTCGAAATTTTTATCTTATTCTCTCCACAGCTGACCCCTACTGATCCTTCCAGTCTCAAAATAAACAAGCCTTTTTTTCAGTCTCTCATGACCCTACTTTGCTTCCATTTACTTTGTTACAATTTCCAACTGGATATTCATTTATGTGATTACTTGTTCATTGTCTGTCTTCTCTATTAACCGTCCCTACCCTAAGAGGAGGGGCCATGTCTGTTTTGTTCATCTGGATGTCTTCCGTATATTTTAAATGTTGGTTGACTAGAACAGTGAATGAATGAGTGATTTGTAACAGGTTGCTGTGACTCTGTACTTTCATGGAGAAGAATTTCAGCAGCTAGTCACTGTTAACTTAATTTGTTCTCTCTACAAGCATCTGATGAGCAGTTAATATGTGCAAGCTAAGGCACATTATCTATCTTCAAGGAGATTCTGGTGAAAGAGACAGTCATAAACTATCAATCCACACAGTAGAATAAGTGTTACAACAGAGTTATATACAGGGTGGTCTGAGTACATAGTTTCTCATGCTGGTGTTCCAGGTAGTATAATTTTCTGAAATTAAAGCTGGTAAGAATCAACATACCGGGGATGTGATTAACCATTCCCAAATCTCAGAAAGACATTAGCCTAAACTGTAAGGAGTGTAAGATAAGCCGTGCTCTAGTTAATTGTAACTGAGGGCATGTGCTGGTGATAGATAATGTGATGGCTGATAAAGAATACTGAAAACCAGAGCCACGGGAATGTGTCATGGCCCCTTTCCATTAGGGGGAGTGCAGCCCCATGCCAAATGAATGGTCCCAGCTCTCTAGCCACAGGTGGCTCTGAAGATTTCTAGCCACAGACACCCCTGGACAACACAGTGAGACCTCTCTAGCCACAGATAGCCCTGGAGCCCTGAAGTGGAGAAGGGCACACTGTTCTGCTTCTTCCATGTACAGCCTGTTCTTCCAGCTTTGCAAAATGCTCTGATAAATTAGGAGAACACTTTAAAAATTGACCGCTCAGGCCGGGCACCGCTGGTCATGCCTGTAATCCTCGTACTTTGGGAGGCCAAAGAGGGTAGATCATCTGAGGTCAGGAGTTCAAGACCAGCCTGGCCAACATGGCAAAACCCCATCTCTACTAAAAATACAAAAAATTAGCTGGACCTGGTGACACGTGCCTGTAATCCCAGCTACCCAGGAGGCTGAGGCAGGAGAATCGCTGGAACCCGGAGGCGGAGGCTGCAGTGAGCCGAGATCGTGTCACTGCACTCCAGCCTGGGTGACAGAGTGAGACTCCATCTCAAAAGAAAAAAAAAAAAAAAAAAAAGAAAATTGACCATTCATTCCCAGATGTTGGTGGGGAGAGGAAAGGAGACAATTTCTGGCTCTTTTGAATTCTATTCCTATAATTTAAGATGATTGACTACTTTATTAGATTTAGTATCAGACTTGTTTCCTTCTTTTTAAATTAAGTTTGACAAAAGGTAATAGCAGTGAACCCAAGTTTACTATTTTAGAACTGTCTTCACTAACTAGAAAGATGACCTTTAGATAGTTACTCCAGGAGTGTCCTACAAACGAATTTCATTCACCTAAGGGTAGAAGGATTTGAACTTTGTTTCCTGACTTGATGAGTATTTCATGATAAACCAGTTCTGGCCCATTAACTTCATTTCTCAAAACACAGGTTTAAAAAGAGCGTTTCCTCAAGGAGTTGCCATTAAAAATGGAATGAATCCAACTTGCTGGAAATAAAAATGGCCAGAGCTGAACATGGTACACAATTGTGATGAAAAGAGCTTGTTTTTTCGGTAGGAGGTATGCGTTGCGTGTGTTGGTTTTGAAGTAATAAGTAACGTTTTATAGATAACCACCAACCTGTGTCTGGTCAGCAGTCTAATGTCCCACTACTGTCAAGGATGCCTGTGATGTGTGAGCTTACCTTTCCATTCTCCTTGTATCTTTCCTGATTTATCTAGAAAATTAAATAAATAGGGAGGTAATGTTCCAAGGAAAGGTTTCCCTTCCCTCACTGGGGATTTAGTGGGGGACAGTATAGACTGTCCTTTAGGAGATAATTAGAACTGACATCTACAGAACCATCTAAACCTTGCCCAAACTTTGCACTGGGAGGTTGTGAACCGGAACCTCATTACTGAATTCCATATTGTGGAGTGTGGTCTCATCCAAGGAATGTCTGCAATTCCCATTCCAATCTGAGTAAACAGTCAGTTATGAACAGTCACTGGGGTAAACCGTAATTAGATATGTTCTTGAGGTTTTTAGAGTGATTCTTTCATACCTTTGTAAAATTGACAATACGTGAAAGATAAAAATTTCCCCACAGATATTTCAGCTAATTACTCCTTCTAGGTAAAGATTGGCCCCATTTCTTGGTCTGTCTGATGATGACTTTTCATTTTCTGCCGTAAACGAACCTAATTTGCAAATGAAAAATTTCACTGAAGCGTACGTTGCCTGCAAGGGAATTACAGCCCGGAACCTTTGGAAGTATTCAGTAGAACACGCAAGAGAATTTTAAACAAAAGACTTATGCTCTTAATTCACACAGTTAAAATAACGATTGCTCCTAAGCAGTACTTATTATTTTTAAGTTTAGACATTCCAATAACAGTAATCAAGAGGAGTTAAGTTCACTTTAAAGCAAAGCAAAGGAGGAGTAACTGTCAAAACTTGCTTAATATTTCCTGTTTGTAGGGTGAGATTTTCCTCAGATCACACCACATTCCCTTGTCGATACATGGAAGCCCTTTACAGCTTGATGTTAAGAATAGGAGTAGCAGGCTGGGTGTGCACACCTTTAACCCTAGCATTTGAGGAGGCCAAGTCGGAAGGACTGCTTGAACCCAGGAGCTCGAGACTAGCCTGGGCAACATAGTGAGACTCCTGTCTCTACAAAAAATACAAAATATTAGCTGGGCATGATGGCATGTGCCTGTAGGCTTAGTTACTCAGGAGGCAGGAGTGGGAGGTCACTTGAGCTCAGGATTTTGAGGCTGTAGTGAGCTGTGATCACGCCACTGCACTCCAGCCTGGGTGACAAAGCCAGACCTTGTTTCTTAAAAAAGTAGAAAAGAAGGAATGAAGAAAGGAAGGAGGGAGACAGAGAGGGAGGGAGACAGTGAGGGAGGCAGGGAAGGAGGGAAGAAGGGAGGGAGAAAAAAAGGGGGGAGGGAGAAAAGGGAGAGAGGGAAGGAAGGAGGGAGGGAAGAAGGAAGGAAGGAGACAGGGAGGGAGGCAGGGAAGGGGGAAAGGAAGGAAGGGAGGGAGGGAAAGAAGGAGGGAGGGAGGGAGAGAAGGAAGGAGGGAGGGAGGGAAGGAGGAAGGAGGGGGAGAAGGAGGGAAGGAAGGAAGGATTAAGGAAGGAAGGAAGGAAGGAAAGATGGAAGGAAAGATGGAGAGATAGGAATAGCAGTTCCCTTCTAGGCCCAACATACCAGGCAGAAAACTTGGGTTCCAGTCTTAGTTCCTGCAGTTATTGACTCTGACTACTGAGAAGATTCTTTGCCTTGAGTATCAGTTTTCTCAACTGTGAAGTTGGAATTAAAAGGCCAAGCATTCTTGTGCAGACTGAAATGATCCTGTATTCAAAAGCTGCAATGGTACATTGGGAATGAAGAGTAATGGTGTATCAGACTTAATTAACACTAGTTAGTCCTTGTGGTTTAGGGCAGGTGAAGTCACGATTTACAGCCCAGATAGATGTATTTTAAAAATTAAAAACAGCCAGAGAAATTATCCAAGAAGAAATTCTACATTTGTCACCTCCTTTGTACTGTACTTGAGAACTTTATTTTATCCACTTATTTATTCCAAAGATACTAATTGAACTCCTACTCTGTGCCAGGTACTGAGGATAAAATTGTAAGTAACACAAAAGTCCCTGCTCTGATGGAGTTTACCTTCCAGGCAGAGGGAAGATGACAAGCAGAAAGTCCTGGAGCCCCCTTGGAGAACAGGGTGGCTACTGTGAAGGGAGGGAGGAGAGGGATGACAGAACTGAGGTCAGAGAAAGAGGCAAGGCCAGAAAATGTGGGACCTTGGTAAATCCTGGGGAAAGTTTGCAGCAAATTCCAGGTATGTAGCAATTCCTTTTATTTATTTTGCATGCAGAAAGCCTATTACAATTTAGATATTTAACCAGCCCAATGTGCTGGAAAGCAGACCAGTCAAGACAGGCTCCTCCCTCCTTTCACTCCTGTTTATTTGCGAGTCAGTCTTTCCCGACTTTCTGGACCCTGCTCAAATCCTGCTTCCTCCACAAGCTCTTCCACAGTCTGCCCCATCGGAAACACTCCCCCTCTTGTTTGCTTTTTCCTCTTTGTAGTACTTCTCACATTCTGCCTTGTTTTAAAATTCTTCATGTTGTTCACCCTTAGTAGAGTAAGAGCCTCTGGATGCCAAGACCTTGTGTTACTCACTATTTTTTATTTTTTGTATCCATTGCCATGCACATGTGCCTTCTACATGGGCGATGCCCAGTAAATATTTATCGATTTGAAATAACTCAAATCTGTATATCAGGCTAGCAGAGAAGTGTTTCCCAAAGCGCTGCACCAGAGAGAAGCTGATCTGAGGGCACGATGGGAAATGTATCACGAACACTCACAAAATGGCTCCCCAGTGTGTATTTATCCAGATGTCCTTTTGGGATGGGACAGGACCGGTTTTTAATGACTCTGAGCTGCCTTCCCTAGGCACTAGGAGCCTACATTTTGCTGACTGTGGAAGCTCTTTGTGTGAGCTCCACGGGCAGCTGTGTGCAAGGAAGATCCAGCTCTTGTCTCATCCCTGGAAGCTTGGACAAGTCAGTTTCCCCATCTCTGAAATGGGGATTATAACCTCTCTCATGGGGACTTGGTTGTAACAGATAATCTTGTGGACTATTTTGTTAAGAAAAATAAAGATTTATGGTATTAAAATATGTATGCATGTCTAAAATAGCTTCCAGTGCTATCTGGCTGTCTTTGCCTGAATTTTACTATGTCTGTAAGTGAGATTCAGCATTTTCTTTTGGACTGTGAATTGTCGCTACTAAATGAGCTTATCAGTCTCTGGGAAGGAACAAAATGTCATTGGATTTGCCCCATGCTGCACTGCTTGTGAACTTATACCAGAGCACACTGGATAAAGCATGTACCCGATTCCGAGAAGGCTGCAGCTCTATAAGGGACAGTAGTGTACACAGCCATTCCCCAAAGCCACCTAGAAGAAACTTCAGGAGCCTTCACACCTGGCTCTGCCTCACACTCCCCCAATGTGGGTGTGGGCCTGGTAAGGTGCTGTCCGCATGGGGTCTTGCCTTCCTCATCTGCAAAGCCTCAGCTCTGGGATTCACCAAGAAGAGCCAATCTCCTGCTCCTCTCACTTCTTCCACTTGCAGACAAGCTTTTGGACTCTGCCCTTTGGCTTGTGATTCATAATTCCAAACCCCCTATCAATGATCAAATAAGCAGCAGGAAGTAGCAGTCCAGATCCTTCAGGGGCCATCTCATCATTCTGAGGACCAGGCCTTTAGTAGAAAAGATGGGCCAGTTTGGAAGTTGTCCTGACTTTTAGAAAGTAGTTTGTGTCCCAAGGGGCCCCTGGGTGTTTGTTCAGGGCCTGTATGGGCTGCCTCAAAAGGCCAGGAGGTGATGGAAAATCATGGACCTTGGGGTCCTCCAGTCCCCAGCACTCCACCTCGAACAAGCATCCTTATTTGTAATCTGATTTGCCTATAGGATTCTGCATAAGATTTTGCTTAAGCAAAGGGTTCTGCTGCTTTTTAAAAAGTGCTCAAAACCTCTAGTTTATATACTTTTAGATTTTGTGTCCTTGCACAACCTCATTCTCCATAAGATTGGAGAAAGCATTTGTCACCAGGGCCCAGCCCGCAGACTGAGTTGATATTTACAAAGTAGCCAAGATTCCTCAGATGGGTAGGCATTAACCTTGTTTAGTTGAATGCAGTCTTTTCTTTATTGGTTTTGTATGTAACTTCCTTTACAATTATTAGTACATATTATTAAAAGCTCTTTCTTTCCAGGAAATAAGCCTTTTAAAAGGCATTGTCTTTTTTAAAAGATAGGTATTTTAAAAAATATATTTTTGGTAAATAAATTCCTACTGTAAGTATCTAAAATACTTCTAAAAACTACCCCCTATGATCATCTCGGCATATACCCTTCAGAGCATTGCAGCAGCCGCCCACCTGAGCATTCTAGCTTATCCCTGGGCAAGCCAGCTCAGCCTCCAGAACACCAAAAAAATCTTTCAAAACCAAGGACTGACCAGGGCCTTCCCTGATTACAGCTTTACACCTTTACACCCAAAGGACATTCTGTTCATCCATGCCCTGAATTCTCTGATTCATCCAGTAACCTTTATTGAGTCCCCATGATATTCCAGGCACTGTCCTGAACACTGAAGAAACCAGGTTGATGCAGAAAGACTATGGGCTCTCAAGAAGATGCAGTGCTTTTTTCCTGGAATCCTCTTCCCCTTTTCTCTGCCTGGTGAAACCCGCTCCAGTAGCATCTTTTCTGAATTCTTCCTCAGGCAGAGGAACGCCTCTTTCTCATTGCTGAGGCATATGCCCATGTATCTGTTGTTCTTCTACCTAAGGTTTGCTGCAAGTAGTTGTCTGCTGGGTGCACCAAGCCCCTGAAGGGCAGTAACTGGGTCTTCTTTGTGATTGTATCTCCAGCATCTGGCTCAGCCCTGGATACCCAGTAGTGGCTCAAATAATGTTTTCTATTTCCTTCCTGATCTTTCCTATCTGTGCTGGAAATAACTAATTCCTTCTCAATTTTGTCTTCCCCACAGAACAATGAGCATAAGACATGCTGGGTGCATTTTTTGGACCTTACCACATCTTGTTTGAGAGAAGTGGGACCAATGCTGATGAAACTCTTTCCCATGGTGTGTTCTATATTCATTGGATGGGCATCGCCTACGGCTGGAGCAGGGCTGAGCTCTGTACTGGTGTCTCTTAAAACACACCAGACAGCAACAGCTGAGATACCTACTACCTGGATCTGCTTGATTAGATCATACGGTCATATTTGATTACTTAGAATGGGTAAGGAAAAATACCATTCCAAGGTCAATTTAATGGCCTAGATCTTCCTTCCTAAAACTGGAAGGTGAATCTCTGCCTCTTAAATCTATAGGTCTTTCTGGGGGCAAGACTTCTGACTATTCTGATATCTCCTTGGAATCTATGGAAATCTCATTATTTTTGTTCACTCACATAAAGGAGTAGTTACCCCAGGAATGGATACCTCCTGATGCTCTATGCTTAGGAGAAAAGGCTAAGTCTTTCTAATGAATATCAACATCTTGACCTGCCAGGTTCACCAGCATGAGGCTCTCTCCTGTGCCTAAGTCCTACAACTGAGACAAAGCCCTAGGCCATGTTGAACCTTGGAAAATATCTCTGGCCATCACGTGCCTTGAAGGACTTGGCGACGGAAGCAGAGAAGTTTGTAATCCTCACCTGAGGTCATCTCTGTCTTCTTTAGGTCATTGACATGGCAGACATTGTTTCCTTTTCGTTCAGTATGTGCCTGCCCAAACCCCGTTTCATGGAGTTCTGGAAACTCTGTCAGTGGGTAACAACTACTTGTAGACCTTGTGGAACAAGAGAAAATGTGCCTGCTCCTTTTTCACCTTCTCAGTTGATTAGCTTCAGAGGTGGCCATCGAGTTATGGGTCATGAGAACAGCTTTGCCACACCACCACTTCCAAAGGGTTGATGTGAAAGGTGCTTTCCTCAAGCAAAGAGCAATTCTATAGAAGTCCAGATGAGCATGCTTACTTATTGTTGACCCATCATCTTTAGTTACTACCATATCGGGGTATAGATTACTCTCCTGCATGGTTTTCTGCATGTCCCCTGTGACCGAAGTAACTTCTGAGTACAGGGATGAGAAAGTCACCAGCTCTGTAGCCGCAGCATTGTTGGTCTGTATCTCCAGGCATAGGATCTGGGATAATGCCCAGATAGTCCACCATGTGGCCTCATGCCTATATCATTTGTTTGGCTGGTGCCCTTGGCAGACCCACACCTGACACCTGCTTAGTGCAAGCCCTTGAGCTCTGTCTTAGGGAAACTTTGGGTCTAGCATGGTCTCTTGTGGCACCTAATGCGTTCATATTGGTAGGAACACAGTAATAGGAAAGGAAGTTTATCTTTCTAGTTGGGATTTAAGAAAACTCTTAAAGATGGAAGAATATTACCTTTTTTTGTTTCCTTATCTCTTTGTGGAATAAATGAGTAAATACTGTGACTGCAGTCACATGAGATAGGTATTAGCCATCAGTCTAACTAGAGGATCTAAGGAAACACTTCAGAAGTCCAGGAGAACGAGGCAGCAGTATTGACAGCAGATAGAGGAAGAAGCAGCAGAGTAGATCTGGAAGTGGGGAGTGTTTAAACAAGAGGGCTGGGAGGTGCAATGTCATACTTTATTTATACCTACTTCAGCATTCACCTACTCTGTCACCCTGGAATCCCCTGGAGTTTATCTGGAGAGAGGCACTGTGGAGAGCCCCTAAATCTCCAGCTTGAATTCCCTTAGCACTTGCTTCAAAGCCTCAGATGATATCTGTTGACTGGAGGGGAACAAGGTTTTGACTGTGGTTAGGACTCACCATTCTGTGTATAATGCCAACACCACCCAGGGCAGTTCATAACATTTTAATTTCCTCATAAAATGTGCTTTTATTTCATTTTGCAATATGTAAGCCCATCAGATTGTAGAGATGTAAGTAAATGGGGAATGTTGTTTAAATGGAATCTCATGGAAGGCACACCCAGCAATCATTTTCATTCATATTTTTACATTTCTTTTGGCAGCAAGAATGCAGTGTTTCTCCTTTTCATTTTCATGTAGTGTTATGGGGCATATTCTTTGTGGGTTTAGATTCCAGAGTAGCATATCTGATTTATACTTGATAAAGTGGTGTTTGCCAAGTAATTTTGCTGAAAAGCAGCCACTTAGGCAGAAAGGGAAGAACCTACTATAAAAAGAACAGAGCAGATTATGGAGCTGCAATGTCGTTCATTGGGACCAAGAAATGTTGGTTACCGAGAGACCTAAAAACTAGAAGTTTCCTTGATTAGACTTAGTTTCAGTTTTATTTCACATTTTTTTGAACATACTGCCAGCCTTTAAGTGAGTTTCATATTTGCTTATCACCAGCACCCTTCGTTATTTCTTCCCTGTAAGAATGGTTATAAAACTAAACAATATAGGTGACTATACATTTTATTGTAACCATGGAAACTATTGTTGATGATTTATTAAGCATCCTTTCTCCTGATCCCAAACAATACATTGTGTTGGCCCAAGTTCCCTAGAGGACTGGCTTTTCCATTATTGCATAGACCAACTTTAGCTTTATTTATATCTTGGTTTGTTCAATTGTTTGACTACGGTGTTGGCTTCTGGAAACATAAAAGCTAGTCTTGGGGGCCACCATCAAGTGTTTCAAAGTGTTTAAAGACCATTTTTAACATATGCCATTGTAGAAACAAGTTTAAAAGACCACTTTAACATATACCCTTGTAGGAACAAATCAGGAAAAAATGAACCTTACTTTATCTTTTCCCTTGCCTATGAATACACACAAGCAGTACTTACATTTCTAATAATGGATGGGTATAAAATACTTAGCAGCCCAACGCACTACTAGGCACTCAGCAAAGGTATGTCGAGTCTACCTTTCCTGAATTAATTCTTGTTATGTGAAGTTGCTTGTGGATAAATAAAGAGCATCATGCGAATGCTTCCTGTAGTCAATCTATTAAGGCTGGCTGACTGAGGAAGTCGGGTGGAATAATTTATCTAGTCCCAGGACCTTCATCCCAGAGGTTTCATGGCATCTTCTGCCGGAGCCCCACAGCTGAGGATTGCCCCTGGGAAGTGGGAGTGTGTGTGCCAAGCCCTGGGGTGCACTGGGCTTCCTTCGTTACACAAGTGCTTCCATCAGGCCCAGGCAGTGGCGGAGGGAGTACAGCAGCGCTTACGGACGCCCATTTTGATGGCAATTTGGCAGGGAGTCAAACTTTGGCCCTAAAGCAGAGGTGGTGCAATTAGACAGCTGAGATGCATTCTCTAAACACACACTTTTAATTGATTTCAGCTTGTTCAGTTCACAAAGATAGAGCTCTGACACATAGCAGCCTTCTTAGAGGGGCTTATTTTTACTTTTCCTTTATTCAGCAGCGTAATTCAACGGCAACAGAAGCAACAATAATGCAGAGCTCTAAAGAGTGCGTATTTGGCATGGCTCGGATACAAAAAGTATTATTAAGAACTAATGAGTGAGATAGTTAGATGTTAACCGGAAAAGCATTAATGAGCAGAAGAGAATTCTGGCATAAACATCTGTTTCCGAAGCAGATGTTACCTTGTAAATCTGCTGAAGAAAAGCCTGTGTAAATGGAACAGTGGACTGTTTTAGGTATTAGCAGGGACAGAGTGAGATCATGAGGTTTTCAGACACTGTTTTCAGCTCTTCTGAGACTCATAAATGACTGCGTGTGTCGAGGTGGTGAATTTTGGGGGGCGTTTTGGGGGTGACAAAAGCTATCAGGCAGGGGTGAATAACAGTGGCAGATCACAATGAGTGTGGCTGTGTGACATGGTAGCTGGAGACCACTGATTCCTGTTTCACCGGGAGAGATTTGGGATTCTCATTAACTAAACAGCTTGTCTCTTGTCTCATCTTGTCTAGAGCTCCATAATCATTTCAGTATAGATGGATTTTGGCTGCTGTCATCTCCCTGGGCTAGAGATTTAAGACCTGTTCTGCCTCAACAAAAATTACATAACCTTTGGCTGACTTTATTGTATAGCTTTCTTTACATGGGTGACTAAATGGCCGATAATGAGTTAATGGGCAAGCATTCCCAAATTACACAATGAGTACATTTTAGCAGCCTTAATGCTTGATCCAAGAATCACTAGGTGGCAAGATTCTCAGGGATCTCCAATAGAGGCTGGGGTATTTCTTTTTTTAGAGCCCCCAAATGACAGTGTGTTGGCAACTGCCTCATTCATATTCACAGAGGGGCACCTTGATTTGGGTTATTTTCACTTAGAATCATAAAACTGAGAACTGGAAGGTAGCTTTGGGATCATCTAGTTGATTCAGATCTCTTAGTAAACAGAATAAAAAATACAAGGTCTTGAAAGTGATTCATGCAGCCTGACCCAGGAATTGGTGAAATGGTTGATCCTCAGAACCCAGACCAGGGTTCCTAGACAGGCACTATCCTCACTTTACCCCACTCTAGAGAAAAACTCTTGCATCCTTCTCTGCTTACTGAATATTACGAATGGAGAAATGTCTCTGAAGGAAAAGTCTTCTGGGCAAAAACCCTGGGCTTGCCCCATTTGGTGCTTTGAAAGTTGAAGTGGGGGCTAGAGATAGAGTGAATTCCAGCCCCCAGGTCTTATAGTTAAAGGTTGCCCTTGGATGATTCATTTGCTTAGTTTTATCTACCCTCAGAATGGTCATTGGCCTGGTAATTGGGAATGTTCTACCCTCCATCTTTGGAAAGCTGTATTTGCCAACAGCTTGATGAGGTCAGGGCATCCTTGGAGCCTGCTGCTTGTCACTGCTCGGTGGGCTACAGAGGAACTCAGGAAACCAATCCCAGGACTTCAGAGCCTACGGTGATGGTTTTTGCTGCAGCTGGATAGGTCTGTTCTCCACCACGCACACAAAAATGTGGCTCTGAAACCTTTAAAGGAGAATTTCTTGATCAAGGTGATCTTTTTCATTTGGGGCTACACCAGGACTGCCTTTCTGGGTTCAGGATCTTCTGTCTAGAGACCTTTTAGAAGTGATCTCCAAGGATGGCCTGTGTATTCAAGCAAGTGAAAGGCATCCTTTTCACCTTGCACCAAGTTCCTGAAAGATGCAGGTCTCAGCCATGCAGGTCTCAGCCATTTTCTGTGTATATATATGCATGTTTGTGTGCATGTATGTGCACATGTGTATATGTGTATTGTTCATGCAAGAAAAAGCAATGAACAAAGCTACATCTGTGAGAAACAGGATGTTTTCCCAAGTTAGCAAGGTCTCTGTTCTTCTGTGGAATTCCCTCTCACATAAAACTAAGGCAGGCTTTGAGGAAGGGTGGCCACTTATCTTGGACTTTTTTCTACAGTAGGGGGATTTACTCATATTCACTGGGAGCTTTTTATTATCTCTAAGAGAAACTGGAAAAGCCCAGTTAACAGAAAATTCATTCCTTTTGTTATGCTTGAGGTGCTGATTCATTTATCTTGAAAGAAACTTTGCATGTGTTGTATGGCTCCTGGTATGTCAGAAGTGGGTTTTGTGTTACTTCAGGGGGTCTGTTTTACACTCCCAATGGTTCTGGGGGCACATGTAGCAAACAGAGCTGGTGTTGGGTGTAGACACTGGGGCAGATGTTTAGGAGGCTACCGTTTTGAACAGTGTCAATCGTATTTGTGATTCACAGTCTCCCTAGCAGTGTTTCTCACCTGCATGGTGATGACATGGGTGATTGGGAGATTTTAGAGGTTTGGCTGTGCTTTTCAGTTCCTCTTTTAAATGGCTTCTTCCATCATTATTCAGTGATGATGGAGGAGACTTTAGATAGAATTTTTTAAAGAAAATGGAAGACCTTTTCTTGCTGTACAGAATGAGTGTTTTTCTTCCCTGGTGGCTTCGTTGTTAGTTTACTAGTTTACTAGCCCATTTTGCTCTCAGACCCAGCCATGCCTCCCTTCACCTTCGTATTAATCCTCTGAGGTTCTGTTTACTGATGAGGACATGAGGTTTATGGGATTTGGCAAGTTACTTGAGGTTACACTACCTGTAGGTGATAGAGCCAGAATTTGAATCAAGATCTGCCTACCTCTCTGCTAAGCCCACAGTCTTTCCAGTCTCTACAGCTGTATGTCTCCTGTCGCCCCATCCCCCACCGCTTTTTGCTTCTTTAGTACCAAACTACATGTGCATTCTGGAACAAATCATCCCGTTTCTTGCAGCTGTGGCTTTGTGCAGTTTTTCTTGCATGAACAACACATGCACACACACTTAGAGGCAAACACAAACACAGAGACACACACATGCACACACTTTTCTTTGCTTACATATCTTGCACTGGCCCTTCAAGACTTTGTACAGGCATATGGCCTCTCCTGCGAGCAGACTTCCACAGGTTGTCATTTCGCCCTCTCTGATGGGTCTGTTCTCGAGCTCTGTTTTGACACTAACCATGTCATATTTCATAGATGACCTGTCACTCTGGCCAACATGTGAGTGCCTTGAGGTCAAGGGCCTTGTCTCAGAGCCTAGCCCAGCACCTGGCACATTCAGGCCTTGATAACCCTCTGTAGATCCGAATTGAACCAAGTCAAGAGTGGGGTTTCAAACTGTGTAGCATTGATAACACAGATGACTGGAACTTTAGGAGCTGGCGTAGGCCGTATCCCTGAGCACATCGAGAAATGACTTGCTAACAGAAGACATCTGTGTCTCTCTACTTTTCAAGCACTGTGACAATCTCCAAAAGCAAAAGGTTTAAAGAACTATAACATTTATGGCTCCCTGGCCATAAATTCACTGCAGAACACATAAAAAATGCCATTCCCACAGGGTTATGGCAGAGATTCAGTATTGCAAACATCTGCACATGGGCAGTAAAGCTAACCTCTGGTGTGCAAGCTCGACTGTTAGCAACATATATTAACATTAGTGACAATTGAATGTGATTATCTGAGATGGCATTTTATCTGCCAACTGCAGACTTATGGCTTCTCAAGACCTCATTTGTCCCCTTCCTCATATGTTGTTTTTATATGACTGAAATCACATGCAGAAATTCGTGATTAGTATGGCTCTGCTTTTAGTTTTTGGTGGATATGGGTATGTATAAATTTTCAGTACTTAAATTGATTTTAGCACTTTGAATAGAATAGGCTCTCAAAAGTTTGTTAAAACAGCTGAGTGAATTTCAAAGCATTATGACTTTGCATTTGAAGACACTGCTGAGAGCCAGGAAAAAGGAGTGGGTTCTGACATTGGCTTGACAGGATTGATCCAACAGGTTTGTAATTAATTTATCTGGTAATTGGTTGGAGTATACATGTTATACATCACATCTTTAAGTGTAAGTGTTGTCATTATTTCCTTTCTGTTATTTAAACCAGTATTTTTTCTGTGTAGGGCTAGATAGTAAATATTTTAAGCAAGTCATATGCTCACTTTTTGTTTTGTTTTGTTTTTGTTTTGGAGACAGGGTCTTATTCTGTCACCCAGGTGCAATCATAGCTCACTGTGACCTCAAAATCCTGGGCTCAAGCAAGCCTCCCACCTCAGCCTCTTGAGTAGCTAGGACTACAGGCCACACTGCCATGGCTGGCCAATTTTTAAATTTTTTGTAGAGATGGGACTTGCTGTGTTGCCCAAGCTGGTCTCAAACTCCTGGACTCAAGCCATCCTTCCGCCTTGGCCTACAAAAGCATTGAGATTCCAGGCGTGAACCACCGCACCCTGCCCATATGCTTTTTGTAGGAACTCCTCAGCTCTGCTGTTGTACAATAGAAGTGCCATAGATAATACGTAAACAAATGAGTTTGGCTGTTTTCCAATAAAACTTTATTTAAAAAAAATAGGCAGTGGGCCATAGTTTGCTAGCCCCCAATTCAAAGAAATACAGATTTTTTAAAAGCTATTGGGAAATTTAGAGAAAAAAAAAAAACTTTTTTAGAACTTTTGGGAAAGGACCCCTTATCTGGCTCCCATTCCATTTGGCAATCTCTAAAGCGGCCAAATCAAATTTTAAGTTAAAGAGTAAAATTTTGACTCAAAATTTTATTTGTCCCTGTGCAGTGGTTCTTAATATTTATTTGATTTTAGTTCCTCTGATGCATATAATATTCTTAGTAGCAGTGACTCAATATAGCAAAGATTTTCAAACAGGTAGAGGGGCTGAGAACTCTGGCCTAGTGACATTACTCTGAGTTCATTAAGTTCTCATTTACAACTATGCCTTAGCATAAACTATCGCAGTTAAATAATTAGAATTTCAGATCGGTCAAAATACTTTGGCATCTGAAAGCAGGAGCTTAGAACCAGAATTCCTTCTCAGACATAATCCCAGCATCCCCAGCCCAGTGCTTTTGCTCTTTCGCACCAGGCCAGATAACTCTGTGATCATGGACGTATGCAGGAATTTGTAAATATTTGATGGATGATAGTCAGATTGCCAAATGGCAGAAAGGTTTCTGGTTTTGCAGTTTGAAAAGGATTATAGAGCGGGGAACAAGGTAAATATCTGAAGGTCTGCATGATAGTACTTCTTTTCCTATTGCTTTGGAGTTATTTTTTATACCTCTTTACACAATGTGTGAGACTACCAAATTTACATTGCACTGTTCCAGGTGACTTGTGCAGTTGACAAACTATGACCCAGCATAGCAACCTAGGCAAGAGGAGCCTATATAATTCATTCTTATTCCTATTTTGCTATTTCAACTTGTTTCTGTTTTATAACTGCAAGTGGCCTCCCAGGGGTAGCAACTGTTGGCAACTTAAAGTTAAGCCAGTAGTTCTCCTCACTCCATATCTATGCTGCTTGTCTTTGCATATAAGTGAGTGGATGCTGGGGGCATGGAAAAACAAAACTATTTAAGTGTGGGAGAGGCCTGTGACTTTTGTAGTCCTTTGGGGAATTTTTCACATGACCAGGGCCAAATAGTTCTGACTGCTCTTGTGCCATCCTGGGAATAGAGCAGTGGGATGTAAGGAGTGAAAGGGGCCATGGATCAGTGGTTCTCAAAGTGTGGTCCTCAGACCTGCAGCATCAGCATCACCAGGGAGCATGTTAGAAATGCAGATCCTCAGGCCCTGGCCCCAACCTACTGAATTAAAACCTTTTCAGGCGGGCCCACGAGTCTGTTATAACAAGGTCTTCGGATGATGACTGTGCATAGTGAAATGTGAGAAGTACCGCTTGATTCATCATCCAGCCAGATCTGTCCAGCCCATTTTTGTGATTGTGGAAATTGAGGGCAAGAGTGGGCAGGTCACTTTCCCACCATGAAACAGCTAGCTCAGGGTAGGTGCTGGCCTTCTGATTCCCAGTCCAGACCTCTGCTAGTCACAGTGCCCAGCCAGGTATGCTGTGGGGATGTCAGTGGCCTCAGAAAGAGTGACGACTTGGGACTGATGTCCCCACATGCTGGGGTCACAGGACAAAGGAAAGGGTTTGTGACTTTGAGCTCTCTTCTTACCCTGGGCAACCTCTCTCTCTGTTTAAAAGCCTGGTGACCCTGCTGTGAACTTCCTCTTTTAAATGAACAGCTCCCTAGAGCATCCTTGGCTGAGCTTAGCAACAAGGGGGGAGGGAGTGAGGAGGGGTGGGAGGAAAATGGGCTCCCCCGTTATCATGTCAGTGCAATCACTGGGAATTATGGTTGAGGATTAAGAGTCACTTGGGGATAATTCAGCCAGGCTGGAGAGGGAAACACACACAAATACACACACACTCACAACATAAACAGATTGCTAAAGCTCATGGCAGAAAACAAACAGCATAGGAAAGAAAAAAAAAAAAAAAAAGGATGGGTAGAACTGAAAGGGCCTGAATTTTGAATAGGTGGTATAGGTTCCAGAATGATCTGTTTCCTAAACACTTTTGGTGAAGTTGTATACACAGTGACTAGAGCGGAGCAGCTGCTTCCCCGGTTCTGTGCATTGCTCTGTTTCAGAACTCATAGCATCCCTCTCCTCCAGGCATCTGTTACTGAGAACACTTGAAGATTCTGCCAAGAGAACTCAAACTGGCAATAGAATAGTTGAAATTTAGGAAATGAGACAGAGACATACATAGAGATATTCCTTCGCTTCTAAGAAGATATAGCAAGTCCCACAGGAAAGTGTTAACTATTTCCTATATTTAGGTACCTCTGAAAAAGGTCAAATAAATTATCCATCTCTTGTAATTATCTTTGGGCTTAAACAAAAGACCTCAGAAAGTCAGTGGTTTGCTTTTCCTAGAGAGGGTATGCAATTTGCTCTATCTTTTTTGACTTAGAATCTGTACAGTTGCTACCTAGGTTTTTATTTTCCTGACATGGTGGGTGAATGTCCAGGCAGATGGACTTCTCATCAAGCATGGTTAATGGGATCTAGAAGAATCTTGTGCTTTCCCAAAGAACCAAACAGATGAGAGCACTCTCAAACAGAGAGAGGAAATGATTTGTTCACCATCTCTGAGAGGCTTGACAGAAAATTCGAGTTAGGGGAGTGGCATCGATAGCCCCTCTTGGAGCCAGTCTGAGGTGAGAGAGCTCCCTTCAATATTCTTATGTCTCTCACTTCACGTTACCTGTAAGGGAATAATCTCCATGGTAGGAAGTCCCTTACCAACCTCTTACCCAGCTAACTCTTGGGCCTTAAATGTTGGTTCAACCCTAAAGGGGTGGAGACAGAGCTTTCTGCGCATGAGTGGCTCAGGGTTTGTTTGTGCTTTCTTCATATTATTCTGAAGCCAACCAGAAAGGACTCCTTTTTTCCCCTCCTTTTATGTTCTCCCTCTGTTTTCCTCATGCTTTTAGACTTGATAAACAAGAGAAGCCTACGTATTCCATCTTCTGTTTGTTTTGCTTGAAGAGGCTGACTCTATTTGATTTTTTCTGGGAAGAGCAATTTTCCGTAAGGGAGAAGGTGCTTGGAGAAGTGGGTGGAAGTGTGAGCTGAGGGGGCTTTTTTTTCCCTTTCCTAATTTTCCCCTTTAGTGCCTGAGAACTACAGAATCCTTTCCAGATGAACAAACACAGCAACAGATGTGGAGTCGGCAACAGTGTATTCTGGGGTTATTTGGGTCTGTTTAAATTGGGCTTTTCCTGCACCAGAGGATTTTGTGAAATATGTTAGGCTTCTGAACATGGAGAGATTTCAGCCTCAGATTCAGAGGGACTAAGGAATTAATTACCCCATTCCAAAAAGTCCATAGGTATAGATGGCTTTGTATGAAGGAACTGCTACCTCTTGGCCCAGATCATCTAAAGGAATGGGTCTCCTCTTTTCTCTGATCCCTACCGGAACTAGGCGTTTTGTAATCTTAATCTTGCACTTTGGATTCTGCCTGGAATTTTAATAACATGGTCACTATTAGTGAAGCCAGTGTGACCCATTTGGATGCTTTCAGGCTGGGAGAGGGAAGCCGTGTCAGCCTCGGGACAACGGAACATCAGTCCTGCTTGCCTACTGTGGAGGCACAAGAGAAAGAATCCTGCAGTGAACAGTCAGGCGCAGCCCTTGTCCTCCAGGCACAGCTTTCACAACAATTCCACACCTTTTTGAGAGGGACGCTTTTGTGGTCTCAGATGTGGGCTTCATGTGGAAAGGCGAAAAGGAAGGTTTTGTTTAGCATAGAGCACTGAAGGAGGAGTCAGGAGCCCTTCCATCCCAGCCTGGTTCTATTTTTTAGTATGTCATCTTGGGGAATTCATCCAGCCTCTCCTTCTTTAGAAGCTTTCTAAGCTTCTACTGAGGACAACACTCTCCAATTCTTTCTCAGTATTAAACAGATCAAATCAATTATTCGTATTTTATCTCTTCTCTTAGAATCCTAGAATGTCCTAGAGAAAAGAAATCTAAAGAAATAACCAATTTAATTATAAACATGATTTAGCATCTAAAAAAACATGTTGATATAACTCTTTCTGTGAAAGAGCAACCCCATTGGCCTTTCTCCTTCAGTCCCAATGAAGAACTGCAGCCATCTTTCGGTGTTCATGGGGATTGCTTCGACTGCCTGTCCACACATACTCAAGTGATGAAGTTGGTGCTGCAGAACCCACGTTTACAAAATGTCACTCCTCTGTAGGGGCAGGTTTTGCATCCTGCAAATACTGTATTATTGTGTATGTGGTTTTTTTGTTTGTTTGTTTGAGATGGAGTTTTGCTCTTGTCACCCAGGCTAGAGTGCAATGGTGTGATCTCAGCTCACTGCAATCTCCAACTCCCAGGTTCAAGCAATTCTCCTGCCTCAGCCTCCTGAGTCACTGGGATTACATGTGCCCACCACCATGCCCAGCTAATTTTTGTATTGTTAGTAGAGACGGGGCTTCACCATGTTGGCCAGGCTGATCTCCAACTCCTGACCTCAGGTGATTCGCCCGCCGCGGCCTCCCAGAGTGCTGGGATTACAGGTGTGAGCCACTGCGCCCGGCCAAATACCGTATTTTTGATCTGCGTTTGGTTGACTGCCGTGTGTAAGTGGACCTCGGCAGTCAAACCTATGTCATTTAAGGGGCAACTGTAGAAAGACCTGTCACTACTAAGAAGTACAGCACTTTACAAAATTATTTTTACATATGATTGTCACAGTAAACCTGTGAGGTGACTGTGTAGTATCCCCATGTTTTGGAAATGATTAGTAAGTAGTAAAGCCGAAACCCTAAATATGGGCTGTTTCCCAGCTTTCTAGAATTCTAGTTATTATTATTTCCCAGGGCTAATTTTTACTAATTAATGGTTGTAAATCCTAGTTATTCGAATAATCAACTAGGTGTCTAGCACTTGCTGTATAGGTTCCACTTAGCTTTCTTTCTTTCTTTTTTTTTTTTTTTTGAGACAGAGTCTTGCTCTGTTGCCTAGGCTGGAGTGCGGTGGCGTGATCTCGGCTCACTGCAAGCTCTGCCTCCCAGGTTCACGCCATCCTTCTGCCTCACTCTCCCCAGTAGCTGGGACTACAGGCGCCCGCCACCACACCCGGCTAATTTTTTTGAATTTTTAGTAGAGATGGGGTTTCACCATGTTAGCCAGGATGGTCTCGATCTCCTGACCCCGTGATCCACCCACGTCGGCCTCCCAAAGTGCTGGGATTACAGGTGTGAGCCACCATGCCTGGCCCCACTTAGTTTTCTTTGAAAAGCATAAAGATAGTAGAGAAAAGGAATAATATACACGGGGAAATAAGACCAGTGTATATTCAAAGATCTGCAAATATGTATATTTTTTGGTCCCAAGCTTGTAAACAATTTAAAAAATGACTCACTTTCCTGCCTTTTTATAAGCTGTATCTAGTTCATTTCCCTCTTCCAAATATAAATCCCTAAAGGTTAAGAGTACTCTTATTTTTAAGGCAATAAGGAACAGACAAAGTTAGCCTTTTCAGGTATTTTCATGTAGTCAGAGAAGCTCTCTCCAAGGGAGGGAGGATAAAATGGCCCAGTGCCCTCAGGCCTTTAGAAAACATCTCATGGGGATAAATGCTTTGATTCCCAGCGGTGCAGGAGGTAACAGATGTGAGGCTCTCCATGGCGCTTACCAGAAATATGTATGTACTGTGGGGCAGAACGAGGTACTTTGAAGATTGGAGAATTCGTCGGCCCTGTGACTTCACTTTATTGCTTTCTTCCTGTGCAAAATGTCTCTGGACCCAGAGGGAGAGGCACCGGCCAGACAGTGAGTCAAATGACAAGTTGACAAAATGGTTGTAATTCTAGAAGCTGCAATCCCATCCTTGTCTCTTTATGTAGGGGTGAGGATGAAGCCAAAATCTGAAACAGCTCCCAGGAGAGCAAGAAGATACTGTTACTAATGATTGGGCCGACCTGAATTCTTTCCTCGTTTATTTATGCCAGTCGTTGGTATAAACATCTGAACTGCATCCACATTCACACCCATATCTAGCAACAATGATCTTATTAAGAAAGAGCCAGCTAAGCCATGTAACGTACTCTATACCCACTGTGTGCAGGACGAGCAGCTGACGTCATGGTAGAAAGGCCTCAAAGTGACACTGCAGCCATTCCTCCTTCTTATCTGGAGATTTAATGATACCAGGCACAAGATGGGGCAGCAGAATTTGATGCCGCATTTGAGCCATGCCCTTTTTATTAAGGCCAGATCTATGCAGGTTTGGAAATGGTATCTATTTGCATTCATCCATTCGCCTTCTAAACAAATGATTATTGAACACCTGCTACTGTCCATTATTGTACCAGGAGCTGGGGACATAGTGCTGACACATGGTCCTGCCCTCTAGTTTCTCACTCTGGCAGGGGGTATAGGCAAGAAAATAGGAACTCTCAAAGGCGAGTGACAGGTGCAAAGATATGGGTAAGCTTAGGTGCTTTTGTGATCAGGTGGGAATTTCAGGACGAAAAGGGAATGGAGGTTTAGATTAGACTAAAGGATGAATAAAGGTTAACCAGGTGAAATTTGCATGGGGTTTGGAGGTAGGGAAGTGGGGAGTTGGCAACCAAGGAAAAGAGCGCGAAGCCCTGAATAAATAAGAGAGGGAAGCTCTGAATAACTCAACAGCTTCCTGAGCTACCTGAGAAGCAGCTCCCATGAACCAGCTCTCTTCTGTTCAACTGTGTGCTAGGTCCTTGATTCCCATAATCCTTACTGTGTGCTGGGCACATGCTGGCCTCTTTATATACAGGATTTGCTACTTCTTCCCATCCTATTATGAGTATTATGATCTCCATTACAAAGACAGAAACTGAGCCCTTAAGAGCTTAAGTAACTTGCTCATGGTCGCACAGGAAATAAAGCCACAAAACCAGGTTTCAAACCAGGTCTAATTCAAAACACGAGCTCTTCACCACCACCACCCAAGAGTGCCCAGGCGAGCAAATGTAAAGCTCGTGTAAAACTCCCTAGCCAGCTCATTGTGGATAAGGGCAAGGGTTATTCTGCTGGGTATCCAGTGCCTCAGAGCAGAGCACATTATACCTTCTCAGTAAATATTTGCTAACTGATGCTCTATCTCTGTCCTTTTTTTCCATCCCTATCACAAGAGTTTAGAAAAAAATTCAACAATGCCAATGGAGTTATGCATTTTTTACCTAATTCCTCTGAAACTGAGTAGGTAAATCAGTAGGAGATGAACTAGTCGACGTAGCTACTATTAAGAGACCCTTGAAATCCTTGCACGATACTTGGTGATGGGAGTGGGACTGTGACTGGTTAAGAGTGAGAGAGCATATCATGCCATCAGGGGAATAAAGTCAGGCTTATGTCATGGAGAAAGCTTTATAAACTCAATGAATAGTATAGTACTGTGTCTACGATCTGGCAATGAAATAAGTGATTTAAATCTCCTTAATTGATCTATTAATAGTATCACTGTTATACATTTCCATTTTTTAAATAGTAAGTACCTTTTATATGAGAATTTGAAGGCACTGTCTAAATGAATTGGTGGCATCATTTCTGATGCTCACAAAGATAAGATATGCAAGAGGATGGTCTTGTAATAGTCGTAGATTAGAGCTAGTACTTTTTTTTTTCTTTTGGGAAATTAGGAGGAGGATGGTAATAAGTCTGTAATTGGTTAGTAAGGGAGTTTTGGGCACGTGAAGCTAAGAAGGCAGAGTGGGAGGCATGTGGACTTAGTCATTTAATCACTTGTACCTACCACTTGTGGAAAGGTAGGTAAGTTATTCATTCATATGGACTCTGGGTTTTCTTATTTCTTAAATGAGGATTAAAGAGTGGACCTTGTAGAGCTGTTATAAAGTTTAGAAATAGTATATTAGAACAATCAGATCATTGTCCAATATGTGGCAGACATTTAAGCCCCTGATTCCATGAGATAGGTAGGCAGGTAGGTAGGTAGGTGGGTGGGTGGGTGGATGGATAGATAGATAGATAGATAGCCATACCCTCCTTCAAATTGTCCCTGTGTAGGCTGTGCCCTGGTTGTGGTACAGTTTCTGGCCATTAATAGAGTATAAGAGCTTTTACACCAAAGTCAGAGAAATGTGGATTCAAAGCATGACTTTACCACTGTTACTATGACTTTTGCAATCTCCTTATCCTCTCTGAGCATTGGTTTTCCTCTCTGTGAAAGGATCATAATAGTATCTGCCTAGAATAGTTACTGTTGGTACTGAATGGCAGAACCTGTTTAAAGCCTTTAGTTTGGGCCAGGTGCAGTAGCTCATGCCTGTAATCCCAACACTTTGGGAGGCCAAGGCAAGCGGATCACTTGAGGTCAGAAGTTCGAGACCAGCCTGGCCAACATGGTGAAACCCCATTTCTACTAAAACTACACACACACACACACACACACACACACACACACACACACACAGAGCCAGGTGTGGTGGCACGTGCCTGTAATCTCAGCTACTCAGGAAGCTGAGGCAGGAGAATCACTTGAACCTGAGAGGCAGAGGTTGCAGTGAACCGAGATTGCACCACTGCACTGCAGCCTGGGGAGAGCGAGACTCCGTCTTAAAATAAAAATTGTTTTTAATTTAAAAATAAAGCCTTTAGTGTGGACTTGGCACATAGTAAGTATTAATAGATGTTAATTACTACCAGCTACTTTTTTCTTATTATCCAGTGGTTACTTCACTAAGAAGTAGGTATCAGGCTTTTTCCAGTACAAGAGTGCTTGCTCTCTTCACCGAGGTTTGTTTTGCAAGCAAGGTTACAGTTCAGTGTCATTGAGGATGTAACATAGCCACTATGCGGAGAACAGAAGACAAAAGTGGTGGGCCTTCACCCTACTCTCTGCTGGTACAGAAGAAGTAGAATATTCAGGCAAGAGGGCAGGCCTGCATGTGAGGGTACAGAAATGGAAGCGCTACCTTTGTAAGGTAGTTGAAAAAACATCTAAGGGAAGAAGAGATGCTTCTGGATGGAGTGAGATGGGAGACTTATAAAGAATTATGGGCATTAGTTTTTATTTTAGGGACCTAACAGCACAGAGAAATAAAAAGGCACATTTTTCAAAAGGAGGCTTTCCTTGGAAAGCCTGCATCTTTCTTAGGTAAACATGGAGAGAAGTGTTTACAAACAGCTTGTAGTTGGCAGTAGGCTTCTCAGTTGCAGGCATCTGTTTTCTGTTCCCTGTAGCCAGTGCCACCTAGACAGAGGGTCATGGCTTTGGATGGAAGGGCAGTATGGGCAAAACAGTTTCTGCCTTTCACGTTCATAACCCTATCTAGGTACCCATAGTCGAGAATGAAGGAAACGCTTCAAGTTTCTGAAGATGTAATCATTTATCTGGACGTGTCTTTCAAGGTAAATGGCAAATGACTGAATCCACAATTCTTCAGTTCCCCTAAACATGTCTTCTTCATTAGGAGCCTGAATCCGGTAGGGCACCCGTAATGTGCTGTCCTTCTAAAATCATTTGTTTGTTCTCTCTCCTTATCTTTCTCCCCTCACTACCCTTTCCTTGCCCCCACCACACCCCCTGTATTAATATATTCCCCCTTGATCACACCTGGTATCATCTACGATTAAATATTACTTTAACAGCTGACAATATCTCAAGCCGTGCTTTAAGGAGGTATCATTCTACTTAACAGCGTCCTGTGCCTGCTGATCCCACTGCAGTGTTTTCTCCGTTTAAGGCATTACCGCAACAAAATCGGTTTTAGTGTTTCCCTTGCTTCTCCATGCTGAATTACAGTCACAGTCAACGGCCCACTTGTGTGTAGTTCAAGAAGCAATTAAGGGCTTTTTTTTTTTTTACTTTGAACAAGCAAGGGAGAGGGGGTAGAGTGAAAAATGATCATTATTCTGATGATTCCTCTGCTTAGCTGAACAGTTCACAGTTCTTTGATACCAAGAGTCACCCACATTTAAACCCATTTCTGTAACTGCCTGCTGCAGCCATGCCTGCTGTCAGATCCGGTTGATGGCAGTTCAAGGACTCACATGCCATTAGGTTGGAGCAGCCCAATCTGGCTTTAGAATTGTGATTAAATACAGTTGTAACATCTGCACAGTGATCCACGGCATGATGATGGTATCACTGAAAATTAAAAAGTGCAAACTTTGGAGACTTCCCAGGGAATTTTGCAGTTTCTATTGTAAGCCTTTTGTTTTATTCAGTGGGATTTCTTATAATCTGAATATGGTAGTCTTATCTTTCTATGCATGTCTACATGAATTAAGTCTATCTTTAGCTTGCACGTTCCTGGAAGGCAGGGACTTTAACTTTTACCACTGGGTCCAAAACAGAGCTGATGATAGAAGTTGTTGAAACGTTTTTTTTTTTTGAGATGATCAAGAGATGCCCTCCTTAATGTTTGCTCAATAAGTATCTCTGCTCTGTGTGGAGCAATAAGTGAGATCCTGGGAAGAGACAAGTCACTTTATGTTGGTGGATCGCCGAGTGTGGTCCCTGAACCAGCAGCGTCAGCATCACCTGGGAATGTGTTAGAAATGCATATTCTTTGGCCCTACCCTCGGCAACTCTGGGGGTCAGGCCCTGCGACCTCTGCTTTAACACACCTTCCCTGGCACATCTGACGCATGCTCCTGTCAGAGAATCACGGGTCTGCATCCCTGCAGGTCCTTGAACCCCTCCACAGACATTTTTCCTGCAAAGAGGAGAGAGATGACCTAGGGTAGAAGCAGGGCTAGAGGGCGGGGACTAAGCTTTGAGGAAGTGAAGGCTGGCTTTGAGACAGCCTCCCAGCTGCCTCAGCAGGGTAACAATGTGGCAGCTTCTCTCCTTTGGATGCTTTAGGGCTGCCTGGCAGCTCCAGGAGCCAAGTAATTCCACAAGCCCGTATGGGGAGGGTGTGATATGGGACAGTTCTTGCCTTGAGGGGAATGACTGCTTGCTTCTCCACTGCGTGTGTGTGTTGAAGCAGGGAAGGGCACTAATTCTTGCTCAAAATCTAAGCAGCTGTGGTATAACGCGAGGAGGTTTAGACATGGAAGACTTGGGTCAAGGCACAGCTCTGCTCTAGTAGCTTTGAGACTCTGGGAAAATCCATTAACCTCATTAGACTCAGATGGACCTGAGTTTTCTCATCTCAAAAACTGAGATAATTATACCTGCCCTGTCTCTTTCATAGGATGTTCTGCTCAGTTGAGATAGGGGTTGGGATGGGATTTTGCTCAACCCAAACCCTTACTTCTCCACTCAAACAGATTCCTGACTGAAGGTGCCCTACCAATGAGAAGCACAGACTAATGGGGGGAGCAAAGTTCTTTACTGATTAATTAAGCTGATGGATCTGCACAGACGCACACCCACTGCAGGCCTTCCCTAGGAAGGCATGGTCGAACACAAGGCTGAGTCATGGCAACTCCCTTCAAGGTGACCTTGGAGAGCAGGGATGCCCTTTTGCCTGTTGCTTGAGGACATTGAAGTCTGATGGAGAGAGCCTCCTCCCTCCAGATTCCTAAAGCTCCCGGACTTTCTCAATTCATGGTGCTTTTGTGTCTGGGAACTTTTTCACAGTGCCCCTGTAACAAGAGAAATACCTACTAGCTCCATTTGTTAGTAGTTTCAAATAATAGTAGTAGTCCATGCTGAATCTGAACGTGCCGCTGTTACTCTCTGGAAACTTTTTTTTTTTTTTTTGAGATAGAGTCTCACTCTGTCACCCAGGCTGGAGTGCAGTGCCACGATCCCTGCTCACTGCAAGCTCCGCCTCCCGGGTTCAAGTGATTCTCATGCCTCAGCCTCCCGAGTAGCTGGTATTACAGGTGTGCACCACCACACCTGGCTAATTTTTGTATTTTTAGTAGAGACGGGATTTCATCATGTTGGCCAGGCTGGACTCAAACTCGTGACCCCAAGTGATACACCTGCCTCAGCCTCCCAAATTGCTGGGATTACAGGTGCTAGCCACCACACCCGACTTCTCCAAGGAAACTTTAAAACATCCCATGGCTTTCCTGTGAGTTAGTTGCAGTCCACAGTTTGGCCTGTACCTCACCTGAAGCAAAAGATGGGAGCTAGAACATTGAGAAATATTCCCAGGAGTCTACCACCCTCATGAACTTTCCCTTGGAATAGTCCAGTAGAATAATGATTTTTTAAAAATTATTCCTATAAGAAGGAAGGATAAGCATTGACAGATATGACTTATTCCCTTACCAGCATTTCAAAGTCAGAATCAATTTCAAGCCAACTCTAAACCCATTTGTAGATATACTGCCTGTGGCTTAGTTAAGAAGAAATGGTTTCTTTCTGAAGTAACAGAATAATTGCCATATCCAGTATCTATGTCTGTGTCTGTATCACTGAGTGGATTGTTGGCTACTGCGGGGCAGGGTCTGGGACAGAGTAGGTGCTTGTATGTTTTTAAATTATATAACTCCTTTATGGATGACTTATGGGTTCTCAAATGGCTTCTCTAATGGGCACCAGTCTTATTTTCCTTTGATCTTGTTCTTTTAGGCTTGCAAAGGGTAACGTAAATATATCCAGCACTGCAGCTAAGGCTTCATATACAGGGACAGGCTTATCCTCTCAAGCGTTCACAAGGGGAAGTGAGATCAAAGTGTGTTGGCATGATGGTGGGGGGCCTGGAGGAGCTTTTTTGCTCTTCATGATAATAGCAAGCACACCCTGTGGATTTGTATCTAACCCCCATTCTGTAGTTGACATTGTTCTTGAGTAGAAAACCACTGAAGCCCACCAGTGGTTCTGAGCCACCCCACATTTTATCATTAAGCTCAGTTATGAGTGGTAAGATGAAGGAAATAGTATCTTATGTTCATTAAAATGGACTGCTTGTTATTCCAGAAAATTAATGTATCTGAAGCCAGGGCATGCCTTTTGAAATTTAGCAATTGATTCAGCGATGCTTGGCATTTAGGGTGCCAAAACATTGTGGAGAAATTGAGTAACTCCAGAAAACCCCAACATCTTTTTTTCTTTTAAAGTAGATCTAACATGGATTGCCTGCCTCTCATCTAAAGATGGACGAAGCATAATTACATTGATGTAGGAAGTAGCTTGGGAAGGCAAGATATGCATTCCTATTTAATGGTTACCTTACTTTAAGTCGGGTACGTGATTCATTGAGATGCGAATTTGAATTCTGAGGTTTTCTCAACTCTGCACAAGTCTATTTCCCTGTATTCCCTAAGCCCATATCACTGAAACTCCCTTAGGTGGAGGCAAGTCACAGCCCTACAGTAAAAACAGTGGCACTATTGCTAGGCAGTTCATGCCATTTGCGAATTTGAACCCCGATGACAGGGCTGTGAAGAAATGTGCCTAGATAAGCTTCACTGCCCATTCCAACCCTGAATGAGTGCAAGCTTTTGAGATGTGTGCTACTAAGGATCCCACATGGTGGATTGAGTGTTTTGGTTTTAAATAAAACAGGAGCGGAGTTTTAAATAAAACAGGAGTGGTAAGGAAGCTTGTTGTGACAAATGGTATACCTGCGCCCTGCCCTCTACCTTGCCTCACAATCTAACAAAAGCCTTTGGCTTACGAATCTCAAGGAACTGCTCAGAGGAGCCGTTTACAGCACAGAAGCAAGAGAAGAGAGACCATGTCCGGCCCTTGGCCAGTTGTACTTCAGTGCAGACATGCACTGTCTGCTCTTTCTCAGCTTCTTTTCTACAGAGAGTTAAGAAAAGATGCAATTGATGGTGGCGAAAAGTGGACAGGAAACCCTCCGTTTTCAAAGTCTTCTTTTGGTGCAAAACTACCTTAGGTCTACCCAAACATAAATTCCTGGAATTCACTTTTCCTGGAACTCCATTGGAATGCAAACACTGATTTTGAACACCTAACATGCTTCCAACACTTTTATTATGGGCCATGCCCTGTTCTGAGCACTGTACATGGGCTTTACTCATTTAATCCTTAAAACAATATTTCAAACAATGAGGCAGTCCTAATACTGCATTCCTTGGGTTCTTCTTAGGGTCATATGGTAGCCTCAGATATATGTCTTGACCCCCATTAGTTCACAAAAATATTTTTTCTGGGAGTAGGGCTGTGTTTTATAAAATAAGAATGGTTTATAATAAAATAAAAACAGTGTAGCTCACAGCAGCTTTTTGTCATTCAAAATGTATAGAAAAAAAGACACCAACTTATACAAAACTTCATTTGGGTTCTTTTAAAGTTTTGTTGTTGCTGTTGTTGTTAAATGGTAGGCCTTTTGAGATAGATTTATTGGAAAGTCATATGGGTGTAGTTCTTGGGACAGATGATTTCTCCATTCAGCATTTAGAGTTATAACTTCTGCACTCTAGTGATTCTTGAAGTAGTTTGGAATATGGAAATGTGAATAGTTTTACCTCCATCACTCTGGATATTATCCCATGTTCTAAAATCATTACATAAAAATATAAACTCACTATTGTCCTTGTAGGCTTATCATGTACTTATGGGCTCATCAATGCCAATGTCCATTGAGGGAACTGAGAAGAGGGGGCATATACAGGTAATGATGTCTTCTCATAAAAAGAAAAAAAAAAGGAAATGTTTTGGCTTTTCTTTAGTAACATATAATTTGTAATGTTCTTTGCCTCATTCACAATCCTGTCCGTGTATAAACAGTAATTTGCTCTTGTAAACACATACTGTAGTTAGAGTTCTATTGGGAGCAATTGGTGTTCTTTATCTGTGACATCATGAGCATTTAAAAAACAATAATTATAAATATCCTCCAGGGTGAAAAAATAGTAAAAAGAATCAGAGGATCTGTCTAGAGACTTTAGTGGTTGTTTCTTACTGTCCTGTCTTTGAGTATCCTCCCTCTACCCCATCTCTACTCATTCACTATACCCTGTCCCACCCAACACATCCTTCAAAACTCAGTAGGGAGGGTACCTATTGCAAATCTCCAGGAATGTTATTACTATTTGGAGAACAGTATTTAGTAACACTTTGTCTTTACATCTAAAATAATTTGTTGCTTTTGGTAACCTTCATCTCAGTTCTGAAATCCAAAGAATAAGCCTGTTCCTTTGTATGGCTCAGTGAATTGTGGGTCCTCTCTTCCCCTCCCCTCTCCCCCCTCTCCCCTCCCCACCCCTCCCCACCCCTCCCCTCTCCCCTCCCCTCTCCCCTCCTCTCCCCTCCCCACCCCTCCCCTCCCCTCCCCACCCCTCCCCTCTCCCCTCCCTACCCCTCCCCTTTCCCCTCCCCTTCCATCCCCACCGCTTCCCCCTCCCCTCCCTTCCCCTCTCTCCTCCCTTCCCCTCTCTCCTCCCCTCTCCCTTCTTATCCCCACCTCTTCCCTCCCCTCTCTCCTCCCCTCTCCCTTCTTATCCCCTCTCCTCCCCTCCCCTCCCCTCCCTTCCCCTCCCCTCCCCTCCCTTCCCCTCCCCTCTCCTCCCCTCCCCTCCCCTCCATTCCCTTCCCCTCCCCTCTCCTCCCTTCCCTTCCCCTCCCCTCTCCTCCCTTCCCTTCCCCTCCCCTCCCTTCCCCTCCCCTCCCCTCCATTCCCTTCCCCTCCCCTCCCTTCCCTTCCCCTCCCCTTTTTCAAATCCAAGGATGTACCAGTGAAGTCAAGGTTTGTGTTTCTCTGAATGCTTTGACTTAGAAACAACCTCATATTGGTAATATTGGTTAGTGCTACATATGCATAAGCATGCAGAAGAAAAAGGATAAGTGTATCAAAGACATACTTCAATTCATAAAACTTGCAATTACACTATGGCTTTTCAGCAGAGGAGTCCGTTAGATTACTAATGGGGTATTTACAGAGGAGAGAGCAAAAGTAGAATGTAATCTGAATATGTAAACCGCTTATGTTCTTAAAGTCCAATTTATACCCAGTTTTTTGTAACTTGGAATGCATCTCCAGGTAGAAGCTATATTTTGCATGCTTTTGGGCTCCCCTGCTAGCTTATGAAAACCTGTGTCAAGCATAATGTAGTAAATATGGTTTTTGAAAAGAGTATGAAATGTTATCAGATAGCCTTCAGTTTGAGTACAAACTCCAACACCTACTAGTTAGATGGCCCTGGGCAGGTCACTAAACCTTTTGGAGCTTCAGTTTACCCATCTACAAAATTCAGCATGTGCAAACATTTTGTAAGCTAACATTGCTTTTTTGGGTACAACCCAGTGTTTGAGATAGAATAGACATTCAATAAATGTTTGCTGAATGAATGAGCAGATGAATAAGCATGTATTTTATTTCCGTGGAAAAAATCTGTCCAAAGGATCAGATGCCTACAACTTCTGCATCCTCACAGTGGTGAGTTTAGGCCAGGGTCTACAGAAATTGAGACTTCTTAAGGAGATGTTCGTGGCTGCTTATATGGTGTTGGGGTCTCTTCTACCATACCTGGTGGTGGATTTCTAGCTGCAGTAGCTTCAGAGTCAAGGCCAAGGCATTTGCCATGAGTGAGTCATCTTCGGATGAGTGGCTTTGCTAGAAGGTACCAGGTATCTAGGATCCCATGGGGGCATACGGGTGTGTGTGAAAACCTTTACAGGCTCCTATACCAGTAGTTTTGCACATCAGAGAGGTGTGGTCGCCATTTTTGTATTTGAGTCATGCACAAGTTGGATGCTTGCAAATCGAGGACTTTATGTATTCTTCTACCTCTGTGAAATAGAACAAACGGTATAAAAACAGCTTTTAATAGAAAACGTATAACATATAACTACATTTTTATGGGCCCAAAGGGAGTAGATTAATGCATTTAAAATAATGAGAAGAAAAAATAAACATACTTTTAAAAACATCAAACGATGGTGTTTTCTCCAGAAAGGAGCAAAAAGATACAAGGTATTAGAGACTGTGAGGCAGTTCTGTTCTGACTTTGGGAATGGACTTTGGGTTTATTCTAACATGACCCCTGCTTTTCTAATTATAGCCAGTTGTGCTCAAACAGACAGGAGGTGGAGGAGTTCGTTTTAAATCTATCTTCGGTTTCAGTAGACATACCTCCTGAAAATCCCTAAAATTTCAAGAGGAGATTTTCTTTTCTTTTCTTTTCTTTTTTCTTTCCTTTTTTTTTTCCTCAAGCAATTGCTGTTTTTTGAGCTCCAAGGGCTGACAGCTGTTCTAGTTTTGCTTGGGGACTTTTTCACAATGTGGATTAATCAATGTTATGAACTGGGTCCGTGGGGTTTTGGGAATGTAATTGGTTTCAGATGACACTTTGCTAGTCAATCTGTGAAACAGCCGAATGTTGACACAGCTGAACAATTCCAGCTGTTTCCACTCGCCCCTTCCTCTTTCCCTGGACGCTGCATCCTATGCCTTTATTTTTGTCTGCCCTCTCTTTTTGTGACTTTGCTAAACTAATTTGTTATCTTTTCTGAAATTTCTTTTTGCTTTTTTCTCCTTTGGGATGGCATAGCTCCCTGTTTATTAGATTCTCCACCCAATTTTATTTGCAAAAGCTTTTTCTTCACTGTCATCGTTTTTAAAGAAATGGCAGTTTTTACCATTTAAGTTCTTTTAATTTGCAGTGATCAACTAGTTTATTTATTTAAGGGCACACAGCTACAAATGTAGATTTTTTACATAAGTGCTTAGATTCTGCAAATATTTGGTTTCACAGCTGGTTGATTAATCTTCTTTTTAAATTATCAGAGGTGTACCATTGAATAAACAATACAAGCTTTTAGCTTCATCCACTGCATAGCCATTTTTGCTATCGTATATCCCTTTGAAACAGTGAGAAAAAGAGATTCAGATGTCAGTATTACTGCTAGAAAGGTGGATGATTAGAAGGAAGGAATCAAAAGAAGACCCACCCTGAATTACGTACAGTATATTAAGAGTTTCTATATTGTCAGGGGGAAATGGTTCATAAATTGCTTTCAGTGGTTTTCCATTATCAGACTAATTTCTCTTTGTTTTTTCAAGAGTACTTGTTTCTGCATCTCACTGAGTGGAGAAATGGTTTTAACTGCTTGTGTGCCCAAGAAAATTTTTGCTATTTTATTGGGTGACTTGTTGCAGGTCTTGAGCTAAATGAGCTAAGCTAAAGCTTATACATGGGTGAATGTGGTCATTTCCAGTACCTGAGACTCCTGATGTGAGCAAAGAAATCCTGTTCTTCCCAGAATGGTTTATATTGACTAAATGGATAGCTCAGCTTTATAGAACAATTGTGCAACCACCTACTCTGCTTTGCTTGTATACATTTAGATGCCCAGAGCAATGAAATATTCTGAAGTTGAGTCCAGGATGTCAAGGAACATGGAACAATTGAACCATTATCATGAGACTCTGACAAATAAATGCAATTGACATAGTGAATTTTTCCAGCTATTTCCTTCCATCAAAATTGTTAATGACCGTAATATCAGAGGAAACACTCTCATGGGTGGAGGCTATCTTCAAGAGAGGAAACAGTGGTTAGATATACAATGTTACTTCTCTGAATGGAGAACTATAGACAGTGCACACCGTTAAGCATTGGTTAGAGCTAATCCAGTTTAACACTTCTCTATACGTTTTGTGTAGTGAAACTTCTGAATCTTTCTAAGAGAGAAATACAAAGCCATCATGGGCCAAGTGTGTTAAAAAGAGACTGAAGAGCATCCATATGAACCAAACCTATGGAAAAAGAAACACCTCAAATTACAACTGGAGGTGAGCAGCCAGAATTATAGGTGATAACCTAGAAAATGGGCTTATAAATCATTTCAGACATTTCTCCAAATATTTTGACCAAAATATGGCTTTGGTTCAGAGACCTAGTGCTGGGTATAATCATGGAGGATGCTGGAATCAAAGACCAAAAGCATATCTCTGACCCTCTGGCCATTCATAATATCATCTACAGCTAGACCAATACTCCTCAAGAACAACCTAACAAAACCAAGGAAGGATCTGACAGGGCTAAAGTAGCCAAGGGATTTCAGATATTACCTTGGAAGGGCAAACGCATTTAGTATCTTTTATGTAGGAAGCTGAGAATGGATGGGATGAACATTATAGAGCAGGACTGCATAAACTTGGACTTGTTCCTTGAACCTGGCAGCAGTACATATGTATATATTTTGAGGGTGACAGCATGTTGTACCGGATGAGAACACCAGTGTTTAAATCCTTGTCCCACCATTTATTTGTCTGGTCTTGGGCATTTCACCTAATCATTCTGATTCTTGATTTTCTTATCTGAAGAGGAAAGAAATAACAATCTTAAAATTGTTTTTAAAATCATTAAATGAGAGATGCATGTCCACCTGCCATAATTTTTGAAATTTATAAAAGTATTTAACAAATGGCTACCATTACCCTCGTTGTCGACAACATCATTAGAGGCAGTTTTAAGTGAAATTGCACAAGTTGAAAATTAATGAGAGTTTAAAAGTTTAGGCCAGGTACAGTAGTTCACACCTGTAATCCCAGCACTTTGGGAGGCCGAGGCGGGCGGATCACAAGGTCAGGAGTCAAGCCTGACTGACATAGTAAAACCCCGTCTCTACTAAAAATACAAAAATTAGCCAGGCATGGTGACATGGGCCTGTAATCTTAGCTACTCAGGAGGCTGAGGCAGGAGAATCGCTTGAACCCGGGAGGCAGAGGTTGCAGTGAACTGAGATCATGCCACTGCACTCCAGTTTGGGTGACAGAGTGAGACTCTGTCTCAAAAAAAAAAAAAAAGAAAAAAAGTTTAGACTAATGCATACATACATAGATAATATGTCAATAATGGTTAACTTGGGAGAGCTAGAGCACTTGGGCTAAATCTTTAACCTCTGACATTGAAATCAGGGTTACAGCCATTCTTTTCCACAATCGTACCTTTAATGCAGCTGCCAAAAATGACAGTGCTCAGTGGACCAAGGCCTAGGCTATCCACCTTTTTGGGTTTTTTTTTTTTTTTTTTTTTTTTTTTGGTCTTATGAACCCTTTCCTTTCATAGCATGTGGATCTAGAAGAAGGAAGATTTGGACTCTTTGGACTTGAGAAATGACATTTTTACCTACTTGGTTCCAAAAAGAGCTGGAACTTCTTGAAAGGGTATTCTGTGTTCTTAAGGAACATGCCAGCGGGGCATAGTGGCTCGCGCTTGTAATCCCAGCACTTTGGGAGGCCAAGGTGGGTGGATCACCTGAGGTCAGGAGTTCGAGACCAGCCTGACCAACATGCAGAAACCCTGTCTCCACAAAAATACAAAAAAATTAGCCAGGCGTGGTGGCGCATGCCTGTAATCCCAGCTACTCGGGAAGCTGAGGCAGGAGAATTGCTTGAACCTGGGAGGTGGAGGTTGCAGTGAGCTGAGATTGCACCATTGCACTCCAGCCTGGGCAACAAGAGTGAAACTCCATCTCAAAAAAAAAAAAAAAAAAAAAAAAAGGAATATGCCCTGTCTTCCCACAATTGTGCAAGTTGTAGACTACTCACATCTTTGTCACTTTGGTCCTAAAAAAAGTTTCCCAGATGAAAGAAATTTTATAGTACACATGTAACATTCTTAAGTTTCTTTTCTGAAGTGTTATTACGGCTAATGAACACATAGCAGAGTCATGTTCCTTTCTGGTTCCACAATGCCTGTCTACCACCATGGAATCATTAGGCTGTGTTTGTTAAAAGTTGATGAGTGATAGGTGAAAATGGGAAGCTCCTGATGCATGTGGAATGTAGATGAGTGCCAATATACCATTGCAAACTGGGTCTTTACAATCATAAAAACCACTAGACGCATTAGTAAATTTCTCAGACAAATAGACATAAGTAAAAGGCCCAAACCCTAGCCCAGAAGAGGAAAATTGAGCATGGGATTCAGTTGTTGGCTTTCCACTGAGATATTTCACCCAAGTTGCAACCAACCTTGAAGGGAACACTGACCATGGTAGAAAGATAAATTGCCTGCTTTTGGGGTAGAATGGAGAAGTTATTGGAGAATATGAAATGTAGTCAGATTAAAGGAGTAGGATCAGAGTCTTGCATGAAAGTTAGGGGTTATGCAATGGAAACAAGGTCTTGGCAGGTAATTTTTGTGCTCTAAAAGGTCCTTTCTCTCCCAGTGTTGCAGTCAAACTTTTACCAGCATGAGCTTTATACTGGATTCTTTGAATGCAAGAGTAGGAAGCAACCAAGATCAAACGGCACCTTAAAGGTAGAACATCCAGGTATCCCACTCTGCCCCATATTCTCTGACCAGCCTCTCCCAGGCTAGTATTATTGTCATCTGAATCTATTTATTTATTAAAGAGATATTATTTGAATACCTTTTTTTTGTTTTATTCCCCTTTGATGTCCTCATGGAGCTAGTGGGATTGCAGAGACATGGTTTAACCAGTCAATGTGGAAAATAGAAGCATCATGAAGTGTTGGAAAAGAGAAGAAAAGGGTGGGATGAGCATTTATAGTAAGGACTGACTTACGTTAGGGAAGGCTCTCATGGGAAAATGGCAGTTTAACTTAGAGTAGTAAGAATTAACTAGGTGAAACAGAGGGGAGCTGCAGATGTAAAGATGATACAGATATGGCCCCCACCTTCAAGGAGCACGTAGTCTAAATAAAACAGTTACAAACAGTTATAGTACATTTGATACTTGCTACCTGTGGTGAAGATTTTTGTGGGCATGTCATGTTATTACCTAGGAGGAAAATCTTAAACAGATTCTGTGGGGAGGGGTTACCTTTAAGGAAGTCTTCCTGGAAGAAGTGACATTTGAGCTGAGTTTCCAGTGATAACACTATTGTTAATTTGTGATACATTCTGGAGCCTTAGATACATTGCTTTCTCAATTGCTTTGGACTCAAGATTCTCCTTGCTTGATGTACTGGGAACACTTAGTGATTGATGTTAGTCTCTGTTGCTGGGAGATGGGGAAGAGTGAGTTAAGTAGCTCAGGGCAGGTAATGAAGCAGCTTCATTATGTGTGAAGGGACAGGGTGGAGTGGGGAACTTGGGGAATGTTTATTGCTCCCAAGTTGGCTTATAGCCTAGAAATTCTAGAGTTCTGCTTCTGTGCCAAGAAAGGGGATGGGGGGATTGGGCAGTAGCTTTTCATGCTTCCCAATGACTGGGGGAGGCACAGAAGCCTCAATTCATGTAATGCTGGTCCTGCAACCATCTGCATTGTCTCCACCAAAGCTATCCATGGTAAATCTGAGTTTTTTTTCATGTTGTGGACCACTGACACCAGAGGAATTTGGAGAGGCTGTTAAAAAGAGCACATCCCTGGGCTCCACAGTAGACCTGCAGAATCAATATAGAGCGAGGAGGGTCAGCATTTTTAACAAGCTCCCTGATGACTCTCTTGGTTCTAAAGTTTGAGATCCCTGCAGTTTGCTTGTGTGGGAGTAGTAGGTTATGGTCCAGGTATAATGGGATGTAACTTGACGGTCTAATATAAAGCCAGTAAGAGTGGGTCATGTAAATGTGCCTTTGTATTGCAAGGCATTGCAAAAATAAGGAACTATTTAAATATTTGGCACTACAAAGGTACAGACTAAAATTACCTGGACAACCTTCGCGGATGGAAACTGTGACTCAAGTGAATCATAATTGTTCTTGATGATGTGATGTGAGTTGGTGTCTTTCCCTTCAAAATGTGATTGCATAATTGCACACAGGCACTCCCTCCCTGTAGGCAGAGGGCTAATTACATAATGTGGGCAATAGGCCTGATCACTCTGTCCTCTAATTATGGTTTATAAAATGTACTGTGTTGACTTTTGCCATCACAGCTGCCCTCGAGGTTGACTCTGGAATGTTGTGGCTGGTATGGGCTTGATACATTATCCAGCACTAACTCCATTCACACTTTATTCTGAAGCGAGAAAGAGCCCCGGCAAGGTGATCTGACGTGCCCACACCAGACGGAAGGCAGTTCAGCACCAGGACAAGAACTTGGCTTTCCTAGCATTTTCCCAGTTTCAGTAGCTAGGCCAAACGTGCTCTCTATTCTGCAATGCTGGCTCATGTTTTACCATTTTCACAGGAAACCTGATTTGGGAATTTTAAATGGAAAAACTGTCATTTAGTGTTCTTTTTCTTTTCTAATAACAATAGTTAATATTGACCACACACATGTGCCAGGAAGCACTCTAAATACTTTATACCCATGAACCATCTAATCTCCTCAGCAGGCAGATATCTCCATTTCAAAGATGAAGAGACTGAGCCTTTAGAAACTTTCAAGGGTGTTTCCAAGGATATACAGTTTAGGAGGACAAAGATTTCACCCAGGCTAATCTGATTCTAAGATATTATTTTACATTTTATTGCACTGTTGGTTGATCATACTAATGTACAAAAATTCATTTTGTACAGTTGCAAGGTCAAGTGATCTTAAGTTAATTCCTTTTCACATTTAGATAATGAAAGATAAAATGCTTTATACATTTACTGTATACCAGGTTCTAGGTAACTGTTTCTTTTATCAAGTTACATTTTTATATTCCAGCACGTTCTCACTGGGCAGTGGCTTCTGTCTGCCTTTTTTCTCTATATCTTTTATATATTCTTGCTTTTTATAAAATAAGATAATCTAAAATAAAGAGAAGCCATGTTTTCTGTGGAGCCTGAATTTGTAGTTAGGAACATCAGCAGCTCCACGCCGTGAAGGGTTCAGATATTATTGAGTCTCCAAGGGAAGGCTATGTTGCTGGTGGTGCCATTAAGTGGCGTGTCCTGATTTGTGGGCTTCACAGGGCCAGCCTGGCAACTGCAGTTGTGTTCTCCAGGTCAGGGAGCACACTGGTGAATACGCCGGGTCTGTGAGTTCCCACTCTTCATGCCTTATATTGTGATCTTTTCTTTATGTGGTGGGATCTCAGGAAATATACTCCAACTGTGTAAATTCTGTCATTTTCAGATTATCATAACTTAGAAAAAAAAACAAATATAGAAAACAAGAGTTCATGTGAAGTGGGATGCCTTATTCTACCACGTGCTTCATCACAGACTATTTCTGGGGAGCATGTCCCTGAACCTTGGTAGTGAGCATGGAAATACCCTCACTCGGGGATGGAGACTGCTTTTTCAATTGGATAAGGCACTCCTGTTGCATGCCTGTGCAGTTGGGAGAGGAGGGAGCGTAATCACTCTCATCACTCCAGATAGGAATGCTGAGCATACATTGAATACATAAATTAATATACATATGATATGCAAATGCTCCCAGAGAGTCCTGAAGGCCGCCCATCTGAGAAGCAGGGGTCACAGACATGCTATGCTTTTACCCAAGCTGTTTCCTCTGCCTGAATCACTCGCCCTGCTCTTCTCTACTTGGCTCGCTCCTCCTGTCTCTCAACACTCCCCTAAAGTTTCCCTCCTCTGAGACCTCTTCCCTGACTCCATCCAGGCCTGGCGTCCGGCTCTGCTCTGCTCATTCTCCAAGGAGAGTGGCACAGAGAGGCAGGCTGCAGAGGAAATACAGAATCAACCATGCAGCACTGCAGAGAGTAGAGGGTGGCTGAGGCTAGGGGCTAGGGGAGCAAGACAGGACCTGCATCTCAGGGAAAGGACTAAGAAAAAGACAAACTTGGGAAGCTGGGCCCAGAGCCGTCTCCCCAGTTCTGTGGCTTGATCAAACAGAACAGCAAAAACCCTGTGTGGGGACAAGGCCTGTGTCCACATTGAAAGCACTGTCAGGCATTCAGAGCCAAGAAGACTTGGTGAAGAGGTGGCAGTGCTCCATAGGGTGGGGGTACTGTCTTTACCTATAGTATTTCTATTCCTCCAATTAACTTTTTTTTGAGACGGAGTCTTGTTCTCTGGCCCAGGCTAGAGTGCAGTGGCACAATCCCAGCTCACTGCAACCTCCGTCTCCTAGGTTCAAGGGATTCTCCTGCCTCAGCCTCCCAAGTAGCTGGCATTACAGGCGCCCACCACCACACCTGGCTAATTTTTGTATTTTTAGTTGAGATGGGGTTTCACCATGTTGGCCAGGCTGGTCTCGAACTCCTGACCTCAAGTGATCCACCTGCCTTGGCCTCCCAAAGTGCTGGGGTTACAGGCGTGAACCACCGTGCCCGGCCTTACTAACATTTATTGAGTGCTTCCTATATGCAAAGTGGTGATGCAGTGATGCTTAACACCCTGTCTCTAGAGACCCATATGCCCAACAACTAAAGCAGTAGTTTAAATTTCCTCTTAACTCTTGCAATTAGAGATAGATTATGTAAACCTGAATTATTTTTAATATACCTAGGAATGAATCAACCATAAAGGGGCTTAGAGGTTGGTACGTAAGTTACTGAAAATCTGGGAATTACACTTTAGAATGAGGGGCGAGGTCAGAAGTTTGTCTATCCTGGCCTACCAAGCCCCTGCTCACAGCATCCATAGCTCTCAGGTCAGCAACAACAGATATGCCTGGCCGCATTACCTTGACATCAGGACTTCCTGCGATGCCCTTGTATTTATTTATTTATTTATTTATTTATTTATTTATTTATTTATTTTTTAAGATAGAGCCTCGCTCTGTCTCCCTGCACGCCTGCAGTGGCACAACCTCGGCTCACTGCAAGCTCTGCCTCCCGAGCTCATGCCATTCTCCTGCCTCAGCCTCCCGAGTAGCTGGGACCACAGGCGCCCGCCACCATGCCCGGCTAATGTTTTGTGGTTTTAGTAGAGACGGGGTTTCACCATGTTAGCCAGGATGGTCTCGATCTCCTGATCTTGTGATCCGCCCGCCTCGGCCTCCCAAAGTGCTGGGATTACAGGCACGAGCCACCGCGCCCAGCCCTTGCAATGCCCTTTAATGCCAAATTCCAGGGAGGAAGAACAGCAGCTCCTTCTTCAGCCGTGAGGACTTTGAGGATACCTGCTTTTAGATTCAGGCTTGACATTTTATATCAAGCTTGTCCAACCCATGGCCCATCGGCCGCACGCTGCCCAGGATGGCTTTGAACGTGGCCCAGTGCAAATTCGTAAACTTTCTTAAAACATTATCAGGTATTTTTGTAATTTTTTTTTTGGCTCATCAGCTATAGTTAGTGTATTTTATGTGTGGCCCAAGACAATTCTTCTTCCAGTGGGGTACAGGGAAGCCGAAAGATTGGACACCCCTGTTTTCCATTGTCTTGATGTAAGATTCCAGCCATTTTTCTCCTTTCACTAGAAAGAGTGAGGTGGCTGGATCACTGAAGCGCATCCCAAACTGCCTTCCCCAAGAGTCCTTGGCATGAGAAAGCTAGAACCTCACCCCAGTGAGGGGGTCCACAGTTTCCCTGAGCAGCTCACATTGGTTGGGAGTCAGGAGAGGTGTTATTTACCTGGATGGGGTCTCCTCACTTCATCCCCTGCTGTGAACCTCACGGTCACCCTTGCCCCCGACCCCTACCCTGAGGTGTACCTGAAAGGCACCCATGGCAAGTGCCTGCTCTCAGGGGGTGCTGTCATGACAGCCACCTGAAACCAGGCCTGGAAGAAGGGTTCCTGCAATGCATTAACTCTCCCAGGAGCAGAATGAGTAGTGGAAGGAAGGAGAGCCAAGAGGAACGCGGGAAAGAGATGTCCAAGTACCAGGGACATGTTTGCCAGGCACGCACTTTGGCCCAGCAGGATACTAGGCGTGGTGGAGATCCTGAGAAGTGTGAACTCTGTCTCTCCCTGAAAGGATTTAGTTTACAATCTATTCATTTCCTGGGTTTGACTGAGATCTGGAACCACATTGTGCTCTAGGCAATGAAGATAAATCAAATAATACGGAAACCCCTCCACCTCCATGGAACTAGTAGTTGGGTGGTGCTTGTCAGAAAGGCTTTCTTCTTCTTCTTCTTCTTCTTCTTCTTCTTCTTCTTCTTCTTCTTCTTCTTCTTCTTCTTCCTCTTCCTCTTCCTCTTCCTCTTCCTCTTCTTCTTCTTCTTCTTCTTCTTCTTGTTCTTCTTCTTCTTCTTCTTCTTCTTCGTGTGGAACTGTTTTAATTCATCCTTTACATTTTTTCCATCCTTTACATTTTAAGAATTATTTTATTATTGAAAGTAACCAAATCCCTTTTTCTTGATTAGAGTGATTGGCTGCCAAAACGGGAACTTTGAATTCACTGTCATTTTTCTCCTTGATACCATCTGTCCTTTTCCCAGCTTTCAGGCTGAGCCCTATTTAGGGACAGGACACATTAAAAAAAAATTGAGAAGAAGAATCTTTTATTATAACTCATAAATAGCAGGAAATCCTGGGCTCTAATTTCCTACTGGGAGGAAAGATTCTGTTGATAGAAATGGCAATAACGTATCTCAAAGCAGATTTTGTATGGAGCAAGGAAGATTTCTACAAATCCCTATTCTTCCAGAAACATTCATAATTCCTTATACAATGGTCTTGTAATAAATAGGTACATTTGAATAACTCTATGCTACTCAGGGAACTTAAAGTGAACTATCTTTCAAAGAGTAACAATTAAATATTATCTACAGTTGAATAAACATCACTCTAAGGTGTGCAGTGAACATCTGATACCTGAGATCATCTACACATGGCCCCATTGGCCTACATCTTATGTTTCTCTCAGTAGGCAAGGATCTTGGTTGTTTTGACTCTATTACAGCAACTGGGAATGACATTCCTCTTTTTCCTCCTCTGCCTACATAGGGGCATCCCCTGAGGCTCAGCCACTGGCTTTCTTATCTTCTCTCTGCACTCTCTGTAGGAGACTATAATCTGTCTTCAGAGCTGTAACATCCCTCTGCCCATTGGAAAGGAAAGGCCATGACTGATAGACATTAGGAGGAAGATGCAGGAGTATTTGTGCACTATTAGAGGAACGGCAGAGGTAGTTAGTAATTAAGGAAGAAATCAAAGATGACCTCACTCTCCAAAATTTCAACATTTATCATGCCTGTGGAAATGCTTTATCACCGTAAATTCACCATATTTTACAGATGACTACCTCATCTTCCTCCAAAATGAAACCTGCCTCGTACAACAGGTATTTACTGACCACCCCTTTTGTGTTAGGCGTTGGGCTTTGGATGCTTAAACATAGAAAGGCCGATAACATAGAGACGTTGTCCTTGCCTAGTTTACAGTGGAATGAGCAGCACTGCCACGTTATGATACAGTGTGATGATACAGTGTGTTCTATCTGGTTAAGATACAAAGTGCTAGGCCCTAGACAGAGGGTCTCCTGAATCCCCTGGCTCTGTGAACACTGGCATCATTCTTCTTCTCACTCCAGCACAAAGGCTTAGTTATCAGCAATTTTGTTCTGTCCTCCCCAACTCACCCTTTGATATTCAATTAGTCTGTAACTTTCCTGACGTTCTTCAGATTACCCCTTTTGCTTACTTCTATCACAGACCTGAACCCAGGGCCTTAATACCTCCTACTTGGGCTAAGTTCCTTGCTTTCTAAGCTGATTTCTTCACCCCTGAGCTGACTTCCTTCAAAGTTATCCAGGACCCTGTAGTAAGATTAATGTTCCCTAAAACATTTCCTTCTTCCTCCTGAACTGGCACCGCCTGCACATTCACTCATCCAATGGTTAAGGGTGCCAAGAGTGGCTCAGAAGCTCCCCATGGAAGAACTCCAAAACTCTAGCTTTCTTCTGCCTGGCGACACCCTGCCTTTCTGATCTATATTTCCCTCATCTAAAAGTCACCTTTCTACTAGTGCTTTTTCCTCACAATCTCACAACACCTTGCGGGTTCTTATCTCCTCCTTTGCTCTTGCTCCCCTCCCTACCAGGGGACCCCCTGCCCTCATCACAGTCTGATTAAAGTCCTTCCTCTTTCAGGAGGCCTCCCCAACTACTCAAGCCTGTAAGGGGCGAGGACTGAGCAGCAGAAAACATCCTACTCAGTCAGCAGCAAGCCACACTCATGTAAGAATGACTCGCAAAATCCTTAGTCCCACAGGATCTTTTGCTGAATCTCCTCTTAAATGCCTTTCAGGTCTAAATGCCTGTCCTTCAAACTTCCCCATCCGTAGTGGTCTTTTTTCCAGGAGGATGGATTCCTGAATGAAGAGAGAGATTTTAGAAGTCCTAGAGTTTCAAGCCATCTACTTAGATTTATCATTGCTCTCCAGTAAGTATGAGTGGGGTGCTCAGGGTTAAGTGCTGGATCTTGATGGTGGCCCTGTACAAAGGCTAGCACTTTTCCATGGTTTCTCCTCCCCTTGCTTCCCTGTGTTGAGGAGAAACGAAAGAGACAAAGAAACAAGAAGTTTCTATAGATGTCTGTGTCTCAGAGGTGGTCATTACACACTGAGTGTGGGGGTGCAAGAAAGATGGTACCTTAGAGACAAGTAAGTATTTGTTGTTACTTTCACTATGACATGTCAGTGTTATGAGCTGACTCCAAATTTCATGTGCTTTCAGTTTAAAAATGCTTCATGACATCTAAAGAAATGCTGAAGGCGCTTGCCTTCCCAGCAGAAATTCTAAACATGATCATTCCCAGAAATGCTGGCAGAAAGATCACGTGTGAGTGTGGGGCATAAAAGTCAAATGTTTGTGTATTTCTGCATTGGGGGGCTTGACAATAAGAAACAATATTCTGACTCTTTCCTGTATTTCTCTTTTATACTAGAATATTAAAAAGCCAGGTATAATGAAGTGCATAGGAGCTAAATAGAAGCAGCTTTGAATACCTTCATTTTATGTAGATGTTCCAAGAGCTTGCCCAGGCTTCCTCTCTCTCCCTTCCTCTCTCTCCCTTCGCCTGTCGAGTCTAAGGAGACCTGGCAGCCTGAGATACCCTTGGGTGTTCAGGGAGATCTTGAAGGCAGGCGCCTTTGAGGTACGCACCTACCAAAAATGTCACATCACCACCGGTTCTGTTGTTTCACATTGAATGTGAAAGATTCACTAAAAGGTTAATTTCCAGTCTTGTCAAATGTAGATCATTAAAGGCATCGCCTTTTCATGGTACAGCTGACAAAAGTCAGGAGCCAAGAGGGAAGGCAGATGCAAAGGTTGAATAGGCCAAATACTGTGAGAAGCCCTTTGGAAAACCACATCAGGTATTTTTATCTGTACTCAGCAGAAGTAGTGATTGGTGACTATTTGCGGAAGGAAACTGGACGGGTGTCTGCCTTTTTAAATGTTAAAATAGGCCCTGTCTATTCTAGGAATGGTTTTGATAATTATTTTTTCATTCTTTGCCTTTATTCTAGAATAGAGATTGCCCATATTTTAAAAAAATGCTTTTCATGTTTCTATTTGTTTTGATTTCTAGAACCATGTTTAGATGACAAAAACACCAGATTGAAGGATGGTCCATCTGGTATCTTTGGCTTTCATAAAAGCCAGTTTGAATCACATCATGGTTGATCCAATGGCTGGAAAACACATATTTACCCAAAATATGGTTAATTCCGTACTTCTGAATAATCCTGGGTTTTGACTTCTTCAGTTTCTCCCCTTTTTTACTTTCTTCTGTTTGAGAGGCACTGTGAATAGTGGAAGGAGCATGGGATTCAGAGAGTTCCAGATAGGAATTTTAGTTTTTCCATTTAAGAGCAACTGCCTTTGGACAAGATGCTTAACGTCTCTGAACCTCAGCTTCTTCATCTAATGGAAGGATGCCAATAACCACCTCACAGGATTTAGGGTAGTGCTAAATGAGAAAGCCCATGTAGGAATACTTACTGTCGGAGCCAGCAAATTCATAGCGCACACTCCAAAACGGGTGCTCACTATTGACAATGTCATTTCCTGGTTTCTTATTTTTTGATTAGCTCTTTTCTTTAATCTGCTTTCATTCTTAATATGTCTCTTTTCCTTTTTAAAGCATAGAAGTAGTATGTGGGTCTTTTATGAATTTGGGTTGATAGCTGATTAATTGAATATTTAAGAGTTGTTTATTGCTTGTAAACAGCATGGTTTTCTAAGACATTGCATTTAATTAAAGCATGCTTTTCAATAACACTAGTTACCTTGACCAAACTGGAGTTACTGCTTCACATAAAGGACTATTACCTGTCAAGAGACATTTACTCTGCTGGATGAAGAACTGAGGAAGAGTGTCATGACGTTAATTATTTAAAGGCACTTTTCTGAAAACGTGTCTCAAATCCTAATGATTCTGTTCTTTGCCTATAAACATTAGCGATGCCATTCTACACTTTTCACTGAAATGGTTCTAAAAATATAGGAGGGAAATTTTGATGTGTGATAAAAGTTCAGGATGATCACATTTTTCTGCCTGTGTACTTTTGCTTAGTATTACTTTGAAAAACCAGCTGGAATTTTTGAAGCAGCCTCCGTTTTGCTAAAGTCATTTTGTAGGGTGGGCCTAATAATGGCCTGGCACAGGACCTGAACATCGAAAACACCTAAAGAACCTGACACACCTGCAAGGCATTGTAGGGGCGGGAGAGACGGTAGAGAAGTGAGATGAGTGTGTTTTCTTTGGGAAAATAAGTGATTTTTGCTGAACAGCTTAAGGCACTCTGTAAACATTAGCCAAAAAATAAATATTAATTCTCACTGTGGCCTCGGTCCCTTAGTGAAGCCATGCTTACTCCAGGAACTGCTGCGATGAAGAGTGGTGAAAATTCTGAATGAAAAGCAGCCCTCAAAAACGTTAAAACCCATGCTATTAAGCTTTACACCAAAAAATAAATTCGAATTTTTAAAAAGTGAGAAATGGGGAAAAGAAGAGGAGGCTTAGGATGGTCAAGTGGCACCTTTAGCACCTTGTACTTAACCAGATAAGTTCAAGACTGTGTTTTAGGCCGGGCACGGTGGCTCACACCTATAATCCCAGCACTTTGGGAAGCCAAGGCAGGTGGATCCCTTGAGCCCAGGAGTTCGAGACCAGTCTGGGCAACATAGTGAAACCCTGTCTCTACTAAAAATACAAAAATTAGCCAGACGTGGTGGTGTGCACCTGTAGTCCCAGCTATTCAGGAAGCTGAGGTGGGAGGATTGATTGAGCTCAGGAGGTGGAAGCTACACGGAGCCGTGATCTCACCCCTGCACTCCAGCCTGGGCAACAGAGTGAGACGCTGCCTCACTGCTCCCCCACCAAAAAAAAAAAAAACAAAAAACAAAAAACAAAAAAAAACTGTTTTAAATGCATGATGAAAGTTAAAGGGAGAGTCAACCATTGTTTGATTAGTACAGCCCAAAGAATTTGGCCATTTACAAACAGTGCCTTGTCTCGTAGTGTCATTTACCTATATTATTCATATACCACCAGCACCTCAAAAGTAATTAGAGTATCTAAAATAATATACTAGTGATAGGAAATAAATGTAAAAATCCTCATTGAAGGGACCTTATTAGATGCTAATTATTGCTTGGAGCCTAAATCAAAAGGCCTGATGTTTCTTGTGCCTCAGTGAGGATGAGAAATCCAGGGGCTTTGGGTTCCAATCCTGTTGCTATGCCCCTAGCCCTACTGTCTTAATTATTCCTGCTGTCCTCTGATTTCCTCCTCTCTAAGGGAAGTCACAGTATCATTTGAGACATTTAAGAAGAAGAGTATAGCTGTGCTAACTAATGAAGATTAATTCTGTTGCATCTATGGGAGAACATTTTTTTTTTTTTTCAGAAAATGAAAGTTCTTTTCAAATGTTTAGTTTCCCATCTTATTCTTTCTGTTCCTCACATTACCATACGTTTCCTCTTGTGTTCAGGAAAAACTACATACATGTAAAAGCAACAATTAAGTATGAAGATGCTGGCCAAAGTGATCCTTAAACATTTCCATTTATTCGTCATCATCCTTTAATTTTATTTTCCTTCATGCTCAATCCAAGTGGATTTGCTTGAAACAAACTACAGTTTTCCAAGTCACACCTACCACCCAGCAGCTTTGGGATAAAAATGTAATGTAGTCTATTTTACTTTGAAAGGATTCCTTTATTTACTTTGAAAGGATTCCTTTTTCAAGAAATAGCTTTGGAGAAAACAAACAAAGAAAATAACCAAAATAAACTGTCCCTAACTCCTTTTCCTTGAGTATTGAATTTTCTGAAGGAAACCCTCCCTGAAGAATGTTTATATATATATATATCATGAAGTCTAAACACTCTTCATGCTGTGTAGATTCTTAACGGAGCACATTTGTTTGAACCTATGCCCAACGTTAACACTACTTGATATCTGGCTACAAAAATACCCATCAGCTGTGTCGTCTCCCTGTAGCCCCTTGAAAAGGGAGAAGCAAGAATTTGTTTTCTTGAGGCATTCTCAAAGACCGCATACCCAGGCTTTGTTGCTGGGATTCTACCTCTTTCTCCTGGTCTTTGCTCTTCCCTGGACACCAGATCCAGATCCAGATCCAGGTCCAGGAGGGACCAGGAAATCAGGAGGGTCATCCTGGCATCTGCCCATTTGTAGCTGATCAGAGCCTTCATGGCAGCCATGGAAATCATCGTGAAACTGTATTCACAACCCCGTGCCTTCTCGCTGAGCTTTCTCTGCTGCCCAAGGGGTTACCTGTGTGAGGCCTAATTACATCTGGACAGGCAGGCGGCAGAGACAACCCAGGGCCTTTGTCCTTTTTGTCAGTGTGAGTCAGTAGGCTACCATGGAGTCTCCCGGGAAGGGGGTGGGTGTTGGGGGGCAAAAGCCTGATTTTTGTGTTCAAAAAAAAAAATGTTTTTGCAGCTGACAGCTGTATGCAAACAGTAACAGTACATTACAATGAACACCTTAAAATATGAGGAATCAAGACTGTTGACTTTGGGTGAAAAGCGAGTGATTCAGGACCAAGTGATTGAGTAGCTCCGATCAGGTCTGGTTTTATCTCTTCCTGATAACACAGCATTGGTTGTTACAGGGACAAAAGCAGGAGTGATGTATTTGGCTAAATCTTTAATCAATAAAATAGATTAAGGATCATGAATATGGAGTTTTCTTTTCCCCTTAGGATACTTTACTTATACTGTGCTACAATTTAGTCCCAAAGCACTTTCAGTGAATTAGGAAAAGCTGTCACTTCCTTAATCTTGTACCGGCGAACAGCTAGGTCAGCGAGGTACAGGCTGGACACTTTTGTGCAGGGTACATCCAAGCCAACTGTACGTGGCATGCTGCTGAAGTTTTCATCTTCGCGTCTTTCTTCCCTGTTGGTCTCTTTGTACCTCTTTTCTGCTTTTGTCTTATTGATGAACTGTATAATACCAATCAAGAGTGCATGGAAATATACTATTACTTACAGTAGAAACAGTCAGTGAGGGAACCAACTACTCAGTCTCAAAATGCGCTCTCAGAATATCTGGAATGTTTCCCACAGAATTGGTGATGTGTAGAAACAGGCTGTCTTTGATCTGGTAAAGCAAATCCATTTTCAGAAGCTACAATCTGATAAATATCATTCATCCTCCATTTCTCTCCTGGAGTGATGTTTTCCTTTCTTACGGAAAACACATAGCCATAGCTTACTTGTATCAGCATCGTACGATACTAGAACCACTACGCGAAAGCAGTGTCAGTGGCACCACTGGAGTTAACTGTAATTCAAAGGAGCAAAAGCATTACGTATGAGGCTTTCCCATCCTGACTTCTAGAATTCTAGCTTTCCAGTGGACCTCTTGCAAGGAATCTGAAATAGAGAAAGAAACAAAAATATGTAGTATAATTTCACCAGAGTTTTTCCTCAACCTTAATAAGGCTTAAAAGGCCTTTCCCTCCACTGCTGTGTTTGGGAGTGGAGGAGAGTTCCTATTAAATGAAAACACTGATCATTCTCTGTGTGCATAAGCTGCACCCACATAACACTAATGGTTAGCACCTTTAACTCTTGCACTCTGGGATGTAGGACAGATCCTCACCAGGCATCCTCTGTCTTTTCTGTTTCTGACTGCAGACGATAGCATTTCTATTTAGTTTAGAAAGCAGCAGGTGCTGTGTGCATAAGACTTCCAGGCTGCACAAGAAAGCAAGCAGGTTATTGCAGCCACAATAGGATGTAAGAGGAGGTGCACCCTCCCTTTCTGCTGAAAGGCAGAAATGGAGGAGGGGAAGTGTCTGTTGTATGTTCCTTGGTAATTCGTGCTGCAGAGTTGGACTGCTCCCTCTTAGCTTGAAGACACTCATGTCCCCTGAGGCTCACGGGAATGGTCAGTGAGGCCACAAGAAATGTTTTGAAGCCCAGGCGGAGACTTCAGATTCCTTTGCATGTAGAAGTGTTGGCCAAAAATAGCAAATACCAGTCCTTTCCGAAGCCTCTCCCACTCTCTGGGATGCAGACAGTACAGGCAAGCATCACTAGGTGGCACAGCTGTCCTGGTGTCTTACTCTCATGGAGCCACACTTAAAACTGCTGTGGGATGCTTTGATGAAATACCCGATAGGATTCCTGTCCAGAAGGTGCCAATACAGAGCATTCAGGTCAAGTGGAGGATTCTTTTCGCAGGGGATCACTGGATTGACTCTAGGAGAAAGAGAAGCTATGCATGCCGCAAACACCTGCACACCACCATTCATCCTGCCCAGGCTGCTGCTGAGTGGAGCTCAGGCTTGCAAGTTTGTGGATCAGTGTGCCCCACAAAGCGTGCTTATCTCTGCCTCACCCCCTAGGGGGAGTGGGGATAGGGGTAGTGGAAAGTAGGTAGCCAGCCCCTACTTTCTGCTGTTCCCACTCCAAAATGTACATATTTGTCAAAACCTTCCAGATTCCTTCTGAGTGGAGGATGTGGCAGTATCACCTTCTGTCTACCCTGAGTGCCTCACTCCCCTCTTCCTTCTGCCATCCTTCCACACCCTGCTCAGATGCAGCCTTCTGAAGATCAGTCCAGCCCACGATACCCTCCCTGCCACCTGAGGTGCCATAGCATTACGTTGTGTGGTTGTTGAGTCAGCAAACATGGGCTGTGTGTCAGAGCCTAGAGAGCACTACCCTCTCCACTACTTCTGTCACCTCTGGGGAAATGCAGAGGATATATGCTGCCCCTAAGCAGCAGCCACTATAACGTGGTGGTTAGCTGACCAACAGACTTGTTTTGGCTCTTGTTCACCACCTACTAGGTATGTGCTTTATTTTAATAAGTTAGTCAACCTAAGACTTGGTTTCCTCACCCATAAACTGGGATAATAATAGTACCTATTCATTATGATAAGAATTAAAGAGCAATCCTTCATGGAAAGCAACTGGGATGGTGCCTGGCACATAGTAAGTGCTCAATAAAGCAGGTCTTACTCTTATCGCAGGAGAAGGTATCACAGCCAAGACCAACCCCTGACTCTTGTGACTCTGCGCCCTGTGTATGTTTTACTCTTACACATGCTTGCATTCTTTCTACTATGCCATATTGCCTCCTCTTAGTGTTTAGAACATCTCTTGCCCCCCAGTTGTTTGTGCCTTGAGTTCTCTTTTTCACAAACTAGCTTGGGAGCTCCCTGAAGACAGAGACCATATAGAATTACACAGTGTCCTTCTACTTTATTGTCACGATGCTTTAAGAGAGTTATTGACTGTAATTATTAAATTCTAACCATGGAAAACTTCTCAATGTTGACTTTAAAAATTGTTTGAAATTTTTTAGAATTATTGATATCATGAGTGAAGTAGGTTCCCAAACTATATTTCAGAGGACAAAGTTTGTACACGTTTTCCGTAAAGGGCCAAAGAGTAAATATTTTAGACTTTGTGAGCCACGGGTGCGTGTCTCATGACTCATCGCTGCGGCTGCAGTGTGAAAGCAGCCATGGACGGCATGTACACAAATGAGGTTGGCTGTGGGCAGTGAAAATTTACGAAAACAAGCAGTGGCCAGATCAGACCACATGGGCAGTAGTTTTCTGACCCCTGCTCTAGGAGGTGATAAAAAGTGTTCAGGGAAATGGGTTCTGTGGTCATATCAAACGTGTTGGCTATATATTGATTTGAGTCATCTCACTGCACAGCACTCATTACCATATTAAAAGCCTCTGAGAAGTCCTGCAGTTAAGAAGTACTTGGGCCGAGTGCCGTGGCTCACACCTGTAATCCCAGCACTTTGGGAGGCTGAGGCAGGCAGATCACTAGGTCAGGAGTTCGAGACCATTCTGGCTAACACAGTGAAACCTCGTTTCTACTAAAAATATGAAAAATTAGCCGGGTGTGGTGGTGTGCGCCTATAATCCCAGCGACTCAGGAGGCTGAGGCAGGAGAATCACTTGAACCCGGGAGGCGGAGGTTGCAGTGAGCTGAGATCATGCCATTGCACTCCAGCCTAGGCGACAGAGGGAGACTCCATCTCAGAAAGAAAAAAAGAAAAAAGAAAGAAAGAAGTACCTGTAGCTTTGTCTGACCTATAGTTTCCCCACTTCCGTAAGTGTGGAATATATTGTCCATAGCCTATCAGTGCGTTAACATCCTGCAGACTGGTACTCCTCATGCTACCAGTTAGAAATGCTGGATTTTTTTATGTTGACTCACAAAAGTCCACCTACTGTATTTTTTATGGTAGCATCTTTGCATTTATAGTATTATTATTTTCGTTTGAGGACATGGACTTGTATGATCACTGAATTCTGCAACTTTGTGTTTGTCCACCGAAAGAATTTGGCACCTCATCAGAAACGAGCCTCATGCATTAAATCCAAATGGGAGGATGTTAGACGGGGGGATATCACCATGCTCATCTCTGTGCTGAGCTCCAACGTAAGTGGGAGTTCTGAGAAGCCGTGTGGTTTAATACATCTGTCTCCTTGGCTGCTGTGCCAGCTTTTCATGACAGTGCTTTTCATCATCTGAAACATGTAATTGCTTTTGACGACAACAAGAGAATTGTGGCAGGAGAACTCTCCGCAGTTTCCGAAAACACTGAGCCTCCAGCATTTCAGGTCCAGTCAACTTCAGCAGATGTGGTGTTGGGACACGAGGGTGTTCAGATGTGTGGGGGTGTCCAAGGGGGAATGATTCAGAGCCACTGCCTCAGTTTTTAAAGTAAGGATTCGTGGATAGTCTTTGTCCCCAGTACAAAGGCATAGCGGAAAACCAAAGTGGAAGATGGTGTGGAGGAAGAGGTTCAAAGGTGATTTTGTTTTTTGCATCAGGATGATCCTTGACTGTGTCTGAGGCCAAAAGTAAGTCTTGACTCCCATGAAACTCCAGGAAATGGCCGGCACTTGAAGAGCCGTAAAGAAGCAGCCCAGACCTCACTCTCCTGCCAGCCCCTACTTAAAACCACCCCTTAGGCTTCCCACACAGATGAGAATTGTTCAGGGGGACTCTATGGGTCCTGTTGGACTCGACGTCAAAGTGTCCTGAGTCCTGAGCTTATGACATTTCTACAACTGCACACAGCAGCAGATAGTCCCTGTCAGGCAGAATAATCGGAAACAGGCTGGCTTCTCCGCCATGACGCTCACCGGGCTTTCAGGGCAGGGGCTGTCACGAAGATATCTGGGGTGTGGGGCAAAAGGAAAAACAGTTCCCCCGGGACAGGAGTCTTGTCCTCTCTGCCGTGTGACTCTTGACAGAGGGCAGAGACCCTGCATCTGGAGTGTGCCTGTGCCTCTCTCACCTCCATGGTCTTGCTGAGCCGCTAATGCCTCAGAAGGCCTGGCTCACTGGAAAGATGAAACCAGGACACAGTGTTCAGGTCTCGTTTCCTGGGATAAAGTGGGTACTCAGGTAAGCAGAACTGGATAACCTAGGAACAAGTTATCAAAGGCTTACGCATGAGAACAGGCCAAGCAGACCTGCATATAATTTCATCAGTAACACCAGCATAATCTTACTTAAAGTATTGTTGATATTATTTAGTTTCAAATAGAATTTAAAGGGAAGAAGTATGAAGGATAGTGACTTAAAGTACACAGAAACTGTTGTACAGTTTTGAACACCCAGGTTACACACTTTATTCAAATGCTGGTAGCCTCTTTTAGGTGTGTGTTTTCTTTTCCAAAGCCATATCTAAATGCTTACTTACATAAACACGTGAGTCACCTCTGCATTCTGGGGAGTTTTAACGTTGCTCATTTTTGCCACAATAGGAAGAAGTGTCTTGGTTTGGATGGTTCTGTCGTGGAAAATGGGTCCGCAAGAAATGCTTGTTGAATGAATGATGATATCTCCCTTTTAATAGCTGGGAAAACCAAGGCAAAAAGTCATGGCCGGAGGACCACACTTCACTTCCTCTGCTTCTCTTTCTGGGTCTATTGCATATATAAATAATTTGGGGGCAATAAAGGATTGGAATTTTATGTGTACTATCAGATGCCAAAAAAGGGGAAAAATGTTAAACAGTCATTTTAAAAATGGAACAATACCGCAAAATGAGTGATGCTTCAGATTTTTCATTGAATTTTGTTTTTGTTTTTGTTTTTGTTTTACCATTCTCGACACCTTTATCCTGATTTATGTCTCAAGAACAAGGGAAGAGACACTCCAAGGAGAAGTTCCATTTGCCCTTTTAAGAAGGTAGAGAACACATTGAGGCTGTAATTACCAAGCCCTCTAGAGGCACTTCTATGGTGTTAATGCATTTTATGCCCTCCCACTTGCAAAAACCCAAGTCCTGTTGCTTTCCTCTTCAGGAAAAATGTGAGTATAGAATGAGAAAACTGGTCTTCCTTTTGAAATCGTTTGAGAGTAAGGGAACACAAATCAGTCCCCTGGTCAGTCTGTCTTATTTCCTAATCCTGTGTGGCAAGGGCTTCTGCAGGGGGCCCAGGCCATGTGCCAGGTGACCTGAAGAGAGCTAGTGCAAATCCCTGGATGCTGGGCATAAGGACGGTCAGAACCCACTCATCCATGGCATCAAAGAAGGCCCTCTGTGGTTTTGAAGGCCGCTCAGCATGCCAGAGACCCAGACCCCTTCTAGAATAAAAAGAGAGAATCCTTATAGGTTTCACACCAGAGGTGGCTGTGGAACGGCTGGTTGCCCCAGTCAAGGTAAGAAATGAAGGACTAGGTAGAGCTGCCTCAGCGGTTGAGAACTCCGAGGCAGCCATTTCGAGCAAAAGATGCTCTCCAAGAAGGGCCTTGAGCTTGCAAATATCAATTCCACTTTGACAAAGTATGCTGTTTGGCAGGAGGCTGGCTCTGAATACCTCCAAGAGTCCTCGTTTTTCATCAGAGCAGCCTCGAAGTCAAAAGAACCTTACTTCAGGTTGACACCAGAGGAGGCTGTTTCTTCCCTCTCTGTTGAAGGCTGTTTTTTCCCTCTCTGTTGAAGGCCTGTTGGCATCTGTTATCAATTCTAGCTCCCTTTCCTCAGTTCAGTCCTGGATCCTGCTGTGTAATATTCCACCCAGTCCAGCTGGGGTTTGTTGATTTGCTTAAAAAATATTAAGCAACATTTGTCAGAGGCACCTTGCTGCTTGGTATAGGGACCTGGGGATCACCCTGCATTTGCATGAACATCTCTGCAGTACCCTTCCTGCGGCTCGCCTCTGGCTCACTCAGGTGGATCTCTAAGCTGCTCCAGCATGGTGGCAGCAGGATGATTGCGACACTCAGTTCCATGTGCCCACGACCACCTTCCCCTTTGTGAGAGGCTTATTGGCTAATAGAAACCTGCTGGCTGTCTCCCCACCACCTCTCCTGGCGGAGACTATTCCCTAGGACAATTATCAAAGCTGAGAAAGAGCTGACCATGTTTTGCCAGAATGGGGTGAAGGAAGTTGAGTTTGCACAAGGGCCATCCTGTGTGTACAGTGCCCTCCAGCCAGACGTAGATTCCTCTTTTTCCTCATGCTAATTAAAAGGGAAATTTATTTAAGACATACCTTCATATTTCTCTCCACTACCTCCCCTGCCCTCCTTTCCCTCTCCCATGCACACATGTAGCTTCTGGTGGAACTTCTGAGACCTAACTGCTTCCTCTCACTTCCTCCCCTTTTCTCCGTTGATCTATCCTGTCCCCGGATTTCTCAGTCCTTGCTTTCTTTTCTCTCTGCTCCCCACCGACCTTCCAGCCCTCTCTTGTTCTGGTCTGAGGTTGTTGCAGTGGGGGTTGCAGATGTCTGGGGGAGACTGCCAGGAGACAGAGACAATAGTTGTGCCTGTTGTTCTCTGCATGCCACGAAGTCCTTTTCCCTTAGCATTTGCTTCTGATTTAAGGGGGAAAAATATGGCTTTATGTGTTTTTATAGCTAAAGTGATCAGACATTCCGTTTGTGTTGAGATTTTAGGTCTAGAAAGGAATGGAATGGGGAGTAGGGATGTAGGCCAGTCCCTTGTCAGATTTTTGATTTGCTGGACACTGCAGTATGCCTTGAGGCCCAGCCTCTCCCTGACTCCTGGCCAGGGCCTGCCCTCATTCTCTGCACTGTCTGACCTGTTCTAGGGTCTTCTTCTCCCCTCTATACCTGGTACACCCCTTGGATGATCTGGGCACCTTGTGATCCCAGCACAAGCAGTGCTATGCAGCTTGGGTGCCTCAGAGTACTCACCTTCCCCACCTTCTGTCCTTGTCTCAGCCTTTTTACTTCAGCGCAGCAATTGAAAGATGCTGCCCCATACTCCCCAGCTTCTCAGTCATTAAAGTGCTTAACATTCAGCCGGAGGTCTGTTTATAACCCAGGTATTCCCGAGACTGAGTGCTGTATAAAGGAAAGAGGTTTAATTGACTCACAGTTCCACATGGCTGGGGAGGACTCACAACCATGGCGGAAGGTGAATGAGGAGCAAAGTCACATCTTACATGGCGGCAGGCAAGCATATGCAGGGGAACTCCCCTTTAGAAAACCATCAGATCTGGTGAGACTTATTCACTATCATGAGAACAGCATGGGAAAGACCCACCCCCATGATTCAATTACCTCCCACCTGGTCCCTCCCTGGACATGTGGGAATTATGGGAGCTACAATTCAAGATGAGATGTGGGTGGAGACACAGCCAAACCGTATCAGCTACTAAAATGAAAGGTGATTAATCTGATGAGTATATCAATATTAACTGAGCTAAGGAGAAAGCCAGGGACAGCCCTTCACATTTTCCCGAGTGCCCCCAAGTACAGCAGCTTCCTAGACATAACTCATTTATTCATTCAACAAATATTTCTCAAGTGCCTCTTGTGTGCCAAGTAATGTTTTAGACCCCAGGGCAGTGCTTCACAGACTTTAATGTGCATGCAGATTACCTGGGGATCTCTGAAAATGCAGATTATGATTCAGTAGGTCTGGGATGGGGCCTGAGATTCTGTATTTCTAGCAGGCTCCTGGTTGATACACATGCTGCTGGGAAATGGAGCAATCATACCTGATGAGTGTCTAGAACAGTGCTGTCCAGTGGAAATATAGCGTATATATGATAAGCACAGACACAGTGTTAAATATTTGTGTGACCATGTTTTTTAAGAATTGAAAAGAAAAAGGTGGAATTAATTTTGGAGATACATTTTTTAACTCAATATATCCAAAATAGTACAATTTTAATGTGTAATTCATGTAAAAAAATTGAGATATTTTTATTCACTTCCAACTCAGGTGTGGATTTTGCACTGACAGCACATTTCAGTTGGGACTGGCCAGGTTCAAGTGCTCGGTGGCCACAGGTGGCTGGTAGCCACTGTATTAGCACAGGTCCAGATAATGTCCTCATCACAGGGCGACTCGGCAGAGTGACTCTGAGAGGAGCGGAAGGTGACATCAAGGTGTCTCTGAGAGGAGCAGAAGGTGATACCAAGGGCCTGGCATTTGGGTTACAGGGCCACGTGGCCTCCTCACTTGAGGAGCAGTCTGAAAGGCATGAATCTTAGACCAGCGAACTTCCCATCCCCTTGAGGAAAAATGAAATAAAAACCTCAGGACACAAGCACAGTCTCTTCCTAGCAGAGGAAGCTAATTGCTTTGGGGTAGGCCAGATTTCCTTTCCTTCCCAAGTGTTATGCCCATCCTGCTTCATTAAAATGGAATCTCTTTAAACCCTACAGGTGAGTTAGGGAGGGGGTGGGAGGAGCCTGGGGTCCGTGTTTGTGGCTCTTTTTAGGTTTGTTTCTGATGTCCAATCCTTTGAGCACAGCTTTGCTCTGGGAACCAAATCCTGACTTGTGCATTACTGCAAATTCTCTTGAAGTTTCAGACTGCTTGGGATAATCTGGACACAAGAGCAGGCTACACAGTGCTTAAGAGTCACCACCTGTCGTACCAGCCAAACAAAGCAAAGGGACCAGGTTAGAGGAGTTGGGGACATTAAAAAAAAATAAAACCCTTTGCTTCCTTGCCTCCTGCCTTCTTCTATAGTCCCTAGCCCCTGCACTCTGTGCTTTTATAAGTATATTAGAAGGTACTTTATCTTTACTGGCAGTGTATTGGGATGTGGCAAATGTACCTGCCGTGGGAGGGAACTGTATGACAGGCATAAACCCAGGCCACAGTGCATTTCTATGGTTAGGTGGAATTAGCTCCAATGTCTGATGTCCAATTAGCTCTGATGTCCAGGTATTTAAAAATTACTCTATTAGAGTAATACATTCTGAAATAGCGTTTAAGGGCTGGTCTAGTGACAGTAGAAAACATTTATGTAGCACTTCTTGGTTATGTTTTTAACCTTCTCTCATTTCATTTTTACAAAGTTCTTGACAGGTAAGTATTTTCTGGAGGAGGCAAAAGGACTGAACTGGAGTTCTCATCTGTGAGATGAGGAGTTGGGAGGCATGGATCTCTCCAGTCCAATTTGTCCTGTACTCTGTCATCTGTGGTTGACTTGTGCATTTGAATGTCCAGGCCCTGTGGGTTAGAGTGTTAGCTCTGAGGTTAAGTTACCTAGATTGGACGTGGGGCAGAATGTTTGCCCTCTGTAAATATCTGTTTTTCCATCTCTAAAATGGGAATGATAATTGCACCCACCACCTAGGGCTGAGATAGCATTAGATGAGATCATCTGTGTAAAACGCTTTTTAAGTTCTTAGAAGTCTTCCCATCACCATCATCGCCATTGTCATCGCCATGTCCATCACTCTCAGCCTGCTGTCTGTGTCTGACTGCAGTTATAAACAATGTGAGCAGGATGAAGGATATGCATAAACTTGCCCTTGCTCAGTTTCTCTGCTATCCACATACCCCAGTGCACTCTTTGATGCATTGCTTTAGAAGGGGAGAGTCTGGGTGTCTTTGCTACTGTTTCTATTTCCGTAAGAAAAATGGCCCATGAAGAAACTTAAAAACTGCAAGTTTGAATTTCTCCAGGCAGGCAAAAATGAGGTAAATAAAGTAAAGGACTTGGCTGGCAATTCCCAAAGAAGCAGGCTATGGAGGGACGAGGTCCCGAGTAGGTAGGAAGGCTTATCGAGAGAAGCTGCTGGTTCATGCACTGGCATCATCCGCTATTGAGTTATCTTGTGTCCGCTCAGCCAGCTAAGCACAAATTAATCTCTCATGGCTGACCAATTACGTACAGTCTTTTGTGAGAAAACAAGTTAAAAGAAATGCATTAGGTAAAGAAAGGGCTAGCAGCTCTTGAGGTGGGAGGAGGGTGGGCTCACACAGTGTTAGAAAGCATTTAACTACACATCCGTACTCCAGCGGGTAGTATCAGAATGTGTCTGAAAGTAACGATATCTAATTGTGTGTTTGTGTGTTTGTGTGTATGTGTGTGTGTGTGTATTTATTCATTAGGACTAGGGTGACCAGGCACCCTTGCCATCTTGGAACAGTTCCAGGTTACCACTGTTGTCCCTGGATAATTATTGATAGCACCTTCTTTCATGGTTTGGACAATAAATTATATGGTCACCTTAATTAAGACCACATAGCCTATCTGTATATATAACAAATACACATGATTTGTCATGCTTGGAAAAGTCTAATAGGCTATTGTTGAGGTATGCCTTTTTTGTTTTCTCTAGAAACATAAAATCAAAGTTGTATTCCGGAAAGGATTTAGCCTTTGGAAAAAGGCCAACCTAGACGCTATTGTAGAGAATGGCTGAGTGTGGTAGTTAAGAGACGAGGGTCTGATGCTGATCACGCAGGTTCCAGCCCCAGCTCTGCTATGTATCAGCTGTGACTCCTTGGGCAAGTTATTTAACCTCTCTGTGTTTGTTCTGTGACCTCTGAAAAGGGCATAGAGGTACCTACCTCATAAGATTAAAAGGAGGATTCAATGAATTAATAGTTAACACACATGAAACTGACTGACGTTAAGTCCTTAGTAAATATTTGCTATTACTTTAGTCCCAGCTTTATTGTTCATTAGCTGTTGGGGCATGGGGATGAACCTCTCTGAGCCCTATTTCCCTCATCTATAAAATGAACATACTAGCTGGGCATGGTGGCTCGCGCCTGTAATTCCAGCACTTTGGGAATGTGAGGCAGGAAGATCCCTTAAGCCCAGGAGTTCGAGGCTGCAGTGAGCTATGATTGTGCCAGTGCACTCCAGCCTGGATGACAAAGTGAGAGCTGTCTCTAAAATAAATAAAGTAAATAAATGAATAAAATAAAATGAACCAATGAATTTCCACCCCCTGGAAATATAATAAGCTTCAAATGAGATAAAATATGAAGAGTTTAGTGTGGCGCCTGGTTGTCAATGGATGCTCGACAAATGTTAATTTCTCCTCCTTTTCTTACTGCCTTCCTTCCTGCTTTCCTCCTTTTTTCTAATAGGATGGAAAGCACCTCTGATAGCTCATTGAATTCATCTCTCCTCCAGTTTGCTTGTTTCATGGAAGATTTAAAGTTGTTTTCTGTGACGTCACTGGCATGAGGCTGTGAAACCTACCAGTGAGATAAGTTAAGCTTCCTAAGGGTTACCTCTGTCATCTGCATGATGCAGAAAGACTGTGAGCCTGGGATGTGTGTAGTGATGACAGGCAAAGAGAGTTTTAAAAGTTGTCTTAATTTTTACAGGCTTCTGGAGGATCTGTTGCTGATTGCACTGGTGAGTTTTGGGTTTTTTTTCCATCTCCCCATTCCTGACTGTCTCCCCTATGGTTCACCCAATGTCTATGAGTTATTTTAGCTTCCAGTAATATTTCCATTTCAGTCAAAACAACAATGAAATAAGCCTGGCAAAGAAAAATCTATATGATAGCTGGTTTTACAAAGGAAGGCATAATTACAAAATACTATAGTTGCTTTTGGTTTCTGTGGGGTCAACAACACCTAACCAAGAGTTTTATCAATAAAAACAACCTTTGAAAAAATGAGTGATTATTGATTATGACTATAAAGTATAGATCTTTTGAAGTATCTGCATTCATTCAGCCTCCAGATGGATGAGTTTTTACTTGTCTGTAATCCATCCATCCATCCTTTCATTCATTTTATTTATTCGATGAATATTTTTAAGTGCTTTGTGCCAGGTACTGTGACACGTTCAGGGGATGAAATGGCAAAAAAAGAACTGTATTTGTCCTCATAGGGTGTACGGTCTACCTAGTGTACACATCACATGCTTGTCATCATTTAAACACACTCCAAGACTCATCAAATGTCCTGAAATGCATCAGAAAAAGAAAAAAAAATAAAGCCCGGAAGGAAATGGAGGGAAAAGATCAGTATTACATGTAGAAACAGGCAAAAAGCTTTATATCAATGTTTTGCGAGAAGATAAAATAGGTATCGTGAGCTGAGGTCAGGCAAGCAGACTAGAGAAATGAAGCAAGCATTTCATGTGAAAGCTTCCAAACTGTTCTTTTTGCAATTACTAGTTTTAGCTCAAGCCTGAACCCATATTCTTGCTTTGCTTTTTCACCTCATTTGCCTTAGACAAATTCTGATGGGATGTATTAGTGTCCCATATACCACCTACCTATTTAAGATAAAGCCTACTTACAGCTAATAGAAAGTGGCACTATAATGTATATTTCATATATTTTATATATATATATATATATATATATATATATATATATATATATATATATATCAAAGCTTGTGATCATAGCCATTAGAATTATGTTCTTGTAATATGGGTGATACACACAATTTACGAAGTTGGAATGTTTGGGGAGGAATGTAATTGGAAAACTACCATCAACAAAATGGCCCAAATTCTTTACCAAATAGCATTAGTTAACCAATGTTTTCTAACACTGATTGGCAAAGAAAGTGCATCAGAATTACCTGGGTCCTTTGTTAAAAAGGCAGATTCCTGGGCCCAGCCTCACCTGCTGAATGAAAATGTCTGGAGGTGGGATCTGGGGATTTGCATTTTTAACAGATTTGGTAAGTTCCCATGCACATTGAAGTTTGCAAACTATCAAGCTGGTCCATCTATTTTTTTTTTTTTTTTTTTGAGACAGAGTCTCACTCTGTCGCCCAGGCTGGAGTACAGTGGTGCAATCTTGGCTCACTGTAACGTCCACCTCCCAGGTTCAAGTGATTCGCCTGCCTCAGCTTCCTGAGTAGCTGGGATTACAGGTGTGCACCACCACACCCAGCTAATTTTTGTATTTTCTTAGTAGAGACAGGTTTCACCATGTTGGTCAGGCTGGTCTCGAACTCCTGACCTCGTGATCTGCCTGCCTCGAACTCATGACCTCGTGATCTGCCTGCCTCGGCCTCCCAACCATCTGTTTTACCAAGGAAGAATGTGAACCTCAGCCTCAGAGAACTGTCTCTGAGAAATGGACAAAGCAATAATGCAGTAAAAAGAAAAAAGAAAGAAACCAGACACCTTTCAGATTCTTCACAATTCCCAAATGCCAACATTTCTAACATTTGAGGTTGACAAGAGCCCAACTGTATTTTGCCAGATTTTTCCCCTCAAATTTTACCTCCCTCTCCCAAGCATTTTTAGGGAATTCAGTCCATGTGTTCTTGATAGTCCTGCACTAAACTTATCGAAAATGTCATTTTGTAACAGTGATTTGGTTGCCCTGTAGTGTTTCAAAATCTTTTGTTCCTCCTTAGAAACCAGAAGTTGTACTTGGCCAAGGACGAGCTAACCCCAAACAGCAAGAGGTTTGAGTTGGCTCCAAAGCACAAGCCTCACAAATATCCCGTGAGTCTCCCACAGGCTTGGGGCTCTCTGTTTAGAATTAGAACCTAATCTTCAAATATCCCTTTACCCTCTTGCCTCAAAAAGGAAGGCAGTGAAGAGCAGCAGCAAGGCATCCTGGATGAGCACTGGAAGGGGAGAATGCTCATGTTTTAGTCGTGGGCTTTCCACCAGTTAGCTGTGCAGCTTTGGGCAGATACTTGAACTTCTCTGGTGCTCTGTTTCTTCATGTTTAAATGAGAGGATTAAACTGTATGACTTTTGGGTCGAAAGTACGTCTCTGCCATCAGTATCATAACAATTATTGAAATTGCTGCCTAGAATCTTCCGCTACCACAGTGTATTTTGATTGGACTGTTTATTGCCTTAGCAAACACAATGCAGTGCTGTGTCTTTGGCATCTTGCCAGGAAAGATGAGCCAATTTTCTCGTGTTGCTTCTGGATGTCAAAACATTCTCATCTGACCATGCCACAGAAGAAGTTTGTTGAGAGTGTGACTGACTGACATAATGACTGATTGGCTGATAACGGCAGCTGACAGTGATTGATTGAGTGTAAAATTATCTGTTCTCATTACTTCTGAAATTGAATTCAGATTGGTTCTATTGGAGGGTTTCCATGGAGACCATAACCTGCTATAGCAAGTGTTTGTGGATGCAATGTTTTATTGTGATCAATACCTGTTTCCTCTGCTGGTCCAAAGAAATTATTAATGATTATAGTCAAGTAGAAAGAGGCAACCATATATAAGAAGAAAAAAACTCTCATATTTTGTCTCATTGCTACATAAAACAAATGTGGGCCTTCCCAGACTTGCGCTTTGGCTAACTAGTTCATAATACGTTCGATAACTTGCCATTCTTCTTTTGCTATTAATGCAGAGGGTTTGCTTTGGAAAAAAGAAAAGTATTTCTAGGACTCTTTCTCTCTTTGAAGAAGATCAGAATAATAGACGAATGTTCATACTTGGTTTTTTTTTAAATGCGATGTTACAGAAACAACAAACATTTAATCAAATCTTAAACACACCCATGTTAATGCAGAGACAGAGATGGTCCCTCAGGCTTTTTCTGGGTTGTTTCCATGAATGATAAAGTCATTAAACAATTTCATAGGCTTGCCTTATTGATCTCTCACAATGGCATGCTATGTCTGCTCTTCAGGAAAGCCTTTCCTGACTGCCCCCATCAGAGTTAATTACTACTTACTCTGTGTTCGCATGGCCTTCTTCCATCTTCTATTATAGCATTCATCTCAGGCCACCTTGCCTTACAATTACTTGTATCTCTTTTTCCCACTAGATTATGACCTCCTTGAGGACAGGGTGATTTTCTTGTTGCTCTTTGTATTATCCTCAGCATCTAGGTGAATCTCTGATACATCACAAGGGTTCAATAAATGCTCATTGAATTGAATTAACTGGATCTGCATTCCAAGGTCATCTCTTCCTAGACTGGTGTTGAATGGGATTCCCATGAAGTGAGGCAGCAGAGTGCGTGCTTGCTGGTTCTGTTGCTTTGTCTCCTGCCCTGTGGCTGCGTCTGTGCCCAAGAGGATTGTTAGGATATATTGTGCTACAGGAGATTGATATTGTATAGGATGTCTGTACAGCTTATAGACTGGTGCTGACCGTACTGAAATGATGGTGGGAGGATACCTAATAAGGATTCTATTTTATGCTTAGCTGTATTCATTCATTGGTTTGGTTGGAATCTGCTTCAGCGTACTTCCTCTACCCAAATTTGGCTCATTAGCTGAAATCACTTTGGGATGAATCCACTGTTAATAGTGGCTAACATTTTTCATGCACTTACGACATGTCTGGCACAGTACTAAGTACTTTACATATTTTTCAATTCTTACACATTGCTCCCATTATCCCATTTTGAAGATAAGGAGACTGAAGCACAGAGTGTTTATTTCCTAAGGTCACACAGCTAGGAAGTAGAGGAGCTAGGATTTGAATTCCTATAGTCTAGCTTCCTACCCCATTCTTAAGCTATCTACCCTGTTGCCGCCTGACAAAAGTGTGTTTCAAAATTTAATTCCTGAACTGACTGCATCAAAATCCCCTGTAGTGTTTGTTAAAAGTGAAGATACCCCAAGACCTACTGATTCAGGTTGTTTTCACCGAGGCCAGCAAATCTGCACCAACATGTTTTATTCTGTTCTGTACCTCAAGCTTTGATGCTGCTTTGTTTTCTTGTTTTGGGAGAAGGGCAGGGGTGGGGGTGGAGGCAAGCGAGTCCAATACTACAACTTTAGAAATCTCTGCTCTAGGGTGAACACTCTCTTTGAGACTTCTAAATTAAAGTCAAGTCTTTTGGATTTTTGTTTCTTTGTACTGCCTAACTTTAGAAAGACCTGGAAGCGGTAACATGAAAACATTTTTAGAGAGAATTACCAGGCATTTTTGGTAGAATGAGTGTTTAATGGAACAGTCCAGAGAACTCATCAAAGATGTTTATTAAAACGCGCAGACCTGCTCCAATTAAGGGCCCAGTCAGTGGTGTTAACAGTGAAGGGACTGTTCCAGAGGCGTGCTGCACGGGACGCCCACCCCAAATACAAATGGTTTGCCAGTAGCTCACAAATGAACCCCATTGCCTTGCACTTAAGCTTCCTGAAGCACATACATATCCTGCTTTGTGCTTTCCGCCCTATAGTAAACGCAAACCAATGGAGATGTGAAGCAATCTAATAGCAACAAGGCAAACCTCTACTTCCTCTAAAGAGGATTGCATCCTCTTGCTATCTTTGCCGATGCTCTCCTACAGACCCATCCCTGTCATGTCTTTCCTGTCTTTCTAGTAGAATTCTGGCTGCTCCCGTAGGACCTCCTTGCGGGAATTTTCCCTGGTTGCTGCCTCCAAGGAGAGGCTCCCCACCAGAAAGTTTTAAGAGGCTTATGCTTCTGGGGTTAATGCGGTCCTTTCTGTCACCTTGTTTTCTGTTCCTAGTTATCTTTCGGTAACTTTTTTCCTAAACTACTCTGAAAGGCATAGACTGTCTCTTGAAAGCTCATCTGTTCTTAACCCCTTTCCCTCATTCCACTGACTGCAGCATCTTCCACATACCATTCCCTCTTAGCATTTATGTCCATGTCATGCTTTTGTTGGTTTATTTGTGTATTTTCTGCTTCCCACCATTAGATCATTTGTAGAATTAATGAATGCCTATGGGTTAATAGATTTTTCGCTGTATCCTCTTTTCTCTGTATCTCTCTGCCCAGTTGCTTAGAAATGCTTCTGTTTGTGTATTTGTATCCACCTTCTTTGGGGAGAGTTATGACCCTGGTCCTTATGCCATCAGTGGTATTGCAATTTTGTATGTAGCATGACCATTTTTAAAAATGACATTTCATAGTGAGTGATTCAGACACCTATCATTCAGCTTACCTGCCGGGGCCCTCCAAAATGAGCAGAAGGCCTCTGTCTCATTCTAGAAGCTTGAAGGTCTCCACGTGGTTTGCCCAGGGGCCCACAACCTCCCTGCAGTCCAGGAGTGCTCCCATTAACCCCAGCTGTGTGATTCAGACCAGATTCTTAGGACTTTTTAAGTGAAATGGGACAGAAAATTGCTTGATGTATTTTGCCACATGAAGTACATTTTGCTGCCGCTTAGTTCTTTATTGTCGTTAGATTAAAAACTCTCCTAACGTTGTGTGGGTAAGTAAAAATCTTTTTATTTTTATCTGGTATGTTTTGAAAAAAAGGAAAAAAGAAACTAGACATTGTCAAAATATTTGCTTAATCTTGCAGATTTGGGAAGTTGTATAGCCACTCGCTCTGACAGACCAGAACAATGGTCATTAAATGAGAAGCAGATGTAATAAAGTATGCAGTAAAAGCCTTCTATTATGGGCTGGAAGGGGAAAAAAATGAGTTGTTAACAGAACACAGTAAGCATTATGGAATAAATCAGAACAAAACCATTCCCAATTACTGTACAAAGATAATTAAAGTCTACAATGCTAATTAAGGTCTGTTTATATCTATTTCTGTTTGTGTACAAACATATGCGCATAGTTAAATATTTTCCATTGTTTTTTATGTGATGCTAACTTCATAGTTGAATTTTTCTGAATTTAACTTTTGTTTTTATGTTACCAGGAAGTACAATCTCCAGAAAACTGAAACTCCAGCTTTTCCTCCTTGATCGTAGCTTATTTTTCTTGGCTAACTTCAGAAAATTCTTCAAGTATGTAACACTACTTCCTTGAGTGGATTTTTTTTTTTTTTTTTTTTTTTGGTCTGTGATGTTTTTAGTGGAATCAACCAGGGTTCCCAGCCCCCACTATTAAAAAGAAAAAAGATTTTTTTTTTCCTTGAACTTGACCAACATGCACAATTATAGTCACACATCAGAGTTACACAGGATTACAAAATGTCTTTTGGATATAAATCTCAAATAAATTCAAACTTGAAGAAAAAGAAATTGGTAAATAATCCTCCCTACTGGCAGTTCCCCAGGGTTTTCTTCACAGACTATAAATATCACATAAATATTCCCTGACCTGTAAGCTATAACTTTTGGATGGATGTCAATGGTTTTTTAACAGGGAATAACAATGAACTGTAATTGTCGTTCAGAAGTGATCAGTTAAACAATTAGAAAGGCAACAGCTTTCAACTAAGATCCAGGAATAGCCTCTATATAGACTGACTCAAGCAGTCTGAGAAACGTAAGAAAATCACTTTGTGCCACCAAATAAATCAAGAATGACATTTTTAAAAGAAAATGCTAGATACTCCTTTTTTCCTTCTTTCAAACCCACCTGCTTCCTCTTTTTCCCCCTTAGTTTCAGTCCATCAAGGATTTTATATAGCTGCAATTTCAACACATTTCTTCCTTCTAGGATTAAACTGAAACAAAAAGAGCCTGTGTATGATACAGAACTTTAACAGTCTTTAAATAGCTTTGGCAAGCCTTCATTCTAGACCAGGACTGTCCAATTGAACTATAATGGAAGTGGCATATGTAATTTTAAATTTCCTAGTAACTACCTTAAAATGAATAAAAATAAATAGGTGAAATTAAGTTTGATAATGCAGCTTATTTAACGTAACATATCCAAAATATTTTGGTTTCAACATGTAACCAATATAAAATAATAGTTAATAAGATTTTTTTTTTTGAGACATGGTCTCACTATGTTGCCCAGCTGGTCTCAAAGTTCTGGGCTCAAGGAATCTTCCCACCTCAATCTCCCAAGTAGTCGGGACTATAGGCATGCACCACCATGCCTGGCTTGTTGATAAGATATTTTACATCCCTGTTTTCATACTAAATCTGGAAAATCTGGTGTATGTATGCACTTTACAGCACATCTCAATTCAGACTGGCCACATTTCATATGTGCAAAAGCCATGTGGGTTGGTGGCGACCAAATTGGACACCATAGCAAGTAAATAATACTTGAATAAGAACCACTATTAAGTTAATAAAATCTGTAGGCTTGAGTGTCTTATTTATATGGAGCTACTATCTAGGTCAATTTGGAGATAAAGAATGAATCACCCTCTGTCTCTCACTTGGTTGGTGATGGATTTGGAGAAAGAAAATGGCAGGAGGTCTTAACAAATTTGAAGGGTCCCACTGAGAGCAAAACTGGTTTTTGTTTTTTTTTTCAGAATAAAGCTATAAATTTGGGGCTCTTGAGTTTTGCTTGCAAGTGAGGACTGAACTGGAAGCATTGTTGGGGAGAATTAGTCCTCTCTGAACAATCTGAGAACAGAGGGAACATTTGGACTAAAGGAAAACTCAGCAGCACTCTCCCCTGATTGCCTGAGGCAGCTCTTGCCTCATGGAAGACCCGCTTTGCCTCTCCTGTTTGTTTTGTAGCCATAGACTGGAGCCTAAATTTGTTCCAAGCTCAGTGATCAACATGCACAAACTCCTTGGGGTATAGCCAAGAGAGCGTGGACTTTTATAATCTGATAGCCTTTGGTTTGAACAGCTGGGTGACTTGGAGCAAATTGCAGATCTGAATCTGTTCCCCGCTCTGTAAAACAGGAAAGGCAATGCCTACCTCGCAGAGTTGTTTGAGGAGTAAGTATCATAAAGTATTTAAAGCACCTGGCAAAGTGCCTGACACATAGTAGGCAGTCAATAAATTATAGCTATTATCATAATATAAATGTATACGCATGTAATATTTATATAGACATAGGTAATAAGAAAGGATTCCTTATTTTATTATTGTTCCAAATTGCTGCTGTGGCCTTATGCAGAAGGATCCCCTGTACTGCTCTTTGACCCATAAATGAAAACTAGTTTCCTAGTTTATGATCTTGTATGAAGATAATTCTTGCTGAAGCCAGGGCAGGAATAGGTAGATGTCTGGGCTGTGTTAGAAAACTCTTAAGCATTTGTTAGACTTAACTTTGGCCTCTTTTCATTGTTTTCAAAATGACTTTAGTTGTGAATGTAAAATGTTTCTAATATCCACCCTTGGTCCAACCTGGGTGTGTGATTACACTCCATATGATTGTCATGTGAAAAGGTGAAGTGGGCAATTTTGGTCTACTCCGTTGATCAAATATAGAAGTTCTTGATTTTTACCTCTTAGTGGCTTATAGTTTGAAAACCAACTTTTAATTTTTTCTCTTCTCTAATTCACTTTCAAGGTTGTGAGTTTAGCCAAATTTCATATGACTCAGTCTCATGCCCAGAAGGGCACTATTTGCAGGATTCTACTTGATTTGTGTATTGGGGGAGATATACCATTCTTCTTCAGTTCAACACTTCTGGCTTTAAATTACATTTGGGTCACATTTTATAGCTTTCTAAGGGATCTGTACAAATGGTAACCACAACTGGTAAAATGTGATGTAAGCTACTTGGAAGGGTTTTCTTTGGAATCCTACGTAATTTCAAGTACTCTGCATGTAATTTTGCTAGCCAGTCAATTAACTGAAGTGTTCTTCATGGGTAGAGCATGTGCTGAATTTGACATACATGCTTACGTGCAATAAGTCCCTTTCACAGTGTACTTCCCTTGTGACACAAAAAGACACTATTTTGAGACAAACCCTATCAGGTAATCAGCGATAAAATGACCATCCTTGGCAGATTAGGTAGGAGGAACATATATCTTCCAACTCTTCAGAAGAGAAGTAAGTGATAATGAAAACAAAATTATGAACAGTTTTACATAGTACACATGAACTTCTATATATAGTCTTTTGCATAAGAAGAGTCTCTAACCATTCCTGTGGTTCTTCTGTCATCCTCTCCATTTGCCCATCGTCGTGGAACAAGTAATAGCAGATTTATCCTTCCACGTCTTTCTCTTTGCTAATACAGATGTACATATGCATGGATACACATTTATAGGGAGTTCCTCTCTTTTTGGTGTGGAAATAGCATCATACCATGCATATTTTTTTCCACTGAACAGTACATCTGGCATACCTCTAAAAGTCAGTAGATATAGTTGTAACCCTTATCCTCCCCCAACCACCAATTTGCCAAGAAGAACTTTAACTACTTCATACATGTATGTCTAGAACATACACACAACCACATAGTACAAAACTTCAGCAACAATATCCCAGGAAGTTAGTTGCTTGCTGAGCTAAGTCAAGTCCTGGTTCAAATATGCATCTCAGGAAAACCAGACCAAGAGTGTTACCACTTGGTATATAATAGAAAAGAAATAATGCAAATAAATAAACTGGAGGCATAATCTCTTTTGAGCATTATAGATCCCAGATGAAGACGTGTGAAATAAAGGCATCCTTCACCTAGAGATCTGAAAAGAAAATAAATATAAATTACACTTTCATAAGTATCCCATTGTTTCACAAAATTTGGTATTCAAAAGGAATTTTTCTTTATATCATAATTGAGTTTCAGCTAGCTAATAATACTTTTGGATTTGATATTTTTATGCCGTTGTTTCTCTTACCCCTTTCTACTGCTCAAATCTTGTCAAGAGAGTGACAATTTGTAAATAAATTCAGTTTAGTTCAGTTAAACAGTTACTGATGTCAACTGTTTTGGTCTTGAAGTACTTGAATAATGATATTTTAAATAACCTGGGTTTTTTAATTAAAATGAAATATACATGTGTATGTGTGCATATGCATATTTTTTATACACACATATACATATACATAAACTGACTTTCATAGTTTTGTGAGTTTTAAACTATATTTTTCTAATATCCTTCACAATCATTTGCGTTTTTCTCAAAATTAATGGGGAAGAGATACTATAAAGTATAGCTTATCTTTTATTAGAAATAAACTTGCTTAGTAAGTTGGATATACACGCAACCTTAAAAATCTGTTTTAGATGCTACATTTTTTTCAGTTCTCGAATGTGCTTAAAAGTCACGGCATTGTTTTGTTCATAATCACCATCCTGTTATGGGCCCCAAATATGCTTGGCAATCTTCTAATTCTCTGATTGACTCATTTTCTCACACAACATGACAACTGTTTTAAATTTCTTCTCAAACTTCCTGTGCTTCAACTCTTCCTTCTCAGGACCTGTGCACCATGGATTATTCCTTCTCTTCTAAAACCCACTCTACCTCTCACATGGGTCATGCCCACTGGCTTACAGAAAAGTAACAAGACTAGTACAGATAAACTTAATTTTCTTCTCAATCATCTGAGAATAAGTTGCCAACCTCATGCCCCAATACCTGGAATACTTTAGTGTGTAATCCCTGTATACAAGGATATTCTCCTGCATATACATAATACAACCATCAATATCAGCAAATTAGCACTGATACATTATAACCTTCAAATCCTTTGACCCCGTTCAAGTTTCACCCATTGTCTCAATCAGGTCCTTTATAGCCAAAGGTACTAGTTCAGAATCACCTATTACATCTAGTTGTCAGGTCTCTTTAGTTTCCTTTAATGTGAACACTTCCTTAGCGTTTCCTTGACTTCCATAACCTTGACACAGATGATGACTCTAGGTCAGTTACTTCATGGAATGACCATCACTTTGGGTTTGTCTTATGATGAGATTCCAATTATGCAGTTTCAGGCTATGAAGTGTCAGGGCTCCTCAGAGCTCAGTCTCAAGCCTTCCTGTCATCTCACTGGGGCAGGATCATGCGTACTTATGCCTCCACTTGTCTCTCTTTAGGTGAGCCACAGATCCCCATCTCAAGCCCAGGCCTCTCCAGTGAGCTCTGGAATCATTGCACCCACTGTCTTCCTCGTGGCCCTTTTTGGATACCAAAGGCTTTGATCTCCATGTCTAAAACCAGACTCATTGTCTCCCTCTGACATCTTGGGCCTCTTACAGTGTCCTGTCTCCCATGGGTGCCACCACTATCCATCTTGTTATAAAACATGAAAACAAGAATTCTTTCCCCTTCTTTACCCTCAGATCCAGTCTGTCACCCTGTCCTGTTGATTTAACATCTTACACATCTTTCTAATCTCTTCACTTCGGCCCATCCATGCTACCTCCACCTTTGCCTTGGACTTTTGCAGCCTCTCAACTGGCCTACACATAAGCTTTCCAACTCCCTCCCGTCTGTACTCCTTACTTTAGCCAGAATGATCTTTTCACAATGTAAATTCCATTGTGTCCTTTCCTCTTCCCTCCACCTCTTTCCTGCTTAAAGCCCTCCAGTGCCACCCATTGCATTTAGGATAAACAGAACATCAACATGGCTGGCAGGGCCCTGTGTGGATTTGCTCCTGCTTCCCTCCTCAGTCTCATCTCAGGCCTGATCCTCCCTGGCCTTTTTTTTCTGTCTTTCCAATGGTGCTCGTCATGTGTCCTCCAACCACACACAGGAGCTTTGCTCCTCAGCTTGTCATTTCCCTAGGCTTGCAGTATTTTCACATAGATTTATTGGGATATAATTCACAGACCATCTGGTTCGGGTTGGTGTTTAGATGTTTTTTTTTTTAATTCACAGACCTCACAATTCACCCATCTAGAGTGTATAATTCAGTGTTTTTAATATATTCACAGAGGTGTGCAACCATCACCACTATCTTACTTCAGACCATCAGTACTATCTTATTTCAGAATATATTCATCACCCCAAAAAGAAACCTGTATCCTCTAGCACTCACTCCCCATCATACCCACTAGCAGTCACTCTTCAGCCACCACCACCCTCACCACCACCATCCCTCCTGTTCTGGACAATTTATGTAAGTAGAATCATACAATACTGTGGCATCTTTCCCTTAACATAATGTTTTTGAGTTTCCTCTGCATTTTAGCGTGAATCAGTACTTCATTTCTTTTTATGATGGAATATATTTCATTGTATGGACAGACTATATTTTATTTGCCCACGCATCAGTTGATAGACATTTGGGCCAGCCTTTAAATATTGAATTCAGCATCACTTCCTCAGTGAACTTTCCTGACCTGCATGACTAGGCCAGATCCTGCTAGATAGGGTTACTGCACTGTGTCTGTCACCTTGCTAGCATTTGTCATGGTTGCAATTCTACTTTTGTTTGCTTGATTCTTGGCCTAATTTAATGCTGGTCTTTTCTAACAGACTGTAAACTAGAGGGGGCAGGTACTGTATCTGCTTTGACTCACCATGATATTCTAACACCTAACAAAGGGCCCCGCACATAGTAGGAGCTCATTAGATACTTGTTGAATGAATGAATCCTAATTTAGTTCATTAAAACCAGATTGTTTCTGGCAGTCTACTTATCTAGACCGTTTGTATGAATTTCCTTGGCATAGTCTCTATTGTGCTGGAGATAGGAAGGGCCCTCCATAAACCACTCAACTCCTCCTCATGCCCCCAGCATGCCTTTACCCGTTTGTGTATTTATTAATAGAATTCAGCATTTATTTTATATATTTATTGGAATTAAGTTGCAAAAATGTAGAAGTAACCATGATGGGCAAAAGCAGAGCAGGTCCTGATGTGAATACATTGTGAGCCAGAAGCAGAGCTGTCAAAATCCAGGTTACTGTCAGATGTGAAGAGGAATGGGATTCCCAGGGCAAGCTTTTGTCAGTATTTGGGGAAAAAAAATATTTTTGAGCAAACTTTCTCTTAGGAAATAATTTATGGTAGAAATATTTTTGCTTGAACAAGTGGTTAGCTATAATGGCAGTAGCTACCCTTCGTGGAACACTTACTGTGGGTTAGGTACTCACAGTGCTATGGGCTTTAGGTTTGTAAGGTCATTTATTTCTCCTAGCCACCTTGGGAGATAGACATTGCCTGTTACCATTTTGCAGATTGGTAAACTGAGACTTTGAGAGAAAATGTAATTTGGCCTTTATCCCATAGTTTTTCTAACTTCAAATCACATGTTAACCACCATAGTTTTAGGTACTATCTATCCATTTTGGCAGATCTAGGATCTCCTATTAATTGCAAGATTTAAAGTAGAGAATTAAAGAAGAAAGTTAGAGATGATGCCTGAGTAAAAGCATACTTGTTGTAACAGAGCAGAGGACGTGGCCCAAGCTTGGGAGCTGGATAGATCTGGATCCCACCATTTATTAGTTGAGCATGTTATTTACTTTCCCTGAGTCCCAGTTTCCTAATTTTAAAGATGGGGATAATTCAGTCAATCTCAGTAGTATAGTTATGGATCAAATGACACAAAATAAACAAAACGCCGAGCCAAAGTCTGACACAAAGTAGATGCTAAAAACAGAATAAGCCACCTCTGCCCTTTCATTTCTTCTACTTCTTCTGTGTTAATGGGCAAATGAATGGCTCCAATAGAAAGGTATGGCTAGCCCTCCCAGTTAATACGTTTTCAGGCCAAGACTAAAATGAAATTGGGACTAAAATGTTAAAATGTTTACTAGAAATATAAACTTGCATTCGCACCTTAAATAGTCCTCTCTTCATTTCAGTGAATATCAATTCAACTAATACTATTGGCGCATGCAAATGAATATGATAGTAATGGACCCTCGCCCACACTGGGCTCATATTCCATTAGAAGAGACATAAACAAACAGGCTTTTATAATTCAACCAAATACAGCTCAGTTACAATGATAAATGCTGTTGAAGCTGCATGGTGAAATTCAACAGCTTTTTTTTTTTTTGCAGGCCAGGAGGCTTTCTAAGCTTACTCCTGATGCAGTTAAAACTCAAAGGTTTCTGGAAGCCAATGAAAATCCTCACCTCTGACTGAAATGGAATTTCAAGGGAAAGAAAATACAACGTATTTTATGAGGTCAGGTCTCCCATAAGGTGTTAAAGGCATTGTTCAGAGGTGCCACCTAGCAACTTCTCCCAGAACAAAAGATTAGCCATAGGTACTTCTTGTGTCTGGTTTTTGAGTTTAAAATAGGAACAGGCAAAGGATGCATTTGGCAGCATCCTTCATCTATTCCTGTTTAAACTTCTATCAATAAAAGTTTAGTTCTATTAATAAACATGTCTCTTGACTTTGTTGTGAAATAGAATTGGTGAAGGCACAAAGTGGCTTATTTTACTACTTATGAGGCAGGCGTATTATATATGACATAGACCAACTGGAATTATGGATGGTATTTCATAAAATAGTGTCAAAGATTGCAGGCCAGGGAGACAGAAAGAAGTATACTTGATTTTCTTGAGAGTCACTTTGCACTTAAATACCCAAATACCGAAAGTTTAAACACATTTTCATGATTCCTTTGTATAAAAAGTGAACAGAATGGCTACCGTTGTAATTTTGCTGCTTCTAGCAATTCACCAGCAAAATACATCCCAAAATAGCAGATATACAATGCAGCATATGCTTTGGTGAATCTAATAATTTCGTGAACTCGTTCGCTGTTGGGCTGGTAATCTACATAGCTTTAACGGTGAACTTTATAAAATTCGGAGCCTCATGCATCAGAAGGTAAAAAACAAAAGTGGACAGTTTTAACAACGATGGATGAGTTGCTAGGGAATAAAATTAAATGGTTGATAATAATTGTGGTAGCTCACGAAGACTGATGTTATTTACAAAAGCTCCATTTTGCATGTAATCAGATGTCTATTCCCATGAGCTGGGTCATAATTCATATTCCACTTTAATGTTCATGGAAAATGTGCTTCTCTCTGTGTACGTATTATTTTTAGGATGTTATGTTTCCTTGGTGCATACACAATGAGCCTGAAATCCTTTAGGAATGTGTTTAATTTGAAAGTTTTATCCTCTGGGCCTGGTTAATTCAAATACATGGCTAGGAACATTATTGTAGGCCCTGAAAGAATGTAGGCATGGCAAATTATGTGCATAAAGGCAACTCCAACCCATGTTGCCAACGCTCATTTGGTAAAAGGTAGTGAGGAGGATTATTTTTTCCTTCCAAACTTTTTTCTTCATCCACTCATTTAATTTTTCTGCACTAATTCTTTACGTTAATAAGCTTGATTTACACTGGACCAGATTTCTTCTACTTTTAAACTCAGAACCGTGTCTGGTGGCTCTTTTGTATTAAAATCATCAGCCCAGGGAGCTTTTACGAACTTATGTCCTCAGTCCACAAGGTGTCCTGTGTTCACCCTTATATTCTCTTCTATCCTTAGTCACAAAGACTGTCTGAGTCGCATTTTCATCTCTAGAAACTGGAAGAAGTTCTAAGAGTGTGAGGTAATGACTCAAGGACAACAGCTCCCAGAAAATAACAGGGTTTGCCCTGCTGCTTTGGAGGAGGTTCTCCTGAATCATGTCACTGAAGCACAGCTAGGGCCCGGGACCTGGGACCACAGCCCTTGAAGGGAATGAGCGGCTGTCTGGGGGCTGAAAGTTCTCTCAGGAGAGGCGTTTTCACAAGGCTTTGTGATACCGAGCCTCAGGCGTGGACAGAGACGTGTTTTAGGATTTGAGAAGCCTGTGGAGAAATTAAGTCATGTCCCAGTGTACAGTGCTATGCCATAAGAATGGCTAGAACTTTCAGGGGCATCCTGGAGCTTGACCCTGGCTCATCATTTTATACATGAAGGGGCTTTGGGTCACGGAGGCATGGGTTTGCGTCCTGTCTGTTTGATTCATTAGATATGTGATCTGGGCCTAAAACTTCGGAGATCTTAAACACCGAAAACCTTGGGGCACTTTTGCCTTGCTCCCAACCATGAAATACAAAAACCAAAGCAAAACAAACAAAAAGTAAGCCAGAAGATATAAAATTGCTTATAGGTCTGTTGTCTAACATCAAGTGCGGAAAGGGGTCTAACAAATTTCCAGCTGGGTGCGGTGGCTCACACCTTTAATCCCAGCACTTTGGGAGGCTGAGGCAGGCAGATTGCTTGAGCTCAAGAGCTCAGGACCAGCCTGGGCAACATTGGGAGACTCCCATCTCTATAAAAAATACAAAATGTAGCCAGGACCAGGTGCAGTGGCTCATGCCTGTAATCCCAGCACTTTGGAGGCTGAGGTGGGCAGGTCATGTGATGTCAGGAGTTCAAGACCAGCCTGACCAACACGGTGAAACCCTGTCTCCACAAAAAATACAAAAATTAGCTGGGCGTGGTGGTGCATGCCTGTGGTCCCAGCTACTCGGGAGGCTGAGGCAGGAGAATCACTTGAACTCAGGAGGTGGAGGTTACAATGAACCAAGATCATGCCACTGCCCCCTCCAGCCTGGGTGACAGAGGGAGACTCCATCTCAAAAAAAAAAAAAAACATTACCGGGCATGGTAGCTTGCACCTGCAGTCCCAGCTACTTGGGAGACTGAGGTGAGAGGATCACCTGAGTGTAGGAGGTGAAAGCCTCACCGAACTATGACTGAACCACTGCACTCCAGCGTGGGCACTTGGCACCAGAGCAAGATTCTGTCTCAAAAAAAAAAAAAAAAAAAAAAAAGAGATCCAAGAAAGTTCTGCTTTTTCCTAGGATGAATGCTACTTGTATAATTTTTTTAAATACCAACTGATTTCCACCCCAGTTTGACTTGTTCCCCTGTTATGCTGGTGTCCTTAGGGTAGATTTTGTGGAGAAACCCAGCAGACTGAATTACTACCTCTCTCTCTTGGTGTTGTGCATATTAAATAAACAGAAGTATGCCGTGGCCTTTATAGAGGGTTGGACTTGTAATCAACTCCCAACACTCGTTCATGCATTTTTTGTTTCCATAGACTCTTAATGGGTCCCCAGGGCAGTAACTGGACATGCCAAATTGGGGTTGATCAAAGTAAGTAGGAGAATACCATGGTTTTATATATCAGTGTATACAAATTGGATACTTCTGCTTATTCTTGAGTTAGTGGGAGTTATCTACTGATGAAGACAGTGTGATAAGGTCTCTCATCCCATGTGAAATGATGAAAAGGAAGAAGTTGGGATTGAGATTACAATGAATAAAGGTGCATCTTTCATAGCTAGTTCATTTGTTTCAGTGTCCACTCACATGAGAGGAAACCCAAATATGCTTAGACAAAAATATCCAAAGCTGTTACCTGGAACACTGCAGCAACACCAGCAACAGGTTTGCTGTCTTAAAGGTTTCTAACTGATCTTGAGATTGTCCCACCTTTCCATAACCCTGCAAAAGCTGAGTGGTATAGTTTGGCTCTGTGTCCCTACCCAAATCTCATCTGGAACTGTACTCCCATAATTCTCACGTGTTGTGGGAGGGACCCAGTAGGAAATAATTTGAATCATGGGGGTGGTTTCCCCCATACCATTGCCATGGTAGTGAATAAGTCTCATGAGATCTGATGGGTTTATCAGGACTTTCTGCTTTGGCATCTTCCTCATTTTTCTCTTACTCTCACTGTGTAAGAAGTGTCTTTTGCCTCCTGCCATGATTCTGAGGCCTCCCAGCCATGTGGAACTGTAAGTCCAATTAAACCTCTTTTTTTCCCCAGTCTCAGGTATGTCTTTATCAGGAGTGTGAAAATGGACTAATACAAGTTTTGTCAGTTTTTTTTTTTTTTTTTTTTTTTTGAGGCAGAGTCTCACTCTGTTGCCCAGGCTGGAGTGCAGTGGCAGGATCTTAGCTCACTGCAACCTCTGCCTCCTGGGTTCAAGCGATTCTCCTGCCTCAGCCTCCCGAGTAGCTGGGATTACAGGTGCCCGCCACCACGCCCAGCTAATTTTTTTTGTATTTTTAGTAGAGACGGGGTTTCACCTTGTTGGCCAGGCTGGTCATGAACTCTTGACCGCAAGTGATCTGCCCACCTTGGCCTCTCAAATTGCTGGGATTGCAGGTGTGGGCCACCGTGCCCGGCCTGTCAGTTCTTAAACATTGATTACCACTAGGGATACTGCTGCCTCCCTGCATCTCTTACCTGAGGAGCCAAAGACAAGATGCAAACCTGCATTTATGTTCAACCTACCATTTTCTTCTACCTCCAGACAGCAAAACCACAAACGTGTTTTAGAATAGAATTAACCAGTTAACTCTCAGTTAACCATTTTACTTAAATCTGTACACTCTTTGCCACAATGTGTCTAGGGGGTCACATTTTTACCCACTTTTGAAATAAGAAAGCACAAAAGTACAGAAAGGAGTCTTATTTATCACGGCGGGGCTCTGAATATGACCCCATCCCAGTCCATAGCAGATTTTGCATCAACAGAATGTGTGTCTGTGTGTGCACCATTGAAAATACTGGCATGAAAACAAAGATGGCACTCTGAACTTTGAGCTCTGTTCTTAAAAGCATTGGGAAAAAGATGGTGCCTATAAGGTCAAGCCCAGCAGCCACACACACAATCCAAACTTATCTTCCTGCGGTACCTTAGCATGTGACACAATTGCCGTGCCCCGTTCTACTCATATACATTTTTTCCCACAAATTAATGAACATGTTTGTATTAATTAATAGCTGCCTAAATTTGAAGTCTTTCTTTGTCAAGCATTTTACATGCAATTAGCTCACTCAGTGGTCCCAAACACCCTGTAGGGAAATTTATTTTGTTATCATGATTTTATAGACAGGAGAACTCAGTCAACATAGTCGTGAAGTAAAATGTCCCAAATCATAGAGCCTGCAAATGGTTGACCTAGCATTTGAATTCAGGCAAAATCTGATTTAGAGCCTTCACCTTTCCCACTCTTTACAGATGCCACCCTGTAGTCCCTTGTGTAAGTACATCCTGTCAGCCTTTCAAGGCTCCCTTGGGTCAGCACATAGCTATTTGACCAAGGGCACTTATTCTGAGCAGAGCACCATATGAAGCCCATCCAGGTGATATACCATTCATGTATAGTGCCCGCCCTCAAAATCCCAGTGCACCAGTAAGAAGAAATTGGATGTGTACACAAGCACTCTCCTGGAGGCTAGAACCGCAGGTAGGATGTTCATACATCCCTGTTTGCATAGGACAGTGTGTTTTCCTGTTGTAATTATTGATAGTGCTTCCGTGCATCTCAGACATGCCCTACTTTGGATTATATCATTGCCCTCACCATAGGAGAAGTACATCAGAGGATTTTAAGGAAGAGAATTGTGCATCTGGTCCGGGGATTGCAGGCAAGATCCTCTTCATGGAGAAGATTTATGCTTAAGCTGTTCCTTGAGAGGCAGTGTTGTTCTGTGGCTAGGAGTGTGGGATCCAGGGTCAGGTTCCCTGTGTTTGAACCTTGATCAGCCTCAATGTCCTCACTTGTACGATTGCTAGAATAATCCTCTTGCCTCAGAGTTATTGTAAATATTAAGAACTAATACTCATAAAGCATTTGAAGCACTGCCTGGCCTATAGCAAGCACTTACTGAATGTTAGCTATAATCACTTAAACAGACACAGGTTTGGAAAAGGACAATTCTAAGTTTAGGCAGTGATACTGACGGTGTATTTAGGGTTTTCTAATAATTGGTTACTCATAGTCATTCACGGAGCCTCTGCCTTTCTAGTCTCCCACTATAGAGGCTGAAACATCGCAGTCACTTTTCCAGCCTCCCCTGTAGCCATGTGACCCATTTATGGCCAATAGACTAGAGAGGGGGCGTTGAGGAGGACCTCTCTTTGCAGGCCTCTCCCGTCCCCAGCGTTGGAACACAGGTGTGAACTTGGTGCTTGCCGCAGCTGCTACTGTCATCTCCCCACCTTGAGGGGAGGACCAAGAGAGTTACCAACTGTGGCCCGGATCCCTGACCTTGTACAACCAGTGAAGCAAAGCACAAAGCCATCTGCCCCCAGAATTCACGTTATGTGGAAAAAAGTAAATGCTTAGTTGTTTAGGCCACTGTCAGTTGAGTTTCTGATACAATTGAATTCATCATAACTGAGAGGCAGCAATAAATAGCCTAATTCAGCACAAAGGTCTGTTACCATTTGGGAAGGAGAAAAGATAGATGAGGGGCCTAAAATGTCCTCAGGAAATTATACGGGGCCCTTGAAGTTTTGTCAGTTTGGGAATAATGTGATTTGAGTTATGCTTTAGGAAGGGAATTCCAGCTTCAAGTTCAATGATGGATTAGAGCAGAGACTACAAAATCTAATAGTGCACCAAGATTGCCTGGGATACTTTTCAAAATAAAGATGTGAAGGGCCTTTTGTTGATATTCTTTGATCAGTCTCTCTGAGGGTGAAGGTTTTGGAAGCATCTGGATTGGAGAAGGGAAGCCTTGGTTGTTGTAACAATAGCCAGACATCATTATCTTCAATAAACAATAAGAAAAGAGCCTCATTCACATTTTAGAGATGTGAATATTGGGCCTGAAAAGTATTGAGTCACTGCCCAAAGTCTGTTTGCGAAGAAGCAGCAATTCCGAACTAGAATCCTGGCTCTTCTTTCCCCATTGTGTGCATGCTTTCCATGGTAAGATGCTAGCTACTTCTGGGGCAAAGAGAGTGCTTTCATCCTGGGCTGCAGGTGGGATGGTCTGAACTTGAGTAGTAGGAGAGAGGATGGAATGTTAAGTGACAGAGGTGGGAAGCTAAGTGGAGGTGATACTGAGATGCTGACTTAATGTGGAGTCCTAAAGAGAAGGGAACAGAAAGACATATATGAAGCGTTTCAAACTTGCAAAATTCGGACAGTGGCAGCCACATTAGGATTTGGAAGGAAGATGCAGCATTCAGAGCTGGTTTCATTGATACTCTACAAAGGGACGTTCTGTGATGATGTCCAGCAGACACTTGCAAATGTGAATCTGGAGCCTCTGAGAGAGGTTAGTGATTCCTTCAGTGGTTAATGCTGAAGGGTGGTGGTGAAGGATACAGAGAGAGAAGAGCGGAGGTCAGAGGACGGGAAGTTGGTGTCGGAGCAGAAATCAGAAGAAGCTTTTTGAGAAGTGGCAAAGGAACCAGGAGCATGCTGTACTTTGGAGGTGAATTCTGGGGGCAGGCAGGCCCCGTCAGTGACCAGCCATTGGAGAGGTGGTCAGGCCGACATCAGGAACCCCATCAGGAGGGAAGATGGTCATTAGGAGAGTGGCACAGAGGAGAAGCAAGGTGCATGAAGGTACGGTACCCATGGATAAGTACAGATGTGAGAGACTTGAAGTAGCTGAATGGTTTCCTCTTTTGAGGGGAGTGCTGGAAAAGGTGAGAGTGGGGCAGGACAGGTTTCCCCCCCTTCACTAACTTTTCCAGCCCAGAACAACCCCACCTCTTTTGAGCATCTCTAACGATTATCCTCTGAACCAAACTATTTAGCACGAAGACAAAACCTTCCACTGTCCTCAGTTTGAGGTGCAAGCCTGGTTAAAATTGCACAGATTGTATATTAGCAGGAAATAATGTTTGGTATATACTTGATAATCATCGACTGACAACACTAGGAATTACTACACAAAATGGAGGAAGAACCCAGGGGAAGACTTTCTTTTTTCTTTAAAGAAAGGGCATGATGAAGGACAGACATGGGGAAAATTCTGTTCCTTTAAAATGTGGGAAGCAGTTCCTGAGAACAAATGGGGTTATCATGACAATGTTAGAAATTTGGGGCGAGTGATGCCAGCAATATCAATTTCAGAGGAGCTGCGTGGAGCGCTGTGTAATGTATTCCGCTGGGCATGTTCTGTGGTGCTGTGAAGCCAGTGCAATTCTTGTGCCTTGCAGCAACTGGGTCCTTTTGTATTAGAGAGCTTTGGAGATGTTAAGAGCATTTGGGGATCTTAGCAGAACTAAAAAAGATCCTTCTTTTCAGAGGGTGTATTAGATAAGATGGAAGAAAACTCAGAGGGGAATAGAGCTGGATAAGCTCTGTTTGCTTTAAGCCCTTCAGCCTGGATACGTAGGTCTAGATTTTGTCTTGGGCCATTTCAGGTACTCTCTGTGGCAAGGTGCACAGGTTAATTAGCTCAGATATATGCACATTTAATGTGTGCCTTGGCAGAGATAGACATATACATCCTTACCATTTATGAGGATGTGTGTCTGTTATGTGTCAATATATGTGTGTATATTTGAGTATATCATCATATACATACGTACTCATATGTGTTATATGTATGATTGCTCTGAGGTCAGTATAGTCATATATACATCTGTACTTATCCATGAGTACCTATGCACATGTTATATATGAGCACAGTACAATATATACATGCATGCAGTATATACATGCATGCTCCGTATATACATGCATGCAGATGTATATACACCTGTAAATATTTATGAATCCAAATATATATATGCCTGTGCATGTGGAGTTTTTCACTACGCTACACACTACACATACACATACGCTCCCACACGCCCTCACAATTTAGAGACCAGTGACACCTTACATTTATAAAGTACTTTCCATACTTTTCTGATTGTTTCTGCATCCTTTTTTTTCTATTTTGATTCCCAAAGCAATTTTAGAATGTGAATGGGGAAAGAAAAGCCCCATAAAACTAGCAGGAAAGAAGCCACTGAGCTGTCCAAGGACACAGAGCAAGTCACAGCTAGAGCCCAGGAGAGGCCCCCGGTACTTGCCACTCTAAGCCTACTACACTTTGCTGAGGAATCAGAAGGCAAGACTCCTCAGAATTAGTAAGGAGCCTGGATTATGGACAATTACGAAGATGTTCCATTTTATCACTTTTCTACTATGCATAGTAAATTATAAGGGGCTAACAAAGTATCACATAGGAGCATTCTTTTGGAGGATCTATTGTAGTAAATAGAAAAGACAGTTGAATAGTTTTCTATATGAACAGTGCTTCTAAGTGCTTAAGAAGAGCTTATGTCATGTAGGTTGAGCAGGCATGCTGCAATGCTTTTTATGATATTTATTTGTTTTGTCAACCCTTTCACTCCTTAAATAAAGGTAAACTTCCGCTCACCCCGTCAGAAGGATCAACATGGAGAATTAGTGGACCTGGAGTTCATAAGGTTTTACTGTAACAGCGATTAGGAAGGAATGCACATGTGTTTGTCTCCAGGAAGGTTAGAAATGGAAATAAATGCAAAAATATGCTTTGTGGCACGTCATCATTTTTCATATGAAAATGGAAAGCACAAGACAGCTTTGTTTTGCCTTTTTGGGGGGCTCGTGGCTGATTTTCTCTTCTTGCTTCCTGGTTTTTGTTAGAAAGAAACTTGTTCATTTCCCACCCACTCCACACCCCCTCCCCCACGCTGAAATATCTGTCCAAGATCATCCTTTCAAGTGTTCAGACTTAGAGAAGGGAAAAGAAAAAGAACTGTGATTTAAAATATATATGTACATCTTTTTTTTAAGCTTGCAAACTGGGATTTCTAGACTCAATTTGTGTTCTTGAGATATTGGAGTCAAGTTTATGTATAGTTTTTGATGTAGGACCTAATTAGGCTCTCAGCATATCTTAATACTTTCTGCTACATCTGCATTAAAGATAACATTGCATACATTTGCATTTCATTTACATAAAAAAGTTAGCCATGCTGTATGTAACAATCACTTTCACCAAGTACCGTTGACAGCAAATATTTTGAATAAGCATGTGAAAATCCATGTCTACACAAAGCCTGTCCTGGGTTCTGTTGAATCTCTCACATTTGGAACTTGTTTTCATGTAGTGTTACTTATTCCAATGGAGCCCTGGAGGTTAAGCCAATAAATAAAAACGTAGGAATCAAAAGAGCCTGCTTTATGTGATATATTCAACTTGGAAAAGAAAGGCTCAGGTGATATTCGTTTGGATGTTGTTTATAATTTTAACTGTAATGGTAATCAATGATAATAATAATAATAATGGTGTGACTTTTATGATATGTTTTATAGGAAAGTGGGTAACTTTGGAATAAAAATATTCATTCATTTCTTTATTCATTCATACGTCTTCGGCTGAGTATATATGGGGCAACCTTATTTCCAGGTCTCACTTAATGAAATCAGGTTTATCTGGGCCATTTTACTTTAAAAGTAAGCTTTTACCAGGGGGACTACTCCACCAGTTTTCTCTGCTTGCCTCATACCCTGTGTCCAACGAGGCACATTTTCACACTTCTAATTGCCCAGTGACTTGTCTCCCCATTTCACCACATTCAGCTATTCTTTACTCCTTATGGGTCGCGAAACCTCCGGGCAGATTCTCTGGGGTGTGCTTCATCCACATCAGATGATGGGCGTAGCTTATGACGATGTAGACTCGTCTGTGGTCATGGGACCCAAAGCTCGTAGAACACACTCCTTCCAAGGAGTGTTCTTTAAAAATGATCCTAACCAAACACAGCTGGGAATTGTTATATACTTTACCTCTTCTTGGAGAGCCACATGCACAGAGTACAAATCTTGCTTAACTTTCTCTAAGTTGGTATTTCCCAAACCTTTGGAACCATGAAGTCTTTGTTGGCATGCCACCTGTTTATCCTGGGAGACCATTTTCTGCAGTGATTTTGGAAATCACCATTCTATTTTAAGAACCACAGAAGCAATGATGACGGCAACCATAATATTAGTGGCTAGCATTTGCTAGGAGCTTCTCGAATGCCAGGTGCAATGGTCAGTGCTTTATTTGTATTATCTCATCTAAATTCCCTCAAGAACTGTATGAAGCAGAGTGCCATTATTAGCACCGTCTTAGAGATGAGAAGACTGAGATGTAGAGAGGTTAAATAACTCACTCTACATTGTGGTACTAATGAGAGAAAAAGGGGAAACTGGAGCCCAGCTAATGTTCTTGTTTTTACACCGTCTACAGTCTCTCACAAAGCCTGATACTCTTCTGTTTCCAGGCTGCCACTGCTAGTTCCTGCAGTCATCTCTCCGATATCATGACTCAAGCCCTCCGGTCGTCTTGGCCACGTTCCCCCTGGTTTATCCATATTCCACGTAAACTGTGTTCATCATACTGAAAACAGACCCCTGGAGGAATTCTGAGGTCCAAGGATTTGGGCAAGGTCATTACCTCCTTTTTCCTGGACCATCTTCTTCAATTAATGCAACCTAAGACTGCAATAAGCTCTTTTACAGGTATATAATTTTGTATCATTTGGAGCATATTCTTAGAATTGTTTGGTGTTCTTTCCCCCATGTATGCAGCTGATTTTTAAAAACAGATCTGTGATCTATAGCAAGTTGCTCAATCTCTTTAAGCCCCACATTTTTGGTGAGTAAAATAATAATAGCACAGACTTCATGGCATTGTGGTGGTGAACAGATGAGCACCTACGCTTCTCAATACAGCGTCTTCTACATAATAACTTCAATAAATATGAACTAGTATAATTATTGTGTTATTGGAAAATTAGAAATTGCAGGTGAGCAAAAGGCCTTTCTTCCAAACATTTTTTTTTGTGTATTTCAATGTAATTAATTTTTTTTACTTAAAAATTTTGAATTAATATCTCAACTTATAAGAGCAGCTTTGTCAGTATATTTTAAATGATTCCCACAATGCTGATTTAGGCATTTTACATTTTGATATGCATTTTTAGCTGGTTTTCAAAGTCACAAGGCTCTAAGGAAAAGAACTAATCCTTAGTTGGCAGGAAAGTCCCTCCCCAAATCCTTGGATTAAAATAGAATCTGCCGCCAGGGCTTTCCTTGTCTTCTGTGATTGAGATCTGTCTCAGGTGGGAAGGCATCCGGTACCTGTGCATGGCAAGTTCATTCTTTAGAGATAGAATGTGCAACTTTAATATTTATTGATAGGCACACTAATTCTCTTGCTGATGGTAATTAATGAGGTGCTTATATCTTATTTTGCGGTAGTTTAACGAGCTTCGGGCTATAGGAGAGATCCGGTGCTTGCTGTAAATGCTGAGAATCAAAGATGCTGGAGGAAAATGCAGAAAATGGAGCAGAAAAAATAAGGTTTTAGCAGATAAAATATCTCAGATTAAAAACACTCTCAAAACAAACCTTGGTAAGGCAGAAGCATTTAAAAATCAGGGAGAGCTTGCCAGGGAGGAAAGTCGCAGGTTCCCTATTCCTTGTTCCCTAAGCATGCTGTTAATTTTGACCACCCATTTGTCTTTCTACCCCTTTGGCTTCGTCTGTGTTAGCAGTGTGAAGTGAAAAATTGATAGGAAAATGTATTTTTTTTCTTAAGGCTTAGATAGTTACAGCCAAAACATTTTGTCATATTGGGTTTTGAATAATTGTGTCAAATCTACACTTAATTTTGCCTTAGACAGCTAGCCTTATGACCCTAGTTAACCTGTATTTTCTCTTATTCTTTCATCCTTTGGAAATGAGGTTCACAGAATACAAATTCAGAAGAGCATAAATTCTAACTCCTTAGAAGACAGGAATAGAAGTCAAAGTGACCTCAATAAATCAAAAGCAAGTTGAAGTTCAATAGGGACAAATGTAAGGTAGGATACTTATGCCTAATAGACGGACTCACAATTTTAAAATCATCTGGGCATGATTGTGATGGAAAAGTGTCTCTCTGTCAAGGACATGAGGAAGCCACATCCGCAGCCTTGTCTAAGGACCTACTATGTGCCAGGCATTTTGCATAAGTCAGCTTGCTTACAAATACACTGTAATAATCTCAACAGTAACTCTCAAAGCTGTGTATAATTTGTGCTCTCATTTTATAGATGTGGAAGCTGAGGCCGAGAGAGGGTAAATAATTTGCTCAAATGTTCACAGTTAGTGATTTAACTGGTTTTGGATCCTGCTGTATCTACTTGACCAAGAGTACTTCATTACAGAGCTGTTATTTAAAAAGCCAACCCGGCCGGGTGCGGTGGCTCACGCCTGTGATCCCAGCACTTTGGGAGGCCGAGGCGGGCAGATCACAATGTCAGGAGATCGAGACCATCCTGGCTAATATGATGAAGCCCTGTCTCTACTAAAAATACAAAAAATTAGCCTGGCGTGGTGGCGGGCGCCTGTAGACGCAGCTACTCGGGAGGCTGAGGCAGGATAATGGCGTGAACCCGGGAGGCAGAGCTTGCAGTGAGCCGAAATTGCGCCACTGCACTCCAGCCTGGGCAACCGAGCGAGACACCCTCCAAAAAAAAAAAAAAAAAAAAAAAGCCAACCCAGTTCTTGGCTATAGTAACTGAGACTTTACTTGAGAACCAGATAATAACCTTTCCAGTATACTATACATTAATTAAAATTTAAAAGAAAAATGAATAGGAGAAACTGGAGCAAGTCCAAAAATACCCCACCCAACAACAAAGGCAACAAGAGAAATTTTTTAAATTGGCCTAATAGGTAACAGGCTCAAGGTGTTTGGGATTGCTTAGCTAGGAAGAATGCAGCTACAGGGTGAGCGACACACTAATCCTGTAGACATCTAAAAGGCAATAATAAAGATTCACATTTTACATCAGTATTTGCAGGTAACAAAGCACTTCCCTGTCAGTTGTCTTACTGGTTTCTCACAGCAGTCATCCGGAGCAGAAGTCAGCAAACTTTTCTGTAAAGGGCTAGATAGTTAAATATGTTTGGCTTTATGGGCCATGCGGTCTCTGTCACAACTCCGCAACAAAAGCAGCCAGAGGCAGTTCATAAACAAATGGGCATGACTGTGATCCAATAAAACTCTATTTACAAGAAGATGTGACGAGCTGGATTTGGTTCTCAAGCTGTGGTTATGTGAATACATATTATCGTTTCCATTATTCAGATGAGAAAATTGAGGCTCAGAAAAGTAAAGTGACTTATCCTATGCAACTGAATGAATAAACAATGTGTCTGGAACGAGAATTCACTTTCTGTGGTTATAGTTTGGTGCTCCATGAAGTAAATTGAAGACATGTACCCAGAAAGATTTCAGGGAAGTTTGTCATCCCAAGATACCATTTGCCTGTGATTGTAATTAAAATTGGGAGCAGATGAATCAAGAAGTTAGATGAGGCTGGGAGCGCGGTGGCTCACACCTATAATCCCAGCATTTTGGGAGGCCAAGGCAGGCGGATCACTTGAGCTGAGGAGTTCAAGACCAGCCTGGGCAACATGGTGAAACTCCATCTCTACAAAAATTACAAAAATTAGACAGGTGTGGTGGTGTGTGCCTGTAATCCCAGATACTCAGGAGGCTGAGGTGGAAGGATTGCTTGAGCCCTGGAGGTCTGGGCTGCAGTAAGCTGAGATCACACCACTGTACTCTAGCCTCGGTGACAGAATGAGACCTTGTCTCAAAAAAAAAAGTGATAACTTGGTTTAGTGAAACAATGTTTGCCAGGCACTTGAGAAAGGATATTTGATCAAAAAAACATTTATCTGCTAACCTACAAGTCTATTATTAAAGTGATTGCTTAAGAATCTTTCTGAGACATGAATTTTGTTTGAATTATAGTTTTCCTTTCCCTGGGAGAGAAAATACCTTAGGTGGCTTACAAATTCATCTGTCCAGTTGTCTTGTTAGAACTTAATTTTGACTAGCAAAGGGTAGGATTGAGAGAGAATAAGGCAAGAGGAACAAGTTAGTGTTTGTGAGACTTGTGATGGGGAGGAAGGTTGTCAGCAAAGATTACTGTACCAATTTGGGTGCCCTATAGGAACAAATTGGGAAAGCGTTGATAGTATTAGCTAAATTTACTGCATACTTAATATCATCTTCTAGCACATGTTTTACATGCTATGCTTGAATTAATTCATTTAATCCTCCAAACAATCTTATGAGATAGGTGATGTTTTTATTTCCATTTCAGAGGTAGGAAAACTGAGGCACAGAGCCTCACAGTAAATATTGGAGAGAGGGCACATCAAAATCATGTTTTCTATAATCTGCTAGTGAACACCCCCCTTCCTGGTCAGTTTTGGTGAACGGAAGCTCCACAGCCCTGGGATGTTTGTATTGCATGCCCATGCATTTCATGCAATTGGCCAGACCAGGTGATCTCTCAGCTCTTTGTTTCTTTGATAGAGATGTAAATTGAGGGAAGCTGTGGAGAAAACAGAGCGCAAGCTCTCTGGAAATGAGTGCCTCATTACTAGTGAAGCTTGAGGCTTGGTGGCATGAACTCTAAGTGAAGAATATTTCTTCTTGTTTGCTGAAAGAATCCTTAAGTGGGCACTTGGTAGCAAGTTTAGTTAAACCTAACCTGCTTGAGGGCTAAACCCTCATAAATCAAAATAGCTCAAGTGACTGTAGTAAATGCCAGGTACCCAGCAATGCCTAGAGTAATTCAGTCTGCTTTATGAGTGTCAAATAGCTAATACTTTTTATGTTCCTTTTTTTTTTAATGCGTAGGAAAGCTTTTGCAGATACGCTTTCCATGAGAGTATTTTGCCAATATCTCCCTTGAGAAAATCAAAGGAAACGGCACTGTGTTTCCTCTTTGGATTACAGGTTGTTGTTTTGTTTTGTTTTTTCAAGCCAACTATGCTCACAGATACCTAAAGTGAGATTTATACATTTAAAATCAAACAACAAAAGCAAAACTTTTGTCATTTTATTAGTCCTAACATCATTAGTTTTAGGATATCATTATTAGAGTTCCTTCCCACATTTCTATCCTTCTAAGAAAATTGTCTTAGAATTCAGGAACTTTAATAGCAGTTCTATAGAAGAGAAACAGATTGAGTGATGAGATAATGGATCTCATGAGAGAATGGATCAAGGAAGAGAATGCAGAAGATGCAGATGGTGGAGGAAAAGGAAAGAAATACAAAATGGAGAGAGGAAGGAAATGACAAGAAGCCAGAAGTGTGTGCAGTTGAATGAGGGGGGTGGGAGGAAAGCTGGATTTGGAATCAGAAGATATGGGTTCAGTTCCTACCTCTGCCTTTGCTTAAATGACCTTTGCCTTCGCACTTGACTTCATCAGAATCTTTTTATATCATGAAGTAATAATCATATAAGCCTTACACGATGTTTAGGTGACATGATGTAGTTGAAATGTGCTTGGCTTAATCAATATATATGCATGGAATCTGAGAGTTTTGGAATAACAGCAGAACAGAACCAAGGAACCAGGCTCATTGATGTAAGTAGAAATAGGAGGGAAGAACCTGAGGGAGTAAATTTATTTGAGTACTCCCAGCCAACAGTCCTCATCTCCAGGTTCTAAAGTCATGCAATGTTCTTATTGTCCACTGGGCATAACACAGCACCCCCTTGCAACTAAGTCCTAATATGACTTCATTGATGTTTTTATTTCCATTTCAGAGGTAGGAAAACTGAGGCACAAGGGATCACAGTAAATATTGAAGAGAGGGCACATTAAAATCATGTTTTCTATAATCTGCTAGTGAACACTCCCCTTCCTGGTCAGTTCTGGTGAATGGAAGCTCCACACCCCTGGGATGTTTGGATTGTATGCCTGTGCATTCATACAATTGGCCAGACCAGGTGATCGATCTCTCAGCCTTTTGTTTCTTCGATAGAGAGTACTTGCAACTAAGTCCTAATATGACCAAGGTCACTAATTTTCACTACAACTTTATAAGCCAAGAATAGGGTCTAGGATATGGACCGTCTTAGATATGGATTCTTAAAGGGATGATTTTTAGCACTTCAGGGACATCTCAGATGGGACTCAAGATGACTCTACCTGAAACAGAACCTCTGTATGATAGTATTAGATTCAAGTCCCAGGGGGCCCTGAAAAATTACCTGTCCCAAATTCTCTCAAATAGAAGTGTTTCCTCTCAAAAGCTAGGGATTTTCATAAGGCAGATTTACATTTAATTCTACTCTTCCAGTGTCTTTCTTTTTAACTCACCATCTGACAAGGAATAGTTAGCATATAACCCAAAGCATATGTGGTAAGCTTGTTCCTCCCTGCCTAAATATGAGTTTAATAAAAAATAGCAGTTAAACATATGTTAAAAATGAAGCAGTACAGTTGGGGGCAAAGAAGAAAAGGCAACACAACTGTTTATTAGTTGTGTTTTTCATTTTCATGTTCAGAGAATTTGAAGACTCCAATTTTTTTTCCAAGCTGCAGTCAGATCTGCACAGTTGCATACCCTGTTTGGGTCTTTATTTCCTACAGATGAACACTAGGCTGACATGTCGAAGCCCATGTCCAAAGTAATGAACACCAATTAGCAAATTAATGGATTAAGATCCTTTTTATGTGTCAATTGCCCAGGTTAATCATGTCAGGACTAATAATATTTTACCTCAGGATAGAGCTTTGACATTACTTACAGAAATCAGTTTAAGTAAGTGTTAAGTGATCTTGATTCTGTGGATTGTAGTTCAAGATTTGTGAGGTCTAAGCGTAGTCAAGACAAATCAGATGTTTCCATTTCTCACTGTTGTTAACAGCTTCATTAAGACGATCTATCTGAATTAAAATTAAAGATTAGTCTTGACCTTATAGGTATAAATAGACAGTCTATGCCCCATGTCTTTCTAATTTGCCAGATTTTCTTTCCTGTATCGTACGGATGAATCAAGGTGGACATCTTTCATCTTGGTGTATTTCCACCAAGCTAAACACAGTTGTTTAAGCATAGGACTATGCCCAGAGTTGTGGCAGTTTCTTTCATTAGAGTGAAACGAGGGCTGCAAGCCCTAAGCTTTTGTTGAAATGTGCATCCTTCCTATAATAAATTTTTACTCTATCTTAATAAAATCCATGGCAACTTTCCTACCCATCCCTCCCCCGGAATGGGCTACTTTTATAGGGAAAGAAAGGCAGCATCAGGACCAAGAAGGGGATGGAGAACACCAAGTTTCTTCTTCTAACAGCGATGGCATTGAAGAGCTGTTAATACTCAAAGTGATGAATCACTAATGGCATATGACATTCTTTCAGATTCGCATTTGTATTTGCTACTCACAGCAGTCTTGTGAAGCAGTAGGCAAGGTGTCTGTTTTAAAGTCCACCTTAAAGATAAGGAAACCGAGACTCTGATAGGATGTTTATCCTATCAGAGGTGGTAAGTGGCTGGACCTGACCCTTTCTATGCCCCGTGTCTTTCTAATTTCATCAAATGGATAACTTTCTATCCTTGGAGTTGCCCTTGGTCAGAGTCAGCAGAGAGGAAGAAAAGCAGTATGCCTGTTCCTGCAATTTTTCTACATCAACATCATTAATTTCCAAGTCATTTTCATTGTTTGAGAGTGGGTATATGTATGCAGCTTTTCTAAAGCATAGTGTACTCAGTTGTGGATTTTTTTTTCTAATGGAATCAAGTAAAAGGCATTAAAAAGGGGTAAGTCAAATGTGTACAAAGGAAAAGAATTCCATCTACATGCGCATTTTTTTCCATAGGATTTCTTCCATTCTTGGAAATGATAGCATAAATGACCTGATTGTAGTTATAAGTCACAGGTGGAAAGTTTAGTTTTCCTTTCCTTCTGTGAGTCAAATTGATTCCACCCCTCAGGGAACAGCCCAGTATCAGACATGACCCTCTTCCTCAGGGCTGACCTGTGCTCATTCCTGTTCATGCGTTCTTGATCACCTGCTCGAGAGACCCAGCTGATATACCTGGCTTGTGGGTGCAGCTGGAATATGGCCAGATCTCTTTAGAGAGCTAAATCAAATATTTTCATTAGCCCCCTTAAACCCAATAAAGTAAATTCTTGGGTCCCATGGAGGAAAAAGAATAGTCATGAGATGCATTAGACAGTGGGTTTCATTTTTTGTCGTTCATTTACTACACACACACACACACACACACACACACACACACACACACAGAGAGAGAGAGAATTTTGAAATTCTTTATACCTCCACATGTTTATCCAAAATTTGACATTTAAATTTTTTTTATCATAAGTTTAAATAGTTCAATAGCAGAGGATTTAATTTCTGGCATTTTATAAATATTTACATTTAAAAATAAAACTTGTCACTTTTGAAATGTATCTAGTGAAATCTAAATACTATTTTGGTGTAAATGTTTGCTGTCATTCATTTTTTAAAGAAATACACGAACAAGCTCTTTTTTGATACCCAAAACTTCTACATCTTTTTTCTTTTATCCTAATTTTCTATTAGGATAATTTCTATTATCCTAATTTTATCCTAATGTTATATATTTTATATAACATTAGGCTAATGTTATATATATAAATATGTAATATTTTTTATATATGTAACAGCCTAATGTTAAATATATAACAGCCTAATGTTATATATAATATATAACATTAGGCTAATGTTATATAAAATATATAATATTAGCCTATATAACATTAGCCTAATGTTATATATTTTTATGCTTAAAAATCTTTCATTGATCATGCTGTCATAATCCTTTGTAATAAAAATATGTGTAAATAAATTTTTTAAATCCTATGACCGTAAAGGTATAGGTAATTTTTTAAATCTTCTAGATTGATTTATCATTACAGTGATTTTTAGAACAAATTTGATCAAAACAACACAAACGTATTGAACATTTCAATAAACAATTATTAAATATAGAAGTTAATGTCTATTAGAAATATATTTCTTAATGAGATGGATGGTTCTTTATTTCCAATTAGTTTTTTTACCTATGGATGAATGTTATTTTTGCCAAGGGTTCAATATCAATTCCATTCCTTGTTTTAGTCCGTATCATATAAATGGTGAGAAACATTGCCTATCAATTATGTGATGGGAACAGAGTTTCATTAGAGCAAGGTCATTTCCATTTTGAACCTCTGAATTATACACCCAAAACAACCAACCACCTACCTTGGATTTATAATGTCTTGGTTATAGAAGGCTTACTTTTAACCCCTATATCAAATTGGTCCTTTCTGGGGCAAGAACTCCAATGGTGTTCATAGCCCTGGACAGGCAGTTATAATAGATTTGCCATAGGTGAAAATTATGTCTTTCTGCTTGAAGGTAAGAGAAGCAAGCTTGTAAATGGAGAGATGAGTAAACTGGCATGACCTCTTAACCACAAATGCATTATCAGACACATTTAGGAAAGACTCCGGGAAATTGAGATTCTGGAATTTAATTTCCTTAGAATTATCTATGTCCATATAATTCTAGGAAGGATTTTTGTGACACTTCAAGAGGATACATTTTCTAGTTTGAAAACCCCTGTAATAGAGATAGAAATAAGCTCCAAAAACCAAGGACAATAATTCAAAGGGAGTTAGAACTTACGAGAGTAGGGACAGTCAGTTGCATCTAGTGAGCACTGATAATGCATTCTTCAGGCAGAATGTATTTCCCTTTGATTGTAAGTTCATGGTCTTTCCTGAGAAAATTCCAACTGTGTCTGATGGGGAGTCTGGAGAATACCACTGCTGGAATTGGTGTCTTTCAGAGGCTGGCAGAGGAAGGAGCAACAGCATGGATTGTGTGCAGCAGGTGTTTTTATTAACACATGCATTATCACTTTTATTTGTCACTTCATGGAGTCAAGTGACCTTTCCCAGGGCACATGGGCAGACTTTTCCCAGTGGCTGTTCCTGGGCTTCAGAGTACACCCAGGGGAAAATTATCTGTTAGTTACTTTCTCCCTCTTCTTGACACCTTCTGAGTTCCAACGAGTCAGAAGATAATCATAATCAGAATAACATCTCAAAAGAGAAGCTAATTGCAGTTTTTTCTTAGTTGCAAAAGAAATACATGGTCACTGTAGAAATCATGAAACACACAGCACAAAACAATAAAAAAAAAATATTACGGCCGGGCACGGTGGCTCATGCCTGTAATCCCAGCACTTTGGGAGGCTGAGGTGGGCAGATCACGAAGTCAAGAGATTGAGACCATCCTGGCCAACACTGTGAAATCCCGTCTCTACTAAAAATACAAAAATTAGCTGGGCATGGTGGCGCCTGCCTGTAATCCCAGCTACTCGGGAAGCTGAGGCAGGAGAACCGCTTGAACCCAGGAGGTGGAGGTTGCAGTGAGCCAAGATCGCGCCACTGCACTCCAGCCTGGTGACAGAGCGAGACTCCTTCTCAAAAAAAACAAAACAAAACAAAACAAAACAAACAAACAAAAAATATATATATATGGCTCTAAGCCTACCACTAAGAGGTGACTATGAACATTTCAGAGTATCTGTATTCATGAGGAAGGCACATGTACACACATACACAGACATACGCACACTCCTACTCATGGCCAAGAGAGGAAGTTTATATAGTTTAGACTGGACTACACCTGAGTTTAGGTTTTCATTCTCTCATTTTCCAGTTTCTTCATTTGTGAAAAGGCCACAATAATAGTGTATACTTTATTGTGTTGTTGTGAGTGTTAAGTAATGCAAGTACATTTAGCTATACGCTTAGAACATAAGCATTGTATGGATATGGATAATACATATATGTGTGTGTATGTATATATACATATTATAGAGAAAGAGAGAGAGAGAAAGCTTTCAGATTTCATTTTTAGGTTAGCAACATTTCCTCAGCATTTCATTAGTTATGTATTTGTTGTAAGCATAACTTTTGTTTTTATTTTTTGAGACAGAGTCTCGCTCTGTTGCCCAGGCTGGAGTACAGTGGCACGGTCTCAGCTCACCGCAGCCTCCACTTTCCAGGTTCAAGCAATTCTCCTGCCTCAGCCTCCTGAGTAGCTGGTATTACAGGCGCCTGCCACCACGACTGGCTATTTTTTGTATTTTTAGTAAAGGTGGTGTTTCACCATGTTGGCCAGGCTGATCTCGAACTCCTGACCTCAAATGATCAGCCTGCCTCGGCCTCCCAAAGTGCTGAGATTACAGACATGAGCCACCATGCCTGGCCAAGCATAACTTTTAATCACATCTGTTGTATGAATGTAACACAATTGACTTAACCAATCATCCTATTGTTGAACCCTCAGATTGTTTCCATCAATTTGCTAAACAATGCTGTGATGAACATCCTACTGCATATGTCTGATACAATACGCTGCTAAAAGTGGAATTGCTGCACTAGAATCTGCACATTTAAGGCATCTGCAACATGTTGCCTAATTTAACTCCAGAAAGACTACTCATTTCTATTCCAACTTTGAATAGACATAAGAGTGCCTGTCTGCATAAACCTTCATCAACATTGGTATTATCTTTCTTTTTCATCTTTGCTAATTGGATAAGTTTTAAAAAGTGTAACACATTTTAGTTTGCATAGCTTTGATTATAAGTGAGGTTCGACATTTTTTTTCATTTCTTTACACTTTAAAAAATCTAACCGTGGCAACGTTTGCAGGTGTGTGTTCTTCTTATGTTGCTGAGTGTTATTTACTCCCGGACCCATGTCTGTATCCATCTCTGTTTTCTGCAGGAGGCATAAAATTAAAGTTCAGCTTCCCTAGAACGGGTGTGTATGTGTAAGAGGTTTAATCAATAACTGACAGAGGAAGTGGGGGTTCAGAGTACCCTCCCAGGCCTCTGTGGATTTCTTCTCTTTCAACCTGGCTGCTGCTTCTCTGACAGGTATACTTCTTAGCTCCGGGGACCTGGACCAGACAGCCCTCACTCTGCCCCCATGTGCCTTGGGACTCTGGACCTTGCAGAAATACTTATGGCCTGAAAAATGCAAAAGGTCGCAGGCTTATTTTTAGATGAAAAAAAAAAAAAACATTCAGACTCCATTTTAAGCATAAAGAATTCTATAATAGGATGCTTCCTCTTGCTGTATTATTTGTATTGTACGTATTAGTCTGTCTCTCTCTCTTTCTCTCTCCCTCTCTCTTCTCTCTCCTCTCTCTCCCCATTTCTTTCTACTCCTCCCCTCTCCCCACTGCCCCCTTTTTGGCAAATTACACTTTTCCATGACAAGAAGTAAGTACTGTCAATAAAGAAAGCAAATGCATGACAAAGATTTCAAGAGTTGAAACCTCCTCTTGTCTGACTCCCCTTCACTCTGGGATCTGAACCGTGTGACAGAAGCTCCCTGTGGCGTGTCTTTAGTCCCTCCACAATGGGATCTTGTTTTGTTCCTCAAACATTTTTTTTTTTGGGCCATGAAAAAAGATTTCTCATAGAGAGGGAGAGAGAGAAAGACCATGTGAGAGAGAGACAGGGAAACAGCGGTGTATCCAAGGCTTATTCCTTTCCCTACTCGTTCTCCCTGTTCCAGATCCTTCCCATCTGCTTCCCACCAGGAAAAGCACAAGGCCTTGTTAGCTACGGCTGGAGTGAATCACAGCTATTATCTGTACCTTTCCCCAGATTTCAGCCACTTCTTTCTTCTTCTAAAAGCAGTCCTGTATAAAGATAATTTCTTCTGTCTTCCCACCACCCATGGCTAGCTTTTTGTTTTGCATTTTGTAGTTGAAAGGACATGAAATAGACTTTAAAACTTGCTTGGTTAAATAAATATTCACAGGCCTCACTTAGACACACAAACCCACATGGTCAGTGTGACTACAATAAGCTTATGAAGGCACCAAAGATAAATCTAGTTTGTCTTTGAATTTCAAAAGTTGGCATCTCCCAGCTGGAATCCTTGAGTGGGCCTGCATTCATATATATTCAGTACAAGCATAAACAGCATCCTAATTAATGAATTTGTTAATTCATTTTGCCAGCTGAGAACAAAAAACATTGTTTGGTCTCTAGCCATTGTGTGTGTGTATATGTGTGTGTGAATTTGGAATCCCCAGATTTCAAATCACTAAATCAGCAGATTACATAGTCTCTTCAGTCCTTCAAGACTTCTAAAAGGCTTGGAGATTATTTCTTATAACGGTTAATTGTTAGGAACTACTTTTCGTTTTAAACTGCATACTATATAGCCTATATAATGGATACATAGATTGATACAGAATGTTGGTTATGTCTTTGTATTTTCTTTTCTTTTTTTTCCTTTTTTTTTTTTTGAGACTGAGTCTCATTCTGTCTGGAGTGCAGTGGCACCATCTCGGCTCACTGCAACTTCCGCCTCCCAGGTTCACACCATTCTCCTGCCTCAGCCTCCCGAGTAGCTGGGACTACAGGCGCCCGCCACCACACCTGGCTAATTTTTTTTTTTTTTTTTTTGTATTTTTAGTAGAGACGGGGTTTCACTGTGTTAGGCAAGATGGTCTCGAACTCCTGACCTCGTAATCTGCCCGCCTCTTCTTCCCAAAGTGCTGGGATTACAGGCGTGAGCCACCATGCCCGGCCCTATGTCCTTGTATTTTCAAGTGACTTACAGAAAACCAGTTCTGTGACACTGGTAAGCTCAAGTTATTTATATTCCCTGGCTGGGTGTATCTAATAACTCTTCAAATTGGAGCATCACCTCCATGGATGAAATGCTCACTTTGCGGAGTTTAAACCCTAAAGCGGCATGATTTGCTTGCAGAGATTGGCCCTCTTGACTAGATGACACTTCGGATAAAGTAAAAAGTAGGCTGACTAGTTTCTAAATTAAAGGTAGGCTGCATTTGGAGACGCTAACATATTTTTTTCAATATAATACAATCCCTTTAATATTTTTATATGGTATTGTTTTAACACTGAGCAAGACGCCCCAAAGCCCACGATTAAATTAGGAGAAATCCCCCTGCTGCTTCTATTGAATCGAGTTAATATAATGACTTTATTGTTAAATTAAACAAAATAAAACTTGCCATGTGGAAGAAATATGGCTGATGATATCACAGTGGGATGTGGTTTTTGCCTTCCTACCTTGCTTCCATGTTACTCAGAGGTAGCTTTATTGGTTCATATGCTGCAGCTTCAACACACTGACGCTGCATCCCTTGGGAGGTGAAAGCTGACAGGTAAGCTTGGCACATGAACCAGAAGGGAACTGAAACCTCTCAGGGTGGCCAGATGGGAGGGCCAGCCTTCCTGGGACTAAGTCCTCCTTCCTAGATGCAGGTACTAATGTCATGTGGACATGGTTTCTATTTCCCTCCCATTCATTCTATTGAAAGACAGACATGAAACCAGTCAGCCCGCCTCAACAGCCTGGCAGAGAAAGGAGCTCATTTGGTGGCCACCAGCTCCCCAGCTGCCCTGCCTGTTCATGGCTGCCCCCGTGGGCCACGCTCTGTTTGAAGTTGGCTGTCTCCACTCTAGGACTGTCTTCTTTCCTCCTGCCCACCTCAGCCGACTCTTGCCTGGATCTTTGTATGACTGTGCCTTTCTTGTCGTTCTGTTCTTGGTTTAAATGCCCCTTCCTCAGAGAGTTCTTTTTTCCTTGGCCACATAGAAGTAACCCCTCAGTCACTCTCTGTCCTATTCCTTGATTTAATTTTTGTCATATTTCACACTATCAAATATTTCTTTCCTATTAACTGGTGCTTTTACAGCTGTTCACTCCTCCCACTAGAAAGTGAACTCTGCCAGCACAGTTACCATGTTGGCTTCCCCTACTGTATCCCTAGTGTCTAGGACAGAGCCGGCACTCAGGAGATACTTGTTGAAAGAGTGACTCCACAATCTACCCATGTGGCCTTGGGCAGCCGTCTTGACTTCTCTGAATTTTGATTGCTTGCTTATAGTGGTAGATATAATAAATGCCCATCTCCCAGCGGCACTGTAAAGCTTAAATCTATTTCAAGGAAACTAGCCCAGCACATCACGTTAGTTTTCTTCCTCTGACTCTTAACATTTCAGCTTCAAAGGCTTTGTGCTCCTCTTGGAGCCCTTACCTTACTCAGCCAGGAAGCAGATTATTTTGTGGTTGATAGTTCCAATGGGAATCTGAGCCCTAAGTTGAGTTATTAATGACCTTTTTATAGCACACTCTTGCGCCCTCACAGGGATTTTTAATTCATTTTTCAAAAGCGTTGTTTCCTCCAGCAGACCATGGATTGGTAACTATTGTGTTTATCACAGTGGTGAGGGACAGAGTGATGAGACTGCAACTTGGGATGGGACAAAGCAGGCCAGGGCCAGAATGTTGGAAGGACTTACAAGAAACCAGTGGGTTAGACATTTGCCCAATAATAAGGTAATTTAAAATGGAGTGTCCTCAGAAACCTGCTTGATACTTTTACTAACCTCAGTTAAGAGAGGTCTTTTTTTTCCATTTATTTTTAATTAAAAGATCATCATGAGCTGGAGGAATCTTCATAGTCATTTGCTACAGTCTTCTTATCTTAAAGATGAAGAAACTGAGGCCCAAGAGGGTAAGATGCTTATCTCAGGTGTCCCCACATGATAGTGACAAGCTGGGTCCACCCAGGTCCTCTAATTCCCTGGCTGATCACTTCCCGCTTTGCTTGCCTGATCTCCCTCTGGAAATGGCCACCTGAATTTCTCCTGCTTTCATTTAATTTCCCTAAAGCCTCTTATAAGGGTCAGTCATGTGCTGGACAATAGTAATCAAATTGCCCTTTTTCTTTCTTCTGAGGTCAAAACCACCCCAATTCCACTAACCTTCACTCACCAGGTCTATTTTCCGTCAGGTTAGCAGCTTCTGTTCTCTGGTTCAATCCTCTGCACTCACTTTTCCCCTACTTGAAGGGCAGTGGCTGGACACCACCTCTCCCTGCTCTCCCAGGCATGCTCCCTGGACAAGGATCTCCTTGCCTTTGAACCTGTGATCCTGATGTCCCTTCACTCACCAGTGTGTCATTATCCGTTTCGATTATGGGATGTTCACTTTGCATCTGATATCATTCCCAGTCTTGGTTCTTCTCATCTTTTACATTAGTTGGCTGGTCAGTAGAACAATCTGTTCCCAGGCCTTAAAATGTCCAGTTAATCTTAGGTAAACCTGTGTAAGCCACACGTTAAGCTGATTAAAGTATGGTTTAGTATAATGAACATTTTTCTTTAGTGTAATGAACATTTAAAATATTCTTGCCATCATCATCAAGAAGAACTCACCATCAACTGTATTTTCCAAAAGATATTTAGCTAATAATTTTTTAAAACCTAAACGCTAAGTATATCCTATAATTTTACATCTGTTAAACGATTGTAACTGTGAAATGTTAACACTTAAAAAAAAAAACTTTGCTTTTCCAGCTGTTGATCTGATGGAAACGTTTCATGTTACTGTGCAGGAAGTCCCCCTTGCAATCTTGAAGTAGTTCTGTTAGGATGCCTTTTTTTGAGGGGGAAAGGGGCAGATTAATTTCTTGTCTGTAATTCAGCTGTTTTTATTTTCTTTTCACATGCAAAGTCTGTTTAGAATTTGCCTCCAGAATCTGATCCTCTTCTAAATGGCCACAAGCCAGTTTTCATCGCCCTCAATTCAGAACGGGTGGGGTCAACTTTGAAGCTGGTGGGAGGGGGGATGAAGAACCCAAAAGCAAAATCTTTTCCTTTCCTTATTGTTCACATGCACAAGGGCCTGTGGATTTCCCTAAGGAGCCTCTGGGTCCTCGTGAAGGCTGAGCCCCCAGCACACACAGACAGATGTACAGGAAGTCTTGATAAGGCCGCGGCAGGGGCAGAGGTGGGGTGAGCTTGGGCACATGTGTGGGAGAGATGGGGCATGGACACAGCCTGCCATGTAATGAAGGGCATGTCTAAAAGACAACCTGCTAGTTTTGAATATATGAAGATTTTCCCATGTGAAATGGGGATACAAGCTAATTTATTTGGCCTCAAAGGTAAGCTAACATCCATGAATATAAGCTAGCAGGAGTCAGATTCCAGGTCTGTGCCAGGAAGATACCCTCTGCTAGTCTGGGCTACCTATGGTGGAGTGAGCCTTAGTGGGAGTGAGCTCCCTGTCACTGTTCTTTTGAGAACCCCATGTTCAAATGGAGCCTGGGAAACTTCCCACAGCAGTGTTTCAGGGCTCCGTATGCCGTGAGAGGAATCTTTCTATCAAACGATGAGGATGTTTTCACTGCTCAGCAACCTCTTCCTCAATTTTAATTGTTTTCTATGCCAGGGGTCCACAGAAGATTTAATTTCAAAAAGAATTCCACTGCTTGAACACATCAGCAACAACTGCTTGATAACCACCATGCTTGATGATTTTCAGGCTCTCTTCTAGCTCTGGGATGCTGTGACTGTAGCAGAATCCAGTGTGGTTGTTTATTGTGTTCTGGATCCCCCTCTCCCCCTGGCAACCACTCCAGTTTAGCTGTCTTCAACCTCTCCCAAAGAGACAGACCTCCCTGTCACTGAGCGGAGATAGCCCTGATCTGAGCCTCCTATGGCTGTTCCTTGTCAGTTTGGTTCTTGCTCTGAAAAACGAATATTATCATGCCAGTCTCCCAGGATGCTGAGGTGTTGTTTCGAGATTCTACAGAGGGGTAGGTGGGTGGGCCCTGGCCAAGCTGAGAGAGACACTGGGGACCTGTCAAGAATATCACATAGTTATCAGCCTTGTGAAGAGGCTGTCAGAAATATACATGGTGGGGTGGGTGCGGTGGCTCACGCCTGTAATCCCAGCACTTTGGGAGACTGAGGCCGGCAGATCACCTGAGGTCAGGAGTTCGAGACCGGCCTAGCTAACATGGTGAAACCCTGTCTCTGCTAAAATACAAAAAAATTATCTGGGCGTGGTGGCATGTGACTGTAATCCCAGCTACTTGGGAGGCTGAGGCAGGAGAATTGCTTGAACCTGGGATGCAGAAGTTGCAGTGAGCTGAGATCACACCACTGCACTCCAGCCTGGGCAAAGGAGCCAGACTCTGTCTCAAAAAAAAAAAAAGAAAGAAATATACATGGTGAAGCCTGGGCAACATGGTGAGACACCATCTCTATAATGCTTTTTTTAAAAAAGTCAGCCAGGTGTGGTATTACATGCCTGTAGTCGCAGCTACTCAGGGGGCTAAGGTGGGAGGATCACCTGAGTCCAGGAGTTTGAGGCTACAGTGAGCTGTGATCGGGCCACTGTACTCCAGCCTGGGTGGCATAGCAAGAACCTGTCTCAGAAAAAAAGAAAGATTATACATGATGAAGGCAGCTTTGGTTAAAAGGAATAGAAAAAGCAAAGCAAACCCATATGGGGTTTCTGAACTTCCTCTGAAATTTTGAAGCTATGGTTGAGCCACACCTATTGGTCTCTAGAGTGGATTCAGTTGTGCTCTTGGGCATTAAATCACCCATCTTCACCGGAGCATCGTGATAGTGTCTGTGCATTGTGGCTCACTCTCTCCATAAACAATGTGTTGAAGACATAAACAAGAGTATTATGTTTTGATTAAGCCTAATAAATGGTTTCCTTGAGGTTATGGCTCTTTTACTTTATCATGGGCAATTCTTAAAGCCACAGAAAGAAAGATGACTTGCCCAATCACTAAAGCAAAGTTAAAGGAAACTTCAAGGTCCAGATGGGAGAAAATGTGGGTTTCTGGTGACAAAATCACTTTTTAGAATCTTCTATTGTAGAGATGGGTAGATGGGACAGCAGCAACATAAATTTGAATTTTTTTTAAGCCATAACTATCATGTGGAAGATATACATGGGTGCTTTCTAAGAAGATAAATGTGAGTATTTGAGTATATCAGTAGACTATCTTAATTTTTTAAAACACACTATTTGAGAAGCAGCCATTCTCAGGGGAAAAACAATTTTTGAAGATGTTTTTAATATTAATAAAAATATTACTTTCTAGAAAGTTAATGACATATAAATATATCTTTTCTTTAAAATATTGTAGAGAATGTCATGTAAAATAAAACTAATGCAAAACTGGAAGGAGAACAGACTTGACTCTCGGAAGATTCATGTTTGGCACGAGACAGCTGTATGTTCGTAGACAAATTGTTTTCCTTCTCTGAGCCTCTATTTTTATATTGATTTAATGAGAGAATAGACCCTATAAATCCGATACCTTTTCACCTCTGAAGTGCTATCATTCTCTTCCTAAATCACACAAACATTCTTACTTAATCTGCAAATCAGTATAATTCAAACAAACCAATTATGTTGACCCTCCCCTCCAAGCTCCCAGCTAGTACTTCCCACATCAAAACGTCTGAGAACAACCAATTCAAGCACCTAACATATTTTGTTTTCAGTTTATAAGAATAGCAGTAATCAAACACACACACACACACACACACACACAAACCCCAATATCATCTCTTCTTCCATAAAAAAATTTTTGACCCACTGTGGACTTTATAGGCTCCTAAAATGTATTTGAGGATGGTGTAAAAATTACGTTAGGTTCTTTTGAAGATACTCTTTTTTTTTTTTTAAGACGTAGTCTCCCTGTCTCCCAGGCTGGAGTGCAGTGGCGTGATCTCCACTCACTGCAAGCTCCGCCTCCTGGGTTCACACCATTCTCCTGCTTCAGCCTCCCGAGTAGCTGCGACTACAGGCGCCTGCCACCACTCCCGGCTAATTTTTTGTATTTTTAGTAGAGACGGGGTTTCACCATGTTAGCCAGGATGGTCTCGATCTCCTGACCTCGTGATCCACCCACCTCAGCCTCCTAAAGTGCTGGGATTACAGGTGTGAGCCATCGTGCCCGGCCTGAAGATATTATATTGTATTTAAAGGGTAACTGATGATATGACACAATGTATGTATTCCCTGTGCATTTTTACTGTAGCTGCCACTTCATTGTACTGGTGTAGACCTCAATGTGTTACTGAAACAAAAGACCTAAAATTCTTTAATTTTGAATCAGATATAATGGAGATACAACAAAGTATACAGATCTTGTGTTCAGTTCAGTGAGTTTTGACAATCGTATATACCCATGTAACCACCAATTAAAACAAGATGTAGGGCTGGGCGTGGTGGCTCATGCCTGTAATCCTAGCACTTTGGGAGGCCGAGGCAGGCAGAACACTTGAGGTCAGGAGTTCGATTCCAGCCTGGCCAACATGGTGCAAACCCCGTCCCTACTAAAAATACAAAAATTAGCTGGGCATGGTGCCACATGCCTGTAATCCCAGCTGCTTGGGAGTCTGAGGCTGGAGAATCACTTGAACCTGGGAGGCAGAGGTTGCAGTGAGCTGAGATCTCACCACTGTACTGCAGCCTGGGCAACAGAGTGAGACTCCATCTCAAAAAAAAAAAAAAAAACAAAAAACAAGATCTAGATCATTTCCATCCCTCTAGAAACTTTCCTCACATAAGCTCCTAAATATCTTAGTTCCTCATTTTTGTTCTTTTTATTTATCAATGCATAAACAAGAATCACTGGAAAGGGGACAATTTGATAAGCAAGGAACTTTCACAGCTACCTGCAAGAAAACGATTTTCCCCTTGAACTTGACTCAAAATATTGACTGCTTTTCTTGAACAGAATGGTCAGATGTGCGTTCTTTTTTCATATTCATACTCTGTGGTGGACATAACAATGAGGACATAAATATGTGGGGCGTACTATTTGGTGTTAGTGAACACTTACAAAGAAGCCTTCACTGTCTTGTAGGGAAACCCCAGGGTATTCTGCCAGCATATCACGAGACTCTGTGGACCAATGCAGTGATTTGAAAAGGAATACACATCAGGCATTTTTGAGGGGGTCTTGAGTTGGGCTATCAGATCTGTGCTCAAACGTCTGGGGACAAGAGACCTTGTGCTATAGGCTTTTTACTAAGTGAGCGGGAGGAAGCCCCACCAGTTTGAAGGAAGGAGACCTGGTCAGGGGGAGGAAGGGGAGGGGAGGAGGAACAAATGGAGGAAGATGCTTCTTCCAAGGTCACGCCTATCAGAATGTGGAGCCAGGAAATAGAAGGGAGCACCCATGAGGCCCTGAAGGCCAGGAGGCCTCGCGCTGGCCGAGAATCATTTGAGAACACTCGGGAAGCTCAGCTGCCACACCTGAGGCAGGCCCTCATTTATCTGAGCCTCTGTACCCGGAGTGCTAACAACCAGCTCAAATTGGCTGATTTTTCCACATTTGTCAGGGAGCCAGCTGCACTGGCTCAGCTGAGCATCTGCGGAAAGGAAAGAAGAGAACCAGAAAAAAAAAGAAAGCTTTTAAGTCATTATTCTTATTCATTTCCCTATTCTCTGCCCCACCCTCCCAGTCTCCACTGCCATGCCTCTTTCTTCTTCTTCTTCTTTTTTTAAAAATCTTTTTATAACAATCTTTTCCTTTATGCGGCGAGAGCCATTGGCATCCTTCCAGTGACCTGTCTGTAGAGAGACACTCCTCCCTTGTAATTAGGCCTTTGTTATACCACTTCCTGATTTTCTTCTCTTTCTTTCCCTTTTAAAGTTTCTGGCCCTTGACACCCCAATGCCCCAATAGAATATCCACACTTGTTAAAACGAAGGGTCTTCAAAAGGTTGGTAAAGTTGGCTTTCTCAAGGAGGCCTGTGAGTTCATTCAGGCCTGTGGTTACAATGGGCTAGGGCATGGAAGGACCTGAAAGAAGACGTATGTTGAGTTGTCTTCATTCTGGTTTCAATCTCACCTACAGTGCCCTCTCACCATCCTGTTCCCCGCTCTTGGACCACTTGATTTCTGGTCACAGTTTTTGCATTCCGCTATTCCTGGGCTATAATCATGTAGGCTTCAGGGCAGGAGGACAGGATTTCTCCTTCTCAAATCCTCCTACAAGGACAGAAAGATCTGGTACCCAAAGAAGCAGGGAAAGGCAGAGATGGCAACAGGAAGCCAGGCTAATGGGCCTAGACCCCTTTTTCCTGGGGCTCATGAAATGGTAGTCAAAGGAGAAGGGAGGGGTTTTGAATAGGCTTGAGAATGGAGATGTAGGTCTGGTTATTTACACAAACAATTGGTTACGTTACATTCAGTTTCTTTTAAAGAAAATCGGTAGCAGAATATTTACAGTTACAGCTACTACATTTGAGGAGATTCGCCTTGGAAGCCTCTAAGTGTAATCACTGAAGTTTTTGGAATATAAAGAAGAAATTATGAGGGCTTTTCCCATCAGGATTAGTGCCATTCACTTCTGTTCTCTTTGTTTTGAAATCTGTAATGCAAAAATAAATAAATGCCACACAGCTTAGATAACCACTCTTAGTGACCTCTGTTTATCTGAGGTAGCTTTCAGAGATAAACCTGTTTGTCCAGTTCAAACTTGGACAAAACATTGAATTTTTAATATGCCCAGACTCATTTCATGATGAACCCAAAGTTTTACCAAGTTACTTAGTGCATTTATACCAGATGAGGGTAACACATGTTTTTTGCCCCTTTTATAGGTCTTAGAATTTTTAGATAGAGATTATATTTTATTTTCCTTTGAAAATTATGTATCTAGGTAAATATTATAGGGAAAATGTTTTATCAATTTACCTTTGGTGTACAGGGATCCACCCCCTAAATTGTCTTTATCCAAGCTACTAGTAGCACTGTTTGTGGGTGTCTAAGAATACCAAATGATTTTGCTGATGGTTTAAAAGATTGCAGTTAGGTTCCTTAGAAAAAGGAGTTGGACTGGTTGAATGAGAATTAAATGCGGTACTGATCATAACAATGTATCTACAACATTTAAGGTAGATCCCAGGTCTTTTTTTTTTTTTTTTTTTTTTGAGATGGAGAGTCTTGCTCTGTCACCCAGGTTGGAGTGCAGTGGCGTGATCTTAGCTCACTGCAACCTCCGCCCCCTGGGTTCAAGCAATTCTCCTGCCTCAGCCTCCAGAGTAGCCAGGATTACAGGCATCTGCCACCATGCATGCCTGGCTAATTTTTGTATTCTTAGTAGAGATGGGGTTTCACCATGTTGGCCAGGCTGGTCTTGAACTCCTGACCTCAGGTAATCCACCGACCTTGGCCTCTCAAAGTGCTGGGATTACAGGAGTGAGCCGCTGTGCCCAGCCGATCCCAGGTCGTTAACTTGCTTTGTAAGTTTCTTAGCCAGTCTATAAAAGGGGGACAGTAATACCTTCCCCACAATAATGTTATGAAGGTCAGTGAGATCCCATATGTGAAGTGCCTGAGGAAGAATACTTGGGACATGACACATGCTAGAAGAATGCACAGATTTAGCCATTTCTCAGAGACCTGCAGGGTACTTTTTCAACTTGGAAATGTTACCACTATCCAAGAAAGAGCTGAGCTTAACATAATAAGAATATTGTAAATAGACAGCTATTACCTACACTGTTAAGTAACCAATGCCAAGGACAAGTAAGTATGGCAGAAGAGCTTGATCAGAAGCTCATGCTTTCCATTTCAAAATAGTCCAGCACTTTGGGAGAGGGGGTGGGTGGTGGGACCTCTGCAATTTATGGATCAGTAGTTTCATGCTGAAGCACTTGAAGTTTTTTGGTATGCGGATCCAGGAAAGCCATTTTTCTATATGGCTTTCTCTTTTAAGTATCAGTGTTTTAAGTATCAGTTAAGTACTCAAACCAGACCGAAGTAGACTTTATATTTAAAGCACAGATTGACTTTTGACTTACTTAATGTCTACAGGTGCATTCTGATTTCCAGATATACATCCTTCTCTTGTATCTTTGTAACCTGTGTGAATGGCTCTCTGAAAACATCCACGGTGTCAGAGGCTCTGACTGTGGGACAAGGGATGACGACAGATGAGTAGATGATCGTGGAGGTAAAGCTTCCCTCTCAGAACTGTAGTGGCAATGAGGAGAAGGAAGTGATCCCACGGTAGCTTGCCATCTATATCTAGGCCTGGATACCCACTTGTGGGGGATAGGAAGATCTAGTCTTGACTATTCTTTGTTCCCATTCTTATATATGTTGTGTCTGTAGGACCTACCCTACATGGGTTGTAAGGGCAAATTTGTAATGTATGGGTCGTGTAGGCCCTTTATCCTATGGCAAGCATAGGAAATACAAGTACCTAGATTTCCCTCCGTAAGTGCCAGTGTTTCTTAAAATCTTAGGTTAACTTCATCATAGCTCCGTGCTTAACCAGAAATGAATGGGGCCTAAATCCTGGCAACTAGTTGAAATTGTTTTAATCAAGTCTTCCATTTTTTCCTCTTCTCTCCGTCATTCCAAACCCGTGGGCCTTCTTTGTGCCATTTCCTCCAGCAGGAATCCATTTTTCTTCCTTGTTTGAAACTCTGGTGTTTATTAATACAATAATGTGTAAAAGCATACATTATAGTACTAACAACATTTTCATATGGATCTTTTTTACTTAACACTATTTCACATCTGCTTCTCCTTAAATCCAAAGACTTGATTTTATTTATTCATTTACCATAATGTTCTTATTTCTTATTGTTAGACATTGAGGTTGTTTCTAACTTTTTACCATTTTATTTTACTTTATTTTATTTTATTTTATTTTATTTTTGAGGCACGGTCTCGCTCTGTCACGCAGGCTGGAGTACAGGGATGCTGTCATGGCTTGCTATAGCCTTGACCTCCTGGGATCAAGCAATCTTCCCTCCTCATCAACCTCCTGAGTAGCACAGGTGCTTGCAGCATCAAGGCCGGATAATGTTTGTTTGTTTTTTGTTTTTTGGCTGAGATGGGGTTTTGCTATGTTGCCCAAGCTAGCCTTGAACTGCTGGGATCAAGCAATCCTCTCGCCTCAGCCTCCGAAAGTGCTGGGATTACAGGTGTGAGCTGCCAACACCCCGTCTTAACTTTTAAATACCATTTTATATTTTTTAAAACTTTACTACTTTTAAACTTTTTTCATCTTTTGAGCCATTTTTTTAACAAAAACTCTTAGAATTATTGTTATTAAGACACAAACACTCTTAAAGCTTTTAGGACTTTTGATATGTATTGCCTGTCAAGTTAATTTTTGCATGTCTAAAGTGATCCAGAAACATCCTCTATTGACCTCTCTAACTGAAGCCTATTACCTCCTTGAAAACCCACATTTGAGTCTCCCCTTACCCAGTCTGTAGTTTCCAAGTAAATCCGACGGTCTTTATTCTGTCTGCGGTATTTCATTCATTCATTCATTCATTCACTCACTCAACAAACAGTTTCTACTTGCTTTACTGATATTTGTTCTTTGGTCTTTGGCTAGAAGTCAGCTTGATACAGGAAGTTCTGTTCTCTTGCCACCTGGTTCTGAGAAGAAGAGTGAAGTTTTATTATTTCCTGGGTATAGTCCGTGTCTTCTCAACAGGGACTGGGTTTTCCATTCATTTTTAAAAATTTTACTTTTATAGTGAGCATCCAGTGATTATTGAATAAATGAAAAATGAAAGAGATTTGGCTCTTGCTAGTTTGAAAAACAGTTGTTTGCTTTTTTAATAGACATGACATATAGATAAAGATTACTTGGGATTTGGTGACATGAAGAACATTTTACTTAGTTGTCAGTAACTCACTTTAGCTAAACCTAAGGTTTATAATTTGATTTTTGCTTGCCTTGTATTTTGAGATTCCATCTACTTTAACTCCTTTATAATGTTTCATGCTTGGCACCCTCAAATATTGAGTAAATGTGTATTAAATAATGGTCCAAGTATTTTTGCTTTTTTGGAACCCTGGAAAACTCATGCTGTAGGTGTGGGTGTTTGGGCTTGGATGTGTGTGTGTGTGCATACACAGTGTGTGAGGAAATGACTTTGTAATTGTATATGTAACATATTTCACACATTTTAAATTTTCCGTTGCCTCATTCCGAGAACCCAAGTTCTTCCAGGATCTGCTGTCTTATCAGTTTACATTCCTGAAGAATATTCATGATAAAGGTATTGGCTGTTTGATCAGCCATTTCTTACCCGGGAATGATTGGAAATGAAAGAATTACACCATTTCTTAGCATTTCTGATTACATTTTACTTTTTATTTTGTTTTCATAACTTGCTACAAAAGGCACAGGAGTAGGAAATTTACTCATTTTTCTACTTCTTAATAATTGAGTTGCTGCCCAGTCATAATGTGACACAAGTATAATTATATCCTAAAACAAGGGCTAATAAGAAAAGAAAATCACACAAAAGCCTTCCTAATTTCAAAATATCCTAACACTTTTATACTATTAATTGTCAAATTAAAATTTCATTTATTATCTCATTAAGCCCTCTGAGTACATAAACAGTGCATTAGGGCATAATTGGAGCTTTTAAAAATAAAAGTTATATTTGATCTAACAAGATAAAGTCTGCTGCTATTGATTTTCCTGGGAAACAAAAAGCTCAGATCTCAGCATGAACCAAATGAAACTATTGGATCCATGAGTTCAAATTAGTGGTATTAATCATATGACCTCAGGGTGTTTGAGTGGAAAGTTAGTAATCTCTGACAAAAATAATTAATCACAGAATTTTTAGCCAAAGAAGTTCTAAGTATAGTGGGTGGACCTGTGAATGGACTACTTTTCTTATAAAAACAAAAGTAAAAGAAGTGGTTTTGGAGTGGTCTGGACTAGATTCCAATCCTGACTCGACCTCAGGGTGTTTGAGTGGAGAGTAAAAGTTAGTAATTTCTGACAAAAATAGTTATTCACTGAATTTTTAGCCAGAGAAGTTCTAAGTATAGTGGATGGACCTGTGAATGGACTACTTTTCTTATAAAAACAAAAGTAAAAAAAGTGGTTTTGGAGTGGTCTGGACTAGATTCCAATCCTGACTCTACCACGAACAAGCTAAATCACCTCAGGCAGGGTTCCTGCCTCAGTTTCCCCATCTTAAAGCAGACGTAAAGCAGCAATTCCACTCTTGAGTATATACCCAAGAAAAACATATATTCACACAGAAATTTGAATATTTAGAGCAGCATTATTCATAATAGACAAAAAGCAGAAACCATCCAAATATCCATCAACTGATTAATGGATACATAAATAGTGGTTTTTACATACAATGGAATATTATTCAGCCATAAAAAGGAATGAAGTACTGATATATGCTACAACTTAGATGAAGTTTGAGAATATTAAGCTAAAAGAAAGACCATACACAAAAGTTCAGATATTACATGATTTCTTTTATATGGTATATCCATAATAGGCAAATCCATAGAGACAAAAAGCAGATTAGTCATTAAGAGGACATGAGAGGAGAAGGGGATGGGGAGCAATTACTTAATAAGTATGGGTTGTTTTTCAGGGGCGATGAGACTGTTTTGAAACTAGAAAGAGGTAGTGGTTGCAGATTATTGTGAGTGCACCAAATACCACTGAATTGTGCACTTTAAAATGGCTAATTGCATCTGATGGACCTTTCACCTGAATAGAAATAAAATAAGAATACTTTTCCCTGAAGGTGATTAGGTTTAAATCAGGATGATGTATACATGGTGGACATTCAAAAAATACCCTTTTCTTTCTTTATTCTGCCTTTATCACTGTGCCCGCCCCACAACCCGCACCCTTTCTGGATGATTCCTTCTTTCCTTCGGTGTAAAAGAAAAGACAGTGAGATCATAGTAGTTTCAACTGAAAAGTAAGTGGAAATGGGGAGTGGGGTGCACATACCAATCTCTGTGCACCTGGAGTAGATAAATCTAGGTCAGCCCTTTAAGATGTTAGTGTCTGTTAAACTGCATTGTGTACCTTATTGAGAATGTTTCAGGTGGCCTTTAAACATCATAGAGTCTTTGGAGGGGTGGGAATAGACAGAGACAGCTACAGCGTTTGGAGCACTTCATCTAGGGCAGGTATTTGCCAAGGAAGCAGCGAGTCGTAATTCTAATAGTTTAGCAGTAGAGGATTTGCCATGGTCAATGGGCTGTTTGTCAGCGGGGCAAGTGTTTTGCCTTTGGCTATGACTTTTATATATTCTTTCCAATGGAGGCGGAACAACAGATGAGCAAAAATCCCCAAACATTATGCTCACTGGTTGAAAAATAGGCATTTCCTGAGCTGAATGGAGGTAATTGCCTTCTGACCTACGAGGTGAGCAGTCTATTTCCAGGAGCATCAAATGTGACTTCCTGGCTATTAGCATGCTATGACTGATTGTAGCTACATTTGCTTCTGACTTTCTACCCCAAAGGGAATTAATATTTCTACCTGTTTCTAGGATTAGGTAATCTGTCACTTGCCCCCAGTGTCTTCCCTCTCCCAACCCTCCTTCTGGCCTGGAGGACCTGCTTAGGGCTTCCGTCTGCTACGCTGTTTTCACTCTTACCACTTAGTTGCCCTGTGCAATATGGTCTGCTCACTTCCTGGGTACTTAGAATTGTACAGCTTTGTATTGATGGATTCTCAACACAATGGCAAGAGTGAAGGCAGAGCAGTGTGAGTAAGAACATCTTGGCAGCCAGGGGACAGCAGGCCAAGCTGCCACGAAGAAAAGGATGCAATTAGACCAGCGATATGAGTGGGATCCAGCCCATCAATCAGTATTTGCACTTGAGCCCCTTCTGTGTGGAGAGCACTTGTAGGTAAAGAGGGCTTGCCTTCAAGATCAGAGTGCCAGTTGCTAGCTGTGCAGCTTTGGACATGCAACCAATAAATCTGAGCCTCAGTTTTCCTGTCTGTAACTGAGATAAAAATTGCTTCCTCAGGACTCTTTGGAGAGTTAAATGAAGGCAGCCCAGTACTTATCACAAAGCAAGGGCTCCCTAAGTGGATACTCAGTGTAACTGAATCTCTGTTTCAAAGAAGTGAGGTGCCTTCACTGCCCTCAAGAATGTCTGGGGAGACGATGAAATCCCCAAAATGTTGTACAAATCATACACATCCTGAAGGATGTGGTTATAAGTCTCAGGTTTTTGGTATTAATGAGAGAAGGGCATCAGTAATTGGCTGGAATAATGAAAGTTGTAATACTTACCATTTTTGAGCACCCCTAATCCTCACTATGACCCAGAATTTTATGATAAAGAATCTGTGATTCAGAGAGGTTGTTTGCCCATCTCAGATCTGGTCAACCTCGAAGTCCATGGTTTTCCCATCATGCAGTACTGTTTTGGTAGGATTTGAGTTGAGCTTTGAAGAATAAGCAGACTTGGATAATCTGGAGTCTGTCTTGGATAATTATGATTAGACAGACCGTCCTCCAGGAAAGAAGGAACAGCTGGGACCAAGGCACGGAGGTGAGAATGACGTGCCCAACAATAAGGAGACACCATCCATGTGGCATGGGAAGAAATAATGAGACATTATAACCCCATGTCTTTAGTCCTGAAATCTGTTCTGAGCATCAGTCTACCCAGCTGACCTCAGCATGCTACCAATATCATCATATCCCTTGTTATGTGATTACCAGTCTTTCCATGGAGAGGCAAGTTTAGTCTTATTCCAGGAATGTTTGGCATTACTGGACATCCGAAGTAGCTGAATCCAAAGTGCTTTGAGTGGAGGACAGGCAAAGAAAATGAACAAACAAACATATGAAAAAACCAAAGTGCTTTATTTAATCACCCGGTCTGCGGATTGTGTTGAATCAAGGTGTCAGTGATTCTAGGTGGTTCTGTCTCCCCCTAAACTGAGACAGAGCAGATACTTCAGGAAAACGTGGAAGTTGGTCCGTACTTCTACAATCCTACTGGCCCAGCCTGACCCCCATGTGACAGCTTTGAGAGTTTTCATGCAGTTAGAGACAAACACAGGTCAATGACAACAACTACAGCATGTGATGTGTGCTTTATGATCTAAGCACTTTCAGAGCCTTTCAAAAACTCAGGGTCTGTGTGTCTGGGCACTGTGAACTTGAAAGAAAGCCTTCACCCTGTCCCTGATAACCTTGTGTTGTCCTCAGATGAGCCCATGTCTAAAGCTCCCATGGCCAAAGACAGTTACCAGCTTCTCACCTAGCCGGTCACCTCTGTCTAACTTGGTATGATCACTGACAACTTTGGCCAATTAATGAAGAGGTGGCCTCAAATTGTTCAGGAACTCGAAAAGCACATGTCTGAAGGGGCTAATTGTAGTGATAGGAAACTATAAAAGTAAGGATGTTGGATTAGAAGTTAGCTGATCATCAGGAGATCAAGACCAGCTTGGCCAACATGGTAAAACTCCATCTCTACTAAACATACAAAAATTAGCTGGGTGTGGTGGTGTGCACCTGTAGTCCCAGCTACTCAGGAGGCTGAGGCAGGAGAATGGCTTGAACCTAGAAGGTGGAGGTTGCAGTGAGCCGAGATCTCACCACTGCACTCCAGCCTGGGTGACAGAGCAAGACTCCGTCTCCAGGAAAAAAAAAAGAAGAAATCAGTTGACTGTACTACCTTTACTCTCAATCCAGGGTCCTATATTCTAGTCCCACCTACTTATGTCTTGCTGTGGGACCACCAGGAAGTCTTAGCTTCTTAGGGCCCAGGGACTTTTCACTGCTAAGTTTAAGTAACTTGATTCGGATCCGTTGTGGTTCCCACAGCCTTCAAATACTGTGGAAGTTTTAATTTAAATCTTCAGATAAACTCTTAATTTTTGAGAACTCCTTGATTTAAATAAAACATGTCGGCTGGGCGCGTTGGCTCACACCTGTAATCCCAGCATTTTGGGAGGCCAAAGCGGGCGGATGAGGTCAAGAGATTGAGATCAGCCTGGCCAACATGGTGAAACCCCGTTTCTACTAAAATTACAAAAATTAGCTGGGCATGGTGGCGCGCACCTGTAGTCTCAGCTACTCAGGAGGCTGAGGCAGGAGAATTGCTTGAACCCGGAAGCCAGAGCTTGCAGTGAGCCAAGATCGTGCCACTGCACTCCAGCCTCGTGACAGAGTGAGACCCCATCTCAAAAAAAAAAAAAAAAAAAAAGAGGATGAGTTTCTTACCTAGCACAAGATTAATTTTTCGTATGTGAGAAAAATATACCTTCATAGATTTCCAAACAGAATTATGGCTTTTGAACATACAGGTACTAAAATTTAAAAAGGATTTCATTTTTCTCAATTTGGATTAGATATACTGATTGCTCTCAGGGCGAAACGAATTTTAATTTAGTTCTTCTTTTTCTTAAGTGGGAGTAAGCTTTTCTACCTAATTTAAAAAATGAGACGACATTTAATTTACGCTTTCTCCTTCACTCAAAGATACTAATAACCATACTATTTAAATTCTAAATCCCTTCTTTAAAGAACTTCAAAACCAAGGAGGAAATTAAAATATTTTAATTCATTTCCTGATCTCACTCATCATAATAGAAAAAGATTCTTAGATTCAGACAAGAAAGATACAAACCTTAGGAGAATTTCCACAGTTTATTTCCAAATTTTAGGAAACTTGATCCTGGAATGTTCCTTCATTCTTCACCTATAATTTGTAACAATGTGAAGTCACACTTGTTCCATAAATCCTGCTCAAACCACTCTAGTCCCTAGTAATCTCTCTGTCCCTCCAAATTCAAACAATAAATGTAGCCCAAACCTTTCATTTCCCAAACCAAACAGCATAGATCTTCTAAACTGACATTTGTCTATAGTGAAGAACTAGTTCCTCCCCTCTCCCTCCCAATTCATTGCAGACCAATACTTTTGTTAAAGAAGGAAATAATCAAAATGAGTTACCAGAAGAATGAAACAGGAAAAAAAAAAAAAAAGACATATGTAGTCCAAGCCCAGGCTTATTATTATTAAACGTCACAGACAACACATTTCACTTTGGAGGGTATGTGCCCCATTGTCAAAGTGCTGTAAGTTTCTAAACACTACTCTCAATTTCTGTATTTATCTTGTCTCAAACCAATAACAACAAGCTTGCAAATCAGCTCTGCTCCAAATGAACTTTGAGTAGCACTGGTTATTACAGACAGTGCCTTATTATTTGTGTATGTTACCTCCTATATTGTGTAAATTGTTTGTAGACATTAGATAGTGTGTATTTATGTGTCCACATTCCCCCACTCTCTCCAATAAGACTTGTAAGTAGGTAACTGTCAGTAGTAATTATAATAATAACTATTATTATTATACTAATATTAAATAATTAAAATAATTAGTAGCATTATTGGTAAAAGCAATTAATTGCTATTACTATTGTCACGATTCTTTTTTAAAAACAACAAAAATATATGTAGAATGCACCCTTCTCCAACCTCTCTTTGTGAGTATTATCCTGAAGATATTCCATTGCTTAAATCTAGTTTCATAGGGAAAGTGTAATTTTTAAAACCTAAAGGAACAAAAGCATCTTGTTAATTATCATTACTCAATCGGGGTGCTATATGTTCTTATAAAGTGAATCAGAAAATAATTGTATATGAGAAACTCTGTAATTGTTCTTCACATCTTGGTTCTTATCCTACTAACATATTCTCAGAAACAGTTTTTGGTATTATCCCCAGTATATTACCAATCCAGGAGTATTTAGGAGTTAAAAACACAGCAGAGTTACAATTTTGCTATGAAATATACAAATCAAAAATTATGAATTCTGCCTCTTCTCTATGTTTACAAAAAGTGCCAAATTCTGTAAAATATTTGAAGAGATTTATTCTGAATCAAATATGAATGACCATGGCCCAAGGTACAGTCTCAAGAGGTCCTGAGAACATATGCTCAAGGTGGTTGGGTTGCAGCTCGGTTTTAGACATTTTAGGGAGACATAAGACATCAATCAGTGCATTTGAGGTATGTATTCATTCGTTTATTTAGTCTGGAAAGGCGGGACAACTCAAAGTGGGAGCTTATGGGTCATGGGTGGATTCAAAGATTTTCTGACTGGCAATTGGTTGAAAGAGTTCTTATCTAAAGACCTGGAATCAATAGAAAGGAGTGTCTGGGTTAAGATAAAGGTTTATGGAGACCAAGGTTCTTATTATGTAGATGAAGCCTCTGGGTAGCAGGCTTCAGACAGAATAGAGGGTGTATGTCTCTCATCAGACCTTAAAAGGTGCCAGACTCTTAGTTAAAATCTCTCCCAGATCAGGAAAAAACTAGAAAGGGAAGAGGATTCTCTATAGAATGTAAATTTTCCCCACCAGAGACAGCTTTGCAGGGCTATTTCAAAATGTGACAAAGAAATATATTTTGGGGTAAAACACTTTGATACTTTCAGCACCTGCTATGTCATGTGACGCTATACTAGCATCAGGCTGGAATTTGGTATCTTATTGCTACAAAGAGTCTATTTTGTTAGTCTTAAGATCTCTGTTTTATTGTTAATGCTGGTCAGTTGTGCCTGGATGCCAAAGGGAACAGAGTATAATGAAACATGTCCAACCACTCTTTCCTGGTTCCTTCCTATCATGGCCTGAACTAGTTTTGCAGGTTTCTTTGAAATCCCTTTGGCTGAGAGGAGGGGCCATTCAGTTGGTTGTAGTAGGGGGTGGCACTAAGAATTTAATTTTTGGTTTATACCTAGAAACCCCCAACCCCCACTCCCCACCCGCCAGTCTTCTTCAAGGTCTATAAAGGTAGCTGGCTTCCCATGACATCCAGGAGAAGCAGGAGGTGCCTCGCCTTTATGAAAATACAAAACAAAACAACAAGTAATGTCAGAGAAAATGGTGGAATAAGGAATCCCAAAAGTTCACCCTTCTATAAAAGCTAGAAAAAAAGTGGCAATAACCATCAGAATGTGCTTTTTCAGAACTCTGGAATGTAACCAAATACTTGAAGTACTCTGGGAAGCATTTATTTAAAAACAAAAACAAAAAACCTTAGTCAATTCTTAATGAAAAAAGCAAAACTGTGGTGTCTTAACTTATCTGAATCCCATACTCCAATCCCCAGCTCAGCAGCAGCCTTGAAATAACAACCCACATTCCCAGTGCAGGCATATGAGGGAGCAGAATGGACCTTATTTACAGAAAATTCTAATTTGATCTATCTGGTGGCTGCCTTGAAGACATGCTACTAGACACATGTTTTTATCTCTCCTGACTGAGAACTTGCTTTATACTAAGCTGCTCCCAAGGGAGCACGGTCTAAACATTCTTCTCTACTGTCTAAGGCAATGGATAACAATTGGGGGAAACAATAGACTAGCCAAAAAACTTGGAAGCAAAGTCTAGGGAATGACATGCTGTAGGGAATAAGGTCTTTGAAAAGGTCCTACATGTTCTTAAGATTTTAGAAGAACATTCACATGTCCAGGGCTGTGCACACACTCAGGAAAAATGCAGGCAGGCCCCAGTCTCTTAACTCTGGCTGGCCATTAGGCTACGCATAATCAGGAAGTGAAGGCAAAGGCTGAGTAGTAAACTGCCTGGTTGAGTGTTGAAGGTATCCTCCCACCCCCACACACAATGGACACAGAGCCCCTTGGCTAGGAGTGGATGATTTATTAGTTCCAAGTGTTGAAGGATATTTCTATTCAAATATTAATTGGCCACTAAGCTAACTAAGCATTCAGTGGCTACACATGACGTAGAATACAGATTTTATGGAAGTAATTCGGAAAAGTGAATAAACAACAAATAAAATAACAGCAATAATAGCAAACCATGGAGAGGAGGGAGAATCTGATTCCCAGGTTATGATATTCAAAATCTTCAATTTTCAATTAGAAAATTACAAAGCATGCAAAGAAACATCAGTGGCACATACCAGGAGAAAAAAAAAAAGCAATCAACAGTAACTGTCTTTGAGAAAGTGAGAAAGTGAAAACGAGTTCATTACTAGACAAAGACTTTAAATCAGCTATTGTAAATATATTCAAAAAGCTGAAACTAAGTCTAAAGAGTTAAGTTATGAGAGCAATACCTCACCAAATAGTGAATACCAATAAAGAGATATAAATTATAAAATGGGACCAAATAGAAATTTTGGAATTGAAAAGTAGAATAACTAAAAGAAAAAATTACTAGAGGGGCTTAACAGAAGATTTGAACAGACCAAAGAAAGAATGAGAAGACTTGAAACAGGTAAATTGAGAGTATCCAGTCAGAGGAACAAGAAAGAAAAAGATGAAGAAAAATTAACAGAGCCTAGGAGACCGGAGGACATTAAGCCCATCAATACACCCATAAAGAGCGTCTCAGAGAAGAGAGAGAAAGGGGTAGAACCATGATTTGAAGAAATAATGGTGAAACTTTGCAAATTTGATAAAAAATATCAATCTATACATACAAAAAGCTCAATGAACTCCAAGTAAGATAAACTAGAATAGATCTGCACTGAGATACATCATAATCAAACTGTTGAAAATCAAAGACGAATAGAGAATCTCAAAAGCAGTAAGAGAGAAGCAACTTATTATATAGAAGAAATCCTCAGTAAAATTATCAACTGATTTCTCATCACAAACCATGGAGGCCAAAGGCAGTGTGATGACATTCAAAGTGCTGAAAAAAAAAAAATACTGTAAACCAAGAATTTTGTATCTTGCAAAATTATCCTTCAAAAGTGAATGAGAAGTTAAGAAACCTCCAAATAAATAAAAATTGAGATAGTTTGTCACTATGACACCTGACCTACATAAAAAAAATCTGAACTCAATAACCTAAACTCCACCTTAAGTTACTAGAAAAAGAGAAGCAAACTAAGCCTAAAGCAAACAGAAGAAAAGAATAATAAAGATTAGAGTTGTGATCAATGGAATAGATAATAGAAAAAAAATCATCAAAACCAAAAGTTGGTTATTTGAAAAGATTAACAAAATTGACAAACCTTTAGCTAGTCTGATGAAGAGAAATAAAAGAAAGTAGTAAAGTTATTAAAAAATGAGAGAAGGGCATTACCACCAATTTTACAGAAATACAAAAGGATTTTAAGAGAATATAATGAGCAACTATATACCAGCAAACTGGATAACCTACATAAAATGGACAAAGTCCTAGAAATATAAAAACTACCAAAACTGACACTCAAGATAAAATAGAATACATGAATAGACTTATAAAAGTAAATATTGAGTTAGCAAGAAAAAACTTCTAACAAAGAAAAGCTCAGGACCAGATGACTCCATCAATGGATTCTACCAAACATTTAAAGAAAAGTTAGCACCAATCCTTCTCAAAATCTTTCCAAAAAAATAGCAGAGGGAACACTTTCTAACTCATTCTGTGAGGTCAGTATTACCCTGATACTTAAACCAGAAAAAGGTATCCCAAGAAAGGAAAGCTACAGGCTAATATCTCTTATGAATATAAATGCAAAAATTATCAACAAAATACTAGCAAACAGAATCCAACAGCATATTAGAAGGGCTGGACATTATAGCTAATGGGAATTTATCCCAGGAATGCAAAGTTTGTTCAACATATGAAAGTCAATCAATGCAATATACCATATTAATACAATGAAGAGGGGAAAACCCATGTGATCATCTCAATAGATATAGAAAAAGGATTTAACCAAATCTCACATCCTTTCGTGATAAAAACTTTCAACAAACTAGAAATAGAAGGGAACTTCCTAAACCTAATAAAAGGCATCTATGAAAAACCCACAGCTAACATCATACTTAACTGTGAAAGACTGGAAGCTTTCCCTGTAATATCAGAAACATGATATGGATGTTTTCTCTCACCACTTCTATTCAACATTTTACTAGAAATTTTAGCCAGGGCAATTAGATGAGAAAGAGAGTTAGAAATGAGAGAAGTGGAAGAGAGAAAGAGAGAATCCAGATTAGAAGAAGGAAGTTAAAACTACCTCTATTAGTGGATGACATGATTTTCTAAAAAATCCTAAAGAAACACACACGTGCACACACACACACACACATACATACACACACATTATTAGAGTTAATGAGTTCAACAAAGTTGTAGGATATAAGATCAATATCCAAAAATCAGTTGTCTTTCTATACACTTACAATGAAAAATCCAAACATGAAATTAAGAAAGTGATGCCACTTGAAATGGCATCAAAAATTATAAAATAGTTATGAATAAATTTAACCAAGGAAGTGAAAGTCCTATACATTGAAAACTACAAAAGAGTTTTGAAAGAAATCATCTTCTATGTTTATGGATTGGAAGACTTAATATTATTAAAATAGAATACTCCCCTGATTGATATACAGATTCAATGCAATCCTGTCAAATTCCAGCTGCTTTTTTGCAGTTGACCCTAAAATTCAAGCTGATCCTAAAATTCAAGCTGACCCTAAAATTCAAATGAAAATGAAAGGGACATTGGATAGCCAAAATATTCTTGGAAAAAAAAAAAAAAAAAAAAAAAGCAAGGGCTAGGTGCGGTGGCTCACGCCTTTAATCCCAGCACTTTGGGAGGCTGAGGCGGGTGCATCACGAGGTCAGGAGATGAAGACCATCCTGGCTAGCATGGTGAAACCCCGTCTCTACTAAAAATACAAAAAAAAATTAGCCAGGCATGGTGGTGGGTGCCTGTAGTCCCAGCTACTCAGGAGGCTGAGGCAGGAGAATGGTGTGAACCTGGGAGGCAGAGCTTGCAGTAAGCTGAGATCGCACCACTGCACTCCAGCCTGGGCTACTGAGCAAGACTCCGTCTCAAAAAAAAAAAAAAAAAAGAGCAAAGTTGGAGGACTCACACTTCCTGATTTCAAAACTTATTACAAAGCCACAGTTACCAATACAGTGTAGTGCTGATATAAGGATAGACATATGGACCGATGGAATAGAATTGAGAGTCCACACAGAAATACATACATGTATGGTCAATTGATTTTCAACAAGGGTGTCAAATGGGAGAGAAATTTCTCAATAAATGTTGCCAGGACAATTGGATAGCCACCTGCAAAAGAATAATGTTGGACCCTTACCTCATACTATGTACAAAAAAGGAATTCAAAATAGATGAAAGATTTAAATGTAAAATCTAAAGTTATAAATCTCTTAGAAAGAAACATAGGTATAAATCTGCAGGACTTTGGATTAGGCAATAGTTTCTTAAGTGTCACACCAAAAACATAAGCAATAAAAGAAAAAAATTGGTAAATTGGATTTCAACAAAACTAAAAACTTTTGTGAATCAATGGACACTACCAAGAAAGTGAAAAGCAACCCATAGAATAGGATAAAATATTTGTATATAGGATATTTTGTAAGAGATTAGTATCCAAAATATGTAAGAACTCTTGAAGCTCAACTACAAAAAGACAACTGAATCATTAAATTAAAATAAAATAGGCAAAGGGTGTGAATAGACATTTCTTCAAAGGAGATACACAAAAAGCCACTGCAAAAAGATGTTCATGAAAGAACACATGAAAATTATTCATTAGGAAAATGCAAATCAAAACCACAGTAAGGTACTACTTTATACCTACTAGGCTGGCCATGTTGATGATTGTGATGATGATGATGTTGATGATCTTGATGATGATGATGATGATGATGAAGAAAATAAGAAAGATTGAAGAAGATGTGAAGTAATTAGAACTCGTAATCATTGTTTGTGGGAATGTATAATGATCCAGCCTCTGTGGAAAACAGTTTGGCAGTACCTCAAAAAATTAAACATAGAGTTACCATTTGACCCAGCAGTTCCATTCCTAGGTATATATCCAAGAATTGAAAACATATGTCCACATGAAAACTTGTACATTGAATATTTATAGCAGTATTATTTGTAATAGCAAAAAAGTGGAAACAAACCACATGTCCATTAGCTGATCAATGGGCATGCAAAATCTGGTATCTCCATGCAGAGGAATATTATTCAGCTATAAAAAGGAGGGGAATACTGATACATGCTACCTCATGGATTAACCTTCAAAGCATTATGCTAAGAGAAAGAAGCTAGACATGAAATGACACATACAGTGTGCTTCCATTCATAGGAAATGTTCAAAATAGGCAAAGTCATCAAGATAGAAAATATATTAGTGGTTGCCAGGGGATGAAGGAGAGGGAATTGGATTGTCTGCTAACAGCTATGGGGTTTCTTTTTGGGGTCATGTTCTGGAATTAGATAGTCTTGATGGTCATACACAACTGTGAATACACCAAAAACTATTGAATTGTATACCTTAAAATGGTTAATTTTATATTATCGAATGGTATCTCATTAAAAAAACAGGAAAACCTTTCTTTTCATAGGAAAGCATTTAAAAATAAGTATAATTATATACTTACTTAAATGTAATTTGTTTTTAGCATAACATTTTATTTTTAAACAGAGGATCCTTTGTTAAACTGACGACTGACATGTGTTTGTGATTTCGTAAGGCTACAGAATACCATTCTTGCTTGTCTAATCTTATAACACTGAATTGCATTTACGACCCCCTCCCCACCAGTACCTCAAACTAAATATATAACATCTATGAGGGAAAACTTTGAGTCACTGTGATCTTGGAAAAATAATCTTATAATTTAATTGTTGGTGGCGCTATAGGTTTTTTTTTTTTTTTTCCCTCCAATCAGTTTTGAAACAACTTGGTAGAGCTTAGGTAACCACATACATTATTGCCCAAACAAGACGCTTTTCAGCATGGCAGTAGGTACTAATCATATGTGTGTCAGCACAACAGGCATAAACCAGACTGTCCTGGGAAACCCAGGACACATGGTCACCTAAACAGAAGTGATATTTACTTCCAGGCACAGACTCATAACAAATACTTGGTGTGCGAGCGAGGATTATTTCAAAGGTAATGGCTGCTGCTGTTGCTGCTGCAGGTGGTGGGTGAGCTGGGCCATGTCCTCCCTCCTAAGCCAAAAGAACTGGTGCAAGGGAAGCCCCTGCAATCCCTGCTCACTCACCAGGGTCAGGGTTTCCTTGGAGGTGTGGTGGGGGAGATAGGGATTTCTTATAATGGTTTTAATGAGCCCGTCTGGGGTCTCCTCCTGAGATGATTAGCACCTTCCCTGTCTTTTGCATCTAAGGACTTTGGGATTGACCAGGGCTGCCTTAGCTAACATTTGTCTCTTCATTATCAGCTGGTGTATTGGAGAGAGAAAATCCACGTGGTCTGATCAAACTGGCAGAATTGAAATGTCGCCGCTGATGCTGGCAGGCCTGGGCTTTCCAGACAAGCAGAAGGAGTGGGTCTAGAAGGATCCATCTTCAGTATGCTGTATTCTGGTCTGCATTTGCCTAAAGACACTTTGGAATTATTTAGTCTGGCTTCCTCATTTTATACAGGATTGTTCTCTTTTCTTTGTGGGCGATCTACTTAGCTTCCATATTATGCAGATGGGGGATGGTTTATTTGAGGAAAGAGACTTGCAGAACTGTTGGGTGAAAATCCAAGGGTTACACGCATTGAGTCCCGCAGGGCTGTTTGCTCCACCACAGGCTTAGGTAGGTGAGGATTCTAACGCCCCTCCTGCCAGCATCAAGTCTCCACCTGGCCAGGCCCACGCACTCCGAGCCACGGCTCAGCAATCTCATTAGTGAAATGACGATCTGCTGTCTGCTTCCCTGGGCTGAGTTGTGGATTAATTGCTCCACCTCCAGCAAAGTACCTTAAAGCAAGAGAAGTTACATGAGTCCTCCAGCTTATATGGCCCAAGCCAGTCCCTGCTGGTAGGTGAGGAGAAGAGATGAGTGTAGGGGGATCTGTGGCTCTCTGGAAAGGTCCCCTCCCAAGAAAACCTCACAAAATGCAAATGCCAACTCTTAGCTGAGAGTTGGAACTGAGATGTGGGTGTATGCACATGTATGTATGCACGTGTGCATGTGTTTAGTGTTGGTGGCTGTGAAGTAAGAGGGGACACATGTCAAGCATGTAAGAATCAGGGAACTCTGTTAGGGGTCTCCCGTTTCCTGTGCCCAGCCTAACACTGTATCAGTTATTTTCCATTCATTCACTCTTCATCCTCTGACTCCTCACACATACGCATGATTACCTTCACTTCCTGGAGAGAAGTGGAGGGCCCCAGAAATCCAGCTTAGCCTCCGAGGGAGAGGGGCTTTCAGTGAAGGTGACCCAGATTCCATACACTCAAGGCAAACATGTTCTGAATAGGACCCCACATGTTCATTTCAGTGTTCTCCAGAGTGAGTTCTAGGATCCAATTTTCTTACTGTTTTTTTAAGTCTGGCAAACTGAAAATGGACTTCTTCCAGAAGGTCTGTCAGAGCTCAAGCCTTACTTGACAAATCCAGGAAGATGCCTTGACAGTGACAGGACTCAGCCTGGGAAGGAACTTGGCAGACCGGGACACCTTCCTAGAATCAGGCACCCAGTACTCGGTTTGCCTGCTTTCTCTTTTCGGATCTCACTTCTAAAGCTTTGCATATCTTCACAATGTATGTTATGACGGATTGAAATTGTTTAGGCCCCCATTACTCCCTGCCCAGGCGACTTGCTCCCCAAGCCCTGCTAGGTGCAGCAGCTTCCAAGGGCATCTGTGCTCACCCTGCCCAGGCCCCTTCCGCCCTTGACTCTCTCCACAGTTATCTTTTTAAGACGTGTGCCTCATCATGCTTCTTCCCTTGTTGAAATCCCAGTAGCCTCTCAGCTCCCCTCCCATTCAGGAAAGATTCCGGGCTCTCTGCAGTCTGGCCTTGGCCCACCTGCCCAGATCCCACCTCTTCAGGTCCACACTTGTTCACCATGTCCAGCCGAACAGTGTTGCTTGCCCTTCCCCAGATGTGCCAGCCTTTCCCCATCCTCTTTTCAACGCCTAGGAAAGCCACCTCCCTTTCTTCACTGGCTGAATCTTTGTTTGCAAAGGTTCTGTAAGCTGTGAGGGCCCCTCCTTCAGGAAAAGTTACCTGATACGGTGGTCCCCTTGCCCCACGCTGGGGTGGAGGCTGTTCTAGGATGAGGCCAGGCCCTGGCATTTAAGTTGTATGATGCTGCCACTCATCTGTGGCTTTGGGGGGCCTTGTTTGGGATTTCTCTATACCTGTCCGCTTACAAGGAACCTGGCACAGACTCAGTGCACGTGGAATGAATGAGGCCTTTAGAGGGCTAAAACTCCAGAACAAATTTTTCATATATTTTGGCTCTTAAGGGTCCTGATAACTTAGGAGCCACAAAGAAAAAGCAGAGTGAATGACTTCCATTATCACCCCAGGGAGCTAATCACACTCTCCTTAGCAGGGCTTTGCTCCTCAGAACTACCTGGCTGGCTGTGTGAAGGGGAGAAATGGGTGAGGCAGCAATTTTTCCCAATGTATAGACAAGGAGCCTGAGAGGTGAAACAACTGAACTGAAATGAGCTGGCAAGGGGGTGCTGGTGAAGAGAGCTGCTTTGGGGTTCAGATACAGACACAGTCTTCATATTTCCTATGACAGCTCCCTTCATCAAAACCTGGAAAAACAGGAAATAACCTAAGCTCATTAGAGGACTCAGGGATGACTAATGGAGTTAAGCCTGGGGAGAATCTGATGCTCCTTGACGTGGGTTCCACGGGGGCCAGGGTGGGGGCAGGGGCATCCCTCCTCCTCTGTTGTCTGCAGACTTTCTTTAAATTAGTCTTCTTCATCTGCTCATTTACCCCCGGGATTCAAGGAGCAGCACATTAACTAATGAAGTCAATTAACAGAGGTTTGAAATGCAATGTCTTGCAACTCAGGTATGGATTGGATACAAAAGGTTTGGCCCCAGTGAAAAGGTGACAGTGTGCTAAAAATAAGCCCTGGTATAAAGTGATCCTCCATCAGCTAATTGCTAATAGGGTTTCCTTGTGTGGGGCTCCGCAGCCCCATGGCTGGGCCTAATTGGCGAGTCCAGAGGCAGCATTCATGTCTCCGACCCACGGTTACAGAAGGGAGTGATTGCAGGGAGCCTGATCGAGCCACCAGCCGTTCCCAGACCTTGAGTGCCAAGGTGAGTTTTCTCTTTGTTCTTCTTGAGGCCTGGCCCTGACAGTGTCACCTCCTCCCTGGGCCTGGCTACAAGGGTCGTGAGGGCAACTTCTGTTGTAAGCCGAATAATGTTAACAGCTGGGATGTGCCGTTTGTCAGAGGTCACCACTGTTACAAGTTTCAGAGTGAACATTTTTAGTAGAAGGTGAGACAGGAGAACTACTGCAGGCTACGCTTTGAGGCTGCAGACTTGAAAAACCAGAGCATTTTCAGAGCACTGGGCGAAGGCTGCTCAGCCACCCTGCCCGACCCTCATAAACCCTTTTAGCTCAGACAGAGCCCTCTGGGTGGCAGAGAAATTGGGTAGGTGGCAGGAAAAAGTCAGTGGCTCCTGAATCAGGAGATAAGCAAGTGCTTAAATACTGCTCATCCACCCAGGAGCTGGGCCACCTTGGGCAGGAAACTTCACCTCTCTGGGCCTCACGGTGTGTAGACTAGAATGAGGGTTCTCACAGATCTCACTCTGACACTGAGTGAACCTGTGATTTTAAGATGCCCTCAGGTTTCAGCATCTTTCATGTTCCTTTCCAGGACCCTCCCTACCTCTTTTTTCAACGTCTCCACACACCAAAATACATGGGGCTTAAATGCGTGTCCTCCCCATGCCCTGCTGACCAAACTGCCTCTACTTTTTGTTCTAATTCCGGATTTCCCATGAGTCATCGGATGACTTAGCAAAGTTGCCCCTCATTGATTGTTTTTTTTTTTTCTCCCAAATGCTTCTCAGTCAATTAAAGACCTCATCTATTAACTGAAGAGAGAAGGGGATCTTGAATGCATTCTGGCCAGGTATGCTGGAGTCAGGTATACTCAGGTCAGAGGATAATGATAATAGCAATTATAATACTAAGAGCCACAACTATTAAGAGAACTTATTCTTTTGTCAGTCCTTATGCTGACGAATCAACATGCTTTACCACATTTAAACTTCTCAAAATCCCTATGTAGTAAGTAATATTATTATTTCCATTTGATAGATGATGAAACTGAGCTTAGAAAAGTTGAAATGATTTTCCTGGGATCACACAGCCAGTAAGCATTGGAGCAGCATTTAAATCCAGACTAAACACCACGAGGCATTTTTTTTCTCCAAAGACTAGAGAAATTTTGGACTTTATTTTAAAATAGTGAAACGTGCAGTGAGACATGCATACACACACTCAGCCATACTCATAACGAACACTCAGCCATACTCATAACGAACAGGAGAATTTATGCATACCAGTGAGTTCCAAGCTTCAGTGTCATCACCTTGTAAGGTCAGTTTATGTGCTTGTTCCAACAGTATCACAGATGCTTGGTTGGGGAGTTTCTCCCGGGAGTGCTTCGTGAGCTACACACATACACATGCGTATTTTTATATCATAGCTGCAGCCTGCTCTTTATGCTGTTGTTGTCCTTGTTGTTTTGCCTTCCAGTGGTATTATTATTCCTTGTGCTCACATTATTTTTTCACCAGGCTTGACTCCAAGTGGCTCTTGATGGTTTCCAATATGCAAATCCAATCTACCCTTAAAGGAAGGATTTGCCAACATTCAATTGATCTGACTGGCTGTTTTTTCCCACTACTCCAATGGCTTACAAAATATTTGAGCAGTGGCACCATTTTTATTTTCTTCCCGGATCTCTTAGAGAAGCCTAATCTGTACAACAGATGAAGGCAGAGTGGCTGTGTTTGAAGCATGAATTCGGGAGGCATGACCCCATCCACTCTCCTCTCCCATTCTTGTTCTCTCCTTAGGCCTGGAGGGCCAAGGAAGCTTCAGGTTTCAGGGAATGCAGCTTGGGAACCACTGCCCTGGCCCAGACAGCCCAATGGTGGGAGGGCCAGTGTCAGGAGCTCCACACCCTCTCTCTGGCCCAATGTGAGCAAGTTCTGCCTGTGAACTGAAGGAACATCCACATCTCTCCTAAACATTCTTACTGGCCAAAAGGAAGGAGAATGTGACTCTTTAGTGAACACCTCCGCAGGGTCTTTCATCCACCATTCATGTCTGTAAAAGAGCTTTTAAGAGGTTTGCAGAAATGCTTTAAGAAAGGAAGAAAAGGGAGCTTGGTGGCTATAAACAGAAAGGTTAGTTCTGAGGTCGAGAATGATACAGGGGAAGAGGAAAAATATTTAAGGATTGCAATGGAGTGAGGAGAAGAATCACAGAGATATTAAGAAAAACCATACAGAGTGGGAATTTCCAGCAGCAGGGAAAAGCACGATATGTCTGGATCCAAGGCCAAATGTTGGACATCCGCATCCTCCGTGTGCCCAGCCACCCACTGCAGTTAGGGACATGCGGGCCTGGGAGTGGGGAGTGTGCACCTGCTTTGTGCTAGGCCATGGGAGACACCAGCAAGGACCCATGAGAGAGGAATTTCTCCCTTAAGGAACTCACTGTCTAGGAGGGAACATACTCAAACACTCTAAAGCAAAGAGGAAATCGGGAAAGGCAGTAGTGGAGATACAAATGCAGTGTTAGGGGAGTCCAGAGGAGGGCGGCTTCTGTAAAAGTGTCCAAGCCAAAGCTGAGTTTCCTCTAACACATGGCATGATGTCCCTTTCCATGCTTCAATATGGACTTTGGGTGACATTTTGGACTCTTCATATTTTATCTTCTCAAACTCATTTTGACTCCCTCATCCTAACTTAGTTCTCATCCAAAAACAAAGAAAGTACTTCTCTGTTTATGCCCCCAAAGGAAGTATAAAATTATGACTATGCTTTCTTCCAACATGAGTCAGTTGAACCCCTGCTATAAGTGATGATTGCACGTGGCTCAGGAATGTTTCTGTCTCTCTCCTGTCTGAATTTCACTGGAGCATAGGAAGGCCCTTCCATTTTTGCTTAATTGCTTCACAGTTCTTTTCATTTTAGAGTGTGATTTTCTTATACCTGAGACCAACACAAAGGGAAAAAAAATCTCTGTGATCGTCAAGGAAAAAATACACAACCGTATTAGTTTGGAGGGCCTCAGATAATTACTGGTAAGCTGGGGAGAGGGCTTTATTACCATATGAATATCATAAAACCAAGGGATACTATGAGAAATTGTTGGATCTAATCCTATGATTTACTCATTTTCTCAGCAGCCCAATGCTGTGAAACAGGTTTCAAACCAAGTTCCTATTTCCTCTTGTGAATCAGTCCCTTTATTCCAAATGGAATCTGAAACAGCTTCACCAAGGCCAGCAGTGGGGAGCATCTTCACTCTAGGCTTTGGACTTGAAACGAGGTCTTGTTGCATTCTATATCCCCAGGACCTCATACAATGCCTGGCACGCAGTGGGGACTTGCTGAAATAATGTTTGCGGAATTGAACTGATGATGAACAAAGGCAGAGAAGTGGGAATGTACAGGGTGTGTTTGAGGACAAGTGAAGCAATAGCTGACACTCGTTAAGCCTTTACTGAGAACCAGAGAGCATGCTGAGTACTTTGTTTCCTTCTCATTTAAACCTCACAAGACCTCCATGAGATAGGACCATTAGTATCCATTTTACAGATGGGAAATACCATAGACTGAGTGGCTTAAACAACAGCCATTTATTTCTTACAGTTCTGGAGGCTGAGAAGTGCAAGATCAAGGTGCTAGCAAGGTAGGTTTCATTCTGAGGCCTCTTTTGGCTGGTAGGCGGCTGCCGTCTGGCTGTGTGCTCACAGGACCTCTTCTTTCCCCGCTTCTTTTTGGAGAGAGAGAGAAAGAAAGAGAGTGCGCGTGCAAGAGTGCACATACATGAGCTCTCTGGTATCTCTTACGAAAACACTAATCCTATCAGATTCAGGCATCACCCACAGGACCACATTTAACCTTAATTACTTCCTTCAAGGCCCCATGAGTAAATACAGCCACAATGGGGCTTCCAAATATAAATTTGGAAGGGAACACAAACATTCAGCCCATAACAGGAAACTAGTGCAAGGTTGCAGAGCTAAGAAGTGTTGGAGCAGGAACTCAAACCCCCTCCCTTATGCTGAAAACCATGTACCTAACTGTGAGGCAGTACCACCATCGTGTATGGAGTGATAGCTTGGTGTGTAGAGAGGGATAGGATGCTGTCATCGGAGATAATGATGATCAGGCTGTCTGGGCTCAGATGAATCTAAAGACTGAATCTCTCCCTGTCTTCATCTCCTTCTCCATCCTGTCCACCAGCCACACTGAAAACCTTGCAGTTCCCTGAGGCTGCTGCATGTTGCCTGCAATCCTGTGAATATCCTTTGAATATAGGTGCTTTGGTCTACCTAGAGAAGTGGTTCTTAAGCATGGCTGCACATTAGAATCACCCAAAAAGCTTTTAAAAACCCAGAAGTCAGAGCCAGATTGAAGGGCCCACACTGGTCTCAAAGAAATAATGATAGTAACAGATTATAACCTAATATACAAAATAGGAAACCATGATTTCCTGTGATACAGATTATTACCTAATGAATTGATAGTTTGATGACAAAGTATTTACATAATTTCAAAGAACTCTGCAAAAAGGACTTATTAATTACAAAAGGAAAATGAGTACATTTACAGTGGAGAAGCTTGACAGTCTCCACCTTGATCAAGTGACCCAAGTAAACATCATTAGTAATGGGACACACAGAAACCATGGGCCACTTCATAGGGTACAGTAAGAAGTTGCTACTGAGATAGTCCTGCCAAAGATGTACAGCTGCATCTAATCACGAGGAAACATTAGACAAATCCAAATTGAGGGACGTATTTTAAAATAACAGTCTTGTAATCTTCAAAAGTGTTAAGGTTATGAATGTCAAGGGAGGCCTGATAAACTGTTTCAGATTGAGGAAGAAGAGACATGACAACTAAAGGCAGCTTGTGATCCTGAACTAGATCATTTTGCTATCAAAAACATGATGGGTACATTTGCCAAAACTTGAGTGGTTGTAATGTACTGATGCGAATTTACTGATTTTGATGTTTATATTTTAGTTATGTAGGAGAATGTTCTTATTTGTAAGAAAATACACTACAAAGAAAGATGGGACATCAAGACAACAAATTACTCTCAAATGGCTCAGTTAATAAAAAAAAAAAAAAGATTTATGTTGTGCTTGCAACCTTTCTGTAAGTTTGACATTTTTAAAATACAAACACACAGACAAAATCCCTGATATCCAGTTTGTATACAAAACCAATTAAATCACAAACTCCAGAGAGGAGACCCAGGCTTGAGTAGCTGTTGGAGCTCCCAGTTGATTCCAGTGTGAGCCTGGGTTGGCCCTATTAGCCCATTTTCAAAGTATGGTCCCCAAACCAGCAGAATTAGAATCAGCAGGAACCTTGTTAGAAACGAAAATGTTCTGGCCCCACCCCAGATTTCCTGAATCAGAAACTCTGAGGGTGGGACCCACAATTTGTAATGCACCAAGGTTTTGGTGCATGCGTATGTTTAAGGACTATTGGCTATAACCTTCCTTGCTCCCCTTCTGTCCATATTTGCTCCCAAGTGCCCTTCCAGAGTCAGCTCAGCAGGTTTCCAGTCCTGGGGCTCCCTCAATACCTTAGAGTGCATCTCAGAGTTTGGGAATTATCTGTTTACGTCCTGATCTCCCCAACCAGGGTTAGTCCAAAGCTCATTCACACAGTCTCTGGAATAGCGTAAGCACCAATACATATTTATTATTGGTGCTTAAGTTGATGCTTATCGAATGAATTGAGGGACTGGCCGTGATGTTCAGTGGTGTTTCCCCTGTGCCACATTTTAGCTTCATTTGCATGCCCTTAAGAGGCATGCACTGATATGTTTCAAGTGTGTTCTGTGATGGGAGTTTGATAAGGGGCTCTGTGGAGGCAGGGGAGATGGCAAGCATTTGTAACCACATTCAGAAGCACCCCCGCCTTTCTGGAACCAGTACTGAAGCCTTTTACTAAAAGGTGCCTGTGAGCGGCTGGGCTTTCTAATTAAACCAGATGGACTGGATGATAGCTGATTAGATTCCTGACTTACTGATCTGCCTTCTATTTACTCACATAAATACGTTGATGAACCAGAAGTCATCTCATTCAGGAAAAGCACCTCACTGAATATTTTTAGAAAATTAAACTTTTATGAATGACCCAGACTGTGAGCAGCTCAAATGCCAAAGTCTGTTTCCTATGGCACTTGCATGGTTGAGCTATCAGCAGGGGGACCATGAACAAGTTTGTTTCTGCAAATATGTGCCAAAACAACAGCAACAACAAATTACAGGCCCGTCAGTCATTTTGGATGGAGAGGAGCACGTCATAATGATAGACATAACCAGGGACATGGGCACTTCTTTGCTTTAACTGCTTCTGTCCCTCCTAGCTCCATTCGATGTTGTCACATTTTGTTGATGCTGATTCCCAATTCAAATTCTCTGTTAATTGGTAATATTTGGGGGTAGGGGTAATGAAGTAGAGGCTAAAAAGAACACATGATACGTGAAAACATATATTTGTAAACATGCATATAAATATGGTACATCTGTCAATGCATAAATATATATGCCGATGTATAACAAAAATTATATGTCATATGCTTTAAAAAATCTACAAAAAATATTTAAGTATCTATATACATACACAAATAGCAAGGACTTAAAGTCATGATGTGTCTTGAGGAACTCTTAACTTCAGGTTCTGCTACTAATTAGAATCTATCTCCATGCCCTGTAGAAGATAGGGAGTTGGTCCCAGTTGGACTCATGGATAATCATTTTGGGTAATGCACTGCTTTAGGGTATTTCCAGGATCATTCTGCTGAGGTGGCAGAAGAGTGGAATATCCTAAAGCTATGACACCGATTCATGGCCCTGCAGAAACATCATGGCAGTTGAGAGTTTAAACCTCAGTCCCAAGTTGCTCAAATTGGCTTTGACAGTGAAAATTGGTGCTGAGCTGGACCGACTTCCTTGGCTAAACTGTATAATCAGAATTCTATTCAATCACACTTAAAGAGTATTTTGACTGCCTGTTGTTGCTAGCATGTGTTTACTTCTGTGGCTGATGCAACATATTTACAACATACCAGGTTTATCAGAAATGTAGAAGCATTCTCTCTTACAGTGAAAGCCAAGGTCAGGTTGTTCTCTAGAAAGAAGGCCAGTCTCTGGAAGGTCAGAGGGATGTAATCCCACTGTGTAACATTCTGGTTACTTATTCATTCATCTAATACATTCCTACCATGTGCCAGATATTGTTCTAGGATTAGCACTGGCTCCCAAGAAAGGTACAGTCCCTTCTTTCTTGGAGCTTACAAATTTTAAATATTAAGTCAACTAGCCATTAAGTTTTGTGAAAACAGAAATGAATCACATTGGTGGAATGTGCGAGCCAGCTGGGAAATAAAACTCATCTTCCAGAAACCAATCAGAAAGCCATGTCTAGAGAGTATTATTATGAGTTGAATTGTGTCCCCTCACCACAAAATTCATATGTTGAAGTCCTAATCCCCATACTCAGCATGTGACCATATTATAGATAGGGTCTTTAAAGAGGTAATTAAGTGAAAAGAAGTGACTAGGGTAGGTGCTAATCCAGCAGGACTGATATCCTTATAAGAAGAGGAAATGTGGATACAGAGAGAAGGTGATATGAAGAAAGAGGGAGAAGATGACCATTGAGTGGCCAAGGAGAAAGGCTTAGAACAGACCCTTCCCTCACCATCCTCAGAAGGAACCAGGTCTGTGGACTTCTTGATATCAGACTTGTAGCCTTGTGAGGCAGTAAATCTCTGTCATGTTAACCACTCAGACTGGGTGGTTACTTTGTTATGGTTACTTGGTTATGGCTGCCATACTCTATTACGGTAGCCTTAGCAAACTAATACATATATATTAAAATTCTAGCACATGGACAGGGAATGGACTGGCCTGATTGGGGAGGGTTCGTAGTAGGGTCATAAGTGTGAGACAGGGTGAAGGTTTGGTCAGGTTTTGAGTAGAGAAAGAGGTTGGCATAATTAGTGTTTCAGGGAAAAAAGAAAATTAAAGAAACCAGTGCTTGGGGAGAAAAATAGCGCTTGCAAACAGAGAAATCAAGTTGCAACCTTCTTTGCATCTTAATAGCTTCATCAATGTGAAAGAGGCTTCTGCCCTCTCCAGAGGACTCATTCCCCTTGATGTCATGTTTATTGAATTGTCTTGTTTTACAAAGATGTAAAATGGCTTTGTGTTGGGCTAGTTTCTTCTTCTGCTCAGATATATTAAGTTCTTCCAATGTGAGACTCTCTGTGTCTCATGTAATTATACAGTTAGGCATTTCCTTAATGCTGGAATTTAGTTTTAAGCCCAGTGTACAGAGACCATTGCTAATTCTACATTTGGATTTGGGCCCTGACTACTGGGCCTTGGGACAACACCAGGACACTAACTAGGTGGTGAGAGAAGCAACAGGACTGAGAAGAGGGTGATATTTTGCCATTTGTGTTCTATTGCTGGGATGCTCTATGACAGGGTATTGAAAAATGATGCTGGGAAGGAAGGGTGGACCATGAGCTCCAAGATGTCAAAAACTGGTGGCGGGACATGGGGCTTCCACTGGTGCTGATGGGCTTAAAGATCACTGCAGTACCCAAGGCCCATAATACCCTAGTCCTGTTGGACTAAGAAGGTATCTTCATTGAGGGATAACTTCATCCTATAGTTATCTCAGAATCTCTAGAACCTAATCTATGCCTGGTTCATCGTTGGCACTCAATAAATGTTTGCTACAGGGAGGGAGAGAGCAAGAGAAGCTTCTCTTTGGTCCAGGGAACATCCCCATAGCATAATTAGTATGGCGTAATTCAGTGCAACTTATGGTTCCCAAGAGTCTCAAACAAGAGCTCTCCTTACCCACTGCCCCTGCACCACTGCTTCTCCCAGAAGGGTCACTTGCATATGCTTCTGAAGCCATCCTCTCAGTGGCCACTCCAGCCACCACTTCCCTTTCCTCCCACATCAGCAACTGTGGCGCTCTTTGCCAAAGGGCTGCAGTGATTGAAGACAGACAGCAGTGTTCTCAACTAGTTCCTCCCAGTGCATTCATAAGCTCCCTTGGCAACTGCTCAGGCCACAGTGTGCTGTGCCAGCAGGACATCTCACCCCAAGTCTTGCTGGCTGTACTCACCTGCATTTGCCACAAGGCAGCACTGCCCTCCCTACACTCCCCAGGGCCCTGGAGTATTTACTAGCCATCTTATTCTGTCTCTCCCCAGGACTCAGGTATATGGCTACAAGGAAAGGAGCAGAATGAAATCTTAGCATGACCCTCTCCCCTCTGCTCCATCCCCACCCTCACACTATTCCTCTCAAGACTCATTCTTTTCAGAGGAGGGCTTTCCCAGGAAGCACCCTAGAGCCTCCCCAACCTTCCACCAGCCATACCCGAATCCTAGGGTGAGTAGCAGTAAGGCTCAAACTGGGATCTCTGCTTCATAAAGAAATGGGCTACCCAGGGGTATCCTCTTCATCTGGACACCACACCTCATCTTATACAGATAGGCATATTAATGCCTCAGGCACCAAAAATATTCCATAGAGCCCCAACATGGCTTCAACAGAATGGGAAAACCATTCAGGGGTAGGAATCAGATGAACTTCTACTTGAAACCAGACTATACCACTTACCAGCTATGTGACCATGGTCAAATTATTAAGACTTTCTGGGCTATGGTTTCCCAGTCTATTAAATGAGATGATTCCTATCTTACAGGACAACAGGGGTTTTATGTGAGAGAAAGTGTGAAATGAAGGTACACTGCTGCCTGCAAATAAGAGGTGCTAAATCCACCTTGCTTTTCATGTCTCTCCATTCCCTTAAGTTAGACATAAGGAATAATTTGATATAAATCTTTGGCTTTAAGCCACCCACTGATGAACCTCCCCTTGAATATCCCAGCCAGAAAGCTTGTGAAGAGTTCCTACTGTGGCTAGGATACTGCAGAGGAACCTGAGCTTGTTCATGTTAGCCAGGGCTGAAATCCACACCTGTCTGCCAGAGTCTCCTGGAATGTGCTAGCAGAGCTAACTGGGCCATTCCCGCTGAGTTCTATAGCATTTAGTAGAACACTTTCATCAACACATAGTGCTCAGAAAGGGCTTCAGATGAAGCTGAGGGGGATGCCTTCAGCAGTCAGGTGCACAGGAGCAGAGGAATGCAAGGGAAACCTCACAAATAAGTGCAATTTCTTTATTGGCTTACCCCGTCCAGGAGGCCAAGGGGCCACAACCTAGATAATGCCAGCATCCTTTCCACCACCACCCAGATAATTGCTCTAGGCCCAAGAGAAATTAACATAAACCTCTGTAGGTTCCCTGCAGACTTGGCCCTTTTCAACCATTGCTTCCATCATCCACCTCCATCATTCCTCATCTCTGCTATTCAGGCCTAAGACCTCTGCTTAGTCAACAGTGCCTTATGACCCATGCCTCAGGCCTGTGCTCTGCAACAGGGGCTCCCCTGCACCATCTGCACATTCTAACTTCTATGCCTTTGAGCAGTTAAGAGCACACACTTTAGAATCAGAGCTGATCTTACCCATTGGCTATTCAGCTTGGGGGCAAGTCATTTACCCTCTGAAAAGTTCAATTTCTTCGAAGCGTAAATGGGGATAGTCATATCTGCCTCATAAGCTTGAGAATTACGCTATGTACCATGCATATGCATGTAGAGCATCTGAGTGTCTGGTACACAGTATGATTGCTGCTTATAGGCATCATGGTAGTAGGAACATAGAGGTGATTAGATACATTTACTTAAGCTATTTCCCTTGAAAGTAATACTCTCTTCCTACCTTTTAAAACCCTACCTATTTTTCATGACCACAAATGGTACCACCTCCATGTTGTCTTCCCAATCTCCTGCAACCACTTACTTTGAACATAAGGTGCACCTATTTTCTATGACTTCCTTGGCCTTTATCTCTTGCTACCAATTCTTCTGAGCAAGGCTTGTGTTTTCCCAGTTTGATTGTCAGCCCTTTCAGACAAAGACCATGCCACCACTCTCAACAGAGTGTTACAACCCTTGGCTCCTGGGGACCATGATTTTCAGTGAAGAGCAACATTCATGTTTGGGCAGGTGGACGTGTTCAGGCTGCCAAGTGTTCATTTTATGGTCTCTAAAATGGTGTGCTAATGTTTCAAGGACAGCTCTGAAACAGCTAGGGTAAAGTGGAGGAGAGCGGGGAGCAGTCCAGCCTCGACTAGAACTCTAAGTGGCATGTCGAGGGGCTGCTCTCAGAAGAAAACAGCTTCTTTGGTCTGTGCATTCCTTTTGGGACCAGGTAAATATTGTTTAAGATGAGTTTGGGAATTTCCAGGTTGCCTGAGACACTGTCTGAGAACCTTCTTAGTACTTGGTTCTGACAGCAAGTGCTGAAGCGGAAAAAATATTTCCATCCATCTGCACTAATCTCTTGTTTCTCTAGCAGTTAGAAAGTGGGGAGGGGAAATGAGTTAAAGGCTGCATCAGGAAAAAAGCTGAAGAGCCAGGCTTACGCTCGGTCTGTGCCAGGTCATTTTCTAGTCAGGACAGGAAATGCCAAATTTCTGTAGCTATTGGGTGGAGGTGCTGGGAATATAATCATTTGCACTGTGATAATTGAAGGCATTGAAGAAGAAAGCTCAACTTTAAAACTTCCAGAAAAGCAAAGATACTCGGAATTCAAAGCAGCTCACTCTCACTCTCTCGCCTCGTGGTCACAGTAAGAAGAAAACAGCACTCGGTCAGGACCGGGGCACCTTTCAATGTTCCAACAGAATCTGCCCATCTGCAGCTCATGCACTGGGCCAAACAAATACAAACCCCAGCACCTTTCACATATATATTCGCAGGCCTTCCGTGTTTATATGTCTAAACCCAGCGCATGTGGTGCCTGTGTCAGTTACTGTTTTCAGGCTGGGACCCCAGGAACCATAAACCTGATGAGGGCTTTGTGCCTACATTCAGCTATACAATCTGTGTCTCATTACACTGCCCATCAAGTTAGCATGTGCTTGTGTTGGCTTGAGCTGGCGGTTCTCAGTGCTCCTGGAGGCCGGCCAGGTCGACAACATATATCGGTGGATTAAACTATTAAAGCCATAATGGCTTCTTTCCCCTCTTCCTCCCTCCTCCTTTCCTTTGGCCCATTCAGAGCCGGGAAAGTCTTTCAAAGGAAAGAGGCTCCTGCCCATTCATATCTTAGGCCAAATTTAAAGTAGCAGCTGAGACGCTTTATGGCAACACAAGTGTGGTTACTTCATATTATCGGCACTTGACTTTTAAGTCTCTGTCACGTATATCAATGGGTGATAAACATTTTCTTCTTGTTACCTTTTTTTATCTTTGTGAATCTTGGCTTCAAGGACCAGGTGTACCTGTATCTCAGGTGGGAAGATTGAGGCTGGAGCAATGCCTTTATAGGACCATCAGAGAACTCTTCTGTGAACAGATTTCTGTTGTGCATGATGTACCTTTTACATCATGCAGGGCATTGTAGCAGATATAGGAGTTATGCTTTATTTGGTCCCCAGCTTCAGGTGACTAACAGTCCAATCAGAATCCATGCACACAGAGATCAGCATGACACAACATGAGAAAAGAAATGTTATGTGGGGAAGTGTAGCAAATGGAACGGCCAGGTGAGAGGCCAGAGAGATCTAAGAATGTCCTGAAGGAGGTGAGATTTGCCCTTGACCTTGATGGAGTGGTCAGACTTGGGAAAGAAGATGAATAAAGCCTATATAAACTGAGAGTTAAGAGTGAAGACTGGAGACAGATGGCTTTGGCTTAAATCGCAGTTCTGCTGCTTGCTATCTGTGTGACCTTGGGTAAGTTACTTAACCTCAGTTTCCCAGTTATGACATGGGAATGATAACAATGGTGTCGGTCTCTTGGGTTGCTTTGAGGTTATTTGAAATAATACCTGTAAAGCACACAGCTAAAAAGGAGGAATGATGGTGGTGATGCAGGGAGACCAAAGAGTGAAACAGTCTAGAGTGAAGCGAATGTGTTAAAATCCAGAGGCGATCAAGTGAAGCCAGCCTTTGGAGGCCCGTAGAAGTCATTTGGAGGAATTTGGACTTCGTGCAGTAGGAAAGAGGGAAAACTGTTTTTAGAAAAAAAAAAAAAAAAGATTTGTGTGCCAAAGTGTAACATGATGAAAATGGATTTTAAGGAGAAACTGGTGTGTCTGCAATTCATCTCTCCTGATCGTGTAACTCTCTAGTCGCTGCCCCATTCAGTAGATCAGCTGCACAGACTCCTAATTAGCCATTCCAGTAGGCCAAAGACTATTTTTTGAGCAGGTATTTTCTTTTTAATCAGATGGACAATTGTATTGCCTAAATCTGTGTCTATCTCAAGTGCTATCTCAGCTGCTACTTCCTAAGAGAGTCCCCCACCTTTGAGGATGGTTTCAGGAGAACAAGTAGAAATGGCTGGCTCATTTGCTTGTAGAGGTTGTCTTTGCTACAGGAATTGCATGAGAGCACCATGCTTGTTAAATGTGCCAGCCGTAAGCTAATGATTTTATGATAAAGATTCTTCTTTAACATGTCTCTATGGCATCATGTAATTTTGGAGTGGGAAGGGACCACAAAATCAATCTAGTCTTTGTAGCAATGAGAGGGAGGTAAAGCCAGGTGGCTGTGTAAACCAGGAAGTGTCCAGAACCTCATATCCTAGTTTCAGGCAATTTTTTTCCTCATTCCACACACACACAAAAAAAATCCTGTTTTCATTTATTTAGGGGGTTTCAAAGGAAAGTTTTACAATCTATACTGGCTATAGGGAAGTATAGAGGATACCTCCTCTTGCATGGCAAGCCCGCACCCTTACCCCAAGGCCAGGAAAGAGAGATGAGAAGGAGGCCACAAGTGCTAGATGGGAGAGGAATTGAGAGATTTTTCACAGATATGTCTCTACCATAAACCTTTATGGCAAAACAAAACAAAACAAAAAAAAGCCTTCTCTGGAGGATCATGGGATGCAGCAGTAGAAGAACCTTCAGGACCATTTAATCCGGTGTTTTTTCAAATGCGTCCTACCAGTTTCCCAGGGTGTTTAAAGGTGTCACACTTCATGGCCCACTAAATGTGGAAATGATGACTTGAAGGACACTAATATGTCTGCATCTGGAGTTTCAGGCTCTTTAATATGCTCCCATTAGCACGGTGACTCTCCAAGAAAGGATACAAACATGAGCCATATCTATAGGATTTGTTGTTGTTGTTGTTTATTTTTGTAAAGAACCCTTTTATTTTAAGGCTCCTGGAAACATCTTTCAACATTTGTGTGTTTCAGGACACACTGATGTTGCCTAATACGTTAGTTTAAAGATAAAGACATTGGAACAAAGTCACTATCAGGTACGTGGTTGAACTAGGACTCCAGTAAGCCCTTCCTTCAGAGTGCTAGAATTTAGACTAGTCAGGCTAAGATGCCACATACTTGAAATTATTTGAATGTTTCAGGAAAATGATTTTTTAATGTATATTTTGTTAGATCTCTTTGGGTCAGTTTCCTACTTGTCACTCTGTTACACTGAGTCAAGCAGCCATAGTCCTCTGTCCAGTAGACATAAAAGCAAGGAAAAGAAACAATTTCTATTCCTCTTACACAAAAGTACCTAATGGCAATGGCTGTACCAAGCAAGCTGGTAGTTCTAGCTTTTGAAGTTTCCAAAATTCTACAGCCTTGGAATATGTCCATAAGGATCTCTTTGCAGGTACAACTTTAATAGGTGTGCAGTTTTCAGACTTGGATGGTGTTTGAAGAGTTTCGATGTCTGGCTTGTTGGCAGAGAGTTGGTTGCTGGGACTCTTGCTCTTCTGGTGCAGAGAGTATGGGCCATTGCCTCTGTGAGGTCTTCCTTGCCAGCCACCTAAGAATGTGCCTGAGCCAAGTTGCTGTGCAAACCTACTGAGTGGACGTCTCAGATTGTGCCATATCCTGACCCACAATCAAGAATCATCTTCCCACAGGACACATTCCAAATGTACTTTCCATACATTTTTGTGGATGGTAGATTTTCTTAATGACAGCCACGGCTGCCATTATTTCTTAGCTGTCAGTCACCAGATTAGGCATTTTCCATGCGTTTTATTTCCTTTATTATTCACAACAATGGTTGCTAAGTCTCAATTATTTGACCTTGAATAAGATACTTAATTTCTCTGTGCTCCAGTTTCCTCATTTTTAAAACAGGGATAAAATTCCAGCCTCCCAGAGTGGTTGGGAAGATTGGGTATAATCGAATGAGCATCTACGCTAGGCAATTAATATACAGTTATTCAGTTTCAGGGGCAAAATTTATATTATATGGGATATTATAAAATCCCACTTTCCTCTCCACCTCTAGGCAAGGCAGTTAAGGCATAAATAATATTTTAGACAGTCATATGTTTTGGTAAGGGGGCAGTGGACCACATTAGCCTGCTAAATCCCTAATGACTCTCCAGGGCAGCTTCTTATCAAGATGAAATGGAATTTGATGCTCCATGCACGCAAAGGCTCAGGTAATTTGAATCTGGTGTTTAATCCAATATGAACATCCTTTGTATAAAATCTCTGCCATCACCACTTTAGGAAAATTAATATTTATATCAAACATCTTCTGTAATGAGATATGAACTTTTGCCCACCAAAATTCTAGCTCAGATTTTAGATTTGTGTGCTCCCATAGTCAGGTTTCTGAATAATTTATTTATCCAATTGAAGAAATAAAGTAGACGAACAATTTCAAAGGAGACATTGAATCAAAGCAGTTGGCTAATTATTCTCATTTCAAGGTATCCTGGATTAGGGAAAAAAAAAAAGACTCTGAAATCAAGCATGCCTCATAGGTCATTTTGAGTATTAGTTATGTTTACAAAGCTCCTTATAGGATAAATCATGGAAAGTACGGGACATAATATGATTATATTTGGGGACCAAGTATTTATATTTGAGAAGAAAATGTAGCAGTTCACTAGGATAATTAACTCTTTTAGAACAGTCTCTATCTTCTTTATGTTCTTCTCTTTTCTGTCATACTGTCCCCCCTTTCTCTAGCTAACTAGCTCTTACCCTTTAAGATTAGGTGTGACCTCCTCCAGGAAGCCTTCCTGACCTCCAGTCAGGCTATTTCAAAATAATTAGTATATGTGCATCTCTGCCTCACTGAACTATAGCCCCCTCAGGGACTGAGCAAAGTGTTCTTTCCAACATTATTTACCAGGCACAGTGATTGTCACATATTAGGTGTTCCATAAGCATCGACTTAATGAAAATAAATCCTGGGACATTAGGCCTCACTGTTGCATTGTGTTTGAGGAGGTACGTGTTGTCACAGAACTGTTGGAACAACAGCTACAATCATAGCCCTTGCAGTTACTAGTTCTTCCATGCTGAAGGATGACAGGCACAATGGAGTCCTCACCTGCCTTTCTTGGCAAAGTTCCTGAATGTGGTTGCTGAGAGGATTTTAGTCTTTTCTCTGCAGTGAGAATGTGGGCTGAATTCACATTTTTAAAGCACTCTTATAGCCCGCAAAGTGTCTATTTCAGTATAAGTGCATTGTAATAATACCTTACTTGAACGCATATTCTAATACAGTTACTTATCATTCTACCCGTCTGTCTCCTCCATCGTCTTGACTCATTTTTGAATCACCACTGTTTAGCACAGTGCCTGGCACTTAGGAGGCACACTGCCAACAGGCTATGAATGAATGAGTGAATGAATGGACTACCTAGTGCCTTCCCTTCAGCTCTCACCTGACTTATACAGCAGCACTGTGAGGCTGATAGGACAAGAGTGATACCATTTCATAGATGCAGAATCTGGCCATCAGAAAGATTCGAAAACTTGCTCCTGATCTCACAGCTGATAAAGGTGGGACCAAGACTCACACGGAGGACCTCCAGTGCTTGAGCTATGTCCCTAACTCACAGCTTCCTCTACAATTTATAATAGACTGGTATGTACTGATAATTGAAAGGATGAGGGGGCCTACTAAGATACTTTTCTGAGGACAGAAAGAGTAATCATTGTAACAGTAATAGCTATTTATTGAGTCCTTAAGATGAGTACTCAATAAATGCCAAACACTTCATATAAGTCATCCTAACAAACTAATATACTGCTAAGCAGCTATTATCGTTACTTGCATTTTATACATGAAGAAACCAAGACACAGAATATTTATGAAACCTGTGCATCATCACAGAGCTAGTGCATCGTACAGACATGGTTTGAACCTGGGTGGTTTGGTTCAAAGCTCCTATACTTTCCCATTCTGCTATACTTCCTCCCCTAAAAGACCAGTTTTCTTTTAAATTGTCATTGTTTTCTAGCAGGTCTTGCTCTGTGAGCAGTTTTGACCTTGGACAAATTACCTGTCTTACCTGGGCGTCTGCTTCCTGATTTGTAAAATGAAGAAATTAGTATCTACCTTTTGGAATTGCTGTGAGAATTAAATGGTAATACATGAAGAATATGTTTTGTAAACTATAAAGCATTATACAAATTAAAGTTATTACTGCCCAGTGGAAAAAAAAAACAAGTCATTGTAATAATAATTTGTTTGAACAAGTGTTTATTGAGTTCATACTGTGGGCAAAGCATGATCAAAATAAGAGAAATAATTCTATTCATCACTGAACTTCATGCTATTAAATTTCCAGCAAGAGAATCTGCTTGCCCTGCTTCTTTTTGTTACAAACAGGCTGGTGAAATTATCTAACCAGAAAGGAAACAAAACCAGGTAAAGCAATCTTTTTTAAAATTGTGCCAGCGATTACAATGTTGTTCATTATTTTCTAACTGTTTTCAATAATATACCATCCTGCTCAAAAGCTTTGTCTACCGCTTTGCAATTTCAGATGTCATCTGACCTCTTTGCAGAATATACGTCTATAAAGTGTCCTTTTCTCAGTGGAATACACAAAATGGATAAACTAAAAAAATGTTGGAAAGCAGCAAGGAAGAACTAGAGAGGCGTTGGGACTGTCAGGATTGGAAGTCAGCATTCTTGTTTGGGCCTGACTCCTCTTGCTCCACCCTGGCTCTGTGACCTTGAATAGAGCATATATGGGGGCCAAGTCTCCATTTCTTCTCCAGCAAAAGACAGCAGTTGTAACTTTGTAAAAATCGACTCACAAAATCTTTTGCACTGTATAAATGTGAGTTCTTATTGTGTTGAATTCCCAAGAATATTTAGCATCTTTTGAAAAATATTTGTATTGCATTTAGAACCAGGAATTTTTAAAGACATGAAGTCAATGCCAGGGTAACCTTATGAATGACAACAATTGGAGGTCTTATGGAGGTCTGCCTGATATTTATTGAGTACTTACTATATAATGAAATATACTATATGTTTTGTATGTATTATCATATTTCCTAATGTTCATGAGTACTTTAAAACGAGACAATGCCAGCAATCTTGAATAACACATACACGTTACAATTATTTTTTTGTTTGTTTGTTTTTGAGATGGAGTCTTGCTCTGTCACCCAGGCTGGAGTGCAGTGGCACAATCTCGGCTCACTGCAAACTCCACCTCCTGGGTTCAAGCCATTCTCCTGCCTCAGCCTCCCCAGTAGCTGGGATTACAGGCATGCATCACCACACCCAGCTAATTTTCGTATTTTTAGTAGAGGCGAGGTTTCACCATGTTGGCCAGGCTGGTCTCGAACTCCTAACCTCATGATCCACCCACCTCGGCCTCCCAAAGTGCTGGGATTACAGGCATGAGTCACCACGCCCAGCCTTAAGATGGATTTTTAAAAAGATACAAAACCCATGTTAATGTGGTAAGTCAAAGCAACACATAACTGGAGAAAAATGCCCAGTTTTCCTCAGTAAGTATGTATTGAGTCATCCAGTCTGTCATTACTGGATGACTGCAAAGAGGAATAAAGCAAGTCCATGCCCTCAAGAAGCTCACCATCTGCCCAGAATGTAATGAGAGCTGAATGAGGCCCTTCAAGTGCTTGGAGAGCTCAGCAAAAATAACTGGTCTTGGAGTCTAGGGAATCATTAATTTTAATGGCAAAAACTGTAATTACTTTTGCAACAACCTAATAGTTCAAGAAGATTTGGCATTTCACTTGAAACTTCAAGGTTTAATAGAATTTGCCCTTGAAGTTTTTGGCAACAGGCTTCTTTCACTTTTGTTAAATCCAGTAGAAACCCCACATAGGTCAATAGGTGATGAATACCAAATCCACTGGGGCCCAAACAGGGCACTCCTCCATAAGACAGACCTCCATAAGACAATTGCTTTCACCATCCACTTGTAAAGATTTTACTCCCATCTCACATTTATGGGAAGTTCTTTTTTTTTTTTTTTATACTTTAAGTTTTAGGGTACATGTGCACATTGTGCAGGTTAGTTACATATGTATATATGTGCCATGCTGGTGCGCTGCACCCACTAACTCGTCATCTAGCATTAGGTATATCTCCCAATGCTATCCCTCCCCCCACCCCCCACCCCACCACCGTCCCCAGAGTGTGATATTCCCCTTCCTGTGTCCATGTGATCTCATTGTTCAATTCCCACCTATGAGTGAGAATATGCGGTGTTTGGTTTTTTGTTCTTGCGATAGTTTACTGAGAATGATGATTTCCAATTTCATCCATGTCCCTACAAAGGACATGAACTCATCATTTTTTATGGCTGCATAGTATTCCATGGTGTATATGTGCCACATTTTCTTAATCCAGTCTATCATTGTTGTACATTTGGGTTGGTTCCAAGTCTTTGCTATTGTGAATAATGCCGCAATAAACAGACGTGTGCATGTGTCTTTATAGCAGCATGATTTATAGTCCTCTGGGTATATACCCAGTAATGGGATGGCTGGGTCAAATGGTATTTCTAGTTCTAGATCCCTGAGGAATCGCCACACTGACTTCCACAATGGTTGAACTAGTTTACAGTCCCACCAACAGTGTAAAAGTGTTCCCATTTCTCCACATCCTCTCCAGCACCTGTTGTTTCCTGACTTTTTAATGATCGCCATTCTAACTGGTGTGAGATGGTATCTCATAGTGGTTTTGATTTGCTTTTCTCTGATGGCCAGTGATGATGAGCATTTTTTCATGTGTTTTTTGGCTGCATAAATGTCTTCTTTTGAGAAGTGTCTGTTCATGTCCTTTGCCCACTTTTTGATGGGGTTGTTTGTTTTTTTCTTGTAAATTTGTTTGAGTTCATTGTAGATTCTGGATATTAGCCCTTTGTCAGATGAGTAGGTTGCAAAAATTTTCTCCCATTCTGTAGGTTGCCTGTTCACTCTGATGGTAGTTTCTTTTGCTGTGCAGAAGCTCTTTAGTTTAATTAGATCCCATTTGTCAATTTTGTCTTTTGTTGCCATTGCTTTTGGTGTTTTGGACATGAAGTCCTTGCTCATGCCTATGTCCTGAATGGTAATGCCTAGGTTTTCTTCTAGGGTTTTTATGGTTTTAGGTCTAACGTTTAAGTCTTTAATCCATCTTGAATTGATTTTTGTATAAGGTGTAAGGAAGGGATACAGTTTCAGCTTTCTACATATGGCTAGCCAGTTTTCCCAGCACCATTTATTAAATAGGGAATCCTTTCCCCATTGCTTGTTTTTCTCAGGTTTGTCAAAGATCAGATAGTTGTAGATATGCGGCGTTATTTCTGAGGGCTCCGTTCTGTTCCATTGATCTATATCTCTGTTTTGGTACCAGTACCATGCTGTTTTGGTTACTGTAGCCTTGGAGTATAGTTTGAAGTCAGGTAGTGTGATGCCTCCAGCTTTGTTCTTTTGGCTTAGGACTGACTTGGCGATGTGGGCTCTTTTTTGGTTCCATATGAACTTTAAAGTATTTTTTCCAATTCTGTGAAGAAAGTCATTGGTAGCTTGATGGGGATGGCATTGAATCTGTAAATTACCTTGGGCAGTATGGCCATTTTCACGATATTGATTCTTCCTACCCATGAGCATGGAATGTTCTTCCATTTGTTTGTCTCCTCTTTTATTTCCTTGAGCAGTGGTTTGTAGTTCTCCTTGAAGAGGTCCTTCACATCCCTTGTAAGTTGGATTCCTAGGTATTTTATCCTCTTTGTAGCAATTATGAATGGGAGTTCACTCATGATTTGGCTCTCTGTTTGTCTGTTATTGGTGTATAGGAATGCTTCTGATTTTTGTACAGTGATTTTGTATCCTGAGACTTTGCTGAAGTTGCTTATCAGCTTAAGCAGATTTTGGGCTGAGACAATGGGGTTTTCTAGATATACAATCATGTCATCTGCAAACAGGGACAATTTGACTTCCTCTTTTCCTAATTGAATACCCTTTATTTCCTTCTCCTGCCTAATTGCCCTGGCCAGAGCTTCCAACACTATGTTGAATAGGAGTGGTGAGAGAGGGCATCCCTGTCTTGTGCCAGTTTTCAAAGGGAATGCTTTCAGTTTTTGCCCATTCAGTATGATATTGGCTGTGGGTTTGTCATAGATAGCTCTTATTATTTTGAAATACGTCCCATCAATACCTAATTTATTGAGAGTTTTTAGCCTGAAGCGTTGTTGAATTTTGTCAAAGGCTTTTTCTGCATCTATTGAGATAATCATGTGGTTTTTGTCTTTGGCTCTGTTTATATGCTGGATTACATTTATTGATTTGCGTATATTGAACCAACCTTGCATCCCAGGGATGAAGCCCACTTGATCATGGTGGATAAGCTTTTTGATGTGCTGCTGGATTCGTTTTGCCAGTATTTTATTGAGGATTTTTGCATCAATGTTCATCAAGGATATTGGTCTAAAATTCTCTTTTTTGGTTGTGTCTCTGCCTGGCTTTGGTATCAGAATGATGCTGGCCTCATAAAATGAGTTAGGGAGGATTCCCTCTTTTTCTATTGATTGGAATAGTTTCAGAAGGAATGGTACCAGTTCCTCCTTGTACCTCTGATAGAATTCGGCTGTGAATCCATCTGGTCCTGGACTCTTTTTGGTTGGTAAATTATTGACTATTGCCACAATTTCAGCTCCTGTTATTGGTCTATTCAGAGATTCAACTTCTTCCTGGTTTAGTCTTTGGGGAGTTTATGTGTCGAGGAATTTATCCATTTCTTCTAGATTTTCTAGTTTATTTGCGTAGAGGTGTTTGTAGTATTCTCTGATGGTAGTTTGTATTTGTGTGGGATCGGTGGTGATATCCCCTTTATCATTTTTTATTGTGTCTATTTGATTCTTCTCTCTTTTTTTCTTTATTAGTCTTGCTAGCGGTCTATCAATTTTGTTGATCCTTTCAAAAAACCAGCTCCTGGATTCCTTAATTTTTTGAAGGGTTTTTTGTGTCTCTGTTTCCTTCAGTTCTGCTCTGATTTTAGTTATTTCTTGCCTTCTGCTAGCTTTTGAATGTGTTTGCTCTTGCTTTTCTAGTTCTTTTAATTGTGATGTTAGGGTGTCAATTTTGGATCTTTCCTGCTTTCTCTTGTGGGCATTTAGTGCTATAAATTTCCCTCTACACACTGCTTTGAATGTGTCCCAGAGATTCTGGTATGTTGTGTCTTTGTTCTCGTTGGTTTCAAAGAACATCTTTATTTCTGCCTTCGTTTCGTTATGTATCCACTAGTCATTCAGGAGCAGGTTGTTCAGTTTCCATGTAGTTGAGCAGTTTTGAGTGAGATTCTTAATCCCGAGTTCTAGTTTGATTGCACTGTGGTCTGAGAGATAGTTTGTTATAATCTCTGTTCTTTTACATTTGCTGAGGAGAGCTTTACTTCCAAGTGTGTGGTCAATTTTGGAATAGGTGTGGTGTGGTGCTGAAAAAAATGTATATTCTGTTGATTTGGGGTGGAGAGTTCTGTAGATGTCTATTACGTCCGCTTGGTGCAGAGCTGAGTTCAATTCCTGGGTATCCTTGTTGACTTTCTGTCTCGTTGATCTGTCTAATGTTGACAGTGGGGTGTTAAAGTCTCCCATTATTAATGTGTGGGAGTCTAAGTCTCTTTGTAGGTCACTCAGGACTTGCTTTATGAATCTGGGTGCTCCTGTATTGGGTGCATATATATTTAGGATAGTTAGCTCTTCTTGTTGAATTGATCCCTTTACCATTATGTAATGGCCTTCTTTGTCTCTTTTGATCTTTGTTGGTTTAAAGTCTGTTTTATCAGAGACTAGGATTGCAACCCCTGCCTTTTTTTGTTTTCCATTTGCTTGGTAGATCTTCCTCCATCCTTTTATTTTGAGCCTATGTGTGTCTCTGCACATGAGGTGGGTTTCCTGAATACGGCACACTGATGGGTCTTGACTCTTTATCCAATTTGCCAGTCTGTGTCTTTTAATTGGAACATTTAGTCCATTTACATTTAAAGTTAATATTGTTATGTGTGAATTTGATCCTGTCATTATGATGTTAGCTGGTTATTTTGCTCGTTAGTTGATGCAGTTTCTTCCTAGTCTCGATGGTCTTTACATTTTGGCATGATTTTGCAGCGGCTGGTACCGGTTGTTCCTTTCCATGTTTAGCGCTTCCTTCAGGAGCTCTTTTAGGGCAGGCCTGGTGGTGACAAAATCTCTCAGCATTTGCTTGTCTGTAAAGTGTTTTATTTCTCCTTCACTTATGAAGCTTAGTTTGGCTGGATATGAAATTCTGGGTTGTAAATTCTTGTCTTTAAGAATGTTGAATATTGGCCCCTACTCTCTTCTGGCTTGTAGGGTTTCTGCCGAGAGATCCGCTGTTAGTCTGATGGGCTTCCCTTTGAGGGTAACCCGACCTTTCTCTCTGGCTGCCCTTAACATTTTTTCCTTCATTTCAACTTTGGTGAATCTGACAATTATGTGTCTTGGAGTGGGAAGTTCTTCTTTGAGTATGTCCAGTGACTCTTTAAGATTCAGTTTCTAGCCTACCGAGCTGGAAATGACTGTGAAAGTTTCAATAGTCTTAGATCCTTCTCATCTCTTTTACAAAACCAGCGTTGGTGACACATAACAGATGGTATGAAATGGAAGCCTTATCAGTTGATTTCACTTATAAACCAAGTGCAGATAAAGATATAAGGAGGAGCAACATGGGAAATGTAATGCTAAAGATATGTGGGAGTGTGTCAACACCATTTCTAACACCACACTATGGGATCTGTGGCAAATGCAGCAAGACACCAGTTGACAATATGAAGGTTAGGAAGCTTTCTCTCAATTCATGCTCTGTATCCTGCAGTGGAGTGTCCAGCTCAGAGTTCAGACGAGGCTACGACAATTGGAGCAGAAGTGGAGAGGGCTCTGAGTTGTACTTTGTGTCCACACACAGCAGCTGCTCTGCTGCTCGGGTCCAGGGCTGTGTGGCATTTTCACGTGTGTAGTGATACTGGGCGCTGAATGGAGTGGGGAGGGAACACGATTTGGGCAGTTTATTTTTACGTGCTGAGTTTTTTTCCACTTTAGCTCCATATTGAGAGGTTTTATCTGTGTGAAGCAGTGCTGATAAACAGCCTGATTTGAGAAGCCAAGCAAGATTTGGCCTGGCAACTTCTGATGTTTTCATCATGGATAGTAGGAGACAGTTTGGCTGGGCTGGGAATCACGTGGGGTTCAGCTGCCTCAACACGTTAGGCTGTGAGCTTCACGGGGAAGGGGCCATGTCATAGGGGGTGTGTGCTACTGGGTGTAACAAGGTGCCTGGTGCATGCTAGGTGCTTCAGAGATGTTGGGGAAGGAAAGAATGCAGGACTGGACACCACTACTGTGCTGTATCTCATCACTCCAGCACACCTTAGGAAGAAAGCTCATATTTCTTCATCTTGTCCACCGCTCAGAATATACTTCTACTCAACTCTGCCTGTTTCCTGTTTGCCTGTTCAGATCCTTATATCTCTCCTGCTCTGGAACAACTCCTTGACAATTCCAGCTTCCATTGATTCCTCTCCTGCCTGAACTATCAGTCTCTTCTGCATCCATCCTTTAGAACCAGGAGAGAATAGAAACAGGTTCTAGTTTCTAGTTCTTTAATGGGTTTGTGTCTGTTTCTTGAAAGCAGAGAATAGGACCGTATCTTATATTTGTTGTGGGGGATGGGAAGAATCTAGGGCTAGAATTGGAAGATCCAAATGTGTGACCTTGTTCTTTCCCTTAATATTTCTATTATCTTCACCAAGTCACATAACTTGTCTAAGCCTCAGTTTTTTCATCTTTAAAATAGGAGAAAATGGTACTTGTCACAGTAGGGTCATAAGTGTTAGATGAGGTTGCTCATGTAAAAAAGTCTGGCATAAATTATATATTGTTGTTTCTGTTGTTACTTATCCCTGACAGACATTTGCACTAGCTGGGAACTTCATCTATTTTTAGTTACTATTTGTTGAGTGACTGAGGAAATGAACCATGGAGAGTATTTTGCCTTCCAGAAGTGACTTCTATAACTCATTTGTAAATGTTGGCATTTTGGAGTGGAAAGAAAAAATGTATTTATTTCTTCTAAATGGATGATGCCTTGTATTTGCATCACCAGAAAAAGCAGAGACATTTTTTCATCCAATTTTATTTTTCTTCTTTAACACCTGTGATTTTTTTTTTTTCAGTCATATTTGCCTGGGAATAAAAAATAGGCTCTCCAGGTAGTTTTGTCCCCATCCATCCTCTGGAAAGAACTTTAAATGCTCCCTTTCCCAAATGTCTTTTAAGCAATCTGGGCGTCTTGGGCATGTCTCGCATGACCTGGTTGTCTTAGCCGTCTTCACTTTCTCTGTGGCTCTCAGTAACATCTTCAGAAGCTGCAGCTGCCAAAAAACAATGGCTTAGCCATGACATCCAAGGAAATCATCAAGGCATCATCCACCCCTATAGATGCCCACAGGTGGCCATAGGGGTGGTGTTGTTGTCTGTGGATAGCACTAATGCCACTTCTGATGCCCACAAATAGCTGCCCCTGAGGCCCCAAGGCCCCATGCCCTGCCTGTTAATGATGCCATTACTGCTGCAACTCTTCCCAATACCTTGTTTAGGTACCATCTCCCACTGCGGAGGCTGCAGGCAGCACAGCACCCAAGACTGCACTTTGCACTAGCCAGGTGCTACCCATGACTTCTGGAAAACGGCCCTTTTTTGTTTCATTTTTTTTTTTTTTTTTTTTTTTATTGATCATTCTTGGGTGTTTCTCGAAGAGGGGGATTTGGCAGGGTCATAGGACAATAGTGGAGGGAAGGTCAGCAGATAAACAAGTGAACAAAGATCTCTGGTTTTCCTAGGCAGAGGACCCTGGGGCCTTCCGCAGTGTTTGTGTCCCTGGGTACTTGAGATTAGGGAGTGGTGATGACTCTTAACGAGCATGCTGCCTTCAAGCATCTGTTTAACAAAGCACATCTTGCACCGCCCTTAATCCATTTAACCCTGAGTGGACACAGCACATGTTTCAGAGAGCACCGGGTTGGGGGTAAGGTCAAAGATCAACAGCATCCCAAGGCAGAAGAATTTTTCCCAGTACAGAACAAAATGGAGTCTCCTATGTCTACCTCTTTCCACACAGACACAGCAACAATCTGATTTCTCTATCTTTTCCCCACATTTCCCCCTTTTCTATTCGACAAAACCGCCATCGTCATCATGGCCCGTTCTCAATGAGCTGTTGGGTACACCTCCCAGACGGGGTGGCGGCTGGGCAGAGGGGCTCCTCACTTCCCAGAAGGGGCTGGCCGGGTGGGGGCTGACCCCCCCACCTCCCTCCCGGACAGGGCGGCTGGCCGGTCGGGGGCTGGCCCCCCACCTCCCTCCCGGACGGGGCGGCTGGCCGGGCGGGGGCTGGCCCCCCACCTCCCTCCCGGAAGGGGCGGCTGCCGGACGGAGGGGCTCCTCACTTCTCAGAGAGGGCGGCGGGGCAGAGACGCTCCTCACCTCCCAGACGGGGTCGGGGCCGGGCAGAGGCGCTCCTCACATCCCAGACGGGGCGGCGGGGCAGAGGCGCTCCCCACATCTCAGACGATGGGCGGCCAGGCAGAGACGCTCCTCACTTCCTAGACGGGATGGTGGCCGGGAAGAGGTGCTCCTCACTTCCCAGACTGGGCAGCCGGGCAGAGGGGCTCCTCACATCCCAGACGATGGGCAGCCAGGCAGAGACGCTCCTCACTTCCCAGACGGGGTGGCGGCTGGGCAGAGGCTGCAATCTGGGCACTTTGGGAAGCCAAGGCAGGCGGCTGGGAGGTGGAGGTTGTAGCTACCCGAGATCACGCCACTGCACTCCAGCCTGGGCAACATTGAGCACTGAGTGAATGAGACTCCGTCTGCAATCCCGGCAACTCGGGAGGCCGAAGCTGGCAGATCACTCCCGGTTAGGAGCTGGAGACCAGCCCGGCCAACAAAGCGAAACCCCGTCTCCACCAAAAAAATACGAAAACCAGTCAGGCGTGGCGGCGCGCGCCTGCAATCGCAGGCACTCGGCAGGCTGAGGCAGAAGAATCAGGCAGGGAGGTTGCAGTGAGCAGAGATGGCGGCAGTACAGTCCCGCTTCGGCTCGTCATCAGAGGGAGACCCTGGAAAGAGAGGGAGAGGGAGACCGTGGGGAGAAGGAGGGAGAGAGAGGGAGAGGGAGAGGGAGTCGGAGTCATTTTGGTTTTATTCATCCATGCAATTGCAGCTGCTCTCCCATGGGACATAGGACACTCAGGGTGGGGGACGCTGTGCGGAATCACCCTCAGCACACCCGCTGATCCTGGCTCATTATCTTTGATTCAGAAAGGTGCACTTGGCTTCACTCTCCCCTTGGAATGCATCTTCTTCCTGGAGGTTCCTTGGTTTCTCCTGCATATAACCCACCTGAGTGCTAGAGTGAGCCCAGCCTGAACTCAGGGTGGGGAACCTGGTACATTCCTGACTCGTCAGTCTGCCCAGCTGCTGGGAGAACTTATGAGCATCATCACCTGTGTGAAAAAGTCAGGGAATAGATTCTGCCTCATAGATTAAAAGCTAGGTTGATAGGTTAGCTTGCTTCTGGCTCTTCTGGCCAATTAAGTGATCCTGGCTTTCCCACAAACAGAAGTGACCTCTCGATTTCAGGTCTCATCATGTGCACTGGGATAGACAAGCATATGTACCATTGTGAGTTGCCTTGGGTTTGCCAAAAAAGTGCCCCTTGAGTGAACCAATTATTTTCCCTTTTCCAAAGTACAGTTTTGTCTGCAATCCTTTATTTCTAACACTACTTCTGAATGGAACATATTGTTATGCATGGCAGGGATGGGGAGCAAATGGGAGGAATTTGGAGAAAGAGCCGTTTTCCTCCCCTAATGGTGAAAAGTATTTTTTCTAACAAGCACTGTTCTCGGTAGTTGTAGCCTGGAGAGCCTTATCCTTTCCATCATCTTCTTGTCTGCAGCAGCCATGATATAACAACGTTTCCCCTGACGGGAGCTCATGCAAGCCACTGTGTCCTGGAAGAGAGCCAACCTGGTATGCTGGCCAGTTGGCACCACTTGCCTCCATGCAAGAAGCCAGCACTGTGCCTTGTCCCCAGAGATATCAGCCCTGTAATGTCCAGCTCGTGCCAACAGGAACCGTGGAATACATATTTTCCTTTAAAAAGAGAGATGAGAGTTCCTGTTCTTTCCCATGATTTGTGCAGTTTATGTGATCATGAGTTTGGATTTTCAGAGAGAGGGTGGGGAGGGAAATTATATTTTATAGGTTATCTATATGGGGTGGTCCAGCCCCATATTGCTGGATTTGCTGGGTATATTAAACTATAGCCTTCCTCCTCTCTGCTCTTAAGCCAATCAGCTCCTAGCTTTCTCTGCTCTAAAACCAAAGTGGGCTGTTTGTTTTTGTTTCAATCTTTCATTTTGCTCCTATCGGGCATCTGTTATATCTCTGAGCTGTGGACCCTATGGAAACCTTGATATGTCTGCATGCTCCACCTGGTGCTATGCCTAGGTCAGTCAGTGGGAAGTCAGACCACGTTGGGCATGCAGCATCTCAACCACAGGAGTCTGGGGTGCAGTTTTAAGTGTCACTCTTGTTGCTGACATTTTTCTATCCTTCTGCAGGGACGATTATTGGAAATGGTGTATTGCCCTCTGGGAATATGGGAAGCATCAGACAGGAATTCTGGGCCATGCTGCTTTTTTTTTTTTTTTTTTTTGGAGTACAGTGGTATGATCTCAGCTCACTGCAACCTCTGCCCCTTTTGCTCAAGCAGTCCTCTCACCTCAGCCTCCTAAGTAGCTGAGATCACAGATGCTTGCCACCACACCTGGCCATTTTTTTCTTTTTTGTATTTGTGGTAGAGATGGGGTTTCACTATGTTGCCCAAGCTGGTCTTGAACTCCTGAGCTCAGGTGATCCACTTGCCTTAGCCTCCCAAAGTGCTGGGATTACAGGCTTGAGCCACCGCATCTCGCTCCGTGCTGCTTATTGTATACGGTTTTCTGTTTTTTACCACCTGTAACTCCACCCATTAAGGCAGTTTGTGCAGAGTCCCTGGCCCTTAGTACGGTGTTCACTGTGGCCAACTGGGTCTAGACCAGTGGTTCTAGCTCTAGTTGCATGGGAGGATCTTCCTGGGGCTTTTAAATTATACTGATGCCCATGCTCCATCTCAGACCAGTTACATCAGACTTCCCAGGTGGGACCAGGGTGGCCTGGGCCTCAGGAATTTTTAAAGCTCCCCAGGTGCTTTTCATCTTCAGTGCATGTTACTGTTCTTCGGTTTATACAAATTCTTTGACAGATGGACAACTCATATGAGAGCATATGTGTGATTTTTCCTGTCATGATAATGGACGACTGACTGACTATGGCAAAAGGCCTCCATTTTATGGTTTGTTTAGTTAATAGAAGTGATATATTTATGCTCATTTATGCTCTCATCTGGTCCCCTTTGACCCATTACTCACTTTTTTTTTTTTTTTTTTTTTTTTGGAGATGGAGTCTGGCTCTGTCACCCATGTTGGAGTGCAGTGGCATGATCTCGGGTCACTGCAACCTCTGCCTCCCAGGTTCAAGCAATTCTCCTGCCTCAGCCTCCCGAGTAGCTGGGATTACAGGCACACGCTACCACGCCTGGCTAATTTTTTGTATTTTAGTAGTGATGGGGTTTCACCGTGTTGCCCAGGCTGGTCTTGAACTCCTGAGCTCAGGCAATCCCCCCACCTCAGCCTCCCAAAGTGCTGGGATTACAGGCATGAGCCACCATGCCCAGCCGACCCATTACTCACTTTTGCGAAATAGCTGGCTGAGGTTAAAGATGTCATCCTTGGAGAATAGAACTGAATGCGGGTCCACATTGGGCCAAGACCTTCTGTCTTATGCTCATTAGTACAGTCCTCTAAAACAGTGGCTGAACCTTCACATTGAAAATGTAATCCTCTCAAAACCCTGATCAAGAAATAACATCTCTTTTTAAGTATGACCTTGATACAGCAAAGAACAAGAGTGCCTCAGAAGAGTGACTACAAGAGCCAGAACAAGATTGAATAGAATCAGAATTGACGTTCCTAAGCTAACTTTAAAAGTGAAAAAAAAAAAAAATTAAGAAAGACATGTGAGAGGTTAAACCCCAAACCTGACAGTGTACTTTTAAAATGTCCTGCAGAACCTGGCAGTCTTCCTCAGCACCCTGGTTTTTGCCCCAGCATCCTAGCAAAGTCACCTTTCTTTCTAAACCACTAGTTGAAGGGCCAAGTCTCAAAATAAGAAGATGCTACTATGCATAGCTACTTGGACTTGATTTAGAACATGATGCCAGCAAAGATGGATACAGGTACCCTGACTCCAGCTTTCTTGATTTGGGTGAAGCAATTACAAAGGAGAGTTCATGCTAAAAATAGGAAGTTGTTATTCAACCATTCTATGAAGGCAGAAAAGAAAATCTAATAAATTTGACCTTCAGTGAGCTGCAATTTCAACTCTAACAGGGCTTCGTGGGCTTGATAATATTGTTAGCTTTATTTGTTCCAGAATGTGTAAGGCCAGCAAAGGCCAGCCTTGGAATTGTGTCTTATTATCTCTCCTTATGCCCAGTTGCCTGTGTCCTCCCCACCTCCATCCCAGGGTATGTCTGCATTATCACTTTTGCACATAAACCTAAAGATTAAAGACGGTGTTTGTTTTGAAGGAGGATAGGAAGATCAAGGATAAAGAGAAAACATGTTTGTATGTATATGCATATAACATTCACACAGCATTCTAACAGCCAATCTCTAAGTATCATCAGTAACAGGAAAATTCTTTTAAGTGATAATCTTATAAACTGATTACAGGTCACTGCTCACATGAATGTGTGCCTGAGGCTACATCCCTAATGTGAAGCAAAGTATAAGATACAAGAAACCTAAGCATACACCTTTTCATCCATGGGCAAATAATTGCCGAACATCTTGCTTAACACACATAATTCGCCTTATGAATAGAAACGTAAAACGGAAACCTGGTTCTGGTTTGACAATTTGACAAACCAGAATTTGACAATAAGCACTAGGGGGAAGAGCACTGATTTGGGATTTGGTCTGATAAGGGTGTATATCCCAGCTCTGCTGTTTACAGGCGAGGCAGCCTTGGCCTTGAGACATAAACTCACTAAGACTCAGTTTCCACATCTAGTTGTAAGGTCTGAAAGATCTACTGTGTGCACAGTAGCTGACCATTATGTAAGGGCTCCATAGATAGTTACGTTTATGATGAGCTGTGGCTTTTGCTGATATTTTGGTTTTCAACCAGATCTATCACATGAAAAAAAAAATTCCATGTTTTTAAAAAATTAGGGGGAATCTTCCGAAGATATTATGGATTAAGTTTTAATTCAATCCTTTAGGAAAGGTGAGTTTGCTTGAAGACTTAGCAGATTTTATGCATAGGAGATTTGCCTGCTCACTGGACTGGTGGGTAATGCAAAGATCAACAATTATCTTCCTAAAATGTCTGCTTTTAAAAACTATTTCTTGGTAACAACAGCAGTGCTAGTCACCAGTTTCCGGTTTGCACGTCTTTTCTTTTCAAGGGCAAACATTTAAAACCCTTCCTTACCTCCAGGATCTTTGAAGAGATGAAAAAGATAGATCAGTGAGGAGAGGGAGGTCTTGGGTTGCTAATGCTAACATGTGGAATGACTCATAATTGCGTAAAAAAGTGAGATCAAAAATTCCTTGTCTTGAGATCTAAAAGTTTTCTTAGAATACAAAGTGAGCACTCACCAAGGAACTAAAAATAAAGTACACTGGAGATCTTCCAAGAACACCTCTGGGTGAAAGCATCATAGAAACTGGCTGCTGTGTCCAGACAGGGAACTCAGCCCGAGGCTGTCTCATTGGGAGGGCCCACTGTTGACCATGGCACTGGTAGACTTTCCTCCAAGTATCTTAGGCCCCTTCACCCGGTTCTGTAGAACAATGACATTGGGACAAGCCAGATTTGGCCCTGGGGTCCTAATAGCTAAATGGAATCGCGAGACGCCAACACATTAAAGAGCTTGGAGTTGAGCAAAGACTGGCACAGTTGTATCATTTTGAAGCTTTAACAACCATTTCATCCAACCCTTCCACTTCAAGGACAAGGAACCTGAAGTCCAAGGAAGTGAAACCACACTCAATTTAGTGCCTTTTAGACCCAGCTTGAATTAACCAGAGGTTGAACTGCAACTGACAAGGCTTTTCCATCCCAGGGTTGGTATATGTAATAGCTTATCACCATGCCATAAAAATTATGAAGTGTTTGGTGTCTCCAAGCTTAGGTTCACAAAGTTGGCTCATTTGATTTTGTCTAATGAGTATAACTTGTTTTTCTATACAATACCACTTCTTTCTTGCAGGTCTGCTATCACATAGGAGAAAAATCATGGCCATTTGCCTTGGTCAACATTTGTTTTCCTTTTCTTCCACTGACTAAAATATTATGATTATTTATTTATTTATTTAGAGACAGAGTCTCACTCTGCTGCCAGGCTGGAGTGCGGTGGTGCGATCTTGGCTCACTGCAAGCTTTGCCTCCCGAGTTCAAACAATTCCCCTGCCTCAGCCTCCCGAGTAGCTGGGACTACAGGCACGCGCCACCATGCCCGGCTAATTTTTTTGTATTTTAGTAGAGACAGGGTTTCACCATGTTGGCCAGGATGGTCTCAATCTTCTGACCTCGTGATCCACCTGCCTCGGACTCCCAAACTGCTGGGATTACAGGCTGACTACAATATTATTTACATACAATGTAATCCAGTTATAAGCATACAGTTAGATGAATTTTGGTTATTGTTTACAACCATAACCACCATCTGAAACAATACATAGAACAGTTCCCTCACCTAAAATGTTCCCTCGGGCCTCTTGGCTCTCAATCCCGTCCCCCTGCAACCTGGCCTCTGGCTTCCACAGATCAGCTTTCTGTCTCTGTATTTTGCCTTTTCTAGAGTTTTATCTAAATACAATAATATAATACATATTCTTTTTTGTTCAACATCTTTCACCTAGCGGATGTTTTTGAGATTCATCCATGTTGTTGTATTATAATTTCTTTTTATTACTGGAATAGTATTCCATCGTATGGACGTACAGTTTGTTTATTCCTTACCAATTGATGGCCTTTGGGGTTGTTTCTGGTTTGGGGCTATTAGAAATCATCTTAGCCAACAATTTTATCTTTAATTTCTTTCAGTGATCTAATCTTGTGACCCAGCCTCTAATTTTTAGGATCTTAGAATGTTCACCATCACTATTAGAGTGAAACATTTTCAAAAAATGCTGATAGGGTTGGAGGTGTTGGCCCCTGATCCTCCCATGTGTGACTTTGGAAGTGATCTTCTACTCATCTTGAAGTAGCAATGCCAAGGCTCAAAGCTGACATGATGGCCTATTTAGTGTTCTGTAATGTAATTTACCACCAGGATAGGCCTTCGGGCACATGACAGAGTGCAACAAAATGCAGTATCCAATATTTATAGTAAATACACTGGAGTGGTTTTTTATCTTGCCTTGTAGAAATGTGCACACACACTGCTTTTCAGCCATTCTAAGTGCAAGAGGAGGGAAAAGAGGGAAGTCCAGTGAACGGCACTGTCCCGTGCATAAACATTGCAGGGGTACAGGGCTAGCACAGCCGACTTGGAACAACCCGGGAAGAGTTAGCTCTCAGACTTAACAGGAGAAACTCTCCTGAAAAATGTGCTGTCCCCCTGTTATAATTCACCATAATGAGCGGGGAACAAAAGGTTGTGAAGGGGAGTGGTGACTGATGGCCGACACGGCCGCCCTGTGCTGAGGCTGGCACGGCTCCCTCTGGCGAAAGGCATAATATATTATTGCTCCAGGTCGCATAGTGGTAAATGAACACTTAAGGCCGCTATGGCAACTGGATTGATTATCACAGGTACCTCAGGACCAGCCTGGCCCAGAGTTGCAAGTGAGCACGTGCGTCCCTGCTGTGCTCCAGTCAGAAGAACACCTCAAAGGCAATTTGTACAAAATGAAGCCTCTGATGACTGCATGCCCCTCCTCTCCAGCCCCCTTTGTCCAGTAGAGAATCTGGACAAGGCTGGCCCAGACAGTTGGACCTCTCAGACCTGAGAGGCAGGGCTACCATGCTGAAAGAATGCCTGGTTCATGGTGGGAACAAGGTCGCAGTTTGTTGTATATAATACAATGAATGGAATGAATGAATGAGTGAGTGAATGAGTGAGTGAATCCATGATTGGAATGACAAGAAGTCTCCGAGGGAGCACTAAGGCCAAAGTGGAGGTCAGGAGCTGCGATGCCGAGGGAAGAGGTCTGAGAGAGGAAGATGGCTACAGGACGTAGCAAGTTGAAATGGACCAACGAGCAATGGCCTGAGCAAATAACTTTGATCGAGCCATCACTGGTGACAGGACTTGAACACATTTCTGGAAGCATGTTGCATGAATAAGCCTGATTTGTTTAAGAAGCCGGGCATGGGCCAGTGCCTTTTTATTTAATTCACAGATATTACTCGGAGTTTACACACAAATCTCCAGTTTTTTCAGTAGCCGAAAGAAAAGAAGCAATCTGTATCCCCAGTGGCAGATCTAGGCAGATTTGTATTAATGTTCTAAATGCACCAATTATCATTTTTATTTTTCCCAGTATTAAAAAAAATTTTTTTTAGATGAGGTCTCACTGTGCTGACTAGGCTGGTGTCAGACTCCTGGCCTCAAGCAAACCTTCTTGCCTCCCTCTTATTTAAAATGTTTAAGTGAGTGTTTCCCTCCTCTAGTTTGTATGAACTGATCTAACCATGTACCTGTATCCAGGGTGTAGAGTGAGTAGCATTAATGCCACATTACCTTCTAATTTTGATTGGCAGAAGTTTTACACTTTAGAATTTAAATGTGAAGGTATTTGAATTCTTTGCACACGACCTCTAAGCTAGATCATCTACAGTGGCAACTAAACTGGCCACCACCTTCACAGGTACTATATTTGAATACAGCATGCAACCTTCCACTGCAGAAACTTAATTGTCATGGTAACAATGATCATCTTTATTAATTATGGGAAATGGAATGATAGGGTGAAGATAGACCAGTATTTCTCAAATTTTTCTTCATTATTGCCTCCTACAGACCTGTTTTAGACATTGTTTTTTCTAATCACTCTCCCCATGAGATTGTAATACCACAGATACAAATACACTATGTGTCTGTTTATGTACGATGTGTATATCTGTACTTTATATATAAAAACAGCAACTTTTTGGCCCTCAAAAATCAATTTTCACTCCCTTTAGGGCAACATTAGCTTGTGTACACAAGCTGGAAAAACCTATCTTGAACCTAAAAACCTAGGTTCAAATTCTACTTCTGCTAATTTTCGTTCTCTGAGTCTCTCCTTCCTCTTCCTCACCAGCAATTGCAGATAATATGATCCACCTCATGAGGTTCCTGGCACATCATAAGCAAAAAAAGAAAAGAAATATTAGCTATTATCACTGATATTGTGCTCTGTATTAACCTGTGTTTTCACATATAGAATCTTCATTGGTCCTAACTGCGAGCCTCTGAGGTAGGCAAGTTTATGTAACATTATCACAAATATCAGCATCCCCATTTGACTGATAATATTTCAGATGGCCAGAGTGGCTGGGTGATTTGCTCAAGGTCACACAAACTGTAACAGTAGTTGGAGCTGAAACGTGAACCAGGTGTTCTGGTTCAGAACTCCCTCCACTGCACCTTACTGTCTTTGGTGGTAGCAGACACTACTGGGAAGACCCAAGTTGGAGTCTGGGAAACTGGTGGAATCACCCATGAGAATGAGCTCTAAGGACCAATCATACATTTTTCTGCCCCCAGTGCATATGAAACAGAATTGTGCAGGCTTTGAACTGAATGATCTCACCCAGTTTCAGGAAATCTGTGATAATATTTTCCTGTGCTGTTTGGTAACTCTTGGCATAATGAGGCAGGATTTTCCCAAGGTTGGAAGACCTTGGCTTTCCAACTAGAAGATGGTGAGTGCTTTCTCACCAAGACAAAAGCCTTATGAAATGAGCCAGAATAATCACCCAGACAGTAAATACTCTTAAACAACAACCATACTCAAGCTCAGTGCTATCTAGAAGAATTCAGAGAGTGCCTACACTGGTCCTAAAGTTCTCACTGAGCTCCATGAAAGTTTCTGTGTCAGAGGGGGCAGGTTGAGTTTTGGTGTCAGACTTTTGGGTTCTAACTTTGGCTTTGCCACTTGCCAGCTGTATGCCTCGGTTTCCTCATCCATTGAATGGGTTGATAATAATGATATATTCCTCATAAAATTGTGAGGATGAAATGAGATAATCCAACATAGAGCACTCCATATGGTGCCTAGCACACATTAAGTAAATGTTTGCAGTTGTTATCATTGGATTAAAAAAAAATATAAGACCTATACCCTTTCCTTCACAGAGCATAAGATGTAATACTCCTCTTATCTAATGACCATCCCTTACATCAGCACAGTGCTTTATCCTTCTTGAAGTGGTTTGATTTGAATGGTTTTACAGACAGTCCTCAACGACTGGACATTTCTACTATTTTCTCCTCTGCCCCTAACAAAATGTCTGTCTTACACATTTCATCAATAATAACTGCTAGTTTTTCTAACTAGCTAAGAGGTACTTAATTCTCAGCACACAGGAAAAGATGAAGTATTGAGCAGAAGGGCTTGTTTCTTGACTGCTGCCACTGTATGGTCACAGGCAGTGCCCGTCACTCTGGCAGAACCATCCTTGCTGGTGACTGCACACAGTTGCTCTCAGGGGTGGATAGAGCACTGTGATCCCCGTTTGGGGGCTAGGTGATGGTGACGGTGATGGAGAGGATGCCGAGGCAAACATTTTCACTTCTGTAGCTACTGTGGACAAAGAAGGTGGACACTTTTGAGCAGAGGCTGAAGGTGTGACAGGTGTGCAAGGGTGCCCTCTGTTTCTCCATCCAGGCTGTTTCTGGAAACGTGCCCTGTGCTGCTAATTACACCAGCTCTCTCCATCAGAGCCACTTCACAGGTTGCCTAGCACAAGGCTAAGCTGAAAACTAGGTAAAAGCATCCTACTTTGTTCAATCTAAGAGATGGCTGCTGTGAGTAGATAGACAGAAGACTGTAAGGAGCAAGGCAAGTCATTTTGTTCCTGGAGATGGGTCTTCCTTTTACTAAGAAGGGCTTCCCCCAGGGCCATAGATACCTCTGGGCCATCAGATAGGATTGGGTCCTAGCATCATTGTTTTTCTGCTGGAACTTTGCACAGGGACTCTGATGGTTTCGTTACTATGCAGACCTTCCCATGGGTAATATTACCATGATGAGCCTTCAGGCTGAGTAACTGTAGGGCCGGCCACATGGGGAAACCCTTGACTTCAACTGGTGATGAATTCAACAATGTCAGTCTCAGTTTGCCCAACTCAAAGAGATTTGGGCTCAAACTTATTTTGGGATCATTGTCTTCTGTCTGCAGTAAACAAGAATGTTCTCTAAAAAGGGCAAAGCTAACTTTTGGGAAGATACACGTCTTAGGAATGACTTGTCTGCTGCGGTCTCAAAGGGTCACATTTTGCTGATCATTTGTGCAGCATCTGGCTGTTGAAGTCCACCTCCTCCAAAGCAATGAAGGATGAAGCTGCCAATTTGAGTCTGATGTTTTATTTATCTGGACTGGTAACTTTATGTATGGTGTGTTTCTCTGTTTGGGCCTCAAGGCCGGTTAAGCAAAAGGCGGGAAACATAAATAAGTAATGGATGGAGAGGGCTGTCCATTTATAGACTCTCGACAATGACCTGATTTTCTGTTCCAGTGTAAGCATTAGTGTTGCATTAGAGTAATATGTAGCCATAGATGTTTTCACTGGTGTATTTGGTGGTGATAATCAGGAGAGACATATTCATGTTCTATTTTTATAATAAAAATTAAGAAACCTCAGGCCACACCAAGGGCCCTTACTGGCAGCATGGACACTGTGGGTTTGAACAGTCCATTTTCCTCAGCTTGTGTGGGATCACTGTGTTCTTTTCTGCTCTCCTCCAGTTTCTGGTTATTATTAAACAACCCTTTGTGAAGGATTAACTCTGGCTTTTCTCCCAGCGAGGAGATGTCTACACAAAGCCAGAATATCCAGCCAATTACAGGCAAATGGGTTATTTGGTGTAGTGCAGGAACAAATGACTGGTTGGCAAGCCAATTCTTCACTTTTTGATGGTTTCCTTTGGCATGGAAATAGTCCTCTGTAGTACACAGTGTAAATGCTTGTGAGCATCTTTTTATTCATTCATTCAGAAAATATTTCCTGAGGGCCCCCTGTGGGATTCATTATTTCTAAAATGGGGATAATAATAGTACCTACTGCATAGAATTATGTGGATTAAATGAGCTTATAATGTGTAGAGGTTTTAGAACAGTGCTTGGCACACAGTTAACGGCTTAGACAACATAAGCTTGGCTGTGGAGTTTGTATTTTATAGGCAAGGAACAGGCAGTGCAGCCAATGGCATAGGTGGATGTGTGCTTTAGAAAGGTGCTTTCTGTGGGAAAGTAGAGGACAGATTGTAATGGAGCAGAGCCTGGAGGCAGGGAGACAGTCATACCTCTTGTCCAGCCAGTGATGGCTTGAGGGCTTTCATTTGCCTTTCTTTGGAGTAGCCAATACAGTGGTTCTCAAAGTGTGGCTCCCAGACAGGCAACATCAGCATCACCTGGAAATTTGTTAGAAATGCAAATTCTTGAGCCAGTGTGATGACTCATTGACTCATACCTGTAATCCCAGCAACTCAGGAGGCTGAAGCAAGAGGACTGCTTGAGGCCAGTAGTTCAAGACCAGACCAGCCTGGGTCACATAGTGAGACCTCATATCAGAAAAAAACAAACAAACAAACAACAACAACAACAACAACAACAACAACAAACTCTTGGGCCTTATCCCAGAGCTACTAAGTCAAATACTCTGGAGTTATGGCCCAGCAATCTGTGTTTTTGTTTTTTTTTCTTTTTACAAGCCCTCCAGAGGACTCTGACCCTTGCTAAAGTTTGAGAATACTGGTCTAGTCTCTTGAAGGAAAGTGGAAAAGAGAACTTTAGCAATGTCTTCCTTTCTGCTCCCCCATTTGGCCTCCACTGGGCCAGCATAGGGCAGGTGCCAAGCTTTGGGAAAGGTCTCCCTGCATGAGGCAGGCAGCAGTCTCCTTGTTAGCTAGTCACACGGAAGCAGGAGACTTGTTAATGTAGATCAGGACTGCCTGTTGAGCACAGCAAAACCAAACCTCAAATCTCCTCCTGGCTTACTGCCAAGAGGGCACTGTGACCCACCCCTATTGATGCATATGGTGTGGAGCTGGAGCTGGGGCTATGCTAAGTAGGTGTTTCTTTACCGAACGACTGTCAGCTGCAAGACTCCAATGCGCTTCTCATCACTTTGAGAAATGAGGGAGCCCAGCCTCTCTGGGCCCTTCAAAAGCAGATGTTGCATCTGGTTTGTGGGAGTCTGTGTGCACACACCCAAAGACATTTCATGGCCAACAGAATGGATCGCACCAGTGCCTCTGCTTTTTCCCATATGAAAAGCTTGTGTCTGGGCTGGTTTTTATTACTGATGTGCAGCCACCTCTGGTATGAAATACCACAGCTGTAGATAATTTTAGAACATCCATCTAGATTTTCTAAATTCATTCATTTGTTCATTAGTACAGATGTGTATACCCTGGCATGATGGGAAATTGAAAGGGGAATAAGACATCCTCCCCCACCCCTCTTCCTTTAGGAGTATGCCATCCAGGAGGAGAGAGAAGTCATCCACACAAATGCCTGCGATTCAGAATAATGCGTTCTATGTCAATAGGAAGGTACCAACAAACTGTGATGTGAGAGATCAAGGGGGCTTCACAAGAGAAGAGCTGCGGAAGCTGCTTGGAGGAGGAGGTCGCATTTGATCTGAGCCTGGAAGCGTAGGCAAAATTTCCAGAGGCAAGGAGAGGGCATCTCAAGAAAAGGGCACTGCAAGGGCACAGGGAATGGGAAATGCACAGTACATTTAGGGAGAGTGAGTGGTCCAATTTGCTGAGAACGTAGGCTACAGGGAGAATAATAGAGGAAGCTGAGGCTTAAAAGATAGATTGGGATTTGAATACCAGGCTAAGAAGTCTGGACATGATTCCATAGGCAGTGGGAGCCAGTGGAGAATTTGGGTTGGAAGATTAGTATGATCATCATGGCACTAGAGGACAATTGGGCTGATGATGAAATTGGGATGGGTAATACTTGAGGCCCACAGTAGGAGACTTGCTCAGGGTCACAGCCCTGGGAAGCAGCAGAATCAATACTAGAACTAAGCATTCTGTGTCTGCAAGTTCATGACTGTGGGGGGCAACCTGGAAACTCCTGGGTAAGGAAGAGGAGTAAGTTTTTAAGTGAAAGGTTGTCTGACGTAGGAAGCCATCAACACTCTTCAGGGATTGAGGGGGCAAGAGAGAGCCAGGCCACTGAGAGAATTCAGCTGCTTTTCTGTTCCACACTCCTTGGTTCCTTATCAGAAAGAGCATTCATCCCTTTGCAGACAAACACCAGAGGTCCTCAGTGTCACATGCCAGCCAAGCTCAGAGCATCTCAACAATGCCAGGGAGTCTTGGCATGGGGCTGGGCCATGGGCTTGGTTCTGACTCAGAGAAGTCGGAACCACCTACTGAGTCATTTGCAGGAGCTGTGGTTTCCTGGGAGGTTTCCCAACCAGTTACCCACCCCGCCAAATCGCTGGTAGCTTGCAAGATCTGAAGGAGCCGCAATTCACAGTGCCAGGGCTTCAGGCAAACTCAAGCTGCATATCTCGAGCTGTTGCACAGAAATTATTTCCTTGCACTACATGGAGAAACTTGGCCCTTGGTAGTAACACGTAAACAAATGAAACTTTTTAACATACCTGTTACTTATTTGATCTTAGGGAGATCTCAGTTTCCTTACCTATGAATGAGCTACTATGAGTAAGCAGCTGTGATATCTGAAGGAATTAATGGTTTTTAATGGTTTCTCTTTAGGACGGTCCAGAATGACCCAGCCCTAATCGTGGCTGAGTTTACAAGACACTGCCTTGGAATCTGGTCCAAGGCAGCTGCTCATGGCATCTCCATTTCTTCTTTGAGAAGCTTTACTGCTTCTCAAGCAACCCCACCTTCTCAGGTCCCTCAGATTTTCCCCTCATTAGTAATCTTGGACATTTCAAATACCATGAATTCTTTCTACTCCAAAGGATTGGTTTTCAAGGTGAATTCAAAGACATTGATACTGCTTGTTATTCCAAATAGAAGTTGCCCATCTCCCTCCAGTATAGGATCTTCATTTAAAAAAAAAAACTCTTGATTCAATATTTTTCTAGATATTGCTTTGAGAATTCAGGATTAGAATTGGTACCATAATCAATTCTAGACCCTAATTTCTGGCATTTCATTATGTTTAGCTGCAGTGCCAAGTTGAGGCAATGGCTTAACATGGCTCCCTGACATGGTGTTAATATTGAAGGAATCAATATTTAGCTGGAGAAATGAATATTTAGCTGGAGAACTCAGCCAACTGTTTTGAGTCTGAGCTATCAGCCTCATAAGGCAGAAGAGCTTAGGGAGAAGGCTGAGGTTTTTGCCAGACCATGTCCCATCTCTTCCTGCCCTTACATTTGCTTATGAGGTCCTCACAGTGGCTGGTGGCCTATAAGGGGGCCCTTCTGTAGAACTCTGTGTGTGCCAGAAGAGGCAGCTTTGGCCCTGTGCAAGACACTCTGGAGCATTAAGTCTTGGCATCAGCCATGCAACTCTTGATACCAGTGCCTGTTTTCTAGAGGCAAAATAAGGACACTTCATGAGAAGAAAGGAGTAATCAAATGTCGGAGACTTGAAAGACTGCAGGAGTCTGGGAGATTGGCAGGGCTTAGCTCTGGAAGCTGAAGCCAGGCCTCTTCTCTCTTCAGCTATTCCTCCTGCAGCTATGAGTTGGGATTCTGCTTCCCCATGGAGCCAGAGGAGTGAGTAAGGAAGAGTGCTTGGGCAGGGAGGGGCTGTTCGTGGGTGGCAGGGCATCCAGTGGAGGCCTGTAGGCTGCCCTTCACTTCTGGGACAGGGGCTTTGTGCCTCTGGGCAGTGAACAGCCTACCTCCCAATGTGCCTCCGTGCCTCCTACTCCTGTAAGCCTGCCTGGCCCCACTTATGGACCTGGAGCCTATCTGCTGCTCTAGGCAGACTCACCTTCTCTTTCCCAGGTGGAATTTTCTCACAGACAGGGAGTTCTTCCCCAGACCCTGGACCAGTCACTCTTCCATGTGGTCTTCCCCCTCTTCCCCCTGCCATTTAAAATACACATTTAAGGGGTAAGTCCCTCTCATAACACTGTAGAAAGGGAACACCTACACCCTTTTACCCTCAGAGAACAGACCACTTTCTGTTTTTCAAGGGCCACTTTTATCCTTAAGCAAGACGTAAGAGGCCTCATATAGGCAGATGTGAGGCCATTTCATTTTAGAACATACTGGTTTTGCCCCACCAGGGTCGGTCTCTTGGCTCAGAGATAAATGATTGGGAATCTCTGCTCACGGACCTCAAAGTCTACAGGTGAGCAGATGAGCAGGTGATGACAGTCACCACATACAAAGTGTAACCACAGAGGTGGGTCCCATCTCAACAGGGCAGACAGTGGGAAACCTACCTTGGACACTTCAAGGAAGGAATTCAGAAGTCTAACTTCCTTCAGTGAATTGGGCATAATGAGCTACAAGGCTGTTGCATTAATTCCAAAGTGGGAAGGGAATGGCTGGTGTCCGGAAGTGTTCACATCTGCTAGGGGAGGCTGAGGACTCCTGGCACTTTGCATCTATAGGTGTTTTCTACAGCTTCATAGTGGGCCACCTGGTGTTGGGTCACTTGTATATTTGTCTTCCCTCCCTGTATTGGGAGACCATATGTAATTCTCAAAGATGCCTCCCACCGTCCCACATGGAAGGCACTTAAGAAATTGGATCTTTCTGTCTCTCGGCTTATATAGACCTTGAGAATGGAGGTGGGAGGATATGCTCCTCCCTCTTCCTGTTTAGAAATGACTAAATAGGGCACACTCCAGGGACTTGGAGTATTTCTTAGCTGGAAAATAGGGTAGAGTAGGAGGAGACTGGCATATCAGGTCTTATGTTGAGCTTTTTCGTCTGTATCTACTATGCAGAATGATGGGCTAGAGCTCTACCATCTAAAATGGTAGCCGCTAGCCACATGGCTATATAAATTTCAATAAATTAAAATTAAATACTATTAAGAAATTCCATTCCTCTCTCACACTAGCCAAATTTCAAGGGCCCAACAGCCACAAGAGACTAGTGGCTGCAGTATTAAGTAACACAAATAGAGAGCATTTCCATCATTGCAGAAAGTTCAGAGGCATGCACCAGAGACTCTAAGCAGCACGTGTTGATCCAAAATGTGCTCCATAAACCATATGCGTCTGAAGGCAAGAACAGAGGCGAGCTTGTCAAAATACACATTCCTGGGCTCCTCCCTAGACTTCCCAGGTCCGTATCTCTGGGGGCTGGAGGGGAGGCCTGGGAATCAGTATTTTAGCAAGCACTCCCAGATGGCTATTATGCAAACTCACACTTCAGGATGAGCACTCCAAGGGAAGCCAGAAGTTGAAGAGCGAAGCGGGAAAACCTCCTGATATGGCGATTCTGGGCATATCAGATGTCTTGTAGCACTTTCTACTCCACTGTAAGATTTCCCAACCAAACATTTTCAAGAGAATGCGACTGGAGCCTCCAGACTGACAGCTAAGTGCGCATCTCAGTAAAGTCCTGGCTGTTCTTCCATCAAGTAGTAAAAACTGAAGAAAGTGGCTGTCCTAGCATTATCTCCTTCTCGCCTTTTGCAGAACCAGGAGGATGGAAATAACCTCGTTGCTCCCCTTGAGTGTGTTTGAATCACAAGTACCTTCCCTCTAACATAAATTTATTTCCCGCTGCCTTCCTCTCAACAAAGACCAGCCAGTGATGAATACCAGACTTCATAGCTTATTTGTCAAAGCAGCACACCTGTGAGGATTCCTGTGAAAGATAAATTTTGATAGGGGGAGGGAGGGCTGGAGGAGGAGGGACCTGGCCAGGAATAAATCTTAACATGTTGCACCAGACTGTGAATGAGCGCTTGCCTCACAAAGCTTGCCGTCTTGACAAGGTATGATAAATTACCCTCTTTGTTGACACCTTCATTGGGTTATTTATGGCTCATTAATTGAACCAAAAAGGGGCCTTGTAGACCCAGCAGGGGCACCATACAATGCTCCTCCAATGGACCCAGCTCAAAGAAAAGAACAAAGGAGGGAAGAGTGGGAGCGGGGCACACAAGTGTGTCTGCTCCTTGGCTTGAGACACTCTTCACCAAACAATTCAAGATTAAAAAAAGAAGAAGAAGAAAGAAAGAAAAGAAAAAAACCCTTTGGAAGCTCAGGTAAACCTCTCTGGGGATGATTAGCTGTACACCTGGTGCCCCAGCCTGTATGCTGTCTGGCACCTTCCAGAGGAGCCTGTGCCTAGAGCTCTGTGCATTATTGCCAGCATTACTTTAGACTTGCCTGGAGAGTCAGCATGGCACAGTGGAAACCATCAGAAGCTCCCAGCACAGTCCTAACTCTCCCATGAACATGCTGTGGGACTTTAGGGCGGTCACTTTGTCTCTCTGAGCTTCAGATGCCTTCCTTGTGAAATGAGGGAGTCGAATTGGACAAACTCAGAGTCTTTTTCAGTTCTAAGGGGTATAAGAAAACGAAAAACAGCTTTTCTTTTCACTGCCCATTGTATTAGTTTAACCTCTCCACTTCTGATTATTACTTAGTCTATTCATTTGGCAAGTAGTGTTTACTGAGGTCCTACCATGTATTAGGTTCCAAGGGGAAGGCAGGCATACTGAGCGCGAATGCTTTTGTTGTTGGCTTCCACGAGCTTCCCGCCTAGAATGTTGGTTGTGTTTTCAGGAGCTGATTAGCACTTCCTGTTTTAGTTAATCCTTAAATTAAGTAGTTACAGGATAGTCCCTTGGAAGAAACCCTCATTTACTTGACAATAAAGGAACATGAAGTATTTCCAGCTGTTGTGTGTGAAAGATTATTTCTTCAGGGTGCCACTGTGGTCCATGAATATGTTGCAAAAGGCTCATGTGAGATGCAGGGGAGTCTGAATTTTGTCCTGGAGTCTATGAGGAACATTTAAAGGGATTTATTCAGGGAAAAGATATGGGCAGGGCAGTTCAGTGTTCCAGAGAGATTCTCTAGTGCCAGGGAATGTGACCTGGAGAAGATGGGAGGATGGGAGGAAAATCTTGCTTGATGACTGTTGCAGTAGTCCAAACAAGAGAAAGCACGGGCCCCAAACAAGGGCATGGCTGTGAGGAAGGTGAGGAGAAAACAGGGCTGGAAGACTGTGGTTCTAATCCAGACACTGTCAATAGCCAACTTGAATTATTTTCTCCAGAATGAGTATCCTGCTCTATAAAATGAGAACATCGGACTGAATGGTCTCAAAATCTGACGCTTGCATTCTGCAGGGATTAGGTTTTTCAGTGTTTTTTGTTTGTTTGTTTGTTTGTTTTGAGACAGAGTCTTCCTCTGTCACCCAGGCTGGAGTGCAGTGGTGTGATCTTGGCTCATTGCAACCTCCACCTCTCAGGTTCAAGTGATTCTCATGCCTCAGCCTTCCCAGTAGCTGGGATTACAGATGTGCACCACCACACCCAGCTAATTTTTTGTATTTTTAGTAGAGATGGGGTTTCACCATGTTGGCTAGGCTGGACTTGAACTCCTGACCTCAAGTGATCCACCCACCTCTACCTCCCAAAGTGCTGGGACTACAGGCATGAGCCACCACAGTCAGACGGTTTTCAGGTTTTTATGTTCCCCTGTAGTTAGAAGTAGGAAGGAAGAGGAAGCTGCAAAGACTATATTCGAAATTGAAAGAAGTGTTATTTAATAATGGTTGGAATGTTCATCAGCTACTTACTGCCAAGTATATGGCTGGGTCCTGGGAAGTGAACATTACAGATGACAGTAGGACACATCCTTTGCCTCCATTCCATATCGCATAGGATAGAGCTTCCTTAGGACTCTCACTTTGTAGAATCCCCATTTTGCTTCACGTATTGGTTACCTGGCAGCTAGTAGGGAACTGGTCCACATGTGTTGAGCACTTCCTATCTGGTCAGAGAGGTGGGAAGGATGTGTGTGACTAGCGTGCACCTGCTTAGAAATTCATTTCAACTGTTTGGAGAGATCTCCACTCTTTTTCCCTTCCAAGGCTTCCAATAAAATTATTTTTTATTTCAAAATGATAATAATTTTTTCCTGATATCAACAACACACTTATCATGAAGTGTTCCAACTGTAAAGAAAAATAGGAAGCACAGAGGAAAATTTACCCCAAATCTCAAGAGCCAGGTAGTAAATTAAAACTTCCATGAGGATCCTTCCAGTCATCTCTCTCTGTACAGTCTATCTGGATGTACTTACATACATGGATTAATTACATCATATAGACAGTTTTATTTAGTCAATGATATAGTAGCTTGTGGACATCTTTTGTGATATTTTTATGCGTCATGTTTATGATGCGGGATATTTCATTCATCAGTAAATCATAATGTATTCAGCTGATATGTAGTAATAGACATTTAGTTTGTTCCCAGCTTTTCTCTTATAAACGAGACTAAGGAGCATCCATGTGCATATATATTTGTGCATTTCTCAAATGATCTCCTAGAAATGAAGCTGCAGAGGCAAAGTATATGCACATTTTAAAGTTTGCAGCATATTATAGCCAAATACCCTCTCTGAGAAGATGTACCACTGTGCTTAAAATGTCATTCGATGTTCTGTTTCACTGGGAAGTCAATGCACCCAAGGTTGGGGTTGAGCAAGATGGGGGCTGGGATAACTCTATAATCTACCCAGTGACTCGGTCTCCAAGTACTGCTGAGTCCATGGGCCTGTTGGGGAGTGTGAGACTTTGGCAAGGGCTTATGGAAAGCTGTAGACAGCCAGGTGTCAGCTGATGCCAGGTCAGATAGGGTGCCTTCCAGGTTCTGCTGCAGGTGCCTTCCAGGTTATGCTCCAGGTTCTGTTCCAAATGTCATTGGATTGAGGGACTTTTGGCTTTCGAATAGCTGTGTGTCACTATATGCACAAGCTTATAAGAAATGCAGATATGGAGATGCCTCCAAAACCATAGATGTATACCTGTCATGAATGTTACCATCTCCAGGCCCTGATGCAATCTTTTCTGGCCCCTCATATAGCAGCCTTGTATCCTAGTTGTTCAAGAGCAGTTCTCATTCAATCTACTCTATCCTCCCACCTTCAGGGGTGCCTCCAATCATGTCAGACCATGCAGGCCAGATATGGCCTCAGCATTTTTGGTCACCATGTGATGTGTTAAGAGTTTAATTCCCACCAACCGTTGTGTTTCCACTCATCGTAAGCACAGAATTTCCACCCATTTATTCATCACCCATTCCTTCAACAGATACTTCAAAGTACCTGCATTATTACAGGCACTGTCCTGAGTACCAGCAGAACACAAAAATGGACAGAAACGTACAGGTTCGTGGCATCTGGGCAGGAAGGAATTCTGATAGTCCTTGGATTCCACACCCTCATGCTTCCAGTGAAGAAACGGAAGCCCAGAAAGGCAAAGTGCTCAGCCGCCAATGGCCGGTCTGATGATCATTCACTGTATCAGGCATGCAGTGCATTTCTGAGTGAGCTGTGGGGCTGCTGGGCCAAAGCTCCATGACAGCCCCGCTGGGGATTCCCTGACTCCCCTCTGAGGACAGCCAGTCCACAGGGGCGAGAGTCTTTACAACTGGGCCTACAGACAATGTATTGTTAGTACTGTGGGATCAGACAGGTGGAGGAGAAACAGAGTAGGGCTCTGTGGCCCCAAACAATATGTGTAACTCAACATCTCTTGGCTGGTCTTACTGGTCCAGCCTGTCTCCTTTCAGTTTGAATATGGGGACATTTCAAATATTCTCTTCGAAGCCAATCCCATTTAGAGAAGATAGATAGTCTGAAGGTGACAACTTCTGAGCTGGGAGAGGTTCCAGCACCAAGAAACTGACAACTTTCAAAAAATGCCATTGAGAGAGCAGTCTACACCTGTGGCTGCAGCAAGGGTCCGCCTGTCAGGATGTGATAAGGAGGCACTTCCTCAATTGTTAGAGTACCTTTATTTTATTTTATTTTATTTTATTTTATTTTATTTTATTTTATTTTATTAATTTATTTATTTTTGAGACAGAAGCTTGCTCTGTCACCCAGGCTGGAATGCAGTGACCCAATCTCAGCTCACTGCAACCTCTGCCTCCTGGGTTCAAGGGATTCTCTTGCTTCAGCCTCCCAAGTAGCTGGAACTACAGGCATGTGCCACCACGCACAGCTAATTTTTGTATTTTTAGTAGAGATGGGGTTTCACCACGTTGGCCAGGCTGGTCTCGAACTCCTGACCTCAAGTGATCTTCCCACCTCGGCCTCCCAAAGTGCTGGGATTACAGGCATGAGCCACTGTGCCTGGCCTGATTACCTTTAAATCCTTGGAAATGGTAATGTGTCCTATCAATAATCACTCCTCATATCTCTATGGTTGTTATAGTTCACAGTATTTCCACCACATGGCCTGGCTGCCTCCACGCACCGCCCTGTGGTTTAGTGCTTCACGACTTAATTTTCCTGTGTATTCGTGCTTTACTGATTAATGAGGAATCTGAGGATAGAAAGGGCCAGTGACTTATCCAAGGACAAGAATTTCTATTCCATTACAGATACAATAGAATTACATTAAATCGGATGAGCAGAAGTATGATTACAGGCACGTAAGAAATATATTCACTTATAAATATATGAAAAGATCTAGAAGGCTCTAAAATTTTAAAGGACTATAGTATGTGTAACTTTAGTTTTCTTCTTTGTTCAAATCTGTTTCTATATTTTTAGACTATAAGCGTATATTAGCGGCAGTGATACAATAAGAACATTTCTTAAAAGTAGAAGAGTACTCCTCTCAGTTGTGTGCTTAGTTTTAAATGAGTGAAAAAGTACTGAATAAATGTAACTCAACCCCTTCCTTCCGTTCTCCCAGCACCTATATTGGTCACATCTTCTGCCTCAGAAAAGTTGTCAGCTAACACCTTCAGGAGATAAGTTGTCAACAAGCTGAAAGTCAGAGTTCTTTTCTTGAATGGAATGCTACACATGGGGTATGGGATAGAGGGCAGGAGAGAGGAGAGCAAGTGCCAAGGTGAGTTTCACCCACTTGGGAAGTTTTCAGTGGGCTGGCCCTTTCTGGACCCACCTCTGCCAGTGCTCACCCCTTAAAACACACTGCCCCGTGCTCACACATGATCATGGTCAGTCATCGTAGCTCTGCCCACAGCAGGGCCAGGCATGGACTAAGGGGGAAAGAGAAGGCTTCTGAGCCCTTGCCCACTCCAGCTTCCAGCACAACTTAGCAGAACCACAGCTAGCACATGGCAAGCCCTATGGTGAGTTAGAGGGGAGGGTTTTTTCCTGGCTCTTCTGGGTGGGGTTGTTGCCACTGTGATCTGTAGTGGGAACATAAATGACACAGAAGGTATGGGGCAACGGGAAAAACAAAGTTTTGTTGCTGTGGAGCGTTCGGAAAGGCCTCAGTAATTTGTTTAGCAATTAGTCTTTAGATATAAGTCACTAGGTGGATCAACACAGCAAAGCAGTAAGTAAGCACATTTTAGGATTATGTGCCTTTTTTAAAAAGACTTGGGAGAGACCCTAGAAATCATCGGAAGCCCACGGAAGTTGGTGCCTTGACTCAAGTGACTCTGAGTGTCAGGGGCCTAGATGACCTCAGGTCTCCAGCTTCCCGTCCAGTGCTTTCGTCACAGCCTCTTTTCACTCTCATCTGTTCATTTATCCCACATACATTTGTTTGAGGGCCCACTATGTGCCAGGTGCTGTGCTGGGATGTGGAATACACAGATGAATAAAATGAAGGCCCTTTGTTCGGGAGTGGGGGGACTCATGATCTCCTTAGAGGAAGCAGAAGCATTAGCTGGTTGTTTAATAAAACGTGGTAAGAACTTCTAGATGCATGCAATCCAGGAGACAATCTGTTTTTTTAAGGAATCAGCACAAGGTAAAATACTGCTTAGGCATGTGATCCGGCCTTTGTTCAGACTTCAGAGGACGGCATCCTGTGTGCAAGATGAAAACGACAGCTTCTTTGGGCAGTGCTGAAAGAGCAGAGAGAAAAGATACAAAGTGCAAAAAGTGGGTCCTGTCTGCTTTACTTTCACCTTAATTTGGGCGGTATGTTTATTTGAGGATCTTAAAATGCTTCTTTCATACACACAGTGACACCAGATATCACACCTTGTCTGTCTTCCCGGAAATACCCCTTACAGAATCTCTTCTGCATATATGTGTGACAATAGTATCTGCTCTGCCATTTGTATTCACAGTCTTGTGTTAAAGGGTCTTTCCTTTATAGTATTAGATGTAGTTTTGACAGTGACAGCAACCATCCATGGTTCTAAAGAATTCAGAAGAGTGTTACAGACAGAAACTCTGGGTGTTTTTAGGAAGCTTCATGACAATACCCTTTTTTCTCTCCTCACAAAGTATTATGTGATTGGTGGCCAAAGTCATAAACAGCTTTCCTATCTATTGACTCTGTGATTTGTTAAGACATTGAATTAATTAAGAATGAAGAAATGCATACTAAGTATACCTTGTTTGGATCTTGATTTGAGCAAAACAGTTGTGAAAATATATTTATGAGTTAGGAAAACTGGACAAGAAATAGGATAGTAGCAGTAGTCTTTAATGATCATGGATGTGAGTATCTTCTTAAAGAGACTTTATTTTTAGAGCAGTTTGAGGTTCACAGAAAGATTGAACAGAAATTACAAAGAGCTTCCACATACCCCTTCCCCCCACTCTCCCACTATGAATATCCCCCACCAGAGTGGCACATTTGTTATAATCAATGAACCAACATCATTATCACCCAAATTGCATAGTTTATGTTAGGGTTCACTCTTGGTGTTGTGCCTTCTACAGGTTTGGACAAATTTATAAACACATGTATCTACCATGATAGTATTATACAGAACAGTTTCACTGCCCTCAAAATCCTCTGTGCTCCACCTATTCACCCTTCCCTCCCCCAAGCCCCAACAACCACTGATCTTTTTAAATTATGTTTTCTAAAAGAGTTATTTCTCAGAGATGCAAACTGATGTATATATGCAAAAACAAGCATATATCTGTAGACTGTGCATATATTTTTTAACGGTTGGGGAGACAGATGCAGATAAAACAAAATTGGCCATAGGCTGATAATTATTGAAGCTCAGTGACGGGGTCCATGGGGGTCTGTTATAGTATTCTCTTTAGTTTTGTGTATATTCAATATTGTCCATCACATTTTTAAAATTTTAAAAATGAATGACCATATATTGAGCACCTACCATGTGTGAGGTTCAGTGCTAGGTGTTTTATACACAGCTTCTTATTAGATCCTCACAGCAGCCCTGTTAGTGAACTGTATTATGCTGGTTTCGCAGATGAGGAAGATGTAGCGTAAAGGTAAAGTGAATTCCAAAAGCCACATGGTGAGTGGCAGAGATGGGAATTGAACCCTGTTTTTTCTTTAATTGTATTGGAGCATAACACATACAAAGAAATGTGCACAGATCATATTTGTGCAGCTCAATGAATTTGTAGGTGAACACATCGCCTATACCCACATAAAGAAATGGAATAGGATCAGCATCTCCAAAACCACCTCATGACCTTGCCAGTCACTACCCTTCCTCAGAGGTAACCACTGTCTTGACTTCTAGCACCTTAGATGACTTTTGCATATATTTTGAACCTCATTTAAATTGAATCATGTGCTATGTACTCTTTTATGGACGGCTTCTTCTGCCTAACATTCTGTGCATAGAATTTGTCCATGTTGATGCCTGCAATGGGTCTTTCCTTTTCATTGCTATGTAGTGTTCCACGGTAGAAATGTGCCATGATTGATCCATTCTGTTAGGGATGGAATTAGTGGTATTTCCATTTTGGGGTTTTTATGAATAGTGGCTCTGTGAATATTCTTATACATGTCCTCAGGTGGATATAAGTATGGATTTCTGTTGGATATATCCTGGCAGTGGAATTGCAGGGGCATGGGGTAGGCATATGTGAACCAGGAGCTCCAGTTTTCTTTCTATCACCCATTTGTCTCTACAAATAGGTTAAGAAATTAACCACTTTATGTGATTAGTTCTATAAGACTGGAGAATAACACAGGGTCTTAGGAGGCTATGAGGTAGAACCAAGACTGCAATTTAGGCCTTGATATTCTGGTCCTGGGTTGATCATGAGCCCCAAGGCCCAATCCAGACCTTCAAGGCTTCATAAATCTTCCTTGAAGTGAGTTTAATGCAAGAAAAGAACTCCACTGAGGTGTCCTGCATCTGTAGTTTTACACAATAGCATGTCATTTCAGGACACCAAAAGTCATCTCACAGAGAGAAACATGAACATAATTGTTTAAACTATCAGCAAATGGAAAAATGTTATGAAGATTTCAATAAAATTCATCTTCACATTTGGTGTACCTGAAGATTTGTCAATATTATAGCAATGGTCTCATCACAGTTTCATCTTTGAGGATGAACAATATCTATTGTAATAGCTCGCTGTTAACTATGAACCCATGGTATGTAGGCTTCTCCCTGGGGTATGTGGTAATCCACATCTGTCATATCTTAGTGCCCAGCCTGTTGTTCCTAGCACCCAGTTTGGGTACTGGTAAAGCTTGGTGACTTTAGGCCTAAGAGAGACCTAAAATGGGTGGCCTACTGACAGTTCCAGGTGACAGCCATGGTCTGAGGATGTGGGTGATATGATAGGAAAAAATGTGGGCTTCACATACAAATGGGCATAGGTTCAAATCCCAGATCTACTTATTCTTTGACGTTGAAAACATTACTTAATTCTGAGTCTGCTTCTTTAAGACAAAGATGATGAGATTAGCCTTAGAGAAATATTAGAGAAAGGTTAACTTAGATGATAGAGGTGGAAGATAAAATGGCTGATTCGTAGATAGAAACATAGATACTTAGATATATAGATAGATACATAGATAGATGCATACATAATTCCAAGGTCTCCGGAAGCTTTCTTTTCTGCCTCCAAGTCCTTTGGATGTTTGGTTAGTGGGGTGAGATAGTGCTGCTGAAGCTGTGAGGGAGCTGATAAAGGAAGAGGCCTCTTCTCTTTCCTATTCCTTTCCACTAAAACTGAGCCTTCTTCCCCTTCTCCTTCGTATGCAGTTAGCACAGTGGAGTGTGTGATCCTTCCTGGCTCTTCTGTACGTTCTATAAGATTTTATTTCCTGCATGGTTGAACACCAAGCATGAAGATTATTATTTGTTTATTTGTTATTGATTAGTTGACAGCCCTACCTGCATCCAGAAATTTTATACTAAAAACATAGGTACAAAAAGATCAAAACAATATATAAAACAAAAGCAGATATCAGGCAAAAGAGAGGAAAAGAAAACCGTAATGAAAACTCCTACCTAAGGAAAAGATGGATTTTTCAGCTTCCTAGCAGCTAGAGGAAAAGGGAATCAGTGTGGACTTCAGATTTCTCATTATCTATTAGTAGGGGGGCATTGCAGGTCAGGAGGTGCAAATGTCTGCCTGCTCTTGACCAGTGAAAGGAATGTGATACAGGAGTCTTTGTATAGGTGCCGTAATCAGGTAAAAAATATGTATTTAAATATCCCAGAGTAGCCTCTATAATGGATGCAGAGGCACTCCCTATATAGGTATTATCTATAGTAGCCTAGTCTCAATTTTGAGGCATCAACAACTCCTCCCTCATGAAGGAATTGCATTATGGAAAATCACTCGGAGGTGGCCTGTGTGGGCTCCAGGCCTGGCTCTGCCATTTATCTGCTTTGTGACATTGGACCATACCTTCCTTCACCCCTGCTGGGCCCTGGGCTTCTCCTCTATTAAACGAGGGGTCTCCTGCAGTTCTAAGAGCTAAAGTTTCTCTTATTCTTCATATGCCAGGCACCCCGTTGTGTGGGTTTCTCCTCCCCATGCCCAGTGATATCCAGTGAGAATCAATAGCAAGAGCAACCTCAGAGGATAGTCAACTCAAGGGGATGTGGAGGAAAAGCCAAGGAGGCCACTGTTGCCAAGAAATACAGTCTGGAGACCAGTTTTGTATTTGGGGGCAGGGTGGTTCATGCCTAGTGCATATTATATAAGCCGCATGTCTTTTCGTAGCATCATAAGTAGATGGAACCTACCACCTCCTCTGCTTCTGCCTTCCTTATATTCTCTTGGTCCCCACAGAGCAGAGGACAGGCAGTCATTCAGTCTCCTGGGTTTCGTACCCCTTAGCTCAAGCACGGGCTTTCTGAGCTTCCTTACTCTCTGCCTAACAAGTTGGTAATTCCTGGCTGTACCCTGGCTCAACAGACCTGAAGACTAGCCTGGTACAGCTCAGGGCCTGCACCCTTTGCTCAAGCTCACACATCTCTTTCTGCTCCCTCCCTGTCACCAAGGCACCCCAGACATGCCCAGAAACAGGACAAACCTGCACAACTACATTCTTCACCTGCCAGAAGAAGAAAAAAAATATTTCTGATATCTCCAAGGTTCCTGCTTTTCTGTCAATTGGGAATGAAAAGATAAAGTCCCTTTCATAACAACATTTTCTTACAAAGCCACAACTAATCATGTCATTAATGGGTAATTCCAAGGTAGCTAGTTGTTGGTAATCATGCATCTCCAAAGTGCCCAGTTTCTACATGGCAATTCCAATCGTAATTACCATGAAATTATATAACTGCAAATTATCCTGCCGTGTGAGTGGTGTAAATAAATACGTACCTGCTCTGTGATAATAAACATGAATGACATGGTTAGTTAATTAGTAGCCACTGGAAATTCACTAATGGCCTACCAAACCAGTAACTTTCTCCTGAAGAGGGAAGAAGATTGTTGATGTTTGTTCAGTTTGGCTTAATCAAGGCTTTAGTGAAGGCATTGATACTGCCTGCTCTTTGTTTTCTCATGGTTCCTTGAATCTGGAAAGTGAGGCTCTGTTAAGTTAGCAACCAGGACTTTCCAAAGACATTAAGTCCCACACACTAGTTATATGACTTGGGGATGGTGCTTAATCCTTCTGAGCCTCAAATTCCTTCTCTGTAAAATGGGAGTGATGCCAACTTGATGGCAATGCATACCTCCTGGGGTTGTCGAAAGGATTAGATGAGGTTACGTACAGGGACACATGGTATAAACTCTCCAAGGTTTGCTGTTACTGGCTGAGAATGGGAAGAAAGCCCAGCTTCACAGGCCATCCCACTTTTGTGCTCAGAGGGCTGCGTCTGATTCAGTTGGGTGTGAAGCACTATAGCAGAGACGCTGTCACGCTTTGTCACTTGAGGGTGGCAGATTGAACCCAGCACTGAACTCTTACCACTTTCCAAAGGGAGATTATAACTCCACTTCCATCAGGAAATAAGGGCCGATGCTTCAGATGCGTGAGGGAAAGGGATTACACGCAAAGAAACTTAACTCCTGAGAGATTATATTCTCAGCCCTTGCCTTTAACTGGTAAATAAATCAGCCAAGAGTACACTGACCAGGAAAAACACCAGTTATGCAATGCGAGGGCTCTGGCCCAGCAAACACAGCTGCCCCTCGGCCGACGTTTCCCTACTTTCTCCCAGATAGAGCTGCTCGTGGATGCCTCGTCAGTTAGGAAAATTCCAGAGGGAAAAAGTGGGACAGCACCCAGCAGTTTCCCGGGAGTGTCTAGGCTAGGCTCGTAGAACTTTCAAAAATAAGACCAAGAAAGGCCACTTTCCTTACGACAGAAAACTAACGCTGTTACTCTCCTTACATAAGGGCTGCACCTTGACACACAGAAAGCTACTTTCAGGGATGATAGATTTATATTCCAAAGGGCTACTAAACTTGTAACCATAGTAACAAACAAAGCTATTACATAAAATGGCTTTGCCACGTAAAAGCAATAATTATATTAACCAGATGGGAGGAAAAAGGAGAAGGAAGTCTGATCAATGTGGAAGGCACCAGTAAATTGGATTGAAAATGCATGACATTTTCCTAAATTACATCTGTTTGGGGAGGCGGGTAGGTGCCCAAGGCTGAAGAGCTGTGATGAAGTTGGGTCCAGGCCCCACCAGGTGGCAGTATGCAGAAGTTGTTGAAGCAGCTCCTCTGTTGAGGGTTTTGGGCTCTGGAAGCCGGATACTTCTTCAAGGCTTGATTTGAAAGCACCACCCCCTCCCATCACCAGTGCGATGGGGAATTTCCCTGTCAACACTAACAGTGTAGAACTGGCCCAAATTAGACTTTATTAAGAAGGATGTTGGTTGAGAAATATTCTAGTTGCAATAAGCAATGTATGCTAAGCGAAACATCAGCATGTTCTGATTAGGCCCTGAGTGTGTGATACAGATCAGGGCTCACCGTGCAGTTAACTCCTGAGTTTCTACCCTGATCTCTAACACTTGACCTTAAACTTAGCTGCATGTCAGAATCACCTGGGGGTCAAGAGGGGCTTTAAAAAATACTGATGCCTGATGCCTGAGTGTCATACTCACCTATCACCTTTTCTGATTTAATTGAATGTGATGTGGCCTGGGCATTGGTATTTAAAAATATATATATATCCAGGCAATTCTAATGATATTTTCGAGGGATGGATGAGTGGTAAGCTATTTATTAAGAGGAAGCTGATGCGAAATATTCAGAATTGGCATATTTCGGGGCAAAGGGAGCTAGGGACTGACTTCCTCATCGACTGCTTCCTCTTTTAGTCAAGTGGATAGATCTCTGTTTAATTATTCCAGCTCAGAAATACCAGCTAAATCACATAGAAAATGTTGTCCTGATGTTTTAGACTGTCTGCACGTTTGTCATAGAATACCAGGGTCTCTTCCCTTGTTTCCAATGCATTGTGAATCTCAGTGAAGTTGCCACCTGTGCAATCCCTGGCCAATCAGATCTGTTCCTTTACAAGGCAGGGAGGATTACACAACACAGACGCATTGGAGGGAATCTGAATATCTAGCTAGATCTTGTGTAATTTGACCCAATCAGTCAAACGACACATACAGGAACAGCCCTGGGAAAAGTGTAAAGTCGGCAGAACTGCCTTGTCTCCATCACTCCTCACCTCCCCCTCCAGTGCCCCACCCAGTGGATTTTAAACCTTTCTTTCCTTCCAGTCAATTTGAGATGTGACATGTTGGTGAGTGAAATAATGGGTTAATCAGGGAAAGAAACACCCCCATGTCTCTGCTGTTTTATGAACTTTTTCTAATAGCCTTCCTGTAGGAGCCCTTATTATGTGAAGCGCAATGTGCTAAGTGCTTTATCTCATTTAATCTTCCCAGCAAATTCATGCGGAAGCCATTATTATCTCCATTTTATAGAAGAAGAAACTGAGACTTGAAGAGTGTAAATATGTTGTTCTTGGCCCCACAGCCTGTTGGGATTTGAACCCACATTCGAGCGAGCTAGAATTCTGATCTTATGCTGCTTCCTCTTCCACTTCTTCAAGCCGAAGCTTCCTCATTTCACTGCCCAATAATGGAGCCAATAGCCACATGTGGCTATTTAAATGTAAATCTAAATTAATTAAAATGATATAAAATTAAGAATTCAGTTCTTAAGTCATACCGCATTTCAAGTACTCAGTAGGCATATGTGGCTAGTGGTGAACGTACTGTACTGTGCAGAAATAGAGTATTCGCGCCACCATGGAAACTTTGACAATGCCGAGAAACAATCTGGCAAATCATGTCAATTTAGATGAGTAACTGAGGTCCAGAGAGGAGAAGTGATGTGCCTAAGAATGAGCCCCTCCTCTGCACTGGGGCCTGTGCCCCCCCAGTGGAATCAGTGCTGCCTGAGAACTTCCTCCAGGGCCAGCACTCTGTAGGTGAGTGCCTGTGGAGGCAGTGGCCAGGATTCAGTCAGACCACTTATTGGGGAAAGAAGTCCCAATGCTCATGATCTGAAATGCAGCTCAGAAAGCATGTCTTGATGCTTCTTCTGGCCCATGCTGGGGAGAGCAGGCTACAGAGATAACTGCCCATAGCCTTGTTTCTGCCCTCCTGGGACTTAAAATCCAGAGGAACATATTGGGCTGGAAAAAGCTGAGTTTTTAGAATTAGATAGGCTAGTGTTCAAGTTCTGGTGTGGCTACTTTCTAGCTGGGCAATCTTGGGTATGATAGATAGTCTCTCTGATCTCCCCTCCTCATTCGGAAAGGCATGATCACCATGACCATCTGGTAGGATTTCTTGTGAGTACCGAAATGAAAGGTGGAAGCATTTGGCCCAATACCCAATAAGTGCCAAAGAAACATTAGTGCCCTCCCCTTCACCAAAGCTTCTTCCTGGATGGCCCACTGACCCCCGGTGTCCTCTGATATTTCTGGGGTCTTTCAGAAGGTGAGTAATCACTTTACGATGTCTGAGATTTTTAGTCTTGACTGCTTTTGTTTCCTAAATGATGGAACTCCCAAGCCTTGGTTTCCAAGGATTTGCTCTCCATTTCTTTATCACATTCACAGATTACTTCCCAGTCAAGTGAGATGTTCAATAGAAAATTTATTCCGGGACACTGTGGTTTTAGTGCACAGTTAAAGAAAAAAAACATGGGAAAGAAGCCAGCTGGACTATGAAATATTCATTTGCATCACAAATATTTACTGCGTTCTGTGTGCCAAGTACTGTGATAGGTCTTGGAGGCAGAACAGTGGACATGGTAGATAAAAGTCAAATCCCGAAGGCAATTCCATAAACCACAAATAGAAAGCACACCTTTGTATTTCTTGTCATGGCTATAGATCTGACTGGGGTTGTATGTAAGGAGGAGTGGCTGCCTGGTTCTCACAAAGCATGGTGGTGGACTTAATGAATTCATTCTCTGTGGCTAGGAGCCTGCATTCCCCCTCACCTCCCCATGGGCAAGCACTTTGGGAAAGCCCTTTCCCCAAAGCCTCCCACCCTTTCTCTCGCAGTCTGACATTGCAGTTTACATTTGGTGCTTCTTGAGTCCAAAACAATTTCTTAATTCAACAAATGATCACACATCATTCCCTGACTGTGTAAAGTACAGCAAATTAGCACAGCCAAAGCAGGAAATATTTGCTCTGAACGTGCACCCGTCTTTGTTTTCACAGCCTCTTCCCAGTCAATGGAGTGCAGATCATCTATTGCCAGACACCATGGTATACACTAGAGTTACAGAGGTGAAGAGGCACGGTCCCTTTCATACAAAAGTCAGTGTGAAAGGGAGACAGACATTAACAGAAACACTTAATCCACCGGACTGAGTTCCATAGGAAGCAGTGACATGGCAAAAGGAGTGGTCAATTGTTTGGAGGGAACTATGAGATGGAAAAAACAGGAAAGATAATTTTCAAAAGACAAAGCAGCATGCATATAAGGGCATAAATATTTTTTGTTGAGACCCCCTTTAATAGACTCTAACTCTACAGTTGTTACTTTGACACCCTATACAGTAAATCCATAGTATTTAAGCAGATTCTATAGTCATCCAAATATTTGCCCATAGCCATTCTTTAACCGTGTCTGCTGCTAACAAATGCCAGCAAAGCACAGCATTGTCTTTGTTTTAACATTTCCCTTAAAATAGGGCCACCTTTCTGTTTTCCACCTGACTCACAGTGAAACAGAAAGACCTGGAATGAAGTAAGTCATTTGGTGCCCTGAGATAAAGGACAGCACAGCCTGTCACGTGGCAGTCACGGGGGAAGTTGTACTGACAGTCTCTTAGAAATGCAAAAACAATAAGGGCACTTGGCAACCAGAATGGAATACCAAGACGTTGGCCAATTTCCTCTAGGCTTTCCTGGGAGAGGTGGCTGTAGGAGGCTGGGGTGGAGGGGCTGATCACAGGCTTGCTCTACTGGCTCTAGAAACCAGAGGTGTAACTGGGAGCTCTCTGTAACTTTCCAGGTGGTGAGCATAGAGGCTATGGACATGGCAGGGATTTCCATGTCCACACCAAGGGCCCCTCCCTGAGCCTGAGCACGAGGTGGTGAGCTCTGAGCTCACTCCTGAATCCCAGCACATAATCACTCAGAAGCCAGGGAAAGAGGAAGTCCTCCAAAGCGTGGCTGCCCTTACCCAGTGTTTTGTGGAGCCTACTTTAGGCAGATTATCAGTAAGAATAAACCCTATAGTGCTATAATGGGCAAGCAGTGATACCTTTTCAAAGCACTATTTTTTTCAAATTGAACTTGTTTCTAAAACTAAATTATGGTAATGGTTGTACTACTCTATACATTTACTAAAAATCATTAAATATCATTAAATTGGATGCTTATAATGTGTGGATTTTGTGGTATATAAACTATGCCTCAGTAAAGCAGTTGTAAAAAATTTTTAAATCACACCTGTTAATGGATTCCCCAAACACTGTTTCTCTAGCACCTAGAGGTGGTGATTTTTTTTGTTGTGTTTTGTTTTGTTTTGTTTGTTTGTTTGTTTGTTTTGAGATGGAGTCTTGCTCTGTCACCCAGGCTGGAGTGCAGTGGCACGATCTTGGCTCACTGCAAGCTCCGCCGCCCGGGTTCCTGCCATTCTCCTGCCTCAGCCTCCTGAGGAGCTGGGACTACAGGCGCCTGCCACCATGCCTGGCTAATTTTTTGTATTTTTAGTAGAGATGGGGTTTCGCCATGTTAGCCAAGATGGTGTCGATCTCCTGATCTCGTGATCCACATGCCTCGGCCTCCCAAAGTGCTGGGATTGCAGGTGTGAGCCACCATGCCCGGCGAGGTGGTGATTTTTTTGTTTTTTTGTTTTGTTTTGTTTTGTTTTTTTGAGGCATGGTCTCCCTCTATTGCCCAGGCTGGATGGAATAGAGTGGTGCAATCATAGCTCACTGTAGCCTTGAACTCGTGGGCTCAAGCGATCCTGTCATCTCAGCCTCCCAAGTAGCTAGAACGACAGATGCAGCCCCCCCACATCTGGCTATTTTTTTCTCTTTCTTTCTTTTTTTGTAGAGGCAGGGTTTTGCCATGTTGCCCAGACTGGTCTGAAACTCCTGGCCTCAAGCAATCCTCCCACATGGGTCGCCCAAAGTACTGGGATTATAGGCGTGAGCCACTGCACCTGGTCTGGTTCAGAGAGTTTAACAGGCATTGCCTTAAGCAAAATATTGGACAAACTGAGGAGTTTCTAATATGCCTGTTGTGCCCTTTCTCCACCTCTGTGACCTTCCCTCAAATCAGTTACTGGGCAGGTTGTGGTGGCTAATGTCTGTAATCCCAGCACTTTGGGAGGCCAATGGGGGCAGATCACTTGAGGTCAGGAGTTCGAGATCAGCCTGGCCAACATGGCAAAACCCTGTCTTTTTTGTATTTTGTAAAAATACAAAAAAAAAAAAACTTAGCCAGGTGCACGTCTGTAATCCCAGCTATTTGGGAGGCTGAGGCACGAGAATCACTTGGACACAGAAGTTGGCAATTGCAGTGAACCGAAATTGCACCATTGCACTCCAGCCTGGGGGACAGTGCGAGACTGTTTCAAAAAAAAAAAAAAAATCAAAAATCCGTTACCTGACACTTTTCTCTTTTAGCCCTTCTTTCTCCCAAAACGAATTGCTTAGTATTTTACTTACTCATTAAAGAATGCGTCCTTGGCTTTTTAATATATTTGCACTTTAAACCTGTCTTTCATTCTAGAATGATTTTTAAAATCCTCATTCAAGGATTTAAAACCTTAAGGGAAGGGATAGAAGGGTAGTGAAGAAGAAGGGCTTTCCCCTAAGATCCTAGAAATCACAACAGGAAGGCAACTATCTATTTTGTCCGCCAGTAAAGTCAACTGACTGAGTATGACAGAAAATTGGGTTGATCTGATGTTCTCAAACATGGCCGTGGAAATGGCCTTGAGAGCAGAAGGTGTGTTGAAGACTAGTCCAGGCATTCCATCAGTCCACCAGTGAATCAGATACAACTAGGAGCTTCCGTCACAGAGGAGCTTACTGTAGTTACAAAAACAGCCAGAGTCAGCCGGGCACAGTGGCTCATGCCTGTAATCCCAGCACTTTGGGAGGCTGAGGCAGGTGAATCACCTGAGGTCAGGAATTCGAGACCAGCCTGGCCAACATGGTGAAATCCTGTTTCTACTAAAAATACAAAAAAAAAAAAAAAAAAAAAAAAAAAAAAAAAAAAATTAGCTGGGCATGGTGGTGGGCGCCTGTAATCCCAGCTACTCAGGAAGCTAAAGCAGGAGAATCATTGAACCTGGAAGGCGGAGGTTGCAGTGAGCCAGGATCGCGCCATTGCACTCTAGCTTGGGCAACAATAGCAAAACTCCATCTCAAAAAAAAAAAAAAAACCCAAAAAACAACAACAACAAAAAAAAAACAGCCAGAGCCTCATAAAGATGATTTATGTCCATGGAGAGAAGTGTGAACTCCTAAATATTGACATGACTGACAGTGTGGGGATGAATTCAATTAGTTGTTACAGTATCACTCTTTTAACCTTTAAAAGCATTTTGCATGTATCAAGAGAGAAGCCATGTGATTCCATGGAGAAAATGAGATGGAACTAGCCAATCTGGGTTTGTACCTTGTCTGTTTCTCTCTAAGTTCTTTGTGAATTTAGATGAGCCACCTAAACTCTCTGAGTCTCAGTCCTCCCATGTCTAAAACGGGACCCCCAACTTCACAAAGTTGTTTTGAGGTAGATGGTGTTAACCTGCTTCCACATACTGCAGAGAATAACTGTGATTGAATAAGAGGAGTATTTCACTAGTTAAAATGCTCTACTCTATTTACTTGATCTTCCAAATAATTTTCTGAAAAAAGATACCGCAGATGGCTATTACTATCTGATGGCAAAGAAAAACAGTAGTGGCTAAGTGACTTGCCTGGGATTAATATTCACATTTCCTGATAAGAATAGGGCTTTCTGGAAGCCAGCATTTTTAAGATTCTGGGTTAGTTTCCACTGTGGTTTAGGGAATCCAGTCAGGGGATGTCAACATTGACATTTCCCCTTCCAATTAGTCTCAAGAGTTCACATATCTCACTCTGTTCAATACAACCTGGAGTGTAATCATTTGTTGGTAATAACCTAGCCCTTGTTTAGCCTCATGGATCTGACTCTGAACCTGGACATCCTATGGACAAAAACACCACTTGCTTTTTATTGGCATGTTGGGTAGAATGGCTCCACACAGCCAGGAAACAATTTTATTTTTCCCCTTTGCAACTCAATTATGAGGCTGAAGGGCACATATAGATTTTTCTGCAGGAATCAAAGGGCTTTCAGGCTTACTTGATGAGTAGATTTCTGCATCACCTCCGTGGTAAAGGGTTAGCTGCTTTTAAGAGGCAAAAATGCCCAGACTGAAATAAAGAAGGAAAAAAAATAATAATACATTCCAGACCACCTTGTAAAAAATAGGTAGGCGTTCTCAATCTTGGCCTTTCACTCCAGTCCCACTTGAGGCCACTCTCTTTCCAGAGGCTCTATGGAACAACAAGGGTGGTGAGAACGCTGAATTAGGAGGCAAAAGCCCATGCTAGTGTTCTGTCCCCTAATGTGACCCACGCTTAGTGGGGATCCTGTTCAGAACCTTCAACCTGCTCTTCCTCTGTCTCTCTGCCTATAAAATGAGGGAAGTAGATTGGCTACTTTAACAAATCTCCCCTTTATAAATAACTTGTGACTCTATTTTCTATGGTTTTTTTTCAGAGTACATCTTTCTCCATTTATTTATGTGTGTGAGGGTTCAATCGTTCGATAAAGGCTATGTTTGAGAGAAGATGGAAAGGCATGGAATAAGTTTTGATCTTGGGTTTACTGCTAACATTGACTTTTCCCGTTAGCCCACCTAGGTTCTAAAGAGCTAGTATCCAGAGCTTTGACACATGGGGTGCCAGGCTTTGTTTCTCTGTTAAAATCCCCCAAATTTCCTGACTCCTCAGAACAGCTCAGCTCAGCTGGGAGTCTGTGGCTGAGGCTGGCCGAGACATCAGCAGAGTACCTGGAATGGAACTCCAAGCAGGTCGAAGCTTGGGAGCCAGTGTCCTTGCAGTCTGAATATTTGGGGTGGAGAGAGGTAACTCTGTTATGCTCACCGCTGGGACCACAGCAAGAATTCCTTTGCCACCATTTCTCTAGTCAGGCGGAGCTGTCCAGGGTTCAGGTGGCTTTCCAGGACATGCTTCAACTTGCCTGGAGATGGGTGGTGTGAGCAGATCCCTGGGTGTCTCTCTCTGGAGGTAATAATGACAAAGAGGTTTAGCCACTGAGGGAGAAATGCATCCCCAGGTCTGAGGGGATATCCCTTTTCTTCAAACAATCCCTGGGTTGTTTGTCTACAGTAGAACTCTCTTTAATAAAAAAAAAAAATGAAATGAAATAAAAATAAAGTAAAAGAACGCCCATCTTCAGTATACCAAGCAGCATGCAGGGCATAATCGCCTCAATTCTTGGTATCTGGCACAATGTTCAGTTGGCAGAACCACGCTTTCTGTGGGGGTAATAAGCTTAATATTTAGCCTGCATTACTGGGGCAGTGGTGAAGGGAGGGGGACAAAATGGGAGAGAGACCACTGTAGAAATGGATATTGAATTCCAAGTATTATTGTTGGAATCTCTGGAGAAAATGGCTCCTGAACATACAGGATTTTCAGTACAGTTTAAAAAAGGAATGACTCTTCTGGTTTTTCCATTTACTGTAGCTTCCCAAAGCTTATTTTTAGTAGCACTAATAGTGCCGCCTACCCCTGTACTCATTTTCTACAGATTTGAAAATTTGGTATTATCCTGTCTCTCCAGAGGTGCCTTCTATTTCTAAAACATTAGTACCATGGAGGGGGGAAAATAGGGCATTTTCTGAGAGAAAGGAGCCTTGGATATTTGCATTCCATTTTGATTAGTATTTTTTGTTTCTCTCAGTTCATTCAGAATCAAGGGAAAACATATTTAAATGGATATAATGTGATGCCAAGTGCCTCTGGACACCAAAAGCGCCCCCTCCACACACACCCTACGGTCAGCTCAGGCATGAAGGTGCATGTCCCCTCAAGGCCAGGCTAATGGTGGCCCTGACTCAGAGGCAGGCCTCACCAGCATGGATCAACTATAAACTAAACTGCAGAAGGCACTCATGCCCTGGGTGAGCTATGGGCAGAGAAAAACTCAGGAGCCCCAGACACATGTGGTCAGTGTGTATCTGGGTGGAGGCGGGACGTTCCGAGCATTGGAGCTGACCCCATGCACAGCCTCACAGGCTGGAACCAGGCGTCTTTGAGTGGAAGAAGTCAAGGGAGTCCCATTAGAGAAGGACCCTCTGTGTTCACTGTGCACCTGGGAGCAAGGTTTCTCACAACAGACTCTGCTGCTGAAAAATTAGTGTTTGAGTTCTAACTGGAGTTACAGACCTTGGTGACTTTGCATAGCCCTCTTGACAAGCGGGGCAGCCTTGCCAAATGACACATGGGAAGTGGAGGGTGTGCAGCAAATGCTATTTGTACGTGTTGGCTCTGGGAGTGGCAGAGTATTTCTGAGAAAAAAAACGCTAAATGTGGGCATCCTCAGCCCAGGGCTCCTCCTTTTATCAAGAGATGGCTTTGTGACAACATGGGTGCCTGAGTCCTAACAGGCACATTACAGGTGAAGTTTTGAGAAAGTATTGCTGTGTTAAATTTCCACATATGGCCTCTTCTAGCACGAATAATTCACAAATGAAGAGCCTAAAATGTTACATCTGGAAGTGACTTGAGATATCTTCTAATCTAGCTTGTTATGTAATCAAGAGCACGGAGCCCAGAGAGGGAATGTCAAGGTCAAGGTCACCCAGCTGGTGTCTGGTCTGAGTGGATGGCCCCTGACTCCTGACTCCTCTTACATTGCTCTTTCCACTGACTTTTGAAAGTGACAGATGGAATGGCCACCAGGACATGAGAGACATTTAGAGAGACATCTATTCCATGAATCCCCAATGACTGCCCCTTGCCTTTATCTTGCCTCCAAGCCTCTTCTTCCATACTCTTCTGTGCCGTGTAGCCCTGAACAAGCTGCTTCACCTCTCTGTACCTTGTTTACCTCATGTATGAAAGGCAGATGATGTTGATGATGATGGTGGTGATGATGATAATGTTGGTGGGGGGCTGAGGATGATGATGATACCTCCCTCCCAAAGTGATTATGTGTCAGAACGAGCCTCAGAGTCAGAAAATCGGGTTCAAACCCTGGTGCTCCCTCCTTCTAGCTGCTTGGAGCATTTTGAGTCACACACTCACTCTGAGCCTCAGTTTCCTTGGTTTTAAAATAGAGGAAATAATTCCTAACTCATAAAGTTGTTATGAGGATTAATTGACAAACTATAGATGTACAGCTCTTAGCTCAAATGCTCAATATATAGCCCCTGGTATTACTACAATTGCCAATAATAATAATGAGTTTGAAAAATGCAGGTACAAGTTTTTTTATAATCTGAATGTACAATAAAAATCTTAGTTATTATTAACCACCGTGGCCGTAGTATCCATCCCAAGCTATCAGTAAGATTTCTGCATAGCTAGCCCCTGGATTGGCCAGGGCTGGGTACTAGATTGGCTTCCTAAAATTCCTTAAATCACTTGTTTGCCTCTGATACAGTCTGGCTATTTCTGACACGGCCAAAGAGACCACAGAGGGCATTAAGCTGCAGAAGAGAAACTACAAACAATATCTGAGAGAGGGAGAGATTTCCTAGAATGGCTGCGACCACCTCCCTGCCAGTTTGATTTCCTGTGCAGCTGTGTGTGTTGAAAAGATTGATGTGGGCACGACCTTTAGACCCTGTTTGAAAATTACACATACAAATGGTACTTTAATGGTACATGTGGTAGTTGGGGGGTTGTGTTAATTACATTTGAATAGAGAGATGGTGATAATTCACTAGCTCAGCCCCTGGTAGTTAATTTTGTTACATCTAGGGGAAAATTCTGTTGGGGTCTATGAGTAGCTGTGGTGCAATTAGGCAGCAAGAAGGTTTTTGTCGGTACAGTTGCTATTGATTAGTATTTACTTTAAAAAGAGTAAAAGCTATTCCCTCGCGCCAGGGCTGCCTAATCTGTCAGAAGAAGAGGCTACATGTTTCACAGACGCATAGCAGGCTTGTTCATATATTATGAAGCCCCCGAAAAGAGAGTCCAGTATAAAAATCTTCCCAACTGGTTTTAATGATGCTCAAGTAAAAGGGATATACCACAGACAAGATCTCATTAAAAGAGAGAAGTCTTTTTGTAGATTTGCTGATTTATTTATGAAACACCTCTGAAATATTTATAAATGCTTTCCTGATATTTATCTGAAAATACATTTTAGGGCTTCTTTGGTAGAAGAGAGGGGGAGAATAAAGGATGATGAGGGTGGAAGAACAAGGTGAATTCAGCACCATTTCTTTCAGTAGCAAGGAAAGGGATATCCTAGGGTATAGGAACATGTCACTAGGGGGTGCCCCAAGAACCAGGCCGGCTCTAACCTGCTCAGCACAGGTGACCCTACTTGCTTGGATCTCTTAAACAGAAGCAATGGCAATCACAAGTGCTCTGTTTAATTTTCCTGACAGAACCGGGGCAGATACAGACGCTCTTGAGGGCTTTATCACTTCCTTCACTTTTAGAGCTATTTATTAATTGAAATAATAGTTATGCTACCCCTTGCCTCAGACCTACTTTCATCTGTTTAGCAACTGCTTTCTATGAAACACAAAAGAGCTCAGCAATGACACTCGTGTCTTAATTAACCATTGAATACCTTATAGAGCAGCTGTCACAACTCTTGTCACTTGAAAGGAAGCACAGTGGTCCCTGTTTAAAAAGAAAAAAAAATACACAGAAAAAAAAGTTGATCTAATGAGCTGTCTTTGACATTTCTTAAGAATTGCATATTTTATCATCATGCTTTGCACTCATATAACGATGCAAATTAAGGAACCTCTGGCTGCTCTGGAGAAAAAACAGTGAATTTACATTTCTCCCAACTGTTCAGAAGGAGACATTGGTTGCCCAGTGGCTAAGGGAAATGGTCAAGATCAGAGATGATAACAGGGCTAAGACTGCATATCAATTAAAAGAAGAAGAGGGGTTGATGTCAGTTTATGTAACTAAAATATTTCCAAGCCTCCCCAGCCCATGGTATGAATGAGTCTCATTAACATTAAAGACGAGCGCCCCCAGAGCCTCAAGCCCTCACCCGTTTGTTCAGGTAATGCAGTCCTTCATGCAGCTCATCCCAACCTCACATTTTTTGAGTTCCCAAAGAGGTAGACATGTTTTATATGTGTTTTGGAATTAATCTGGGCTTCCACTCACCATTGGATGCTGCCTGCTATTCTGAGCTGTATCAATGTCTTCAACATTGGCCTTGACCACCCCAAACCACACCACCCCTATTTTTCTTTATTGTTTCTTCTCATGGTTATGAGAAGGCCCCAGCCACCAGCCTTCTTCCGTCGTTCATTACCGTGACAGGATAGCAGCCCGTGTTGAAGTGAGGAAAACGTTTTCTGTCTCTGTGCTCATTTAGATGGGTAGTTTGAATAGAGTAGTTTGAGCCCCAAAGTGTCTTAGAATTTGGTGAGAGAGTTGTTTCAGTTCACATGTATAGCTCTTTCTACCTAAGGTGTGCACAGCCCCTGGAAGAGAGGGTAAAATGAGTTCAAACACCAGCCACCATACTGAAGGAGAACATTTCACCCATTTCAGCATCTCCCCATTTACTTGCTGACTTGTGGCTGAGTCTGTTGGCCCTGCCAGATTCTCTCACAGTGACCCTTCTTTTCCATCCCTGTCTCCTGACTTCTGCCTGCAGTCTCCTCTTCAAGCCATCATACTTGTCTATGCATGTTTGAATCTTGATTGTTGCTACAGTTCAAGTTCACCTCCCCAACTAGGAGGCTCCTTAGCCCCCATGCAAATAACCATTGAGGGAAAAGACTCTCTCCTTACTCCAACACCATGTATCTGAAGCTCAGCTCTCTTCCAGCCAGGACGCTCATATCATAAAGAAAAACGTTATTAAGAGAGAAGTCCTTCAGTAAAACCCAGGATATATCTTAAGGAGGATAGATGTTCAAATGGCATAATAATTGGCTTATTTCAAATATATTACGATAGTTATATGTTATTTGAACCACTACAAAGGACACCGATACCTACTAACTGCTCTGCAAATTCCTCAAGGGCAAAACAAATGCTGTTCCTGACACTGAGCACTCAGTATGAATGACAGAGAAATCATAGCAACCTGAGGATTGTTATTATTGATGTTTCATTTTTGTAAAGCAAACAAGATACTTTATACGTCGTATATGAATGCAAAATGTACCCCCACAAACTTATCAAATCAATGAAGCAACAAAGCATTATATAAGAGGTTTGCTGTGGAAGTTTTAACATGTTAGAAGATATTATATTCATTGTTACCCCCATTTAAATCACTATGTGAACTTGTAGAGACCGACCTCCGATTTTGCATAATTTTAAATTCATGGTCCCTGGGAAGGTAATCACCCCTTTAATAACTGTTGTGTTTCTCTTTATTCCAAATAAGGTGTGCACTCATCTGTGAATTTATGTTGGGCTAGCACGGTGTAAAATTGCCACTTTGCATTGCATACTACTTGGAGAAAGGTAGAATATAATAGCTTCACCAGCTGAATTTCAAAATAAAGCAGAGCCTTGAACATTGGTACCCTATCGTGTGCTTTGGGCTACAGAGACTGAGGAGGCCTGATGCAAACTGGACAGAATTAGGACTCTGAGGATGACTGACTCACAGGGGAAAGGATGGTTCCGGAAGACATTTTATATAAAGCTGCTTGCCAAATCGGCCAATAGGGCCCATAAACGCGTCCAACAGTAGAAACAACAGATCCTGCTGGTCTCTGCCAAGGGTACCTCTGGGAAGACAGACAGTGTTACTTGATTTACTCTGAAGCTGCAATGAGAAGAGTCTAGAGCCCAGTTTTGCAGGCTTCATGTGCCATTAGCCTCTCTCCTCACCTACATCATCCCCTCCTCAGGAGTCTACATTGTCTTCTCCTGGAACCTTCCAAAACAACTAATATAAATTTCAAGCCTGTGGTTGGTGCTTGATGAATGCCAGTTGACTTGACCACTGGAGTGCCACCTCTGAGCTAATAGACTCAGCCAGAAAGGTCAAGATAGTGTCCCATATACAGAGAGGAAGACCAGAATTCATCCCCTGAATAAAAAGCTTCGGATTAGCCTACTTTCTCTCCAAAGCACTCTGTTTTTCAACTTTATTTATTGTGTCTGGCAGATATCCTCAATTAGGAGCTAATAAACGTGAGCATTTATAAATCTTCCTTTCAGCGGAGTACGCCCCTAGATTCAGAGCATTCCGTGGGCAGCTGTAGAAGAGGAGAAAAGCGTTCTGCCCAGTGAAGGGCTAGAGTCAGCTCGTGAGAGCTGATTGTGTGCCTCTTTCCCTAACTCTGAATTCAGTGACCTCGTTCAACCACGGTGGGAGTATTTTTAACACAGAAATCAGCAGAGAGTAGAAACCAAGGGTTTTCCTCTCAGAGAGTGATTTTAAAGCATTGACCAGCATTGTCTTCTGCCTCACTGTACCTCACCTTACCACTCTCTTCTTGAAAAAGATCCAAATCATCTTTCAGCTATGTAGACATGACTCTAAAACAACACAAGATAGAGTCTGATTCACAGCAGAGGCAAGCCGTGCTGCTTCTCTAGGCCTGGATTCTAAATGCAGAACAGTGAACCTGCAAGCAGCATTCTTAGGGCTGAGCCATTCTCACGTGTAAATGGAGAGTTCCTTTCTTTTTTCAAACCCATTTTTGCAGGATGGAGGGTCCTGTCTTCATCTCAGATGAATCAGTGGGAAGCTGATCCACAGCCCACAAATCCCTTTTACTAAGAAGGATCACCTGGTAAGCTTTGGGTTACTCTCTGTTTTTTAAAAAAAAAAAATCATAAAATTGAAATAGTTCAACATAGATTTGAATCTAAAGAGCCTTCACTGCAGAGTTTATCTGGTGACCATATGACACTACAAGGACAGCTTTTAAAAAGCCAAATATCAATGGCTGAAGAATGGAATTGAAGTAGAAAATCGAGTTAGAACTGTATTAAAACAAGTCATATTATTCAGCTTTATCTATAATATTGTCTAATTCATATTTCAGTAGTAGCATAGAAAATGAATCTGATTCACTATGGTTAATTAGCCTCCGGGTTCCCAAGGTGTGAGCTGAGGCACCCTGGACATTGCAGTGGCCTCAAAGGGGTGCCAGGAAATATTTTAAATAGTTGAGGAAAATACAGCAATTCTTGACATCTGTCAGGCACCGTGTGAACTACTAGCTCAAGGTAGTTCACAGTTTCACTACTGGAATGCATAACTTTCTTTCAGTGATGTCATACCTTTGAGAAGCTAAGTTCTTGTCAGTTGCTGTATTATAAAACAGGACCATGTGAAAATCAGTGTGGAGCAGGAAACAAGGGTGAGGGCATCCAACCTGATGCCAGAGTTTGAGAAGTTGCGTAGTGCCCAACAGGCTCATGCATCTCACTATTAAGCACTTACGATTATTTAACAGTGAATGGGACTCATTTTTCTTTTAGTTTATGTGTATTCTTTTTTTCAGAAATCAAGTTGTTAGGACATAAATACTTGTTAAGTTATTTGGGTGTAATTTACAAATAAACAGAACTGTTAGATATTTCTTTCAGCTGAGATGGGCTGTAAAAATGGACAGAACCATTAGGAACATCATGAATCGCCGGGCGTGGTGGCTCACACCTGTAATCCCAACACTTTGGGAGGCCGAGGTGGGCAGATCACCTGAGGTCAGGAGTTCGAGACTGGCCTGGCCAGCATGGCGAAACCCCATCTCTACTAAAAGTACAAAAATTAGCTGGGTGTGGTGGCTGGTGTTTTTAATCCCAGCTACTCAGGAGGTTGAGGCAGGAGAATTGCTTGAACCCAGGAGGGAGTGGTTGCAGTGAGCTGAGATCGCACCACTGCACTGCATCCTGGGCGACAAGAGTGAGATTCCATTTCAAAAAAAGAAAAAAAAAATCATGAATCAAGATCATTTAAGACTTTCTCACTTAGTGTAAAAGGTAAATGATCAATGTCCATTACTGAGTAAATGACAAGAAGTATTTATTGTGTGCCTTCTACATATAGGCATAATTTCAATACTAAACACATATGCACACACATGCACACACACCTAAGGAGAGGTGGAAAGGAATAATATTCAGGAAGTAGTATGTGTCAGGGGCAGATACTTTACATGTAACCTTATTATATCTATGCAAAAACCTAGGAGGAAGGCCATATGGTCCTATTTTTTTTTATTTTTTATTTTTTTTGAGATGGAGTCTTCCTCTGTCACCCAAGCTGGAGTGCAGTGGCACGATCTCAGCTCACTGCAACCTCTGCCTCCCTAGTTCAAGCAATTCTCCTGCCTCAGCCTCCCGAGTAGCTGGGACTACAGGCGCACACCACCACTCCCAGCTAATTTTTGTATTTTTAGTAGAGACGGGGTTTCACCGTGTTGGCCAGGATGGTCTCGATTTCTTGACCTCATGATGCACCCGCCTCGGCCTCCCAGAGTGCTGGGATTACAGGGGTGAGCCACTGCACCCAGCCCATATGGTCCTCATTTTATAGATTATAAGGCAGTTTTGGAAATAAGATATATGCCCCAAACACACATGAGTAGTAAGTGAAGAGTCCCGTATTGGACCCAGCTCTATCTGACTCTGAGGCATATTCAGCCTCATGCTACCAGTTGTACTAGACTGTTATGACAGCAGTATTAAAATAGCAATCCACATTTTTCAACATCAATGTAGAAGATACCATTTAAGGAAGTCTGTGTAACTTGTGTGCTGTAACTTGTGTGCTGTTGGGCTACTGTTTATGTTTTCCTGTGCTGATCATTTTGTGTGCGTACCGAAATCTGTATGTGAGCATACATTTTAATTCTTCCCTTTTCTCCTAATGATGTGACTAAATCATTTCCTTTTGAAACATCCCATCTGGCAGACAATAAATGACCTTTCCCATCTTGGACTTTGTAGTTTGTACTTAACCAAGTCAAAAAGCGCCAAATGATGCCAGTTGTATTATGGTTGTGAGGATGTGTGATAGTGAAGCTTAACCCACAGCAATTAAAGCAACTCAGAAAAGGAGCTGTCTATTCAGACTAATGAGGAAAGGCTATCTTGTTCTTTTTAGGAACAACTAAAATAATTCTGCAGAAAATTTGCTTTACTGGCCTTTGCATAAGGAAAAACAGGCTCTGGAATAGAAGCTAGCATGACCCTGCTTCTCCCACTCTGCTATATTGGCTGTATTAGGGAAGGCCTTAACAGCATCTCAACAAAGAGTTTGACTTTGTGGTCTGACATTTGTATAATGGATATTCTGTACACACATTCCCTGGAATTTGTTGATTTAGAGATTACTCAAACTCCATCCTGATAAAGCTCTATTTAATCTGGGTTTACTTAGTCGTTGGTTTAGTTTGAAGTGCGGGGAGTTGTTTTGGAAAGTAGGTTGCTACTTGTGGTGAAAAGGCTTTTTGCTGACGTCCTTACCTGGTGGAATGGTAAGAGGTGGTTTCAGTAGATGGCCAAGCATTGGATCAGATATCTGTCAACCTAACTTGAAGAGAAAGCCATGAAAGAAGTGTGGCTAAAAACTGCTGGGTTATGCTTGCTCAGGAAACTCCCTGTCTGGGTCACTTACCTTTTATTACTAACTTTTCACTCAGTCACTATACTGGATTTCCCCTTTTTCCTCTCAGAAAATTAGTAAGCATGTCATTTCCTATCCACATCTATGCATTTCAATCAGATAAGAGCTGTGAAGGTACCACGTCCATGTTGGACCATATACTAAACATTGGCTTATTGCATGATGTGCTTTTGACATGCCCAGGTAGCTGAATGCAGAGTTCCATGCTCTTCATATTGAGGGTGTTTGAAACTGGTATATGCAGTTACTTCTATGAGATCTTCCCTGGGAGATACTACAGAAGGATGAAAGAAGATGAAGTTGGAAAATGACATGTGTAAAACATGATTACCTATTGGCTGCCCTGTCAAGGATAAGACGTGGTTTCTGTTGCATTGCGAACAACCCCTAGTGGTCTGCAGATGAGCTGCTGCTCTTTGCCTCCATAAGTAGGGTGTTTGGACCACCCCTTACTCAAATGCTAGTTTACAGTGGCATGAATGCATTAACTTGCTGGGTGCTTTCTGGAAGCTCAAGGGAATATCTACCATGGTCTCATCTATTAGTAAGCCTGAGAACATGCATTCATTGACCCCAAACCCATCCCCTGTGCCCTCATATCCGCTTCCTGAAAACTGTATGCTAGATAGAACCTTTTCATAGTCATTTTGAATAGATATTCTTAGAGCACTTCACCATCCAGCCTATGTGATGTTTCTCAAAAACCAAAAAAGCCAGAATGCATTGCCTTGTTTTCTGAAGAGTTCTGCCTTTCCTGCCTCCATTTCTCTCTTTTTTTTTAAGAGTTAGAGTATCACTCTGTCACCCAGGCTGATGCAGTGGCATGATCATAGCTCACTGCAGCCTCAAACTCCTGGGCTCAAGTGATCTTCCCGCCTCAGCCTCCAGGGTAGCTGGGACTATAGGTGTGTACCACCAGTCCTGACTAATTTAAATTTATTTATTTATTTATTTATTTATTTATTTATTTATTTATTTTTAGAGACAATGTCTCACTGTGTTGCCTAGGCTATTCTCAAAGCGATCTTCCTGCCTTAGCCTTCTGAGTTTCTGGGATTGCATTTGTGAGCCACCGGGGCCAGCTCCCCTGCCACCATTTCAACCCTGAGAAAATTATACAGAAAGATTTACCAGTTTATTTACTTCTCTTCCTACAACCTAGAACAAAGCCTGTGCCTCCAGTAAAGAGAAGGCCTCCAAAGCCTAAAGACCATCCTGACCCTGCCCCACACATTCTTTGGAGTCATCAGAACTCAGTTTGAATCTTATTCCTGTCATTTACTGATATGCAGTTGAGCCAAGCTGAGCCTCTGCTTCTTTGGCCTGTAAAGTGGAGAAAAGTATTCTTCATTGTGCTCTCATCTCATCTATTGCATGAGGCAGTACACCTAAAATCCCTAGCACATAGTAGATTCTAAACAATTACAGCTTCCTTTCCTAATCTTACAGTTTTTTGACTACTTAAGATCCCATGTTCATCATTTTTGTTACTCCTGGATAGACTTAGAAGGAGGTAAAGGTGGAGGGAAATATCAAGTCTTTTTCTAATCCAATATGGGCTCTATCTTTACTTTTCACAGGGGTCATCCTCTATTTATTATGGGTACAATTTTTCTTTGTCCTATTCCATCACTTTGGTGCTTAACAGGAAGCTCAAAATAGACTGATCATGGCTGAGACTTAGCTCCTTCGCTGTGTAAATTTTCACACTGCACATGTTCCAGGTTCATCCTCTTTCATTTAAGTTTCATCTTTTTGAGGGAAGTGCAATTTCATCAGAATACCTACATAAATACAATTCACATGTCATAGGGAAATCCAAAGGCTTCAATTTGGGGGCTCAAAAAGATGTCTTTAGCTGCAGGGCATCTATCCAGTGGATGTGGAATACAGAAACATGGGTTCATCCCTGAGCAAGGGTAAATCAGACATGGAAACTTTTATCCTCACCCCCAGAATAGGGAGTCCTGGTCTCTGGAACCATTACTGAGGTCATTGGTTCATGCTTTTCTTTACATATTTACCTCGTATTTACACCCCTCTTCCTCTACAGGAGAAGGATTTGAGGCAACTGTTTAACTTATTCTGGAGTGAAATGGAGATTAATGTGATACCTCCTGATTACTCATTAACCCCACAGGCAAAGATCTCTATATGTCATTTTTGAGATAATGAGTGAAAGGCCCTGATATGTAATAAGTTAGGGCAGAACTGGAGTGAAATTTGTAAAACTGTGGGTAGACCTGGTGATCCACAGATGAGTGAAGTGGCAGAAGATGGCCCTCCTAGCCCCTTCTAGGGCTTTCTCTCTTTTCTATGGCTCTTGCCTCCACTCTGCAGTCCTGTTTTCCAAGTGACTGGAACTCTCCTTGGTCCCACTACCGCCCATTAAACAACATCGAAAACGTCTCCCACCCCACCCCAGACCCCAGGACCCACTCCTGAAGCTGCCTTCTCCAGGATGTGCCCTGGTTTCTCCTCTGTCTTCTCAACCTTGGGTAGATATTCTGTCCTGACCATCTCTCCCTGAGCAGCCACCTCATGAGAAAGGAAATTTTCTTATTGAGTACTACCCAAGTGTCAGGCCCCACTTAGATAAAGTGATAGAGCTGAGCCTCTTAGAGGTTAAGTGACTTGCCCAACTTCATGGTGCTAGGAAATGACAGCTCTTGAATTTCCACTCAGGCCTGTGTCATTCCAACCCTAAATTCCCTTGGCTATGCAGCCAAAAAAAAAAAAAAAAAAAGCTAAATTCTCCAGAGTCTTGCTAATTAAACAGGCTTAATGGGTTGCCTCTCAGAATAATTTAATATTAAAAGGGTATTTCTGGACTTGAAAGTGTCTTAAGGATTTTGCAGTGGTGAAATTTTGGGTATAAGGTAGATTGGGAAGGGAAATATTTTGGGGTTGGGATTTCTGATTACTCACTCATGTCACACATGCTAAGGAATGGCCTAGTATAGTAATGCCTAAAACCAGGCCTGTAACTAAGACTTCCTGTGTGGGTATCAGGAGAAATATTTATGTCTGACAAATGGATGTTTTTAAAGGGTCTAATGGAGGAAATGGAAAGTTTAGAAATGCAGTCTATAACCAAGGGGGGTAAAATCAATGCTTATTCGCATATGGACTGTTGTGCAAGTGTGTTAGCTTTCCATTGATTGGTACCAACGATGTCTAAGATGCGTTAGCTTTGAGTACTGATAAGATAAAAAAGGCTTGGGCAGACAAAGAAGAGTGTGACCATCTGGGAAGCAGACAGGAAAATGGCCTTGCCAGGTCACCCTCTCATGAGGATCAAACTCCAGAGTGTCTCTAAGTGCTTACAGGATGAGTGGGTCTTCTCTGAACACTCACTTAATGAACAGAGACAGACCTCTGTAATCCAGTGTCATAGACTCCAGAGACTGCCCAGAAATACAGCATGGGCCCCCACGATGATTATAAGAGAATGAATAAGATGACCCTTTACTGATGGAATTAAAATGTGTGCCCCTAGAAGGCTGCCATTGAAAAGGTTTGGGATTAGCAGTGTTTGCTTTTTTCTAATTAAAAAACTGAATCACCTACGCATTTTTAAGGATGAACTTTAAGCTCTTGCCTCACAAAATGAACAAATTGAGCAGTGAAGCCTTAAGAAAATGAGACCAAAAGTGGAACAAGGTAAAAAGTCAAAGTAAGAGCCCTAGCTTATACTAATTGTTAGGAGGGAAATTGCTGAGGCTGTACTTGACCATGTGCGTTGTATGGGCAAGCCTCTGAAACATGCACTCCATGCCTGTAAAGAGTTATTTCCAGCCACTGACTTTGCCATGAATGACAGAGTTTATTTTATTTTATTTTTTAAATAAAAAGCCTCAGCCTAAGGAAATACTTTGCTCCCACAAGATGCCGAGCTATTGAAAGAGCCATTCTGAGAGGGGGGTGGAGGCAGGAGAAGTATATTTTCTAAGATTTTCCGATACTAAAACCCATTTACGACTGTTGAGAAAAATCTCTCTGACGGAGGATTTAGCTCTCACTAATCCTTAAGTGACTTGTTTTGACAGAGCCTTTATAGGAGATTTTCTCAGTAACTTTGGTTTGCTCTAAAGGAGCAATTACTGATTTGTCCTCCAGCTCCTTCTTTTTCTAATTTTTTTTCTTTTTTAATATATGCCAGTTAATGAACTTCATGTATGTTCCAAAATAGCAAGTGAATCCGATCAGAACTGTTTACTGTAAAAATTCAGGAACCTTTGGATTGTCTTGGATCTTCCGTTCGCTTTCTTGCCTCCGGGTATCAAGGACCTGGATTTCATTTCGTGTGTCATGTGGCCTTCTCAGCAGATTCTTTGACTTGAGCTTGTGGAAATCGAGCCCTACTTTCTATTTACACTGTACTTTCTCTACATAAAGACATTTTCAACTGCTTGAGGAATGAGCATGGGGACCCCAGGTTTTTAAGCCTTCTGGTGTTTGCTTTTGCTCAGACAGGCATTATCTTTTTAGAGGTGACTGTAGCAGCTGGAGGACACTGCTTACCTCCCTGTTTAAGGCACTGCTTGATGCTGTGACAACGAGCCCTGGTGTCTGTGCGATTTCATTTCCCGCCTTGCCTGCTGTGCCTGTGCAGGGATGTTTAAGTTGCACCTCACATTCTTGCTTCTATATTTTAATGAAGTCCTAACACCAGGGGAGGCCTGAAAGTGTCTTTTCAGCCCAGAGGTTCCCAAAGCATGGTTCCCCAGGCCAGCAGCATCAGCTCCTGGGAACGGGCTAGAAATGCATATTCTCAGGCCTTGCCCCAGACCTGCAGAATCCGAAAGTCTAGGGAGGGAGCCCAGCAATCTGTTTTCACAAACTCTCCAGGTGATTCTGATGCACACTAGCGTTTGAGCGGCAGTTTTCTGATCCCCTTGCTCATCCTCCAGGAAGACTGCAAAGGAACCATCCTCCAAAATAACCACCACCTACTCCCTCAAAAATCCTCAGTTTGTGACTCCACGCCCAATTTTGCTTTGTGACTTCGGAAGCCTCATCTGCAGTTAGATTTCTGGTCCTAATTTATGACTGTGTTCACTAATTTTTTTTCTTAATGTCAGAAAACCGTGCCAGTTACAGGATTGTCGTTAGGGTGTGGCGGGAGAGATTGATGACTTTTCACGAAAGTGTACAAAACTCTGGACAAGCATTAACATATTGCATTTTAAATTATTCTTGATACTTTTTTGAAAGCCGCCTGCTTTAATCCTCTTGTCAGGGAGCTGCCGTGTTAAAAAATGATCGCTGAAGCGGCTTTGCCAGCTTCACATGAAAAGTGAAGCGGTGAGGGCTCTTCACAGGAAGAACTCTGGCTGCGGGCCGCGTGGCTGGTGGAGGGAGTCTTTGGAGAGAGTGGGCAGCCATGACATGGCTTCTGAGGAGAGGAGCATCATGGGAAGTGTCTGGGGGTGGCCATGGGGTCTTCCCGCAGGCACTTTAGCGATCAAAATGGCTGCTCGGCCGAGGTGGCAGCTGCTGTGGGCTGTGAAGAAGATGAAGGGGCCCAGACGGGGGACTTGAGAGGTCTGGGTTTGGGTCCTCCTTTTCTCATCGCCAAGTTACATAACCTTGGGCAGGTCCATTAGCATGTCTGACTTTTAGTTTCCTCATTTATAAAATAGAGGAGGTTATGCCAGGTGACCTCTAAAGATCCTTTCAGCTTTAAAATTTATGATTCTGGGATTTCTTCTCCCATCTGACTTCCTGCACTGCCCTTTCCCTTGTACACAGGAGCAGCTGAATTTATTGATCCCCTAGAGGCTTTGTCACCCACTTCTTCCTTCCTTCAGCCCCCGCTTCCCTTAGGAGCCTCTTTCTTAGAGGGCTTATCCAAAATTTAAAATTTTTTAAAAACGCACACACACACCCAGACAAACGGATACAAGGGAATCCACTTGGAAATTCAACTGCATATCGGCTGCTTTGATTTCTTGTGGAGGGGTAAGGTGGGCACCTAAAGAAAATAGAAAGTCAGGGGCGGTGCCAGGAGGAGTTTCGCAGGGGCGCGGAGTGGGGGTTTGGTTGTCCAGAAACCCTTCAGAGAAACTCCAAGTGAAAATGTTTAATACCCTCTTCCCTCAGAAAACCAGGGCTCCCAGCCTAATCCCATTCCCTCTTGCCTTGTCCTCTGAAGAAACTGAGCTGCTAAAAACACAGCAGAGGTGAGACAAAGGACATGGCTGCTAATTGCTGTCGAGCATCCTGGGATAGGGGGTTTGGGGAATGTCCTATCATCAGCTCGCATTTGCTTCCAGTTCTGGGAATTCTCACGTCTTTGGTTAAAGCTGTGTCCTTGGGTAACCTGGTGAAGCAGGTCATTTGATGTTGAAGCACATAACAGGAGACACCCTGGTGATTCTCTTCAGCCTGCTTTGCTGGACTGAAGTTTAAAGGTTAGATGACCCTTTGCAAGCTGAGGCTATGCTGGGAGAATTCATCTGGAATCCCAAACTCTCACAGAAGCAGAGGGCAATGGGAGAGGGGGTGGGCAGGCAAATGTTATGTGTTTCTCACCATTTAATCGCTCACGTAAGTGCATTATAGAATCCGATACAATGTTCCAGCTAAATTTATGTGACGTTGATGGTAATGCGACAACTTCTTGTCAGGCTGGGAGCATGCCAACTTTCCTTCCCTTTTACCTTGTAACCTCCTGAAACTGGAACTCACTGGAAAATTTCTTTCACAGTAAGATAGGGAAAGAGTTTATCTAATGAAACCATTCTAAGTATATTTCTTTGTCAGGAAAGTTTCAGCCTCTAGAGTGAAAGGAGTGAAGGATGAAGTTGGAAAATGTGGCTTCAACTTCCTCTACTTTTCCTCCCTGACACAGAGGTGTAGGCATCCATTTTGATTGTATATTCGTGATACCAGGAGAGTCAGCTCGAAGTCTTCATTTTAACCTGGGTAATAGACACTGGTGGTACCAACAGTGCTCACTTAAAAAAAGCATAAAGGCGGGGACTTTTGGAGGATTGGGCAGGAGAAAACATTATAAGGCACGGGTTCAGGTGAGTGGGTGTCCAAGCAAAATTGCAAAAGCTTCAAGTTTTTCTTCACTGGCTCCTTCACTATATAATTACCCTCCTCCCCTGGAAAAAAGTTAAAAATATGTTAAGAGTTTCAATATTCCTGATTTAGAATCTTTGGGAATCTTATTTAAATGGAGTACTTGCTTAGGAATCCCAAGACCTGGAATTCCCATCTGAGTGTGCTGTTACCCAGCCTTGTAACACTGGGCAAGACATTTCCCATCTTTCAGCCTCAGGTTCCTCATCTGCCTAATGAAGATGTTGGCCTCATCAGGAATGGCTAAACTTCAACCCACACCCTTAAATGGCAGGCATCCGTAACTGACTGCAGCAGTCTTTCCAATGGATTCTGGATGAGGCCTCGGAATCATTCTCAACACAGCGCCTGCCCCAAACAGCCATAATTCTTTTAGAGCTTTTTTCAAAGATGAAACTTCTTTGTCATCTTCCTCTGGAGGAAGCTTGGAAATTGGCAGGATATCATCAGAGCTTGTAGGAGTGGTACTAAACCCACCCTGAAGGTTTGGGAAGCCACGAAGGCATCCAGGAGGTGGTGACCATAAAGCTAAATCTTGGAAAATGAGATACATTTTTAGGAGAAGGGAGAAAGGATTTTCTTAGCACAAAGAACAGAAAAACCAAAGGCAAGAAGCTAGAAAACAGCATGCAGAGTAGGCTGCATTTATAATTTGGTGGAGTAAAGGAGTCACGTGCAGAATAGCAGGAAATGAGGCTGGAAAGACAGGCAGAGGCCAGAGCAGAGTGGGCACTGGAGGACAGGCTTTGGAGGTGCAGTTCACTGACTGTCCTAGTCCTTCATGCTCCTGCCTTGCCACCTACTTACTGGCTGATGGTTTCTGAGTCTCCGCCTCTTGCTGCCCGTTTGACTTTTCTACTGTTCCTGGCTCTGACTTTCTCTGGAGCTAATATTGTTCCTCTCATGTCTGTTGTCTGTGTGATGTACCAGGTGCTGAGCCTTGACCTGAGGGTCTCCCTGGATGCTTCTCTGTTCCTGCATATTCAGAGCAGCTGCCCATCAGTTTTTCTACTTTGTATGTACATCTGACTCTTCACTGTCCTTTCACCCTCTCCCACTGCACACATGCACACACACAATGTGCACACACACGTGCACATACATACACCCACATATCAGATCTGAAGTTTACATCAAGGGTGCTTTGGAAATATTACATAATGATAGCTTCCTTCAGATAAAGTTTGGGCCAGTTACAAAAAGAAAAATGGGCTCATTTGCAGGATCATATTGGCTCACACATGGTAGAGGGTCCTTTTGAGGCTCTAATGGGCAGGCAGCTGATTCTAACAGCAGAATTCTGGGTCCTTGATCTTCCCGAGACATCTCCCCCCTGTTTTGAACATTAGCTGTGGTGTGGGTCCTTCCCACGGAGAACTGTGAATCCTATTCAACCGCCTCCTTGTGATTTGGACATGAACAGGGAGCTTTCTCTGTCTACTTAATTCCCTTTGAAAGCTTTCTCGTCCCACTATTGGGCACTTCAGAGAGAGCACTGCATTAATATCTTCTGCTCTGGTTTCAACTTGGTATGGTTTTGTGATCTTAAAATAGATGGAATTACCACGGCAAGCATTGTTCTGCCTTGAACTTAAAGTCTCAAGAGCAAGTACTTCTAAAAAAGTTAATCCTTTCTTATTTGCAAGGATTCTGGCCTGTAGTTTACAAAGAAATATGCTAAATTATTTATAATCCAGGATTACTGCAATGCCAAAGATTTCCTTGCATAACATCCCAGCATCACTAAAATGGCTCAAAAAGAACAGCCCTCGGCCACACCTTATCACCACTGCTCTCTCTGGTCCCTGTGAAGGGGCCCCGAGCAGGGCGATGGTGGCTGATGCCCTGACCACAGGAACACATGTTCTCCTCTGCAGCGTCATCCTCCATGGCTTATGTGCTCACAATTCTGCTGCTGGGGCCTCCAGGGCAAGAGAAAAGCGGAGATGGTGTGGACAAGCGGTACACCTCTTGATGGCAAGCATGCAATTTCTTCCTTATTTAAAATTTGTGTACTCTGCATTCTTCTGAGGGGAGTTGGTGTGGTCTGTAGTTAAAGAGTGGCATTAAATGGGACATTTTAGAAATATGCAGTATTCCAGGCCCACCTCCACTATTAACTTTGAGAAAACTCATTGAGCTCTCAATTTTCCCACATGTAAAATAAGGGGGTTAGAATAAATGAACGTGAAAGTGCCTTCAGCTCTAACATCAGGTGACTTTAAACAAGTACTGATATAATGCAGGGATGCGTATGTGCATAGCACAGACAGTTGGAAAATAAGACTGACCTCTCAGGGACTTACTATGGAAAGATAGACTCCGAGAATCCCAATAGGGCCTGCCTTCAGTAGGGAACCTTCCAGAGTACATGAATACATGTATGATACATTTTCCTCTATTTTCAAAGTTGGTAAATTACTTGATGCTGTTTAATAATCTCTTATTCTTTGTGTGTCACAAGTAATTTTATATTTTTAAGTTATTTTTACGTCCGTTGCCATCCAAAAGAGTTGTCGTGATTTACGTTTCCAGTAGTAGTGTATATTGGTTTCTGTGTGTGAGTTCATACATAGAAATTTAACTCTGGTATAAATTTAACTCTGCTAATGGGCAAAGGTGAAGGGGAGGAGGTGGAAACTGTGTTGTTCTGGTTTTGGTCTGTTGCCCTTCAACATTTTAACTTGGGGGATTGTGTATCTTTGCCTGCAAGGCCGTCCAGATCTAAGTTCCAGGGGCGTTGGTGCCTCCCAGGCATCCTCCCGCACAGCGCAGCTCTCATTTGGGTTTACCACGAGGCCTCTGATGCTCTTCTCTCCAACTGTCGCTCTCCCCAACTGTTCAGCCTTTGCCTTCGTACAACTGTGCATTTTGTTCTCTCCCAAATAAATGGATGTCCCAGCACTCACTAGGAAGTCTGCAAGGCAGTGAAGCCTAATTCACCAGGGTTCTGAGAGGAAAATGAACAAATGAGTGCCAGATGCCTAACATGCTCCCTGGTATTCCAGAAGGGGGGATTTCCTTCCCCCCCCCCCCGCCCCACTCCCTTCCCTGTCTTTCTCTCTAAGCACCAGTTTCCTCTTCTGCAAAAGGAAGCTTGCCTAGATGTCAGTCCCTGCACAAGCACTGAGTGAACCCCCTCTCTGTGCTGGGCGTGGTGCTGGAAGCACAGCACCGGAGAATCTAGTTCCTGCCTCGAGGAGTTCAAGTGGGAAGTAGTCAGCTGCAGCCAGGATAATGGTGGGGTAAACACAGCATAAGTGTGCGACATGGGAGGCAACTCTGACCCTGAGCACGGGGCTAGGGGTGGCAGAGAAGGGTCAGGAGAGGTGCCTCTGAGGTGGCCCCATTTTCCTTAAGCATCTCTTAAACAGCGTGAGCAGCTTCTGATCCCAGTGGCTTTCTGTACAATTGAAGACGCATTGTTTTTCTGTGGTGAAGGCTCCTACTCTGCCCCCACCCACCCTCCCACTCCTCGGAGCAGGAATGTGTGAGGCTCCCTCTGCCCATCCCCTGGTCAGATCTCTCTGCCCCATCCTCTCTGGGCAGGAGGCCTGCTGCTGGCTCAGGAAGGGCTCATCAAGAAGCAGGTTCACCTCTCCCGGAGCACAGACAGCTTTTCTCTGTGGCTCACTCTAATTGACAAGCACCCGCCTGATGTCTTAAAGGGAAAGAGAATCTTGAGGAGAGCCAGAAACAGCAGGGCTGAAAGAGCCGTGGGGTGAAGGATATAATCGGCCACACTGTGCCCAGAAATGCCATGTGTAGGGCGGGCCAGACGGCTGCTGTTACCTTGTGGTTTGGGTTTGATTTTATTCAGTTGCGGAAACATAATCATCAGCTGCTTTCCCTGAGAAGACTGCCAGTGTGAGTGTGTGTGCATGTGTGTGTTTGCATGTGTATATGTGCGTGTGTGTGTGTGTGCATGTGCACACGTAATCTTCCTCTCCCTTTTCGCCCCGTGTAACTCTTCCTTAGCAGTCACACATGTCCTTTTCACCACACTGAAAGAACGTGGTAGAAACACCTTCTCCAGGGACTGGTGACCAGGCCCACCGGCCTGCTGCCCTTGCTTCAGGTCAGGCCAGTGTCCCCTGAGGTGGGGTGGTCAGACCTGACAGGTTTGGGACCGCCCAGCTGGGACCCTGAAATACTCACCTGGAGTTGATGGAGCAAGAGGGCAGGTACAACAACAACAGAAAGCCCTTGCTCCATTGAAGTGTTGTGCATCCAGCCGATGAGACAGCATCCGTGGCCGGGTATGTATGAGGCAAGAAGAGAAGTTGGGAGCCTGGTGAACAAAGGGGAGGTTGAGGAGCAGGGCAAGGATGGAGAGAGACATTCCTGGGCTCTTTCCTAAAGGTCTGGCTGGGTTAGCTGGAGCTACTTTTTATTGGCTAAGTCGGGCTAATTTTTAGATTTTCTTCATTTTGGGCTCTTATTAGCCTGCTGCTTCTTAGATGCCCATATTGGACTACACGGAGTGCTAGACTATGTGAAGTAAGATGTGAGGGAATGTGGTTGGTCTTACGTGGAACAAAATACCATTGCTGGAACCTCCACATCTTCTCCTGCTGATGCCCGCAGCAAGGTGCCGGCAAGGTCATGATTCAGTGTTTGCAGGACAGCCCCACAGCCTGGATTAGTCCTTTGAAACAACCAACCTTTCATGCTAGTACTGTCCTGTGCCAAAGAGAGTGTGTTATTTTTAAAAACCCCTTCCCTCCATTCTGCCCGTCCAAATGCCAGATAACCACAAACGTATAACCACATAGAAAGAAATTGATGTCCCAGGAGTTACATCCAACATGCATGAAAAGATGCCATTTTTTCTATTCATTTTGTCCGCCTGCTTCTTTGTCATTTCTTTCTCTTTTTTCCTGCTCCTCTGCTCTTGTCTATAATATGTCACATTTGCTTCACTTTGGTTTGAAGAACTTGGGTTTCATCCTGGTATGAGTCTTCAATAATTCTGAGACTTCTGAAATTCCTGTAAAAACCCCGTTTAGCTTCCTTTTATCATGAAACAGGCATGCACCCCCCATGACAGCATGACAGTGCGAGTAGGAACAAGAGTATGTCTTCACAACTGGCCAAATAACTGGATCCCTTCAGGCCACGAAAGGTTGCAAATCTCATATGCTTTACATCTCTGTTAAAAGATCACAGATGTCAGAAAGGGACTTGAAACCTTTTTTTTCTAATTCCAACTCTCTTTCTCTCTCTCTCTCTCTCTCTCTCTCTCAGCTCTGGCAAAGGGAAGTATCTTGCTGACAAAGAAACCAGCTTTCTTCTGACCTGTCTTGGTTTTCATTTGTGATAACCTGATGAAGAGCAAATTACTTCCAGAAGCAATAAAAACTATCAAGGAAGACGATCTTGTAGCCGAGGAGCACAAGAGAGATAGTCACAGATGATGTTGTTCTAGTGGGCTGTTGGGTTTAAATGTGGCAACTGTGAGTGTCCTCTGGTCCTTGCAAAGGGTAGGGATTTCAAAGTTCTCAGTCGTCTTCCAAGTCTATGCCACAAACTCTTAGCAGGTGTGCCAAACCATTTCAGAAAGAGACTCAGTTGTCTAGGAAGAAGTTGTAACTATAAAATATCCCCATTGCAAAACCTGGATGAGGACACAGTCCTTTTAGTAATGTCTTAAGTTGTTCTTTCAGAGTTTTGATTCTTTCATCATCCTTACAATTGTTCATGCAAGAAAAGTTGCTTTTTTCATTACTGTTAGACCCACCTCAGATGGAGATCAAAGCTGTCTATATTGAGTAAACAAATGGGTTGACATATTTTGCAGGAGGAATTGAAATCCATGGTTGTCACTGGGTGGCCCTTGGCAGGCTGACTCTATAAGGAGTTTAACATAAGCAAGTGCAAGGAAAGGTTCCACAGGAACCACCCAGGCATGGAATTCGGGCCTTTCATGTGGGATATTTCTGCACTTGGTTGTAGGCAAAAGACGTTGCAGTGTATAGCCTTTGAGACCTAGTTACTGCCTCAGCCCTCGTGAGCTGTAGGACCGGGAGATGGGAAACATATCCAGGGGCCCCCACCTGCTCACCTTTGTCCAGTCACTTCAATGAAATCCCGAGTTAGAACCTTCTTCTTATTTTTACCATCTCAATTCTTAGAACTCCTTTTTGATCTTTTTTTAATGTTCATATTATGGGTGTTTAGATCATCTGCCTTACAAAAAACCATGTTCTTTGATTTTTTGGGGGAAATGTAATCTCCACATATAACAATTTCTCGGCTACTGAAGGACTTTTTGGATACCAGATATGGTTCTTTTAAAGATTCCCTCTATTTGCTGAAGGTCTAACAGTCAGTCAGGTGGAAATGTCAACAAGACAAACAGTGGGGAAGTGATTCCCTAGGAAAAGTCAGAGTGACCAGGAAATGAGGCAGCAGAGAAGCTGCCTGAGATTTGAAAATTGGACGTTAACACAGACAAGATGGCTCAGGGAGCACAGGCTGTGCATACCTCTTCCTGAGCTCCGTGCTTCACATTTGCTTTCTCATATAACAATTCCAACCATTCCATCAAGGCGATGTTGTTATCCTTGTTTTACACATGAGGAAGTTGAGGCTCAAAGAAGTTAGTAGTTTGCCAAAGTTATATACTGCAGAGCAAATGGCAAGGCTAAGATTTGAGCTGAGACAAACAGATAGCATTTGCATTGTACTGCATTCCGTAAAGACTACAAGTTGTGTTCTGTCGATCAATCTATCTGAAATATATATATTTTTGATTCAAAGCCAACATTGAAAGTAGACAGACATTGTCATCCTCTTGCCTGGACCAGACTGTCTATCACTGTAAAACACACTACTCCAGAATTCTGTAGCCAAAGCCGCAACCATTTTGTTATATCTCACAATGTTTCTTGGGTCAGGAATTCAGACAGGGCTAGGCCGGGCAATTCTTCTGTTCTGCCTAGCATCAGTTAGTCACTTGTTGGTATTCAACTGCAGCCAGGCTGCATTGAAGGGTCCAAGATGGCAATACTTGTATATCTGGTAACCTGGCGGGGATAGCTGGAAGTCTGGGGTTCAACTGCACACTCCATGTTTTCTGAGGTTATCTCTACATGGTTCTACTACAGAGTACTTGGACTTCTCATGTGGAAGATCAGGGCTACAAGAGAACATGATGGAAGCTATGAGTTCTCTTATAGGCTGAGCCCCAGATGGGCATGGCATCACTTCCACTGTACTCCATTTGTCAAAGTATTATAGACCAGTCCAGATTCAAGGCCAGTGGAAATCAAACCCACTTCTCACTGAAGGGAGCGTTAAAAATATATAGCCATCTTTAATCTACTACAGTCATATACGCTGTTTTCATAGAATGAAATGAAAAGGCTGCTTTTAAAGACAGGGCTTGCTATGGTCCAAACTATAAGGAAAACAACATTTGTTTTGGGGGCCTGTTATTTCTTCAGTGACTCCCACCTTCCTCTCACCCCTGGATTCCCAATCATCCTTGCTCTATGTCCCTAAAACCTGTGCTCAAAAACAATGAGACACTCATGACTCCCGTGCTCTTTTGGGGGCTGTTTTCATCTTGAGCTATAGCTCTAAATGAAGGAGGAAAGGATTTTTCTCTTGGTAAAGACATACTGTCTCAAAATTTTGGGAGGATGAAGAAGGCAAGAGAGAATGGGTTTTGACATAGGACCTTAATAGAGTCAATAAACTCCAGACCACTTCAGTAACTGCTAACTCTACCCCATGACAGTTACTGTGGGGCCCACCCTGTTATACAGGCTGTCCACATCTCCCTGTCTCTCTCCCTGTATCCCTCTTTCATTTTTTTCCCTCAGATTCTTTTGCTCTCTCTCCATACACAAATGTGGATTTATATTTTTAGATTTGTTTGTTTCTTCAGTCACCTCACCCAGATAACCACAAGTAGTCAAATATACATAAAATCACCAGGCATTTTTTTCTACTGGGTGACATAAGTATCCAGTCATTCCAGCAAAGGGGCAGATGACATTTTTCAGGGTTGCAGTCCCAAAGAGGCACTTTTGAAAAAAAAAAAAAATTCTACAAAGGATGTGAGAATCATATTCATGGGTCTGGGTTAACATTGGTCTTTTTAGGTTGTTCCAGAAGCTAGCCTCTCATGTCTGTGCCATTTTCTTCTTCTTCTTGTCCTTCTCTCTCTCTCTCTCTTTCTCTCTTTGGGATCCTTTTTTTTCTGTTCTATTTTGAGCACCACAGCATAGCTCTTTTATTCCATTTGTCAGCCACGGACGCAATCCAGTTGAAAAGCACCTCCAGCCTCTACGGCTGCCACAATGCCTCCAATACTGTGGGGGCCACTGGAGGCTATAACCAACGAATCTCATTTGTAGCTTCTCCATTGTTTTAGCTCTTGGTGTTACCAGTGGGAGAAAAGCTCAAATCAGAGAAGAATGCTGGAAGAGAAAACCAGTTTGACAAAGGAGTGCTGGCCGTCAATTGGCTAAATATAACACCCACACTTGGAATCCATGGTAGCCACATCGTGGTATCCCTCAGTTGCATCGTGGAATGGGCTTTCCAAGTACTCAACACCCTTTCGTATACTCTTTTGTACTCCATTTTTCTTTTTTACTTAAGTTCTCTGTTCCTTTACTTTTTGCACAAACAACACAATCTATCTTCTATTTATAAAAGTAGCACATGCTTATTGGAGAATCTTAGAAACATATTAACAGAAAAATAAAAAGATTCTAATTATCTGTAATACTGTCACTGATAACTATATTCATTTATTCATTTTAATCATTCAACAATAATTATTACATACCTACTGTGTGAACTTCTTTGGATACCAGGGATGCAGAAGGAATTGAAAAGGCAAGATCCCTGGCCTCATGGACTTCAGTTTAATGGGGAGATCAACACTGAAATAATGGAAAACATGATCTTTAACAGCTGCATACCATTCCATCATTTGCATATATTTGGGGTTAAACAAACACTTTTTAATATAATTTATGTATTTTGTTCAAACTATAATTTATTAAGCCATATTTTAGATATTTAATACTCTGAATCCATGTTGTCAGTTTTCCAAAAGAGTCCCTATTTGTACCACGTATCCATCCTTTTCCTATGATTCGTAATGCTGTTCTTGCTGTGCTCACACCGGCAATAAATACTAATCAAGCTAAATTCAACTGCATTTTATATAGGTTTTCTTTCTTTCTCTCTCTCTCTCTCTCTCTCTCTCTCTTTCTTTTTTTTTTTTTTTTTTTTTGAGACGATGTCTCTCTCTGTCGCCCAGGCGGGAATGCAATGGCTTGATCTCGGCTCACTGCAGCTTCCACCTCCCAGGTTCAAGTGATTCCCCTGCCTCAGCCTCCCGAGCAACTGGGATTACAGGCGCCTGCCACCAAGACCAGCTAATTTTTGTATTTTTAGTAGAGATGGGCTTTCACCATGTTGGCCAGGCTGGTCTCGAACTCCTAACCCATACCCTCAGGTGATTCTCCCACTTCGGCCTCCCTATATAGTTTTTCAAAATAAAAATAGTTTCTTATTCTTTCTGCTTATAAAATCAGTAAGTACTTATTGTAAAGCAAAACAAAAGTAACAAACCAAACAAATCTTGGCTGAACGTATCAGAACAAGGAGGGAAAATCAGTACAATCCTATGTCCAGCAGTAATCACCAGTTACGTCTAGGTGTGTATCCTTCTAGACCGTGTGTGTGTGTTTGTGTGTGTGTGTGTGTGTGTGTGTGTGTGTGTGTAGTTAAGCTCCATCTAAAGGGTAAGTCCTTTTAGAATAAACATGCTGTAGAGGAAATATATAGCACTACCTAACCTGAGTGCCGCATGTAGCTCTACCACCTCCAAACTGGGTAGTTCTAGGCAAATCCTGTCATCCCTTCCCTCCCTAGGCTTTGGCCTAGCAGATGCTTACTACTGTGTTCCACTTAGGCCAGAGTTTCTCAATCTCAGCACTACTGACATTTTGGTCCAGAACATTCTTTATCATGAAGGGTTGTCTGGTGCGTTGTAGGATGTTTTTAGCAACATCCCTGACCTCTGCCCATTAGAGGTCAGTGCATACTCCCCTCCTAGTTGTCGTAATCACAAATGTCTTCAAACATTGCCAAATATACCCTAGGGGACAAAATTGCCCCTAATCGAGAATGCCATTCTAGGCTGAAAAATACTATAATTCCGTGTCTAGTGAATTTTAGTGGTTGCAACGAAACAAAACTTTGGGTGTTCGCCAGCATGCTTTGTAGTGGGAGACATAAGAGATGGAAGATACAGAACAGTGGGGCAAATCAAGGCTGAAGCCCCACCTGGGTTAACTAGCACGGGCAGCATACTGGGGACAGTTCCGCAACACGTGCGCGGGAAGACAATGCTCTGAGCCATATTTAAGTCTCAGGTATCCATTCATGGTCAGTGGGTAGGAAAACACGTTTCTTTTGGAGTAGTTATATTGTAAGCCAACAAGGTGATGAATTATTGAATGGGTTCTTTTTGTATAAACATACTTATCATCTTTATTTTTCATCAGTTTTGTAATGAACAAGGGAAAGCAGACACACGAAAACATTTTGCAAAGAGCTTCAAATGTGAACTCTTTTTTGGTGAATGGCCCCCTGGTTTGAGGTGTTATTTCCTTCTTGAGTGGTCTCTCTGCTTCAAGGACACTTTTTAATGCAACCATTGTTCAGAAAAAGTCACCCTGTTTTCTAACTCTTTCCCTTTTACTCCCACTCTCTTTTCTCTCTGTCTCTCTCTCTCTCTCTCTTCTTGTTTTTTGGTGGTAAAAGAAAGGCTAGAGGTTTACTAAAAATGAAATGACAGTGACAGAGTGGCCATTTTGGGTTTTGAAATGTGCTTTGAGCCTCAGCTCTAATGGCCAGCCTCGCAGTTTAAGCCGTATCCTGATTTTCTAAGTCATGGTAAAATGGTGTTTCATCCAATGTAGAGTAGAGACTTCAGGACAGTTGAATATATTGAATCTCCCTTTGGGAGAAATGGTGGGCCAGCACTGGGTCCCAGCAGGGCTGGTCAGAGGTGCCTGTCTGGGGCCTCCTGGCCTGATGAGGGTCTCTCTCTAGTGGGGCTGGAAACAGCAGAGACAGTCATGCTGAGTGTGTCCAGATGTGGGAATGGCAGGAGCCATGCAGCTTAGGAGGCCATAGGGGTGTGGTGTGGCAGTGGGAAGAAAGACAAGTGCAGTCCAAGAGCAGAGGCTGACAATAAGAAAGGTGCAGCAAGGGTCCAAAGATCATGATGAAGTTTGGAGTCATAAGACTCAGTGTGGAAAAGGCAGAGTACAGAGCATTGTTTTCATCTCACTTCTAATTAATCCTTGTTTAGATCAGCATTTGTCTAACCATTGAGGAGTCCATAATGGGGTCTACAGAAGAGGCCTTGAGGTTAAAATAGGGGTGAGAGATAGAGGCTGAGGTGTCAGGTGGCAAGATTTGTTTTGTAGATTAGTACCTGCCTCACCTTTAAAGCAAGGCATACCCTAAGAAAAAAAGTTAAATGCATCGGCGGATTTTTTTATTTCTGGCTTTCTCAGGTCAGACACGTATTAAATTTAATTTCTTTGTGTTATGTTGAATATCTATAAAAACCAGTCTGTTGCTGATTATTGCTATATGCATATATTTTCTCCTTTTCCGGAGGCTTTGAGCTGGCCTACAACAAATCCATAAACTAACAATGGGAAAAATAGGTTGAATCAAATGAAGTTGTTGAAATTCATTGGTTTTTTTTTGACAGTCTTTCTCTGTCACCAGGCTGGAGTGCAGTGGCATGATCTTGGCTCACTGCAACCTCCGCCTCCTGGGTTCAAGCCATTCTCCTGCCTCAGCCTGCTGAGTAGCTAGGATTACAGGTGCCCACCACCACGCCCAGCTAATTTTTGTATTTTTAGTAGAGATGGGGTTTCACCGTGTTGGCCCGGACGGTCTCGATCTCCTGACCTCGTGATCTGCCCGCCTCGGCCTCCCAAAGTGCTGGGATTATAGGCATGAGCCACCGTGCCTGGTGAAATTCAAAGGTTTTTGACCTACATAAGTGACAGTAGGGTTGACCTAATAGAAATCATTGTTGAGAAATTAGGACCAAAAGTAAGATAGAGTGAAGAGGTGGATGCCAAACCAATGCCAGGGTGAGGAGTGGGTGAGGGAATAGAAATACATGGGCTTATAGACCTACAGGATTTCCAGTAGTTAATCCTTAAATGTTCCTGGAAACCAAAGAGTAAGGTGAGATGTGATTGGTCAGAAGAAAGAATTTCAGCCTCTGAGGGAGGCAGAACTGCTCCTTACAACTTACACATTTGTCTGTGTGCAGGCCATATTCTAGGACCCATGGGTGAAGGAGTAGATTACTTCTTCAAAGCATGCTTACAGGAGATGCAGTCACAGATTTTATAAATCTCCTTTATCTAGTGACCCAGTGACAATCCCACATTCATGGGGATGGCTTGTATGTGTGCTTTTAAAGGAAACAGCATTCTAAAATGGCACGTAGATGTGGAAGGTTTATGTTTGTGACTTATTTTACAAGTGGTGAAAAAGGAGATGATTTGTTTCTGCTAAGTAACATTTAAAAGCATTTCCTTTTAATATAGTGGAATTTCCAGAACCCTGACCCTAACCCTCAGTGCTATTAGCCTGTTAGACATAAATTTCATTGATATCCTCTGATGTCTGATCTCCATTGGTGCCACTTCGTGTCCTCTTAAAGTGAGTCCTCAAATTTGTTTCTGTAATCTAAATAATTAATCATAGAAACTAACTGTTCTTTTTAGGAAAAAATGCTTCAAATCATATAAATGTACAGTTCTATGATTATCAGGTTGCATTTAATTAGATGTTTAGAGTATCATTTTATTGACTTTTGACAGTTATTTGCTTTCCCTTCTCTAAGTAACACTAACACGAGCAGCTAATATTTCTAGCATTGATTGTGTGCCTGGCTCTGTTAAAGGCCTTAAATATATTATCTCATATACTCTACCCAACAGTCCTATGATGTATGGGTACCATAATTATTCTCATGTTACTGATGAACAAACTGAGGTTTGGAAAGGTTAAAAAAAGAAAAAAAAAACTTCTCCAAGGCCACCTGGTTAGCAACTAGCAACAGATTGAAACTCAGCACTGTGGGCCCCACTACCCTGGTTCTCTATTGCAGTAAACCCCTGCTCCCCTACAAAGATAGGTGATCATTCTTTGCTGCTGCTAGTGGAGATGAAGTGTATGCTTCTAACACATGGAAACAGTTGATTTTGTGACACAGGAACTTGGGCAGTAGAGGACCTTGGGAGCCAAGAAGACCAAGGCCAGCCAGATTTTAGAAATCATGACTCCAAGAAGTAGAAAGGTCATGGAGGTCTTCAGATCCTGTCCCAAAACCTGCACAAGCTGACAGATGAGTGGCTGAGTTGGGACTTGATGAGCAGATCCACCATTGGTCTGGAGGTCTGGAATCCAAGGAGCTTAAATTAAGAAAATTAAAATAAACATTGTAGGATAAGACACCAATTCTGGATACCTGTAGGGAGGCCTACCTAATGGGAATTTTTCCTTAACTAACGCCCTGCAAGACATTACCTCAGACATAATTTACTTCATCTAGAAAAATAAGCACAGTAGGTCATTACAGGAGTATTGCTTCCAATAGCTGCTGTTTCTGCAGGGCCCAGGTTTTCAGACAGAGGTCTGAGCAATAATAGTAAGTTAAGATTTAGCTAAGAAGGCTAAAAAGTACTAGCAGAGGAGCAGAGCTTTCGGGGAGCAGGAGTGACCTCCGAGGATGGTCAGGACTCAGCCACTGCAGGGCGAGCAGGCGGAGCCTCAAAAGATCAAGGTGGTTTCAACACATCTTCAGTTTCTGAGCCATGATTTTCCCTCCTTCTGAGTCACACCAGCCACCAACTGGGTAATGCCAAATTTGTAGCTCTCTCTGTGTCCCCAGAGGGTGAGGCTGGTGAGGAGAAAGTCACTCTGTCCTCTTCAACACTGGAAAATTCTTTTTTTTTTTTTTTTTTTTTTTTTGAGACAGAGTCTTGCTCTTTCGCCCAGGCTGGAGTGCAATGCCGCGATCTCGGCCCACTGCAAGCTCCGCCTCCCAGGTTCACACCATTCTCTTGCCTCAGCCTCCTGAGTAGCTGGGACTACAGGCACCCGCCACTACGCCTGGCTAATTTTTTTTTTTTTTTTTTTTTTTTGTATTTTTAGTAGAAGCAGGGTTTCACCTTGTTAGCCAGGATGGCATCGATCTCCTGACCTCGTGATCCGCCCACCTCGGCTTCCCAAAGTGATTACAGGTGTGAGCCACCGCACCTGGCCAACGCTGGAAAATTCTTAATTTAGGCTCCACACCTTATTCTTCCCAGCCCAAACTCACTTCAGTGGGATAGTTTGTATAATATTGTGAATGTTTAAAGCAAGGCATTTATATACAGTTAGTTTGCCTTGAATAGAAGTGAATCCAAATCGGGTCTCATTAGAGCACCACTGATCTATGATTTAGGCAATTTTACCATTTTCTGCAAAGGGAAGAAATTATGGGTATATTCAGACATAATTCCATAGCATGAAAGTGAAATCTTTCTTTTATTGCTTTGACTGCTTTATTTTATTAATTTATTTTACTAGTGTTTCTGAAGTAGTGAAGTGTCAGGAACTCCATTAATATGGATCTTGATTGTTAACAGAGTCTTAGATTTGTAATGGATTTGTTATTTATAAGATAAACTTTGGTGTTTTCATTAAAAATGCTTGGATATGATAACAGTGTTATAATAACAATGAGAGTGATAACATCTACCTGGATTTTAAAAATAATAACAGCCATTTTTACTCACAGACTAAATCAGTTAAGTTATCTTTGGATTACATCAAAACAGCCTCACACCCTATCTTAAGAGAACTTACTATCTCAGGGGAAGAACATTTGTGTCCAAAAAAAGTCATAAGAACACTCATTCATTCATTTGACATTATTACTGTATTCTTATAAAATAGCGGGCACTATGCTAAGTCCTGGGGAGAGAGAGGTAGATGAGAAGGTTAAGAGTGTACCACACCAAGCAGGTGAAAGAAACCCAGGCTCTCATTGTTCAGTAATACTACCTTAGGTCTTAAGAGGTCCTTGTGTCTGCATCTGGATTTCATACATGCTCAGCCTGATGTGTGCTTTTCATTTACTTGCCTTGGTGAACTACTTCTCAGCCTTGTGTTGAGATGTCCTTTCTTCTAAAAAGTCTTCCCCAATATCTGCAAAGTATTTTTTTAACTTTTATTTTAAGTTCAGGTGTACAAGTACAGGTTTGTTACATAAGTCATAGGGTTTGATGTACAGATTATTTCATCACCCAAGTATTAAGCCCAGTACCCATTAGTTATTTTTCCTGATCCTCTCCCTCTTCCCACCCTCCACCGTCTGAAAGGCCCCAGTGTGTGTTGTTCCCGTCTACGTGTCCATGTGTTCTCATCATTTAGCTCCCACTCGCAAGTGAAAATATGTCCAATATCCACAAAATTTAATAGCACTTAGCATCTTGAATTGTGACTAGGTGTCTGTCTCGCTAATCCTTGAGGAAAGAGCCATGTTTTCATGATATCAGATACCTGGTAACTCTCAGGCATAGAAGATGTCCCATACACCTGTATTAAGCATATGAATGATTGAAGCATAAACACTAGATGAAGTTTCTCTTTGAAAATTACCTGGAAATGGTACTATGTAAAAATTATTTCAGAAAAAAAAAATCAGCAAAAATCCTAACAAGTGTGCTCCATGGTGTCACAGGCAGACTGAAGTTGTGTGACTCTTATCACATAGCCTTGATGTGATAACGAAGGTTTTAAAAAAATGTGTGAAGGTTGATGTGTATGGGCATCAGTGCAGTAATGTCCAGGATTTCCAAAGAGAACATTATCTTTGGCCTAAGAAGAAAGATTTTAAAATCAAATTTAAGCCCAATATGGCCCAGATGTCTCAAGTCAGCAAAACCATTTGTCAAAAGAATTCCGAGTGCCTCCAACAAGTGTGGTGGTCTCCTAGCCGCCCCCCCCCCCCCCCACTTCCTGTAAGAGCCCACAAATGACAGATCCCAGAAAGCCAACTTCAGAAAAAACACATTTTTTGGTTGGGGGAGACCAACCTCAGGAAATTAATTCTCTGTACTCTAGCTGTCACATTCACAATTAATTAGCTTAAAGTTCCTTGAAAGAACATTTATGCTATTGTGGCTTGATTTGCTTGAAATAGTAGAAATCTGTGGGACTTCAGGAGGGTGTGGTGGTATAAAACCCTTGGCTTTCACAACTGGTTTTTCTCTTTCCTTGAGGATAACTGACATTAAATACGCTGAACAACTGTGGTCTTCAAAGAAGTTTTTAGAGAACCTGATCCTTAAGTGAAACAAGCAAAAGTTTGAAACTAATTACCATGAAAAGTAGTATTTCAAAGGGCTCCTTGGGTGGTCCACTGGAGCCTGCCATCAGGTGAAAAAAGCCAAAATGTTTAACCTCCTGCAGGCGTTCTGGTTCACAGTGAATCTACTACTGAAGGCCTGGCTTCATTCATATCTAGAGGGATTGGCTTCTCTCATCCACCGTGGCTGCAGAATTTATTCCCAGAATGACCATATTCTTCTCCTGGGTGATTTCCACTGGTATCCTCACCGTTGGACATACTGGTGAGACAACAGCAGACGCATTTCTAACAGAAAGATTTGGTTAACTCTCAAAGGTCTGTTTCCCTGAAGTGCCTCTCCATACAGCACAGCCCAGCTCTAGAATTCCCTGGGTTATTGAACTGAGTGAGTCCTGCTACCATTTGTAGACATACCCAACATTTATTACTCATGGATCACATGATTTACCGAGATCCAGGAAGGACAGCAAGTGATCAGACGAGATCCTGAGTTTGGAGGCACAGAGCCTGAGTTCCTATCCTGACTTGGACACTGGACATTTTGTAAGTTCACTGCTACATAAAATTTATACATTTGAACATTAAATTGTATAGGTTGTGTTTTTTAGGGGGGTAGATTATACTAAAATTCTGCTTATTTGCAGACAAAGCTGTGTCCTTGAGGGCATAGTTGAAGTTACAAACAAAATGTTTTATCTTTTTTTTTCTTCCCAAAAATATGCATTAAGCATCAACTATGTACCAGGCACTGTTCTAGGTGCTGGGAATACAGCAGTAAACAGAATAAACTTTCCAACTTTGTAGGATTACATTCCAGCTTAGGGGTCAGTAAACTTAGGGGTCAGTAAGCTAGGGGTCTAGCTATGGGACCCTCTGCAAGTCCTGTCACCTCTCTGAGTCTCAGTGTTTTTGTTGTTACCATTATTGTTGTTATTGATGATGTTGTTGTTCTGATGAATAGCTAGAATTTTGTTGTGAGTTTCCTGTGAGCCATATGCCCTGATAAATGTTTACCTGGATTATCCTAAGAGTCTCCTGAGGTGTAGATAGTATTATTCACTTCCCTTTATCAATGAGAAAAAGTGAAAGATTAAATAACTTGCCCCAAATCACCTATAGTTAGTGAAAAAGCAGAATTTGTACACTAGCAGGCTGACCCCAGAGGCCACACTTTTAACCATGATCCTACTTCCTCAGGGCAAAATAAGGTTAAAATAAGTGGATGTCCTTTTTCAATTCTAAATTTCCATAATTCTGTAAATCATTCCATAAATTCTGTAATACCCCTACTTAGTTTTGGTGATTAAGAAGAAATTTTATACGCTGGAATAGGAGTTAGCAAACAATGGCCTACATGCTAAATCAGGCCCCATGCCTTTCTATATTAATAAAGTTGAATTGGAAAACAGCTACACTCATTCCTTCATGTATTGTCTGTGGCTGCTTTTGTACCACAATGGTGGAGTTGAGTCTTACAAAAGACAGTCTTGGCACAAAACTAAAAGTATTTACTCTGCTGATGCTTTATGGAAGTTTACTGACCCCTAAGCTGGAATGTAACCCTACAAAGTTGGAAAGTTTATTCTGTTTACTGCTGTATTCCCAGCACCTAGAACAGTGCCTGGTACACAGTTGATGCTTAATGCATATTTTTGAAAAAAATAAGATAAAACATTTTGTTTCTAACTTCAACTATACCCTCAAGGACACAGCTTTGTCTGCAAATAAGCAGAATTTTAGTATAATCTACTCCCCTAAAAAAACAAAACCCATAAAATTTAATGTTCAAATGTATAAATTTTATGTAGCAGTGAACTTATTATAAAATGAGATTTTTATCAATTTTCTTGAGCCAAAAAAGGGATGCCAGATTTAAGATAAACAGCTGTTGTAGGTTTTTCTTCTTCCCTTTTCAGGACTTCATGCCTTGGCTTGGTAAAATTAATATTAACATTGAAAAAAATAGGTTATTTGTTTTAAGTGACTTCCCTATAAGCTAATTGGCGAATATTTATAGAAGGATAGACAGACTGCTTTGCATTCTGTATTTGCCCTTTCTTTTGTGAATTACTATGTGAAAGATAAATTCCCTGATATTTTATACCTATTACCTACAAAATTTGCTTTTTGCTCCAGAATGTATTATTTGGGAATGTTTAAAACAGCAACCGGATATCTCTAGCTGCATTTCAACTTAATAGAGCTAATACAGCTAATTGGAGGTGGGAGTTGTTCGGTGGAAGCTACTTTATGTTCCAGAACAAACTTAGAAACATAATAGCTGTGGCAGCTTTCCCCCCTAAGTTTGTATAGTCATTTATCTTAGCAGCAAATTAATTAATTTTCTTTCATTATCTGGTACTTAGTCATAAAATGTTGTCATTCTCATTATGTCATTCTGCAAAATCCTCTGTACATATTGTTAATAATACCGAACTGTGTGAGCTCACCACAAGTTATATGAATGTATTTGGAAATTATTCTAATAGAAGTAACTTTTAACATGTAATCCCAAGTTTTCCTGGCCTTTTAGAAGTACCTGCATACTTCTGGACTAGATCTAAGGGGCATGACCATTTCTTCATTCATTCATTTATTCCAAAAACCTACTTTGTACTGAATATTTGGCTAAATGATTAAGATAACTTGCACACATACACACAGACACACACACACAGACACACACACACAGACACACACACACAGACACACACACACACACACACACACGACCTTTACCCATAGAAGACCACAATCTGGTGTGGAGGATGTGTTAGGGAGAGAGTCAGAATCTGAGATGAACACTTTAATCATGAGTGAGGGGAAATTCTGGGCACAAGAGGCTCTGGGCACCAGCTGAGACTGGGAGAGACAAAAGATCAAGGAAGAATCTTTATAGACTCGGCACTTGATGTGAAAAACGAAAACTAAGAAGAAGGAGAAGAGGAAAGAGGGAGCCCATAAATAAAGGAATTAGGAAAAGAAAAGTTGAGTAGGGATTGCGCTGGTGAGGAAGATATGGAAGGGCACCCCAGAGAGGAGGAAGAGCAGGTGAAGAGCACATAGCACTAAACAATATGTGCACTTGGGGAACAGCACATAGGGGTGCATGGCTGGAGGTAAGGAGGAGAGGGCAGGAGATGAGCCAGGGGGGCAGATGTGAAGGAGCTTGTGCACCATGCTAAGGAGTTGACTTTGATATTGTTGTTGCTGGGGAATTGTGCAAGAAAGACCAGATGTACTGCCATAGGAAAGAACTAGTTAATTGGAATGACAAATCAACAAGTGGTGGTGCTAGCATTTGGGACCACAAGATTCCTCTACTTGTGTATGAACCACCTCTTCAGTCACTAAATAGAGAAGTGATTCCACTCTGCAGTTTCAGAGATTCCAGGAGATGTCAAGCAAAACCTTTGCTGTTCTCACTGCCCTACTTTATACTTGGTTGCTAAATTCTGTGCACCCTGAGAGACCCTGGTGTGGTCTCTCAGGTACCATTCGAAAAGTTTCTCTTGCTGTCCCACTTCCAGAGTGAAGACCAAACAATAGCTGCCTTTGTGTTTGCCTGCGGATCATGGCTCAGTACCTTCTCAAGATACCCAACGTCTTGCTCAGACCGCATTTTGAATTTGTTATCCTTTTAGGTTTTCATTGCATTCTCCAGAGCATCTTTGTATATGATCTTCCTAATACCCCTGTGAGAGATGCAGAGCATCTCACAGATGTAGGTATTCATTCTATAGGAGGTTAAATGGCCAATGCAAGATCACAGCTTAAAGTATGTACAGACCTGGGCCTCAGACATGGAGCTCCTACCTCTTAGACTAGTGCTTATTTTGCTATGGCACACTTGCTTTATGATAGAGATTACCTCATAGTGCTGCCAGTGAGTTATTCTCCAAAGCATAAGTTCATCCACAAAGCTTTCAATAAACTGTTTACTTTGGAATACTTCTAGATTTGCATAGAGTTGTAAAGATAATGCAGAGAGTTTCTGCATACCTTTTACCCAGTGTCTCCCAACGTTAACATCTTACATAACTATGATTCATTTGCCAAAACTCAGAAGTTAACATTGGCACATTACTATTAACTGAAGTCCAGACTTTATTTGGATTTTACCAGTTTTTTCCACTAATGTCCTTTTTCTGTTTCCAGGATCCAATCCAGGATACTGCATTGCATTTAACATCCTTAAAGTTTTTAATTATGCATGGTTGTGGTATATGGAAGCTGACTGCTTCACATAAGAGGCTTTGAACTGGCTAGACTGGACAAGAGAGAGCCAGTTCTGTAAAAGGGAAAAGTCTTCCTTTCTTAAGTGGAAAAACCATTCAGCTTTGGAATATAGGGGCAATATTTCCCTCATCAACCCTCCTAGGTTGAATGGCTCCCACAAGGAAGAACAGAGTCAAAATCTGAGTTGGTGATATTAATATTTATTTGATGAATGGCATTACAGGTAGTCTGGCTGGCCATGGCCCTTGAAACACATTATGCACATAAAATACTTCAAACCTCATGTAGATGTCATTCTCCAATCCCATAAACAATGCTTTGTTTGCTAGGGCAGCGATTCAGTGAAGGCCATTATTTGGTGTACCTTAAGCTTGTAGGCTGAACTCCAAATTTAACAGGAAGGTTACCAAATAATTCTTAAGTGCCCTTGAGGAGTTTGGCTTCCAAATGTGTGCTTTGGTGTGGTTTGAAAAAAAAACAAATCTTTGATCTGCAACAGGAATGTAATTTGGGGAAACGTGCAAAACTTCTGTTGCCTGGATATCTCCAACCCATCTCCTTTTGTAGACTTGATCTATTATGCATTGAAGTCCATTCTAATTACTGTTTCCTATGCTTGTTCCGATGTGCTCAAGAAGACATTTCTAAAAGTTCTCACTTTAGAGAAAAGAGGATCTGGCTGTGTTTGCATGAGTATCAAACCTCTCCAACTTGCATTGATTGTCTAGCAAACCAGATGTGTCTTCCTAACAGGACTAGTAGAGTAACTGAGAGAGTTAAGAAGTTGTTTAAAAAATACTTCTTGGCAAGAGATCACATTGATTGTCTTGGAAAAGAACAATAGGATTAGGACTTGTCTTGTACAGTTGCCAAAGGCAAGCCTATGCTTATGTCACAGGGACAGTTAAACAACTCTATAAGTGACCCATATGTGACTAGTGAGTGTAAGGATTGGCCTAGCATAAAATGCCTGTGACCACTGACAACCAGAATGCCTAGTGGGGAGGGGAAGATGCAGGCCATTGTCCAGGAGGTCTTATGCTTTTGTGACGCCAAGTAGGTTTCTGTGCAAAAGTGTTTGAGCGTCACCACGCATATACAGTTATAAACTGACTACGTAATCTAATGGCCAAGTGCCTTCTTAGTCTAATGTATCCTCCCACAGAGATTTGCTAGCTAAAGACGCCCCTCTGCTCTATGGTTGTCGCCACTCTCACTACACTTCCACTACCTCCTTGGGTCCAGATGCCTTTTATCCATTAAGGACCAACATATGAACTGCTTCTTCCGTACAACCTGGTAGATACCTGTAAACAGAAGACATTATTTCTCCTCTAAAATCCACAAAAATCGCTGTCCATAGCTCTTAGGTGCACTTTTCACTCTCTGGTCATGTAAGTAGGTGTCTAATTCCCCCTCATAGGATAATTAATTTGTGCATAGGATGTTTGTTTAATTTACCTTTATTTAGCCCCACAGTGCTTAGCATGCTACTTGGTACATACCAGCAGTTCAATAACTCTCTGAATAAATAGCACCTGGTTTCTGTAGCCAGCTGTGGCTAGTAACGGAATAACCTTTGCTTTGCTCATTAACTTATGACTGAAATCATGAATAATAGGAAGGCCTAGTCACATGTCTGATTGAATTCTTATACCATTGTTGCAAAGACTACTTCATGGAGATATTTTCCTTGGCCCAGTCAACCACAGTGAGAAAAGATAAGCAGGCAACCAAGGAACACAAAGAGTCCTCAAGTCACTTCTTCTTGATCTTATTATGAATTCTGAGTGGTGCAATGTATCCTAGTCAAGTTGCCTCCTCTGGGACATAAGTGTGGAGGAAGCAAGAACAGTGATGCACTACCAAGCCAGAGGGAACAAGAGGAGGATGGCAAAACGTGTCAGGGCCAGGGTTCCCCTTAGGGCTAGCATCGCTTATGCACTTTCTTGTCCATTTTATGGTTTTCCAAGGGGAGAGGGAGGAGTGGTCACTTGCTTATGCATTTTTCGATCCTAGAAGTCTGGGACTTGTAAAAGCCATTACTTGAGAGCAGCTGGGGCAAATTTAAACTTTTAACAAATGTTTATAATACCTGTTATGTGACCAGCCACATGCCGGACATTGTGTGCCATCAGACCTGCCCACTGGCAATCTCCTGTTGATAAGAGTCTATTTGGAGAGACTCTATCAACAGGAGATTTCCAATCATGTTTCTAACCAAAGTGTTGGCTGAACTCAGGAGTATTAAGCTGAAACATGCCCTGCATTATTGAGACCACCTTTCCTTCTCCTGTTAGGTGCACCTGGATAATCTATATTGTGGCCTATCCTGGGTGACACCTATAGTCCCAACCTCTGTAATAGATGCCTCTCCTGGGATTTTCATGGAAAAGAAAAATCTGTTTATAAAATCGCGAAATCAGCCTGTGCCCTCTATATCTCTGGGAAAGGTCCTACCTATTAATTCAGCCACATTCCGATGCCTGACAACTCCTTACACAAAGGTCAGTGGGAAAAAATGGTTACCTTGGCTGCACTGAGGACCTGCAATTTTATGGTCATTTCAGCCAAAATATAAGGAACTGATGTGTTCTTTTTTTCTAGATGTGGCCCATTTTCTGAAGGATACCACCATCAAAATACTGTAAAATAATGGGGGGGTGCCTGATGGAGTGATTTGGTCCGAGGTTGATGGTAATAAAACTGGAACATCCATCATGTTTGGCATGGGTTCTGGTCAGCTTCCTTGTTTGAAGTGTACTGTCTGTGCCTAGTGGAAATAATCAGGTTGCCAACCTGTGTTTGGAAAGCTGTGAAGAAAGCAGCTCTTTATGTACAGATAGACAGGAAGGCATGAAGTGCTCTCAGACATTTTCTCAATTTTCCTCTTACTGAGTGTTTTTCCCCCCTGGAAAATGCTTTAATATCCAATTGATAAGGTCCCAAGTGAAATTTACACATGAAAGAAGGGAGAACTTCTAATAAAATGACATTAGAATCCTTTTTTTCTCCCAGACACCCTTATGCCATCTCTGATTGAATGGATTTGAAACCGAAGTACCACGCACTTTGGGGTGGAAGGAAGCCTAAAGGCCACTCCATCCAGTCCTTCATTTGCTGTTTAAATCCCTCTCACAGTAGCCACACAGGCAGGGTTGGTCCAAGACTCTAAGTCTATGATTCTTCTGATGACTGAGGGCTTGCTAGCCCAACAGAACCATCAGGTTTGGAAGTGTACTTAAGCTAATAAAACAGCTTTCAATGCACAAGTCCTCATTAATAATAAAGGCTACTTTTTTCAAATGTGCGTCCCTGTGCTAAGAGCTTGAGAGCTTGACATGTACCAACTTATACTATTCACAGTGACCTCCAAGGGAGATGCTATTACTGCCATTTTCCAGTTAAAGAAACCAAGGCTTAACTAAGTGAGCCAAAGTGCTTATCTAGTTTATTCACAGATACCTCCAGTGACAGGGACCATGCAGTTCTTCTCCAGCCAGCTCTGACTCTCAGAAACTGCTTCTCTATAAGGTGTAATGTGTCTCCCTATAAATCAAGCAGTAGTTATTAACTGCTAAAATTCTGGCACCATGCTAGGCATTTTAGATTTAAACAAATTATGGGTGTTATTTGTATATTTATATATATTTCACCTTATTTTAAGAGCTATTTGGGGAAAATAGAAGGAAACTTCTGATATATAACAATGGCAAAATATAAATAAGATTAGAGAAGCAGGATCAGGGAACGTGTAAGTAAAATTGAAAACTATCATGACCAGATTAAAAATATACTATACATATTATATAGAACAAGAAAGAGTGCATCAATTTATTTCGTATTTCACCTGGACTTCCTGGCAACCAAAATAAAATGGGAGACATTGTCAATTCACAGTTCTTATTAATCAAATGATCATTAAAACGGGGTAGCCATTTTCTTGAAATGAAATTGTGAGAAAACTCTCTCATAGGATCTCATATAGAGAATATCAAGAGATCCTGGTAGCTGTAGCCTCAACAAAATTTCTATAGAGTACATATTAATTATTTAGCACATTGATACACTTAGGCTCTAATGCATCTTTTGTTAGAACCCAAGAGCAGAACATTAAAATAAACTTGGCAAAAAGGGCGATGTAGGTCAAATATATAGCCTATGAACTCCCATCTGTATACCCTAAGAGGAAAGATTCTCTGCTACTGCTCTCAGTACTTCACATATGACACCTGATGTGTGCGTTTCTTTTCCTATAACAATTCAGTTCTGTGGCACACACGAACTGGGTGTTCTACAATTAAACTCAATTCTGACACTATCTACCTGGAAATAGCATCAGATCCCACAGTTAAGGGCTCAGTTGCACAATACTGCCCCCACTTAAGATGTCAATCTACATGTTGTCACCTGTGATTTCTGACCCATCAGCTATAATTTCGAAGTTGCCAGTACCCCTCCTCAGGCTCAGTCACTTACTAGAACAGATCAAAGAACTCAGGACAACAGTTTTCTTACTAAATTACTGGTTTATATTAAAAGATAGATACAAAAAGGTTTATACAAAAAGGCTGAGTGTGGTAGCACTTTGGGAGGTCTAGGCAGGCAGATCACTTGAGCCCAGGAGTTCAAGACCAGCCTGGGAAACATGGCGAAACCCCGTCTCTACTAAAAATACAAAAATTAGCCGGGCATGGTGGCTCACAGCTGTAGTCCCAGCTACCCGGGAGGCTGAGGCATGAGAATCGCTTGAGCCCTGCAGGCAGTGGTTACAGTGAGCCAAGATCGCACCACTGCCCTCCAGCCTGGATGACAGAGCAAGATTCTGACTCGAAACTAGATAGGTAGATAGGTAGGTAGGTAGATAGATAGATAGATAGATAGATAGATAGATAAAGATAAGATACAACTCAGGAACACCCAGATGGAAAAGATGCATAAGACAAGATATAGGGGATGGGCATGCCACCCTCCCAGCACCTCTATGTCTTCAGCAACCTGGAATCTCCCTGAACCCTGTCCTTTTGGGTTTTATGGCAGCTTTGTCATGTAGGCATGATTGGCCACTGGTGACTAATTTAAACTCCAGCCCCTCTCTCCTCCCTAGAGGTCTGGAGAGTGGGGCTGAGAGTCCCAATCACACAGTTTGTTCCTCTGGCAACCAGCCCCCCATGCTTAGGAGCTTCCTAAAGGGCAGTCATTAATATAAACGCAGGTGTAATTGAAAAGGGTATGTTATGAACAATAAAAGATGATGATTTTGCCTTCATTCTCTTATCCCTTCTGAAATTCCAAGGGTTTTAGGAACTCAGTAACAGAAATGGATGAAGACCAAATATATATGTCTTGTTATAAATCACAAAATCACTTGGAACTGGAGGACATTATGTTGAGTGAACTAAGCCAGGTGCAGAAAGACAAATATTTAATATGTGGGAGCTAAAACAAATCTTGAACTCATGCAGATGGAGAGTAGAATAATGGCTACCAGAGGCTGGGAAGAATAGTGGGGAGGTGGATATAAAGAGGAGATGGTTAGTGGGTACAAAAATACAGTTAGATAGAAGGAATAGGATCTAATGTTCATTGGCACAATAGGGGTGACTATAGTTAATAATAATTTATTGTCTATTTCAAAATAACTAAAAGAGGAGAAATGGAATGTTCCTAACACAGAAAAATGGTAAATGCTTGGGGTGATGCATTTTGATCACTATATATTGTATGTTTGTATCAAAATATCACATGTAAAAATATATAAATAAAAGAAGATAAGTTGTCTAGGCCAAAAAATTTTAATATCCCATCTCTCCCCTGAACAAAGGCGTAAAGCATTACCCCTGACACAACGATCTTCATTATAGCTCTCAGCTATTGAGACATATAGACAGGCCTGAGTCCCAAAATATAAATGGTATGAGTGTAGAGAGTAGGAACTCTCTGTGGTTGGGTGAAGCAACCCATTCAATGCAGGCTGGGACTGGAAGGGGCTGTTTCCAGGAAGGGTTGGCCTTCGTACTGAGCTGGACTGAACAAGCATTGAGAAAAGATAGACAAAAGATGAGTCAGGCTGAATGTAACTGATTTGATTTATTCCTTTCACTTAAACTGTGTAATGCCTCAGTTTCATGTGTCTACAGAGGACGCTCACCCTTGGCACCACCTGGAAAGTGTAACAGCAGGGCATTGAGGTTCTGGCCAAGGAGCCATCAGCAATCCCATTACCAATGCTTAAAGTGAGTCTCATAAGGCAGATTTGGCTCCAAGCAAAAACCACAGCTCTATTTTCATAAACTAATTTCACTTGTTTGCCCCAGTTAATATTAATAAGCCCAGGGCTATATGCTTCTACTTACCAGAGCACAAAGATAATAGAATAATAGAGTGTTAGATCTGAAATGGACCTTGGAGATCTTCTAGACCAACTTCTCCATTTGATAGATGAGGAAACAGGTGTGAGGAAGTAAAGAGCCAGGTTTCAGGCAGTGAAATTCACAGACTAGACTGGAACCCAAGTTCTCTGACAGGGAGCCCTGTTCAGGGTTTATCAGGTCTATCAAACATCTTTCTCTTTCTACCTCATCCCTAAGGACTGGAATGTGGTGGAAAGAACGTTGGACCAGGCAATGGGAGAACCAGGATCTAAACATATCTTCATTAATTTTACCTTGAATTTATCTGGCCTCTTATTTCCTCTTCACAGCATCAACTTTCTTGTAAAAGTGGATGCCTACTACTGTTCCCCAAAGGAAGAGGCAAGGTAAAACAAAGTCTCCACAATACTAGCAATACCAAATGTGGAACAAATCCCAGTGGTAGTGTTACTTGGTGCTCTGTGACTTTGGAACCTAAAGCTTCACTAGACCGTTGCAATTACTAAGTGAGTAAATAAAGCACATAGCACAAAGGCCTGGCACTGAGATGCCCACCCTCTTCATGGGGCTCCTGTCTTCTTCCTTCCTGATAGATCATGTGTAAGTTCATATGTATCTATAAGGGACATGAATTATCCAGAATTCCTTATAGTCAGAATGTACAGTGATATAATGTTCCTGAGTTACTTACCCATTTCCACTGGGTAAGTCAGCTTGCAGAACTCATTTCCGTTTCTCTTCAACTAGCCAAACATCCATTTTCACCTACATGGAAACTTCTACTGGCCTTGGGACAAATAAATCACATTTGGAGTGTCCCAGGACAATTTAGCTTTAGAAGAAAGAAAAAAAAAAAACAAGGATGGTAACATGAAAGGACGTTTGCTGTGTTGGGCTGTCACTAAGTCCCCATCGAAACTGTGAAAAATTATGGCCAATAAAATAACATTTTTCAAAATGTGACACTACCCTTAAGTTTATCTTGGGCAATAAATGGGTTTTAAAAAGAATATTTGAGGGCTATCCATTCTTCAAGCACTCAATAACATATCATAAGTTAATTGCATTATTAATTTATAACAGAGTAATTGTTTTGTCTCAACAGTCATTTTCACAAGCTCTGACATTCATTTTCTCTTCCTTTTTAATCATCTCAAAATATTAACACTTAAACCACCCCCACCATGCCACCCCAGTTGTCCGCCTCCTCCTACAAAATATAAAAAATGATTCTGAGGGCTGGGCACAGTGGCTTACGCCTATAATCCCAGCACTTTGGGAGACTGTGGCAGGCGGATCACGAGGTCAGGAGTTCAAGACCAGCCTGGCCAATATGGTGAAATTCCCTCTCTACTAAAAATACAAAAACTAGCTGGGCACAGTGGCACGCACCTGTAGTCTCAGCTTCTTGGGAGGCTGAGGAAGAAGAATTGCTTGAACCTGGGAGGCGGAGGTTGCAGTGAGCTGAGATGGTGCCACTGCACTCCAGCCTGGGCGACAGAGCGAGACTCTGTCTCAAAAAAAAAAAAAAAAAGATTCTGACAGTTGGCATGCATAATCTTCTGGCCACCCTTTTGTGATAATGAAAAGAATAAGAACAAAAGCAGCTAGTATTGACTGAGTTTGAAGCTCTGCGAAACAGTCTACTAAACAGTTTAACTGCATTACTTCATTTAATCTTCCCAACAATCCTGTAAGGTAGATGGCAGTATTATGCCTATTTTACATGTGAGGGAATTAAGGCAGAGAATCATTTTCTAAAGCCAAAACAAAAAACCATCCTCACCATTTATTTGGTGAGGGTTCATGAATACAGCTTTTCGTAGGCCAGATTTGCTTAAATAAGAATGTGTTTGAGTGCTGTTCATTCTATATAACACAAAATATAAATATCATCTTTAATTGTACCCAAGTCTAAGTAGTGAAAGGCAGAGGAAAATTAAGTAAAATACCTATTAAGACCACAAAAACTATGTCTTCGGGAATGAATTTTTTTTAAATGAATGATCCAGTTTGGGTACTGGTGTACATTGTAGTGTTAGAATGACCTTATTATGACATGTACAGGCATTGTGATTGTTTTGTTCCTGAAAGGTCAGAACACTAATGTGCAAGCCCAGGCTCTGTCACTATCTGTGCTGTGTCCAGTAGTTCACTTCATCTTTCTGAATCTCAATTATCTCAACTGTAAAAGATTGGCCCTAATATTCCAGTATTCCTAGAGTTTTTGTTGATAACAGGATAGACCCAAGAAACTGTTTACAAGCTAATCATGAAGATGATAAGGGGAAGACAGCCCATTTTTAATGCCCAAGTTTAGATATAGCAAGACTCAGTCTTGCATTTCAACCTGCCTGAAGGGAGAACCACACAGTTGGACAGCAGAGAGGAAAAGCCCCTATATGAAAGCTTAATAATAACAACAACCAAAAAAGGGCAGTCTTGAAGCATCATGACACTAAAAGCTCATTAAGATCTCTGTCCCAGCTATTACACTCCTAATTGAACAGTTACACAAATAGATGTACAATACAATTGTGACTCTAATTAAGGCTCCGACCTCAGAATCTAGTCAAAGCTTGTACAGTTCTCACTCCCCCTTTAAATAGCTGTTCTGGGCAAGCTCTGGGAAGGGAAGCTGTTCTATTATGACTTCACTGAAATAACATGAAAATTCATACAAGCGCTTCTTTTTCTTTTTTACCCAAAATACACCTCCCACTCTCCATTTCTTTCCTTTAGCTTCTGGGAGTGTGATCCTTTGGTAGGAGCGGATGCAATTTGCCAATCCAGTAGTGTCTGCCATATTGCTTTCAACACTTTTCTACAGTGCCCTCCATCAGTGCCTTGATCCACAAGACTAAGGGTCTGAGATAGTCTGGTCTGATACTCTCATGCTAGGATGCTAGCCTCCCTCTTTACTGGGTAATTGGCTTCCTTGCCTAAATTTTAGTTTTACTTTCTCTTGCCCACTTTTCCTTGTCCATCTATACATCTAAGCTAAGAATTTTAGCACATAAACGGTTCTGAGATTCCCTTAGCTTTTTCCTCTATCCTCTTGTCCTGACCTTTGCAGGCAAGAGGGTACTGTTACCTGTAAGAGGTAACCTTGTGAGAAGGAGTGAAAATCAAGGACTTCCTTTGAATCATGGAGAGTCCACTGAGTTAGAAAAATTCTAAAGGAGGAAAAAGGTGGGTAAAGATTTGTATATAGCAGATGTTCATAAAGTGCCCATTTCCTCTCACCCTGAACTAGTTGCCTTAGATGTGAATGGAAGATGGTATATTCATGGGCAGGAGCCATGATAAAATCTAGAGTGAATATAATTTGAACTTAAAGTTGATCACCTTCGTGAATTATTTTCCTTGCATCCTAAAACTGAGGACTGTTTTTGAGGCTGCTGCTTAATATACCTATTGAGGAGAGCCCAGTGACCTTAGGAGTGTAATAGCTGGGATAGAGATCTTAATGAACTTTTAGTGTCATGATGCTTCCAGGACAGAGTACCTTCTGTCCCCTTAAGCCTGAGTGGTATGGCCTTCTGCAGGGCTATTTAAATAGAGGCAAGCTTAACACACCAGGACACTTAATGTCAAATTACACGAAGAGGAAGAAGGCAGTTTAGAGGGACATCTCGTTCCTTGGAATTTTTAAAGAGTATTTATTATGCTTTTAAAATGAAGAATGAGCCAGGCATGGTGGCTCGCACCTGTAGTCTCAGGTACTCGTGAGGCTAAGGCAGAGAGATCACTTGAGCCCAGGAGTTGAAGACCAGCCTGGGCAACATAGTGAGACTCATCTCAATCAATCAGTCAATCTATCTATAAAAAGGTGGAGAGTGACTGTCTGCCTTTTGCTTGACGAAGAGCATGGTACAGTAGTCCTCATCACAACCATGCCACACTGGTGAGCCACCAGCTACCTCCAGGGTTACTCTGAGGACCCAATGAGCAAATACTTATAAAAGCACTTTGAAAACTGCCTTATCAATGTAAGTGGTTGGGTCTACAAACATACCCAATTCCTCTAGTGGGATTTGATCTACAAAAATCAAGAGATAAGCACATTTTTTTTCTGAGATATGTTATTGACATTAAGCCACCTCTCCTGTCTAACTTAATGGATGGATAATGCTTTATCAGTTGGGACCTACATGTGTGATTTCCTCATGCATTGTCAATTCCAATAAGGATATATCATCATGAATGGTTTCTTTAGGATCCAGTTTTATTGCTGACATCCTCAGTAACAGCCAAAAGGTCGTTTTCAGAGATCTAAGCTGGAGCATGATGGTCAAGGATACCCCTAAGGACTGTGTGCACATCATTATTAATGGACTTTTCCCACCATGTTATTTATTGGTTGATGTATCTGTCACTCCCAGCTGGGACACAGGGGCCTTAAGGAGAGAGAATCTCCTGCCCCAGGCCTGGCAACTTCTGGGACGCAGTGGATGGTCATTAAATATTTGAAAAGAGAAAGGCAGTGAGGGAAAATAAAAGGAAGTTCCATGGTGAATCTCCATTACCCTAGCACACTTCCCCTAGCACACAGTGGGTGCCCAGTAAGTGTACATTGAATTAATGCTTTTGATATCTGTAGTAGCCATTTTAGAATGTTGTACTTACATGATACTAGAACTAATGACTGTTACTTGTTTAGTGTGTCACAATTAAGGGAATTTAGCGAATAAGGCTCAGGATTTTTGTTTCACTTTCTTGGATTTCAACAATATCTCTATATCTCATTGGGCCATGACCGTGGGTTGATGTTTTATATAGGCTTTGCTTAGGCTGTTGTGTTCCTTCATAGTCTAGCCAAGAATTCAGCCATCGTAAAGGGACAGCATAGTACGTGCTTGCTTATGCTAAACGTTGGGTCAAATACACTTCATTCTCAGAAGGTTTGACTGAGAGCCCTTATTACTGCAAGCTTGAGGTTTGGCACAATCTCGAAGGTGTCAAGTTTCTCGCAACTTTTGACCTTGTGATGTACACTTAGATTTTCCATTGATGAGAAAATTATGCATCTGCTATTAGAGAAATGACTGCACTCTCTTGGATTGGGTGGTATGGTAAACTATAACTGGTGATGAACACATTTGGAATGGTTTGAGAACACAGATTTGGTTTTAGGCCCCATCTAAAGGTTTGCATGGTCATCTGAACTTGACTCATCTGATCTCAATCCGGACCATTGAGTCAGAAACACAAAGCTTGAAACCTCGAGAGGGAAGACTCCTGACATTTCTAGTCATGCCAGCTTCCCATCAAGCCAGCCACATTCGATGAAGTGTCCTCAGGCATTTTGGCACGTCCAGTTCTGTTCCCGGTCCAGGTTGTGGTTTCTTTGAAAGCAGCAGGTGTAGGTGGTAGGTGCATGGAAAGAGGCCACTGAACTTCAAGGAGTTTATGTCAGGGATCGGCTGCAGGGCTGAGGAGAGAGGGTTGCAGCATTCACCTTCCTCAGCTCGTTTGCTATGTCCTCCTGGAGGAGAGAGAAATTCAGCAGGAATAACTGGATTTCATCGGGTAAATTCCACAAATATTGATTAAGTATTCCCCACCCCACCCTGTTCTGGTGAGTCTTCAGTGTGGCCACAAATCACATAAGAAACTTGTTAAACTGAAAATTTACAGCCTAGACAAGAAAGTGAGACCCCCATCTCTAAAAAAAAAAAAAAAAGAAAGAAAGAAAGAAAGAAAGAAAAAAAACCCGGGTGTCGTGTTGCTATAGTCTCACCAGGCTGAGATGGGACAATCTCTTGGGCAGTCCCACGAAGAGACTGCAATGAGCTATGATTGTGCCACTGCACTCCAGCCTGGATGACAGAGCAAGACCCTGTCTCAAAAAAAAAAAAAAAAAAGGCAAAGAAAATTCAGATTCAGTAAGTCTGGGGTGGAGCTCGAGATCTCTGTACTTCTCACAAGGTCCCAAGGTCCCAAGGTCCCAAGGTCCCAGGTGAGGCTGATGCTGCTAAGCCATAAGCCACACTTTGAGTTGCAAGGCCCCAGGTGCAAAGCGCCATGCCAAATATAGGGAACACAAAGGTGAACAGATGAAGACGACAAAGCCATTGTCCTTAGGGGATCATCTCTTGGTGGGAAGACAGGTAAACAGTAACCATTCCACAGGCACCCCTGGTAAGGATTTAGGTGGATGGATCCTGTGGGAGCCCTGAACTGGGTCTTAGAGGTGAGCAGGTGAGCAAGTAAGGAAGCCAGACCAAGAGTATTTCAGGCAGAGGCAAGAACCTAGGTAAAAAGAGAAACCAAATGTAAGCTCAACGTCTTTCTGTGGAGCAGACACCTAAGAAATTGCCCAATTCATTCCCAAGCCCCCAGGAAAAAAAAAAAAAAAGATGAAGCCTATGAAAGCACAGAACATTCCTGTGGCAAGTAAGCAATCACTTATTTCCAAGGGCACCGGGCCTTCTTTCGGCTGCACAATCTAATTAGAGCGTTTGAGATGTGGATTCGGGAGAAGCACCAAGCTGAGGGTATTGTAAGCCAGCTGAAGCTGTGAAAAGTCGAGCAATCCCATTCTCAGCACTTTTTGCAGCCCTGTCTTTCATTTTTTGTGGATTGACCAAACTGAGGTTTTGCTTTGTGCTTTTGTGTGTGTGTGTGTGTGTGTGTGTGTGTGTGTATTTTCTTTCTTTTTAATGAATCTGAAAACTCAGAGTGAAACCCAGGCAGGTGGTTTGATTTCCCCAGGTTCTTTCCTCTCCTTCCTGCTGCCCACCCCTGCTTCACCCCATCCCCGCTGTCCCTCCCACCCAGAAATGAGACCCTTTGGCATTGAATACACTGCAGATTTCTTCTCCCGCCTGAGCTCATCACTGACCCATCAGACCTTCTGAACCATACTGGGTGAGTCCAAACATTGCAGTCCATCAGTTGCCTGGGAGAAAATGTCCCTGGTCTTTTTTCTTCACTGCATGTGTCCTGTCTTGGCCCTGCCACTTACCAGTAGAAAGACCCAGAACGTGTTTTTGCCATAATGGGAATAGTAATAACAAAAACTTGCTTAGAAGTGTACACAGCTCTCACCCACAAGCCTTCCACCTATCCTGGCAAATAATTAGGGCAGGTACTAGCATCTTTATTTCCATTTCATAAGTACAAGAACTGAGACCCAGGGAAACACAGCTCATACATGGTGAAGCAAGGCCATGGACCCCGTGTTCTGACTCTCCATAGTAACGTTATATACTGGCCATGGGCAACAGGCCCTGCAATAACCTTCAATTAATCCTCATAGCAACACAAACTTCAGAAAGGAAACTGAGGCTTAGAGAGACCAAGGTGCTGTCCTGAAGTCAGTGAGTTCCAAACTTGGGTTGCAAACCCCAGTGTGACCGATCTCAGAGTCCTCACTCTTACCCTGATACTGTGTAGCTTCTTCTGTCATCCTCAGCCCTTCAGTTCACCTCTCTTGGCCTGACTTTCTCATCTGTGAAATGGAGGTGGCTGGCTGTGATCTGTAAGACCTCCTTCCAGCTCTAATATCCTGGGATCCTATAATTTTGCCTCAGAAACCAAAGTTCTTTGTTGCCAGCTTCTCTTCGGTACTAATCATTTTGCTTAATTATGTTGAACTCCAAGTGAGTTTTACTGCAGCTGTCAACACTCTGGAGTTGGTTACACGGCTGAAGCTGCTAGCTGGATGATAGCACCTGTGTGCCATTTTGCAGGGCGTGTGCGGCAGCCAGGTAGGCCTTCTGCTTGGCTGGATGCTTTGAGGCTGAGTCTTGATGCCAGCTGAGTTCCTCTGTTTGTATGGGAAAGGAGTAGGCATACCTTCAGCTACAAATACCCGGAAAGCAACATCAGTCACTTTGGCTGAGTGTACACTGCTGGTTTCATTCCAAAGCCTGGCATGTTGTGTTGTGTGGATGGGGTGTTCAAGGTGGAGAGGGCAAAGACTCAACATCTGATACATTTACTTCCATTTGGGGTGCATGAGCAAAGATCATTTCAGTCTCGGGCTTCTTCGTGGGAACTTGACTTGCCGGGTAGCTCCCCCTGGGGTTCAGATCTCTGTTCATTGTTTCTCTTCAAGCCCTGGGAAGTGCCATGTTATCTGGAAAGCTTTCCCTAACATGTTCTGTCTGCATTTATACTTCACCCATGTGCCCCTCAACTATTCATCATAGCCCTTGTCCCACCATAATGAAAATGTCTCTCATTATTTTTCTGGCTGGCCCACGAGCCTGCAAGGTCCTTATAGGTGCCAACTAAGTATCATTCATCCCTGGATGCTCTCCCACTAGACGTTTATTGAATGAAGAGTGGAGGAATGAATGAAGCAACGATGGCTTCCTCTGTGCTCATCCTTCCAGTGTTCTACGCACAGATTAGGAACAAGAGTTTCCTTTGTCTTTCTGACATTCTCCCATTATTCCTCATCCTTCCTCTTTTGATAGACTCAAGGTTTACCCAATTGGTGAATCTCTCTTCTGAGCCTTCTCCTAAACTAATTTGTCCCCAGAATAGCACCCCTTCTCCCTCTCTGTCCTTACCAACACATGCTTCTGACAGTCCAGGTTCCACCTCTGAAATGTCAGCTAAAACTCTTCTCATTCAGGCAGCGTTCCCTGTCCAGAAAAGAGGCAGCACTTTCTCTCTTGCTCTATTTGAATTAAACATGCAGTTGCCAGGAGTCACCTGAATTCACACTCTACAGCATACTCTTTCTTCCCCCTTGATTCAAGCATGATGTAAAATGTTATACATTTTTTTTCAAGTTGTAAAAGTATTAATTCATTTGCATCGATGACTTATCTTTGTCTTGTAAATATTTTGATAATATCTAAGGACTCTTCTAGTTCTAAGAAAAAAAAAAAAAGGTCAGTGATTCTTTAAAATCGTGATGGATCTCACCTCTTCACCCCAAGAGATTCTATTCAGGAGATCTGCTACCATGCTTTAAATCTTAACAGGTGAGTGGTTGGACAGGAAGAGACCTGGAAAGGTGAACTCTATTCAGTGTTATTACTTGGGGGAGGGTTGAGAGGAAAAGAAAATATTGAGTTGTGGAAGGCATCTGAATGGTTTCCACCTTCAGAAGCAAAACGTTCTATGCCACTTAATAGTGGCCTCAAATATGCCAAGAAGATAGTTTTACCTGAGCTCTTTTCATTGTCTTTTAACTTTTCCTTTTCCACTTCATCAGTTTCCCCAGTTGGTAGGGATGATCTTCAGATCTGTTCAGGGATGTGGTTGTTGAGGATGGATCAGCAGGGCCACCATATTTAACATGAGTGGGTTTAAGGATCCCTTGAGGTTGCTGAAAGTTTAGATTCCCAGGCCTTTCATCACAATTCCTGATTCAGTATATATGAGGTTAGCCCAGAAATCTACACTGTATTTAATATTAGTTCAATTTAATGCATAAATGCTTTTTAAAAAAATAAGCAAACAGGGCTGGGTGCGATGGCTCACACCTGTAATCCCAGCACTTTGGGAGGCCGAGGTGGATGGATCACGTTGTCAGGAGTTCGAGACCAGCCTGGCTAACGTGGTGAAACCCCGTCTCTACTGAAAATACAAAAATTAGCCGGGAGTGGTGGCGGGCGCCTGTGCAGCTACTCAGGAGGCTGAGGCAGGAGAATCGCTTAAATCCGGGAGGCGGAGGCTGCAGTGAGCTGAGATTGCACCACCGCAAAATCCAGCCTGGGCGACAGAGCGAGACTTAGTTTCATTAAATAAATAAATAAATAAATAAAAGCAAACACTGCAAGAGAATAAATAATAAAGTGTAAGGGTCCACACATTCACCCTCTGGTATCTGAGTCACATTTTACCTGCACAAAGGCAGAGTAAACTCAGACACTGCCTCTAATTCTGCTGTTGTCCTCCCTCATAAGTGTATGACTAAATATGACCAGTTTCACCAAGTGGAATAATACTGCTCTGGTCTTGTCTCCTCAACATGGCTCTGTGTAGCTATAGAGAACAGAAGCACCTGGGGAGTGAGTCAGAAGTTATGCAGGCGCCTATACAATCTGTCATGTGGTTTCCATGTTACTGTAAAAGTTGATCCTAAGCTTTAGCTGTTCTGCTAAGCTGTGTCTCTCCATCTAGTTTGCAACATGAAAGGCCAGGAGACGTCTCATTCCTTTGATACCCAGTGTTCCAGGAAACTTTAAAGTACAGATTTCTCCCACATCTTACCAAATTGGCTGTGTCTCCCAAGAAGTTATATGCGGGCTAATAAAGCAAACAGTGCCGAGAGCATCCCCCATGTGGTCAGCCACACAGACAAGCACAATCGTAAGCTCTGCCCAGCCTCTGAGCCTGTCAGCTCCTTTCAGTTACTGTGCGATGCTCAAAATGACTACCAGCATCTTCTCCAGACCTGTTTAACAGGGACAGGCACAGAACTTTAGAAGGAAAACCCACATTGCTATGTTGGGCGATTCTGAGTTTGGAGTAGTGGTGATTCAATGATTGATTTCCTTCTGGAAAGGAAGGAGGCCAATACTTTAAACTGCCAAAGTATCATTCATGCCTCGTCCTCGATGTTTGGCAGGTTTAAACATCAAATACTTTATTACCTAAGTAATTGAAAAATGCCAATTGCCTTGAGCTAGAGAACACTTGGAGGGACCAATATCACATGCTAATATTCCAGTGACTTTTAGGGATAATCATCATAAGTATTTGTTATTTATGTATTTCTGTTGCTAGGAAGCTTAGCTGAAGTGCTACAAGTTGCTAATTTTGTTTCTGATACCTACTAAAGGCCATATTCAGCCATATGTTCATGTGTGTGCTGTGTGCCTTGGTTTATTTCCTTTAGTGTTTTATATATCAACCCAACGAAATAGTTCTGCATGTAGCATTTTGCAGATTCTGTTTATCATCAACAGCAAAAATTTTTCTCCCTGGATGGCCTAAATACAGAAAAACAACGTTACCTCAGAGTGGATAGGAGTAGAGATTTTCTCAGGGATAATGGATGATATTACTAGCTAATAATAATAATGATTCAAGTTATTTTTGTATTTGAATTCGAACTATGTTTGTATTTGTATTGTACCTGATCATTTATTTTTATTTATTTATTTATTTATTTGAGATGGAGTCTCGCTGTCGCCAGGCTGGAGTGCAGTGGTGCAATCTTGGCTCACTGCAATCTCTGCCTCCTGGGTTCAAGCGATTCTCCAGCCTCAGCCTCCCAAGTAGCTGGGCCTACAGATGCGCACCACCATGCCCAGCTAATTTTTGTATTTTTAGTGGAGATGGGGTTTCACCATGTTGGTCAGGATGGTCTCGATCTCTTCACCTCGTGATCCACCTGCCTTGGCCTCCCAAAGTTCTGGGATTACAGGAGTAAGCCACCACGCCCCACTGTACCTGATCATTTACTAAGAACTTTTCCGGTGTTTTTCCTCACATTTAATCTTTACTGGGACCTTGTGCAGTAGGTATTAAAGTCATTAAATTTCCAGATGAAAACATTGCGGAATTACAGTACAAGGATGGTAAAAGATTTTATAATATTGTCCATCAAATAGGGACAACAATTGAGATTTGAATGCAGGTCTATCTGACTCCAAGTCCAGTGTTCTTCCAGTTCTTCCTATATTTAAATTCTCCTGAAATTCAACAAATTAGTTAGTGGCATGGTTGCCCTTGCTGGGCCACAATGATTGGAATATTAATGGAACCACATGGCTAGCTCCCTGCACTTGTATCAAGGCCTGTCCAGGTATATCTGGAGCCAGTTTCCAAATTCAAAGGGTTGTCATGAGATGTTTTAATCGCTATTTTCTCCTTCCTTTTTGATGTCTTCTTGTTGGCAGTGGTATAGCCATTTGTTACGCACCCAATTAAGTCAGCAATCTTGTAGTCTTTTGTAGAATGTGGAAACTTCTCGTTTTATGCCTTGTGACTCTGCTTCATGGAACCGACAAGAGAGATGGCGGAAAAGGTTACAGTCACTCCATTTCTCTATTATCGTCTTCTGCTGAGAGCTTATCACTAATTTTGGTGTCAGAGCAACAGTCATTTTGAGACCTTATGAAAGCCTACATACTCCCCAGCAATGCAGACAGCCCCCCTGACCTTTGCGGCTGCAGATAATGGCCAAGGCTGTGGCACAGTGACCTTTAGGCCAAGAGTGGGTGGCAGCACTTTCTTTTCTGTGACATTCATTTTGCTTTGCCTCTGTTTGTATTTTTAATTGGAAGCGTGTACCGTGTGGATCTGCCTGGTTCTCCCCCTCCGCCCTGAACTCTGAGCAGAGAGATTGTGTCTGGCTGGCTCTCGTTATAAAGGAATGCTCTCAATGCCAAGCTGGGGGTCATTACTAATTGCCACAGCGACAGACACAAAGGATATTACCGGCAATCTTTCAGGGGGAGATGCTGTCAGCAGAAGAGGGCCTTTGTCCCACCTGGACCAGCCCATGTTTCCTTCTCATATTCATTTTACTCCCATGATCCCATGAGATGAATCAGGCACTTGAATTTTTTTTTTTCAAATGACATTATTTATTGCACCAGAAATCTTGTCATCCGAGAGGAACCACAGCCATTTAGGCCATCTCTTCAAGCTCCATCTCCAGTCCTTGTCCTTGATGATACTGTTTGCTGCAGACTCACCCCACATCCTTCATTTCCCTTCCAGGCTGCAGACAGCTTGAGCCTATTCTAAAGGTCTCATTATTTATTCTACTTAGTTCTTTATTATTTGCTAACTATAAAATATTCCCAGGTTGCTTTCTGTATGTTCATCTTGTTTCCTCAGATAGCTTTTTTTCACTACTTGTCAAAGCGAAGCTGACTATGAAAATTTCATAAGCACCTACGGTGTGCCAGGACCTATGGTAGGTATTTTATGTATATAGTTTCATTTAATCCTTACAACAAACCTGCAACTTAGGAGTTGTTATCCTCACTTTATAGACACGGGACTGGAGCTTATAGGCACTGTGAACATTACAAACTTGCCAAGCATCACGCACAGCTGTGCAGCTGGCCCATACCAAGGCAGGATGCCAACCCCTGGACATGGGTTGGGGAAAGGTGGGAAGAGGCTCAAAGCATGTATGATGTTAGCTCCTATAAGCCTCCAAACATGGACTACCTTACCCTTGTGTCACCCACCCGACCACGCCAGACACATCGTTGGTATTCAATAAGAACACCCATGATGGTGTCCTTAAACATGATGCTCTTCTGGCTGAATCACATAGGGACAGGCCCTGCACTGAGGTTCAAGCGCTGGTGTGCCATCGGGGCAGGGATCCCTCTGACAGGGCCTGTCAGGGATTGTGAAATTGGAAAAAGTCACAATAGTGTTGCTTGTTCCCCAGCTCGCTCAGTAAATACTTTACAATGTGGGCACACATGGATACCTTGGAGACTTGATGGGGAACATGGCCGGGGAATCCTGCCCTTCAGGGAGCTGAGACATTATCAGCACACACTTCCTACTTCCTCAGAACCATCCAGTGATCCGGAAGAAAAGTTCTCAGAACTTACGTCATTGGTAGAGTAAGCTTTTTGACAAAAGCTGGAGGAAGAAAACTATTGTGGGGAAAAAAAAAAAATCTCTCTCTCTCTCTCACCCACCCACTCACTCATACACACACACACTCTCTCTCACACACACACACACACATATAATATTGCCATAAACCAAAGCCACAGAATTGTCTTTAAGAAAGGACAGTTTATGGTAAATGCCAAGATTTACATGGCAAAAGGAAGCAAGTGCCAAGGTTTACCTCCTTCCCCTATTCAAAATTGCTTTTTATTTTCAGCAAACTCAGAGTAGGAGGTAGCAGGTTTTCTCCTACTTTGAGTGGTATGATTTGGATAGCCTGGGACCTAGAACACCCCAGCACCCTGGGACCTCACATGTCCTCCCCACTCTCCAGGCACCTGGCTGCCAACACATGCAACCCCGTTGAGGCCTTTCACGCTCACACCCAGGGGCCCTAATGTGTCAGAGGAATGGAGCAGTTTTGCCTTCTTGCACAGAAGGAACTGCATCTCCAAGGTGGCAGGATCCACACATAAGATTGTGGAAGCGGCTGACAAGGTGCTGTCATCTTAGAAGAAAATTGTGCTTTTATGTTCTGCAGACTTTTGAAATCCAGCTCCTGCTCATAAATTGCCGTGTAGCCATGTCAAGGATTATGGAGGGTTTTTCTATTTATGTGTGTATATGTACATCGTTGCTCCTGATGACTCAAGCGGTGGTGCTAGCAGGGAAGCTTGGTCCACCTCGCAAAGCGCTTAACAAGAGTCCTGACAACAGCAATATGTTACCACTTTTGTTTGTACTGCATCTTCACACCCACTCACTCAGCAACAGACTGAATGAAATGTGCTCCGGTGCTTTGTGTGAGGGAAAAAGAATGAAAATAATGGCCATTCAGGCAAAATAAGGCTTTTTGGTGCTTTTCAGAAAGCAGTCTTGTTTTCGTTGTTGTCCCTGTGTTCACGTAATGGCCTTATCCTTGTCTTTCATTGAAACATTCCCAAAGCAAGGAAAACATCTCACCCTGAACACAGAAGAATGCATGCTCTTAAAGTGATCAGCAGGGAAGACGTGGGCTGGGAGGATGCTGCACCAGTTGTCTACAGGGCTCCCTGCTCAGAGCAAGTTGATGGGCAGGTGACTATGGATGGGAAAGGGGCTTGCTGGAAACCAGCTCTGCTCTGTCTGGCAAGGCCTTAAGAGGGGGAAAACATGATCATCACCATCAATGTGCACATGAATTGGGCACTTACCATGCACCAGGCACAGGAGAGGGTGTCTCTTAGGCATCATATAATCTGCTCCAAACCCTCTCAGGAGGATATCATTATTATCCCCATTTTAGAGATGAGGAACCCAAAGTCTAGAGAGGTCAAGTAACCTCCCCAGGAGTCATGTGGAGTCAGGATTTGAATCGGGTACCATCTGACCCCCCGCTTAAACATCACACCAGCATCTTAAACACTACCTTAATATCCTCAGAATCAAACCTCCCATGCCTGCAAATTAGAGGGGTTGAGTCATGGATGAGGAGGGGAATTTCAGGGAGGTATACTTTGAGAACTGTTCCAAAGAGGGTTGTTCTAAGTTCCCTTGCTGGCTCATCTTTGGGCTGGAGGAGCTGCATGTTATTTCGACCCTAAACATGTGAGAGGCAGAATGAGTGAGGGCATCAGCCTGGATTCAGGTCTGGATTTCTTGGGACCAGCTCCATGAACACGGACTGTTGATTCTCCTCCCTGGGATTTGGCAGCCTGTGCGTTAGCTATACCGCCATGCTTGTTAAAATGACCACAGGGCTGGAAAATTATCTATGTCTTCCCTGCTCCTGCATCTTTCCAGGGAGTCCTCTTCATGATGACGTCTCATTAGTTGCTCATTTCTGTTTCTCTCAATGACAGGAAACCCACTGGAGCCACAGGGGCCTTTGAGACGCACCTCACTAGCCCTGAAGAGATTCTTCCCTTTGTGTGCAAGATGCCTCCTCCTCTATTCTCAGGCCATCCACATCCCACCAACCCTGATGGGCCCAACTGAAATCCCACCTCCTCAACAAAACCATCCTTGTGTACATGTTTCTTCCCAGCTCCACATTCAGAGACATCGCAATGGTAGCTTGAAATCAATCACTGTAGGAATATTTACACCACAGAAATTGGCAAACATTGCAAATCAGACCCTTATCTTCGCTGTTGTTTTGCAGGCTGGTTTATCAGCACATCACTGCTCATACCTAAAGCCCCACCACTCGTTTGGCCCCAACAATTAAAACCATACTTTGGCCATGTTTTATGATGTGCCCATGCTTGTCTCTCAGTGGAGACTGTAGGAGGATCATCAAGTTATTTGTATCTCCACAGCATCATCATGGTACCTCGTAAATAGCAAGTATTGTCCAATATCTGTATCTGTCAATGTTGTCCGTTTCATCTATTAATATTTGGGGTGTACTTTTTCCCTAAAAGTTTTCAGATGATATCCAATTGGCTATAAGTGAATGTTTCAAAGAGCTACTTGTCTGTCATGCCTTTCTTCATTCAACCATTTATTTATACCAGTGAGCATTTGCTATGTGTCAGGCATTAGTTCAAAGGCAAGAGTACTCAGAGGTAATCATAACATAGGAGGTCTCTGCCCTAGGGGAGCTCACATTCTAGTCAGGAGAGACAGAAAATACACAAGTAAACAAATCCACAAAGAAATTAGAAACAGTCTGATAGCAGCAAAGGATACAAAAAGAAGAACCCAGAAGGATGGAATAGAGGAGCTGGGGCATGGGTGGGGCACAGTCTCAGGTTGGGAGGTATATTGATTTCCTATTGCTGCTATAACAAATAACCACAAATGTTTTGGCTTAGAACAATATGAATGTATTCTGTCATTGTCCTAGAGGTCACAAGTCTAAAATTGGTTGTGATATGGTTTGGATTTATGTCCCGGTCCAAATCTCATGCTGAATGATAACCCCCTTTGTTGGAGTAGGGGCCTAGTGGGAGGTGAACAGATTATGAGTGGATTTCCCTCTTGCTATTCTCACGATAGTGAGTGAGTTCTCATGAGATCTGGTTGTTTAAAAGTGTGTGGCATCTCCCCCTTCACTCTCTCTCTCTCCTGCTCCACCACGTAAGACGTACCTGCTTCCCCTTCACCTTTTGCCATGATCGTAAGTTTCCTGAGGCCTCCCCAGCCATGCTTCATGTACAGCCTGTGGAACCATGAGCCAATTAAACCCCCTCTCTTTATAAATTACGCAGTGTCAGGTAGTTCTCTGTAGCAATGTGAGAAAGGACTAACACAGGTTGGAGTCCTGCATTCCTTCTGAAGGCTTCAGGGAAGAATCGTATCTTGGGCTTTTCCAGCTCCTGGAAGCCACCTGCATTCCTTGGCTCATGGCCCTGCATCTCTCCAATTTCTGCTTCTGTCATCACACCTCCCTCTCTGACTCCCCTTCCTCCCTCTTTTTCCCTTATGAGGACTCTTGTGATCATATGGGGCCCACATGGATAACCCAGGATCATCTCCCCATCTCAAAATTCTTCCTCCTTTGAGTCTCTTTTGCCATGTAAGGTAGCATATTCACAGGTTCCAGGGATTAGGAGGTGACATCTTTGGGGGCCATTATTCTTCCTACCACAGGAGGTGAGGGAAGGCTTCTCCCAGGAGCTGCCACTTGAGAGGAGACCCACACGACAAAAACAGATGAGGGGGACAGGCTGCAAAGATCCTGGACCTGGCAGAAGCCTGCAGATTCTGAGGAAAATGCCAGCATGACTGAAGTGAGCAGCAAGCGGGGGCTGGAGGGGGAGGCAGGGCCCAGGTCCCTCTGCATTGCGGGAGCCAGAGAAGGAGCGCAGATTTCATTCTGAGTGCAGTGGAACGTGGGCAGAGGGCTGGAGAGTTGTGTTCTCACTGGGCTAACTTGTACATGGATGAAGACAGTTTCTCTGGCAGTTGTTTAGAGCAGTGCTGTCTGGTAGAAATACAATGTAATCAGATTTGTCAGTTTAGATGTTCTAGTAGCCACATGTTAAGAAGTAAAAGGAAACAGCTGAAATTAACCTTAATAAAACATTTTATCTTTACCCAATCTATCCAAAGTATTATCATTTCAACGTGGTATCAATATGGAAAACTTATTAATACGATATTTTATATTCATTTTTGTACCACATCTTCAATATCTAGTGTGGGTTTTATGCTTGAAGCATACCTCAATTTGGACTGGCCATATTTCAAGTGCTCGACAGCTACATATGGTTGGTGGCTACTTTTGGATAGTACATGTCTAGGCACTGTTCTCAGAATCCAGTGCAAAGTCTACTCAAAGGTGTTCAGAAAAGCAATGAACAGTGCATTGTCACGGAACATATGGGCCACCTGTCACTCCCATCAGCCATCCCCAATTCCAGAGGTTCTGAGTAGGCCACAGGAAGTAGGGGATGGAACAGGAGATTCTAGAAAGGATGTGTCCTCTGGTGAAGCTGATGAGGTTCAGCCACAGACTCTGATTAGACTCTTGCCTGGCTGCAACCTCCGAGAAACACCCTGTCTCTGTTTATTTCATAGATATCTAAGTTCACCTCTGCGTTCACCCTTATACCTTTAATCCTCAAGGGAGTTTCAGCCAAAGCCCGATTTTTTTCCCATTTCTTTATAGATAGGGCCATTTATTCAACTCATTATACTAATATTACTGAAAACAAGGGCAGAGGTTAAGAACAGGAAAAATTCAATGAAGCAATGAGAGGGTATCAATTGCTAGGACAAGAAGTATATTCCAGGCACTTTTAAGCTATACCCATGCTCTCTTGAGCTCTTGCTGTGACCCTGATATTAACCATAAAAGTATAGCCCAAAAAGCTTGGTACCAAAAGAGCATCATGTATATCCATTTAGATTTTTACAGTGATATTAAAAGGGGTTATGAAACAGAAAATAAAGATCTGAATTAAACATTTAGGTCATGGTGGTTTTGCATAAAGTCTAGTATGTGAGAAGCATATTCGATACTGCACAAGACAATAAAAACAATAGCAATGTTTATTAGAATATCCTATTTAGAACCAGCAATCTGTGCAACATACTCAGCTTTTAGGAGATGGGCTGGCCCCGAGTTTCTTTCCGATGATGGATTTGGTGGGCTGGCATCTTGACCCTGTCATCCAGCCTGCGGGTACCATCAAAAGGCAGCTTGACCATTTTTGATATGTAGTGACAAAAGCTCTAATGTGTGAGTACAAAGGTGCCTTCTGTGAGTGCTTTGGTGCTTTAGCGCTTCAGTCAAATTACCAGTGGCTCTAATTAGTGTTCCTGAAATCTGGAGCAATCTATATCTGCATTCCAAAAAGGGGTGGAATGTTTCCCTCTGATAACACATTAGTATGAGTCCTTCCTAGATGGGTGTTCTGAAATTATAAGGACGTGATAGTGTGGAGGAGAAGCAGTTACGATAGAGAAACCTGTTGCTTTGAAAATCAGCAGTGATCTTTGCAATCAGCTGATTAATAAATATTTATACAGTACCTATCAAGTGCTACACTCTGAAAAAAATAAGTATGCAATGATAAATCACAGTACGGGCACCAATGTGGTTCTGACCTGGAAGCGAGTAGACCTGAGCCCTGACAGCCACTTACGATTGCTGCTATCTTTGGTTTAATCATTGTATAGCAGAGACAATAGTTATTGTCTCAACCAAGATTCATTTCCCTAGGACAAGTTACTTTATCTCTCTGGACCTCAAGATTAAGAGGGTCTGAAGGGATCATGCTGGTGGTGGTAATAAAAATAGCTTCACAGCTGGGCGCGGTGGCTCACGCCTGTAATCCCAGCACTTTGGGAGCCCGAGGGGAGCGGATCACGAGGTCAGGAGATTGAGACCATCCTGGCTAACAAGGTGAAACCCCGTCTCTACTAAAAATACAAAAATTAGCCGGGTGTGGTGGCAGGCACCTGTAGTCCCTGCTACTCGGGAAGCTGAGGTAGGAGAATGGTGTGAACCCGGGAGGCGGAGGTTGCAGTGAGCGGAGATCGCACCACTGCACTGCAGCCTGGGCGACAGAGCAAGACTCCATCTCAAACAAGCAAACAAAAAAATGGCTTCACATACTGAGGTGTATAATTGTGCTAAGTACTTTAATGCGAATTAACTCATATATTTCTAAAGCAAACTCAACTAGAAGATGGGTTCTGTTAGTCCCAATTTATAAATGAGAAAGCTGAGATTTAGGTTGTGTGACTTACCTGAAATCAAAGAACACCGACTAATGCCAGAGCTGAGATTCAGTAGCAAGTTTTAGAGCCTGTAAAGCTTCCAATCGGCACCCCCGGAAGCTCATCCCAGCTGTCACATTCTGTGGATCTGGGGACCTTAAAGAATCATCAAAAGATTGCCTGGGGAAACGAAAAGGTTGAAAACTGATGGGGGAAACCATATTTCAGGGAAATAGGGACGAGGCATTAGCAGAGCTTCAGAGAGGAGAAACATACCATCGTCTGTGGCTCAGAGAATTCAGAACCTAACTACATCAGAATACCGTGATGCTGAAATGCAGTGTGTCTTTCTGGGACACACACCGATAAATCAATGCTGAGATCTCAATTTGTGTTGACGTAGTGATGGTCATTCAGCAAATGAGCCTTCACATAGCAGGCAGTGCCACCCGGAAAGGCACTTCAAGGTTGCTGTATGACAACTAGTCTCACCTTCTCAACCTTTTCATTTTATACCAGTGTCAGCCACAGCTGGAGGACTTGTGAATTTCACTTTAACTATAATATTTAGTGAGGACACACACACACACACTCACACACTGGCACCCACAAAGTCTTCACTTTGAAACAAGGGTGGGTTTGGTTTCCTTCACTTATACAACTGATGCCTACCAGGGATATTTTTGTTTAGACGGCTCATTGGCCACAAACCGTTTCATTATGTGTTGCCCAGTTACCTTGGCTTCCTGCACATTCTTTTGAGCAGATAGTTCATCTCCTTATCTCAAAGAATTGTTTCCCCAAGTGTAGCCCTGGAGCCAATAGCTTTGATACCATCGAGGCAAGAAGGCATTAAACCACCTTTTTTGTAATTGTCTTAGTCTTACTTTTTCATGTCTGTTTCATGAAAAGTTGATGTGGTTAGATTTAAGCTGGGCCTCGCTGAGGGTATCATCTGTGCCTGGGGTTACCCACATCATCACGTGGCTTACCTTCCTTTGCAGTATGGTGATCTTATCTTCTTTGCTGCTTCTTGCCATAGAGCAACCAGCTCCTTCTAGCTCCTATGTGTGTGTGCATGCATACAAGTGTGCATTCGACATGCGTGGAGGCTTGCTCGTGGCAGCAGCTTGTAAAATGACACTTTACCATTCAGAATGAAAACTGGCTGGTTGGGGGCCTTTGCTATACTCTTAGGGGCAAACGACAACAACAACAACAACAACTCCTTCATTGGCTTTTCCATTTGGGAACTTGGAGCAAAGTTTTCCTTAAGTAGATGCATTTCTGTGTAGTTTAAAGTAGTAATTCTTTTGTTCCCTCTGTGTCCCAGTAACTGAGCTGACAACCCAGGGTACAAAGATGAATATGACTGAGTCACTGTCCTTGAGAGAGCCTCAGGACAGCCATAGGAGAAAACATGTTAACAAATAGCTAGAATTCAACTCAGGAAGGGCAGAGAGGTGCCAGGAACAGAGTTCTCTGGGAAGACAAGTGAGGGGACTAGGAGAGAAGAGCCAGAGGAGGCTATGAAAAGGAGCAGGCATTTAAACTCCATCCTCAAAGTCAAGTGCAGGTTTGCCAGTTAAAGAGGGGAAGATATTCCTGGTGGAGAGAATAACCAAAAAAAAAGTAAATGAAGATGTGAAAGTGTGGGCTATGTTTCCTGTGCCCTGAGCAGAGTAGGTATATTAGGGTGAGGCTGTAGAAAGATGGGCCAGCCCAGCTGAGGAAGGACTTAGTGCATTATCCTGAGATGTTTAGCATTCAGGGTATGCTTTAAGATTCAATCCAACAAGTGCACCAGAGACCCAGGAAAAGCAAAAAGAGACATTCACGGACCTTGCCAAAATGGAGAACTTTGCCTTCCCCAGCAAGACAGGGCTGTGCCAGCCGTTCTGTCCCTGGTTCTGACTCAGCCTTTGGCTTTCTTTTCATCAGTCATTTAACCCTCCGAGAACCTGGCTTGCCACGGTCAGAGTGTGAATCTTGAAAGCGTCCTTGACCCCTCCTGACAACTGTAAAGTCATGGGAAGAATTGCTCTTGTAACTCATCTTGCCCTTGGGCAGCTAGTGGACATTTGACCATGACACGTGTAACAAGAACAGTTGGTTTGTGTGGCTGCAGCAGCCACATCACAGGGAGAGGGAAAGAGCTCTCCGCCTGGGAGAAAAGGCCTTGGGAACTGTGTGGGCTCTACCACTCTGATACTGAATGACCTTGGACAAGTTATTTCTCTCCAGGCTCCGATGTCCTCACCTGTAAAATGAGGTACCTGGACTTTATGGCTACTAAGAGGCCTTTTCTCCCTTCTACCGTGTCTGATTCTGCCTTGACTCTTTAATTTTTAGGAAGTTAGAGTGCAGGAGACTGACCAGGGAGCGTCTCTGCTTAACATGGGGACTCTGAGATTTGTGCATGTTTGTGCTTTGAGCAAGGAAAAAACAAATCACCAAGTGGCCCAGCGAGGTTGTTCCTTCTTCCATTTCCTTGCAGCAGAACAGCAGGGGGAGGGAGAGCGGCAGAACCCAGCTTCTTGGCTGAGTAGATCTTGGGTTTGGACATTTGGAGAATTACCTTAGGAATGGAGTTTCACGAGGGGTGTGGTGGGTGAACGAGAAGGGTGGACAGAGAAAGAGGCTGCTGCAGGATGCAGAGAAAGAGCCCACGTTTCAAATGAATACAGCCAGCCCCAGCTCTTCCACCACCCACTCTCACTCAGCAGATGTGGCGGGCTGGCACTCACTGCCCATCTACTTGAAGCTTCCTGGGCTGCGTGTCTTCTTTATCCACCCGATCTTCTACTTTGAAGGCTGAGAACTTTCAGCTCATATGGATTGAGGACTTCTTAGAGCTCCTCTGCCCCAGGCACCAGTTTGGGTTTGGGAGGGGGTGACCATGACAGCCCAGGACCTGTGTGGAGGGTCGGGGGAGGGGTGTGACAGCAGCACAGGGCATCCGTTCAGGTAGAAGGGGCAGTGAAGGGGTCAAGAGCATGGGTTTTGACATCATAAGATCTGCAGTCCAATGCTCACCACTGACCACTGACCCACTGTCAGCCTTCTGAAGCTGCTTCATCTCTACAGGCCTGAAAATGGAAAGTGCAAGTAATGAAACTTCATGTAGGACTCTTGTGAGAACTAACTCAGGAAGCAATGCTTAACGCTGTATCTGATGTGTACTAAGTGGCCCATAAATCATAAATGGTAGCTTTGAAAATATCTATTATGATTAATGCTTTGAACAGTAAGTTAGGGTCAAGATGTAGAAGTTTCTGTTTGCTGAGACTAGGTATTTGGACTTTATCCTGCAGCCCATGGGCAGCCAAGGAAGATATTCCTGCAGGGATGATATTAAATAAATTGCTGTTTGGGGAAATCTTCACCTGTCATCAGTTTGGGGAGAAAGGAGGAATGTTGGCAAGGAGGCTCTGTCAGTATCCAAGCAAAGTGGACGACGGCCCTGGGGTGGTAGAGAAGGGAAGGGGGTGGAAAACACAAATTCGTGAACTTTAGAAAGGAAGATGGCTGAGGAGCAAGGGATGGGTCAGCTTGGCAACCACAGAGAAGGAAGAAGGGGTCAAAGATATGTTTTGAGAAGGCATCCGTGATGGCAGTGACCCAAACTGTAGTGCGAGGGGAGGAGAGACAGTGCTGTTCTCTCTCCTGGGGGAAGGCCACCATCTGGGATCACTGGACCCAGGTCCCACGCCCCCAAGGGCACTGCTTGGCACATTGATTCATTTGTATCCTGCTTTTCTCAAAAAGGTTTGAGGCTGTTTTACACCAGATACAGTGGATGGTTTCTACTTTCCTCACAAGTGACAATGAGCTGAAACTGTGACAACCAAAAAAAAGGAGATAAAGGGCGGAGCACAACATCATGACGGGGAGGAGAGAACGAGGGCAGAAAATGGACTGACCAGGTGTGTGGAGGGGTGTTGGCTCCACCTGTCCACTTGTGGCCTTCGAATTATTCCATCATTTCTAATCCACTCCCTTTGCGAGGGAGGAATCCCTCCAGGAAAAACAGAAAAACCAGGTCTTTCTCAATAGCATTTTTACTCTTCCTTTCCTGTGCAATGTCAGAAGCAATGGCAGGGGCCTCCTTCTCCAGAACCAATACAGCCCCCAAGAAAGGAGAGAGAGAGAGGGAGAGAGAAAACAAGAAAGAGCCACAGAAAGGGAGAGAGAGACAGAGAGAGCCCATTGCCAGTAGGCACTGCCAGGCGAGCTGCTGGTTGGATGGCTGTGGCCGCGGCAGCCACAGGACGATCCAAATTGTGGCTTTGCTTCCTCTCTCTTTCTCTTTGGTAGCACACAATCACTCAGCCCTAGATTCCTCTGTGTTTCATACCCAGGAGGTCAGGGAGGGCACCTTGTAGTGCCTGAGGCCCCGAGAGGGTTCACAGCCACCTGAGAAGTGTTTGCAGTCTATGGGTGTGTGTTCTTTCTCCAAGCTGTGTCAGCTGTGGGATGGCGTGGAGAGAAAACAAGAAAAAGTTGTTTCCCTCAGCTCTCTGCTGAAAAAATGCTCACGGGGAGTCAGTCAACATTTGGTAAGTACGCTGAATGTTTTTACTTTCAATGCCTAAATTTCTCTGGCTTCCGTAAGGTATCGTTGTCGAGGAAGGAGGTGGTATTGTCGCTACCCTCCCTCCCCGTGTGGTGTGACAGCAGAGATAGTTATCTCTACACCCAACTCAGTGTTGCTTTTTTTGGGTAACAGCTTTCGAAAAACTATCGCCTGGGCTCCAGCTGGTCAGGCTTCGATGGCAGTTGCCACAGTGCCAGGCAGGATGCTTTGTCAGTCAGGCTGCCGGGCCACGGAGACAGGATTAGGGGATAATGAAGGCATCCTCCCCTTGTCACAAACCAGAAGCTAAGCCCCCCATTCCTGGGATGTCCAGAGAGGCTGGGTAAGAAGATGTGCTGTGAACACAGAGCTCATTCGCTCTTCTCCTCCTTCAGCCTAGCAGTGGCGGGACACATGCAGTGTCCCTCTCTGGAGGGAAAAGGCAGCTGAGCAAACATCTCACTCTCTTGATTCTTTTCTAAATGGGACTCCTGAGGTCCAGAGTCCTGAACCATCTTTCCCAGAGCCAAGCCTCTGCTGGTGAGAGTGGGGACAGGGTTCTATGAGTCATGGCTGCAAATCCATTGTCTGGAGACTTCTGGTTAAGGGCAAAAGGCCTGGCTTCACAGCCACAGATCTGAATCAAATCTTGCCTAAGAACCTGGGGAATTTTGCCTTCACCTGGCCCCATGTTGAGCTCTCAATCTCCACCAGGCCTGTGTCAGAGCCCTCTGGGGCAGGTGCAGAGGACACTGGCTGAGAGGACCAGGCACCAGAGGAATAGGCATCCTTCCTTTCCCTCTGATGAGCCCTCCGAGTCAAAAGTGGACCACCCAAGAAACAGGCTGTCAAAGGAAACCTAGTTCTCATACTAAGGCAGCAAGTGAGGTGAACCCCAGAAACAGTTCTAATTGCTGCTGCAGACCCAGGTCTCTTCCTCCCTCTGAGAGCCATCTTAGGCCCAATTCTACACACTCAGACCCCGCCCATCATCACAGCTTTTATCCCTTGGCTGTTCCCAGACTCTCCCTCCAGCCCCTGCCTGCTACCCACAACAGGGCGTAACTCTTACTTCCTCCTCCAGTCTCGGCATCTGCCTTCTCTATTTACATTTTAAAATGTTTTTATTTAAATAGGCAAACAGCAAAGATCTAAGAGCACCTACTAGATGCCAGCCTTCATACTAGACACTCCATACCTGCACATAGACATATATGATATATGCACATATACATAAGCATGGGATTTTATTTCCTCCCATGCTTCTGGTGCCTGTAAGTGAACACAGGACAGGGCCACTGTGTCTCACAACTCCATGGGGAGTCATTCACCGTGTAGGCTGTACACTGTGCTCTAGCCAGTGCCAGTCTCATGGAATACAATGGTGCTCTCTGGAGTTACAAACTCATTATACCTACCCTGGTTCCTCTCTGCCACGTGCACTGTACAGATGTGCATTGATATAATGCAGTGAGTAAGGGTGTGATTGCTGAACTCCAGGCAGACTTGCATTCAAGTTTGAGCTAGACTATCAATATGCTGTGTGGCTTTCTGTGAGGTATTTAATCACTCTGAGCTTCCTAGGAGATATTAGGTTGGTGTAAAAGTAATTTCGTTTTTTGCCATTAAAAGTAATGCATTTATTTTTAGTGTGGTTTGATAAATTAAGTAAAGAAATACAAATGAGATTATTCAGTGAGGTACATAAATGGTCAATATGTAATTTCAATTATTATCATCATCTTTAATGTGATTATTGTTTAGTCAAAATTGTCATTATATTCATTAAGGGTACAATATATTAATACTATTCTTACAATGCCTGACACGTAAGCACTTAAAAAATATATGTTGAGGCCAGGCGCGGTGGCTCACGCCTGTAATCGCAGCACTTTGGGAGGCCGAGGCAGGTGGATCACGAGGCCAGGAGATCAAGACTATCCTGGCTAACACGGTGAAACCCTGTCTCTACTAAAAAAATACAAAAAAAAATTTAGCCAGGTGGGTGTGGTGGCGGGCGCCTGTAGTCCCAGCTATTCAGGAGGCTGAGGCAGGAGAATGGCGTGAACCCAGGAGGCGGAGCTTGCAGTGAGGAGAGATCGCGCCACTGCACTCCAGCCTGAGTGACAGAGTGAGACACCCTCTGAAAAAAAAAAAAAGTATATGTGTGTGTGTGTGTGTGTGTGTGTGTGTGTGTGTGTGTGTGTGTTGAATGAATGTTTTGAAGGATGACCAGGTGGAAAGCCAAATGCTCCCTTGAAAGGAAAAGAAGAAAATTGTCTGGGGGAACTGAGTTAAACCCAGAAGACACTGAAGTTTTTAACATGATTTTGGTTAAACCATGTGCCCTGGAAACTGAAAGCAGGGAGGGAAATCTTGAACTGGCCACACTTTTTGATACCTACAAATAAAAGACGCCATTACGTCTGGTGTGAGTGGGGTTCCCCATGAACCTACTGTGGCTTCTGCCACTTTTTTTTCTAAAGAAAACTTCAGAAAGAGGGGTCTTTCAGTCTGGAGGTTTCAGGTCAAGTCTCATCTTGCACAGAGACAGAGTGGCAGCCCTGCACCACAGAGGCTGGCCCCATGGCCCGGTGACCTGCTGCCTGTCTGCTTGGACAGCATACCCTCAGTGGGGCAGGTGGCAGGATGTTCCTCTTTCCCATGCCAGACATCTGGATGTCTGGAAACAGCTGGAGAGCTTTTTCCCTTTCTGTTCCAGATGTTTGGTGCTATGTGGTCATAGAGTAAAATCCCCAGCCCAGGCCATGTCTGGGTCAACAAATTACACCTGTTTTCTAGGGTTGTTGGTAGATAAAGCAGACTCTAAGGTCTGGTGTGGAACAGCATGCTGGAGAGTAGGGGTGGCAGAAACAATAGGATAGAGGTCTAAGGGGGTAGGGAACACAGCTCATCCCACCACTTGGGATGGCTCGAGTGGATCTCAGAGGCAGTAAGAACAGAGTCTGTATTCAGAGAAGGACTTGGAAGCCAAGCCTTGAAGGATCTGGATGGTCCACTACGCTCCTCTTCATGGGATAGAGCCGGGTTGTTCATTTCTAAAAGCCCCTTCTCAAGTATTTTCAGACGTTTTCTCTGCCAGCTCCCATGCTAGGCAACAAGGACACAGACATGAAGGAGGCAGCTCTTGTCCTTCAGGCTGTACCTTCACATGCCAAATGCCTGCATGCAAAGCGGACAACTCAATTGCTCCCAGAGGTGTCCAAATATCCAGGTTTTTGTTTTTTTTTTCTGGCAACCTGAGAAGAAACAATCAGATGCTAACTTGTTTAGTGGAGCCGTTTATGATTTCACAGCGGATGAAGACAGTAAGGACTGTGTCCCCGGTGAGCTCTTTAGCGGGGGAAATGGTGCACAAGGCTGTGTTCAACAGGGAAACCAAGGGCAAGGCTACAGGCCAGCCTGAGACATGACTTAGAGTGGGTGCGCCCCTACACTCCAAACAGGCTCCCCATGGAAGGCAGGGCAGGAGGTGGCGATTTTCTTGCTTTGTGTTTTTCACATGTGGAACTTGTAGTACCTGCTACCAAGCCTGAGCCTGTATTGACGTGTGCAAGGAGGGGTGAGGTTGGCAGTGTGCTGCGTGCGCATTGATTGATATATGTGCATCCTTCTTGCTTCGTAATTATTAAAGCCCCACCTGTAGAGGAGCTGGTGTTCGCCAAGCTTCATTTCACATCTGGAATCACCTCAATCAAATAGGCTTCATTTTTTTCCTAGTCAGTTGCTTTTTCTAATTTGATATATTGACACAAACATAGGAAATATGGGAAAGAAAATGAATAAGAAAGAAAGAGTTTCAGTGACAGGAAGGAAGGGCCAAAGACAAAGTTCAAGAGGGCCTTAAAAGTCAACGAGGGGGTGCGGCATGATGGCTCATGCCTATAATCCCAGCACTTTGGGAGGCTGAGGTGGGAGGATCTCTTGAGCCCAGGAGTTTGAGATCAGCCTGGGCAACTTAGCAAGACCCCATATCTACAAAAAAAAAAAAAAGGTCAAGGTATGAATATGAATTTTGTATGTGAGCATGAGTTTAGGGAGCCACTGAAGGATTTTTCAACAGGGAAAGGCCCTGGTCAGATTTGCTATGTAGAAGCATTGCTGGCTGCAATGTACACAAGAATGTGGGCTGGTGCCTAAGAGTAAAGCAAAAGACATGGACAGCCTAACCTAGGAGAGTAAAGGTGGGAGGGCAGAGGGGGGAGCTGATTGGAGGATATTTTAGGAGAGAGCTCATGGAGTATTCAGTGACTAATGGACATGAGCTATGATGAAGAGGGCTGATGGTAGAGATTCTCAGCTTTCCTGCAGGGGTTAAATGGAGGCGTCTCCAGCTAAGACGGAAAACCTGGGAAACAGTAGGTTAGGCAAGAAGGCTGAGTTTGATTCTGACAATGCTATGTCTGGAGTCCCCGCTGAACGTGTGGGTGGAAGTGTTCAGGGAGCCATCGGAGAGGGAGCTTAGACCCAGGGAGAGCTCTGCTTAGAGATTGATGCTGGGGATTTTCTTAGTGTCCAGGGAAAGTGTGGAGCATGGGATGACCAGCCTACTGCTCAAGGAAGCCTGTGGGACCTTCACTTCTGGACAGGCAGAGAGGGAGGAGTCTGTGGCAAGGATAAAGAATGGTCCGAGAAATTCAAGGACAACCAGTGTCCTTGAATTTACATCTCTTCTCCTTCTGTCATTGTACAAGTTTTAAAAAATCCAGAGCAAGACGGAAGTTCCTTTTTTTTGTCTCCTCTCTCCATCTGCACATAAAGCAATGTGGCCAGCCCAGATCTTTGAGGGATGTTTCAAGCCACATCATAGTCCTGCCTGGGGGTGCTCTTTTCCCACGGAATGACATTTACGCCAGCACATGCTGACTAACGGTACACCACATAGACTAGACTTTCGGCTAAATGCCATCTATTTCAAAAACAAACCAAGTTTGCATGTAAACTGTTGTGACCAATGCTTAACCATAAGAAATATGCCTGTCACTGGTGGACACCCTAAAAGAGGTCAGTGTAATGAAGTAAGTAAGTGATCGGGCAACACTCTAGGTATTCATGTATGCCTTGAGTATCGCAGAACTTGAGTTTTGCAGACAAAAACAAATACCAGGGAAGCTATTTGTTTTTAAATCAGTAATAAGTTTTCATATCAATGCCAATTCTTGGAGGTAAGGTGAATTAATAATATTTTCTGGCTTTAGAGTTGAATCAAATGACAGAGGCCAGTCATCTACTTGGTTGCATGTCAGAATAGTAAACCAAAGCAGAGGATCGTAACGATTCAATAGCTTGAGTTCAAATGTACAAATAAGCTACTGAGGAGTTTGGACAGGGAAGTAAGAGTCAAAGACCTGGATCAAGGCTCCCACACCCCATCCTCAGACTCTTCACCTGTAAAATAGAGATGGTCATAACCTGAAATCACGATTGCCATGAGAGTTATATGTGTATGGAAACTGCTTTGTGATGTGAAGTGAGTTGGGCACAGGTCGTTTTCACTGGTGTCTCACATTCTGGGGAAGACTTCACTTTTAGGTATATCTCCTGGCTCTGGAAGGCCAATCAGAGAGCTGATGGTGTTTCTGTAGGTTCTGTTTTTGAAATCTTTGGTCCACACAGTTTTTGCTTACCCTCTTCGTTTTAGTAACGTCAGAAAGATTATATGATTGACTGATAGAACACCAGCAACCCAGAGAGATATTGTACCATGGCCCCAGGCTATACTTTCCATTTTTATTAAAATTCTTATTAACTCATAGCCCAAGAGCTTTTAAGCCAAGCCTGATCTCCTTTAGGGCCCCTTGATTTGATCAGAGCAATTTGTGTGCAGTGTTCTGGTCCCACTTTGTGCAGATGCAGCCAAGACAGCAGCCAAATTATGTTATTCTGAAGTGACTGGGGTGTCTCTCCCTTCAAAACCACTTTCCCTTACAATACCACTGCTACCCGGTCTTGTAGACACTTGAGCTTCACAATTACAAGTCCACGTTCTGTGTTTAAGAACCTCCAATCCCTTTAAAGCTCTAAATATATCTAGGAAACATAACTACTAATCATTTATAATTCAGTGATGCCGAGCTTGTCGACTCCTATTCTGAAAACAAAGATAGTTTTTTTTTGGAGGGAAAAAAAAAATCCTGCGAAGATGAGGGTCCTGAAGGAAAATATACTATTGCAGTGTGAGAGGGGAAAAGGGGAACAAGCAAGGAAAACTCGAGGCATTGGGCCTAGGTCTCAGCATTGTCGAGGGGTCGCTGTGTCACTCTCAGATGCGAACAAAATGACTTCCCCTCAACAAATGCGCAGCCCCTCATCGGGGGATGGAAGTAGGTCCATTGGGCTGCTGGGCAAATCTGCATCTGAATTCTTCCCCCATGGGCTTTGTGATGCTTTTTATCCTTCAGTTGGTGTTTGCTTAAGTGGCCTCACTGAATTTCTCACATTTATCATTCCATTAACAGGCAGTCTTAAGCTTAATATCATCACCTTGGTAATCTGCCAAACTAGAGAGCACCTGAAAATAGCAACTCTCTTTGCAGCTTGCTGAGTAGAAGCCACTTCTTTCTTGGCATCCTAGGACATATCTGGGGCCATTTTGATTTTTACTCGTGTTCATGTCAAGGTATGGAGCACACGGACTTGAGGCTGAGAAGGGTGGTGCCGCTGTTCACAGGAACTAACCTTGGATCTGTAGCATTATTGACTTAGACTTTATTACCATGAATTAAGGAGTCATTTAGCTTTTAAAACCACTCAGAAATGAAAACATGAGAGTAAGGTTCAAGGTTGCCCCTGAACTGGGGTTTGAGACCTCAGTTTGACATGTACCGCTATTTTGTGCCTTCTTTGCATTTGAAGGAGATGTCCAGGCAGAGACTTTTCTATGCAGTTTTATAATATTTGAGGAACTGTTATTTTTACCTTTTTTCCTCATCCATTGTACAAAGATTTATGGGGCTGTCATTCACTACATCCCCAGCACTGTGGTAAGCATGCTAGGGCTGTCCAGTGGGACATTAGAGAAAGGATAGCTTCTGAAGAACAATTAGCATGGCTAAGGTGCTTACTGGTTGATGATGTATTCCTATAGTGTCCAGTTCTCACAACCTCATGGTGCAAAGGCAGAGGAGTTATAATCACCGTCACATTATAAATGAGGAAACTGACATCCAAGGCCACCCAAGAGGCAAGTCTTGGAACCCAGACTTCAGTCCAGATCTTCTAACTCCTAAGCTATGTTCTCTCAACCACTCTTCCTCCCTGGATCTTAGAACCTTTCCAGAGATACAAGACTTAAATACATGAAAAAGACAGTACAAAGATATTAGTAATTATATGCCAAATTCATAGAGGTGTTGCCAGATTCCAGAAAAGGATGAAATCATGGTAACAAAAAACGGTAAAGGAGATTGGGCTTGGTGGGTTTGGTGAACTTAAGGGAAAAGAGAAGAGTTTTTTAACTGGAGAGTAGCAAATGAGAAAGGGACATAGAAAGGAAGGACCCAGGAAGAAGACTCATTTGGAATCGGGTGGGATGTAATCTGTAATCCCAGCACTTTGGGAGGCCGAGGCAGGTGGATCACTTGGGGTCAGGAGTTTGAGATCAGCCTGGTCAACGTGGTGAAACCCCATCTCTACTAAAAATACAAAAATTAGCCAGGCGTGGTGGTGCATGCCTGTAATCCCAGCTACTGAGGAGGCTGAGGCAGGAGAATCACTTGAACCTGGGAGGTGGAGGTTGCAGTAAGTGAAGATAGCACCACTGCACTCCAGCCTGGGCAGCAGAGTGAGACTCCGTCTTAATAAAAAATACAAATAAAAAAAGAAGACTCGGCTGGGCATGGTGGTCATGCCTGTAATCCCAGCATTTTGAGAGGCCGAGGCGGGCGGATCATGAGGTCAGGAGTTCGAGACCATCCTGGCTAACACGGTGAAACCCTGTCTCTACTAAAAATACAAAAAATTAGCCGGGCATGGTGGTGGGCGCCTGTAGTCCCAGCTACTCAGGAGGCTGAGGCAGGAGAATGGCATGAACCTGGGAGGCGGAGCTTGCAGTGAGCCGAGATCACGCCACTGCACTCCAGCCTGGGCGACACAGTGAGACTCCGTCTCAAAAAAAAAAAGAACACTCAGTTGGGATGGAACAGAAGGTTAGATGGGACGAGGAGAAGGCTGGATGGCGGGAGACACAGTGTAGGCATGGTAACAGCAGGAGAGAAATGCCAGGTAAAGCCTCGGACTTCAGTCCTATAAAATTGCCCAACATTTTTTCCTCAACAAAATGTGACAGATGATGTTTTTGGGAATGACACTTTTCCTCTGGCATATTTAAATTTTGATGAATCGACTCTCCACCCCACCTCCATTTTTTTTTTCATCAGCAAGGTAAACTATGCAATTAGATACATTAGTTTGGGTATAGATGTCTAAGAGTATGCTACAAACCTCAAAAATTAGTAGTTTAAACAACATGGAAATTGATTTGTCCTTTACATCGAAGTCTGAGCTGGAGTAACAGTTGTGCTCCATGAAGCTGGCAGGGTCCCAGGCTTCTCCTGTCTTTCTTGGGGTCTGCCTTTATTTGCATGTTCAAGGTGGCTCACCACCAAGTCCATACTCCAGGAAATAGGCTGAGGAAAGAGGGAAATGGGGAGGTAGGTGACTAATATCCCAGTTTTGCCCAGACTACCGGATTTCCCAGGACACAGGACTCTTAATGCTAAAACCAGGAAAATTCCTGGCAAACTGGAGGGGTGGTGTGGGATAGGCTTGGGAGTGCAGATTGTCAGCCTCATTCTAGGGCCCCACCTGAAAGTTGTGTGCTTCATTTGTAGTTACATCTCATTTTCTAGAATTTTGTCACCAAGTTGCACTAAGCTGCAAGAAAGGATGGAAAATATGGTCTTTATTCTGGCTATGGAAGAAGGGGATAATAGATATTGAGCCACAGCTAGCTGTCTTTGCGATAACATACAAATTTTTTTGTTGGTCGAGAGAAGAGTTAGCAGGCATTCGTGTGGCTGATGGTGCTGTATCCGTAAATGCAGCTCAGCAGACACTGTCCCAGAAGGTCAGGTTGTAGGCTTTGTGTACCTCCTACCATATTAGCTGCCACTTCACCTTTTTCCCAATTTAGGAGGCATATCTGAGAGTGATGTTTTATAGGGGCAACCTTGAACCTTACTCGCTTGTTTTTAAAAGTATTAATCAGCCACAAGTATTTCTTCTGACATCCTCAGAATTGATTGCAACATACCATTTTGGCCAGACACAGACACTAAGGTGCATTCCAGTAGGTCACCGGAATGGTTTTGAGTTCAAGAGTCGTGAAATGACGTGATGAAAAAGCACTTGAGAAAGATTCATCTGGAGAGTGTGGTGTCTCTCTCCCTCAACTCAAAATACCCAAATGAGGTGGGGACAAATGCATGGATATGGTGTTTTGTATTAAAATATTATCAGAGCTATATAACTGTGAGCTTCTAGGAGACTCACCTATAGCAAATGTAAGGACCTGCCTCAGACCTGACCTCCAGGGAAGATTTTCCATTGAAGTGGCCAATGAGCAGCCCAGAAATAGCTTTCTAGGAGAGATGTCTGTTGTGTGTCCTTTGCTATTAGGAGGTAGTATCCACTCTCAAGCTGGGATGTCAGGAGAGAATGAGCCAGAGGACACAGGTGTGACCACTGAGTCGTGAGGGTGACCCCTGCGAGGCATACCATCCCATCTTTGTCCTGGCTGTTCTGGAGTGAGCTCTCCATGTAACCTCCCCTCATTAGAAGTTTCAATAGACCCTGTCAAATGCTCCAGCTTCAAGGCAAAGAAGACTGGATTGGAAAAGGATGAGACCCAGGGAGTGAAAGAGAATACAGTAACATTTGGAAACTAGTTGTTCATTAGAAGAGAGCGGAAGACACAGCTTATTTAATGTTCCCCAAACTGTAAAGGCCCTTCATCTGCTTCTCTTTCACTATCGCCTCTCCAGGTATTCTCAGTCTCCTCGCTGACTATACAAGTGCATAGCTGTGTGTCTATGTTGAATTGGGGTTTCTCTTTTTGATGGATCCACACACATACACACACACACGTGCATGCACACACATATATTTTTAGCAACAACACTTTACTGTAGAGAACTAAAATATTTCTGTTCCATTAAATTGAGGTGTGGTCCCTCATGCCCAAGAAAATCTTGAGTGTTTTGTGAATCAACTAGACACTTGCCATGTGTTTCTCATCACATTCTGTGCCTGTTTTCTTGTGTACCCTAGAGCCTCCAATTTTAAGAGAATAAACATTCCAAAGCCATTAGTATGCTTGTATGAATTAGTAGCTTTGAGGAGGAAAAAGCTGGAGATGAGATCCAGCCATACTTGAAACAGCTTTTCTTGCCTGGAAGTACTTGTCATATTGTAAAAGTTTTCAATCTGCATCAGCCACTAAGACAGTTACAGAAGCCAGGGAACAATTTCAGTTGTGTAGTGATTTAGGGATTTATTAAGGACAATAAATCTGCCTTAGTTAAGAATCGAAGAGCTATAATATAATATTATGCAGCGATTAAGTGTAACATTTTCAAAGAATATTTAATGATGTGGTAAAATGCTCACGATATAATGTTAAGTGGAAAAATCAATATCTAAAACTGCATCTGCAGCATGATCCCAATTTTGTAAATTTTTATATACAGAAAAAAACAGTGGCAGAAAATTATCCAAAATGTTAACAGAGTTTGTGAGATTGTGGACAAGTTTTGGTTTATTCCTTAAGCTGATCTGTATTTTCCCACATTTTCTAAATAAATAATTCTTTCTTCTATTTGAATGCCAATACATATTACAATTATAAATAAAGTTTTTTATTTTTAAAAAGAATAAGCGCAAAACTACTATTTAAAAAATGGGTGAAGGTATGGATGGAAGTAGATATTTTCTACAAAAATCCAAGACAAATGGTATGACTCCTCACCTTTGAGTGAGTTCTAACACAAAGTCATGTGCTCAGTGGGATATCTTTAAAGTTGTTTGTTCATTTATTTGTTTATTCATTCATTACTCAGAGCTATTTGTTGTGCTCCCACTGTATGCCAAGCACAGTGCTAAACTAAGTAAAGCCTAGGTCACCATGAGAAGACTACAGTACAGTAGGGAGACATTAACTACTGCTAAGACAGTATGTTAATTGTCTTCTGGTGTTGTGAATAAAGTATGTGTTCACTGAAGACATTAATAAATGTGTGAATTTACCAATGAACGGAAGCCAGAGATCATCACCAGCACTGGCCTTTTATTCCGGAGTTTTCTGGTGCTCTGTGAGATTTCTTCCATCTCCTGGTAGGAATCTCAAGTGTCTGGGCCCTACCCTTTCAGCGGATTGCTTCATAAAATGACAATGGCTCATGGAAGAACTGACAAACTCTTTCCATGTGCTGTCCTGGCGAGCTTATACCATGTAAGGAACAGATGACTCTGGAAGGAGTCACTGGTGGAGGCCTCCAGATGTGTGAAGTTTCTTCCTAGTCAATGTGGGGATCCTGTGGGACTAGAACTCAAGCTAGAGATGTGGCCAGACAACTATTTTTTGGCAGAATCGGGCCCATGTGGAGGTGGAAGTTAAAACCTCTAAGACGTGACCTCAAAGGTCCTGAAAAGGCCCTCTGTCACCCTCACTGCCCCCTGCTCACTGATACAGGGACTGAGGAGGGAATCGTCCATCCCGGTGAGATGTAGAGTTGAACAGGCCGGTGCTCCGGGCAGCAGTGACCTGCTGAATTCCATTAGCCCTAAGGTATAAATAAATGCCAGTGGGGATGAAGCCTTCCTGCTGCAAAACTCCTGGAGGCATCTCCTGTCTCCAGGCTGGCAGCAGTCCAGGTAAGCGAAGGTGAGGCTTGAACCAGAGTGGGCCAGAAGAAAGGCATCTCCTCCCTGATAGGTTCTTACTGAATGCTCTGTCTGACTGGTTCTCTCACTGGCTCCAAGGCATCACTCCCCCCGACCCATGGGGTGTGCAAAACTTCTTCTGAAAGTTTTAGGGGGAGAGGGACACCTGATGTCTTCTTTGCAGGATTTCTGGAAACCCTTAAATGATCTAAGTAAATGAGCAACTCTTTGGATATTGCAAGATGAAAGTAAATGAGTTGCCCTGAGACCATAATGAATGCAAATGAATTCTGCACCTTTACAGAGGTTTGAGAGAGCCTAGAGAACTACTGGTGGAGAGCCGTTGTCTGATCATGAGAGAGAATCAAAATCAATGGGAATCAGGAAGAAGAGAGAGAAGGAAAATGTAAAGAGGTGGTCCTTAGAGAAGCTATTAACGAAGACTTGACTTTTATTACTTTCTTCCGAAGGTTATAAAGAAATATCCCGTATGGTTTCTGCCCCAGTGCCTCCCAGGAGCTTTCTCTTTGAGGGTCACAGAGGCCCCATGCGCCTGAACCAGGCAGAGTGGTGCACTCTCCCCTGTGTGGGGGCTTTCAGAGGGTGTGTCCTCTCCACACTCAGCGGCCTCAGTCACTAGCCACCCAGAGATGCTGGAAATGAACAGACCCCCACACTGTAGCTAAATCCAGACTTTACGTGCACTAGAGTGTCTTCACTTCCCCTTCCCTTCCCTTGTCCTCCTCATAGATTCTCTTTCCTTCTGGAGCCCTTTGAAGTACTTTGGGCCCAACCCAAGACTTTCTCTACCTGGAACTGATTACTAGATTGGCAGGGCCACCTTCTTCACCTACCATGTCTCTTTACTTGCCTGCGCCAGGCTGAGACACTGAGTCAAGGCTGAAAGGATAGGGAAGGGTGCTGCCTCTCCTGACCCTGACTTTCCCACCAGCAGCACTCCCTCCTGCTCCTCACAGCTACCGCCACTCCCTCATAGCTGTCTCCTCAAGTGTCAGCTCCCTGCCCGCCTCCTGCCTTATACCTTTTCCAGGTGCAGTGCCCACCACTCCTGGCATTGCCTGTTCTTCACCCTAGTGACCCTCTTCAATGAAATGTCCAACATAGTTGGTACTAGTTTTTCTCTGATATGTACACGAATCTGTCTTACTTCATCCAGTACTAATTGAGCACCAAATACATGCCAACCACTATACCAGGGGTTACTAACATGAATGAGCGGTTATACCTGGCTGTCTATAAAACATCTCAAACAGTAGTTGTCATCGTTTTTTGACAGCTGTAATGGTCCTGACTGCTATAAAGGAGTCTTCAAGAATCCTTTATAGGATTGGAACTGGAAGCAGCAATAATCAGCAGCCCCAGGCTCACGCGGAGCAAACATCCATACATGCAGCTGGCCTCTTCCCAGGGACCCGCACAGGCAGCTGCTCACCCAACCCAGATTCCTCAGGAGCCCCCTCTCTCCCAGGAGGCAGCTCCAACACCCGCCATGTCCCAGCAGCAGGAATCTGGGGTCCTGGCCTTCCAAGCTGGTTGTCTGAACACAGTTTCCCTTGGAAGCCTGGCCATGCAGTGTGGTTCAGGGATACCCTTTAGGAGTACACTTCAATTACATTATGGTTATAAAACATATTTTTTCAGACTGTCCTCTGGGAACATAACCACTCTTCATAACTTTGTGTTTCTGGGGAAAAGTTTCCAAATAACAAATAAACAAATGAGTTCATTTTGGATTTTTTTACGTGCCAGACATTTTCTTAGCAGCCCTAAAGCTCCTGTTCTTTCAAGACTCAATTTCCACGAGCTAACGCATTGTTTGAAGTCATTTACGTTTGGAAAGCATTGGGTTAATATGTGACTTTCAAAAGTAATATATGTGTATTTTAGCAGAGCCTTCTGACAGAACAGTGCCTCAGCCCTGAAAAAGAAAAAAGAATTTCTCCCCATAGCTGTAATGGAGGGGACCTCAGGTAGATACTAAGCAAGTCAGTAATAGAAACATTGGGAAGAGGGGCTTGGGGCACTCTGAAGTCATACACTTTGAATCTGATACCCAGTACATGTAGAAATGGCGTTAATATTGTTTTTCAACTGGGCTTAATGTTATACTCCTACAAGAACTTGATATTATACTCACATCACGGAGGGCTTTGGTATACCCACTAAGATGCTGCTAATTCTAAAATGTTACTGAAAGTTATGGAGTTTCCAGACTCCAATTATATACCTTTCCCTTTCTGAGATTGTCTTAGGGTTTAGGAACTAAACCTGAAGACAGTAAATATCTTAAGCTTGGAATTTGATGGGAAGGAAAAGAACAGGTGTGTCTTTAAAAAAAAAAGAGAGAGAGAGAGAGAGAGAGAGGGAGAGAGAGAGAGAGAGAGAGAGAGCAGGTAGAATAATGTCCCCAGGCCAGGAAAGTACCAGTCATTTTCAGATAAATTATACCCTCCTCCTCCTCCATGGGAAAAAAAAAAAATCATACTCAGACTTAACTGTCCCTTTGGCACTTTTGTCAAATGAGTTTTAGTAGCAGGAGCTGCTAAAAATATAAGCCAATTTCTTTCTTCATTTAAATCAAGTGCTTAAAAAAAGTGTAGCGCCTAGAACTGGTGCAGGACTCAGCATTGCAATGGCCTGGGCTGCCTCAGTCCCTGAATAGTCCTCAGTGATAGCAAGGGCCCTCTCTGAGCTAAGGGAAGTCAGCAGCCAGGCTGGAAATTGCCCCTTGAGAACAGGGGTTGTTTTTAGCACCCGGGACCCAAGTTGAAAAGGTGCCCTTGGGGATATGCTGACCAGGTCAGGTGTGGAAAATACTCTCAGTAGTAATTTCTGGTTTGTTCATTCATTAATCCTGCCTTTCTTCTTTTTTCCTTTTTTCTTTCCTTCCTTCTAAAAGAAAAGAAAATGTAAAAAGTGCCAAGCATGTGCCAGTACTAGGACATGATTTATGGCCATGAATGAGACATAGTTCCTACTGTTGGGTAGACTGGGATCCACTCCATCCCCATCCAGTGTTCCTTTCCCATAGGGCCTGTGGCTTCCTCATATTTGGAAAGCGGTCTGACCAATTGGCCCTGCCTAAGGTGAGAACTAGTGAAGGCTTAAATTGTTTTCAGAGTTACCTGCCTTTTCATAGAATTTAAAGCCTTTTAAGAATTTAAAAGGGCTTTGAAGCCCAAAGGAATATATTTATAATGCTAGAATTTCAGGAACTGTGATAGGAAGAAGGGGAGAGAGTTTTTCAGTAAGGATACTCTTCATGTTATTCTGGATGGCCGCTGCTTGTTCTGCCCAATAATCAGACAAGGTACATCTAAACTATACCTACTAAAGACAATCTTAGATTCAAATGTTAGAAGTGGAAAGATGTTAGAAATTAGCTAACCCAATTCCTGTATGTCACAGAAGAGGAGGTTCTGGGAGAGTCAGGCTGCTGGGGTACCAGTTCGCTGTTCTTCGGGGCCATGCTTTGTGTGAAGGGGAAGGTGGCATCACAGCACGTGAAGGATGGAGACGGAAGATGGGGAAGCAGGCCTACTTGGTGCTGACTGTGTATATGCTAGGATTTCACTATAATGCCTCTGGTTCTTGACCTTGGGACTTATAAATGAGGCCATCTTGAATCAAACCCTCTATGGAACTTCAGTGATTCAAACCAACCTCCTGAATGAGACTCTAAGATAGCTTTGCCATAGTTCAAATTCTGGTCTCTGATGAATAGTGAATATAGTTATTAATGTCACAGTGACTTCCACAGAATCACTACATCATTTCTACTGCTCTGCCTATCAAACCTGACTTTCCTGTATGATAATTGCATTAATGCCTTCTCTGTGCTTGGGTGGTGTGAACATAGAAGTACTTAGCATGTGCTCTGAGGTGTGGTTCTAGAAGCAGTGATGGATTGTGGCCAGCCATCTCCACTACACTTTCTTCTGGTTCTGCTCGGTAACAGTGGCACAAGAATTTAGAAGGTGCCCTGGTTGACAACAGATACCTCTGATGCCACGGCACAGGAAAGATAGCAACTGATTCAAATTAGGATGAACCCTATACTTTTCTCCTACCAACAATGCTCTCATCACTTGAGGTAAGTCCCAGGTATCAGCAGTAGGCAGCTCTAGAAGTTCCTAGCCATACAGTCCTACGTTAGCCCATTTGGACTGTCTTTATGATATTTTATATTCCATTATGAAGTCACTGCTGTGACCTTTTCCACAACCATTAGGTTATTTTGTCCTTGGCCAGCTGTTATTCTGTCCTCTAGCAGATTTGCAGTTCATTTTAGGTGGTCTTTTGGATAAGTAAATAGATCTTAATGGGAGATTGCATGGGTGTGAGTTGAGATTAGGTTTGGTTTCCAATGAGAGCTAACTCTTCTATAGCATTTCTTATGAAACTTTACAAAAATCACCTCACTTAATCTTCACAGCAACAATCGTACGAGTGAGGAATTATTATTAGCCCCATTTTATAGATGGGGAAACTGAGACAAAGGAAGGTTATATAATTTGTCCATAGTCGCACAGCTGTTAAATGGCAGAAGATGAGATTTGAATCCAGCTAGTCTGATTTAATCACTACAGCATATGGCCATGAGCACACCAAGTTTTGAAACATGGATTTTATTACTGAATGTAACACCCCAGTTCCTGGCACTTTAGGAGTTTTTTTTTTTTTAATAAGGGAAGATGTCTATGAAAAGAGCCAGTTGTCTTCTGTCAGCAAAACGATATTTAAAGCTCAAAGAGATAATTGTGTCTCCTCATTTGAACCCCCAAATCATATCCAAGAACAAAGTTTGTTTTGACTTCATAGATTAGACCTCTTCTCCACACAAGGACTAGGGGAAAATGTTGACTACATTAACTTCCAAGAGCCTGGTTGAATCAAGAATGTTTGCAAGTCCCAAACCTCTTCCTCATTCACAAAGATCCTCCTGATTATGGCAGCCCATAGTGTGCTCTCCTCATGCAGATCTCTTCCTTGGAACTCCCCTGAACCTAAATTAGGAAAGGGGATCTGCCAGCTCACATATATGCATGCATTCCACCGGCCTGTGTGTTGGGAATAACACTTCACTACTTATTAACTTATGTTATCCTTCTTATAATTCTACTTCAATAAGCTCCACTTTCCCAACAAACTTGAAGGCCATAAACCATGTTTTAAACTTTATTATTTCTCCAAAAAAAATGTATTAATATGCTGGCCACCCCCAAGATGTATTTAATAAATATTTAGGGACTTGACCTAAAGAAGCAGTAGGATTTTAGGCGAAGCCACACTTATGGCCAAAGTTGTTACATTGATTTTTTTTTTTAATTTCTTATCAGCACCTGCTGTTTTTATTTATTTATTTTTGGTGTTTTCTTTTTTCTGGTAACTTGTCTAAAAAAAATTCCTAGTTACCTACTCCAGTAAGCTAAACTTCCTTATTTCTGGGGAAGATAAAGTGCCTATTACATATGCTTGTGTTCTGTCTCTATAAGGCTACAGCAATGAATTCCAAAAAATGAAAAATTCAGACATCTGTCTTGCCTATATGCACCTAATGTCTATCCATCCATTTGTTGATTATGTGTATTGAGTGCCCACTGTGTGCCAGGCATGAGGTGTGCTGAGTAACACAACATGTGTGGCCTCTATCCATGAAGCCTACCATCTGAGGTTGGGAGGAGGCAAAGGATATAAAATAAACAAGTGTATAATTTCACATCCTGCTAAGTGTTATGAAAACTAACAATAGAGTGCTATGAGAGAAAATAACAGGGAAAGCCTGTGGTGGCTTACACCTGTACTCCTAGCACTTCAGGTGGCTGAGGTAGGAGGATTGCCTGAGCCCAGGAGTTTGAGATTGCAGTGAGCTATGACTGCACCATTGCACTCCAGCCTTGGTGACAGTTTGAAACCCTGTCTCAGAAAGGAAGGGAGGAAGGAAGGAAGAGGAGGAAAGGAAGGGAGAAAATGAAAGAAAGGAAGGGAGAAAAAAAGAAAGAGAGAGAGAGAGAGAGAGAAAGAGAAGAATGAAGGAAGGAAAGAAGGAAGGAAGGAAGGGAGGGAGGGGAGGGGAGGGAGAGAGAAAGAGAGGGAAGGAAGGAAGGAAAGGGGAGGGAAGAAAGGATGGAAGAAAAGAAGAAAGGAAGGAAAGATGGGAAAGAAAGAAAGAAAATAATGAAGGGTACCTAATGTAGAATTTGGATTCTAACACGTTTCCAGGTGACACTGCTAATTTGGATGGAAGACATTTCACTTGCCTTATGAATTAGCTTAGCATATATTAGAATCACCTGGAGCCAGGGGGTGGTGCCTTTAAACGAAATACTGATGCCTGGCCCCACTCCCAGAGATTCTGTTAGCATTTGTCCGGGCCTGACCCTGGGCATCAGCATTTTTAAAGGCAGCTAATGCGCATGCTAGGTGGTGCCAGAAAGCGTGGTGCTGATTGCTGAGCACTGGCTAGTGTATACATCCTGGGGTGCTTCACCACCCAGATGCTGATTCACACACTCAACAGTCAGCCTCGTTGTGGGGAGCATTGCCTTCTTCTGAGGTGGATCTCACAAATCCCCAGTTGCAATGTGAGCCTGTAACTCTACCCACCTGTCATATGAAAGAACTGGATCTGGATGGACCTGCTTGCCTTGCATTTGAGCTCCAGTGTGGAGCGTTTCCACTGAGGTTAAATCATGGACGGTTGGACTGTCTGTACCTGACCTGGGAAGCTGGGATGGGAGAGTGGTGGGGAATGGGCTGGCTCATGGGTCTGTGTTAGTGTAGCTGGAGTTAGGAGAGCCAGGTTCATTTCCAGTTCTGCTCTGGTGAAGTAGAGACCTTGGCAAGTCATAGCACTCCTTGGGCTACAACTTCTTCCTTTGCAAAATGAGGCTCTTGAACTAGGAGATAACTATGCTTCTTTTAAACGATCAAATTCTGGCAATTTCAGTTGTGGAAGTAAGAGTGAAATTGAACCCCAATTTTCCCTTTGATAAAATAAGAGTTTTACCATTTACCACCAAACCTTGTTTCATTGCTCTCACCCTCAGTTTCTCTAGCAATACAATCAGGGTTTGGACTACACAGTGTATATATTTTTTTTAGTTCTAAAATTCCGTGCTTCTGTGAATACTGCTACTCATTGCTTTATTCAGATTTCCTTTATTTATTCAGCAAACTTTGAGTTTTTAGTATGAGGCTCAGGAGTCAGACTGCCTGGATTCCAATCCTCAGCTGACCACATGCTAGCTGTGTGACTTTGATCGAATTACCTAAACCCTTTGGCCTCATTGCTCTCACTTATTCACATGGGATTAATAAAACTGGGGCTCTTGTAGAGTGATTGTGAGGATAGAGTAGCATAGCAAGTATTGCACAAAGGAGTATCTTGCACCTAGTGCAATGCCTGCCACATAGTAAGCACTCAGTAAATGTTTTTATCAGTACCATCAGGCCCCACACTAGTTGCTACGGATGCAAAGATGAGTAAGACACAGTCCTTGGCATCATAGAGCTTACAACCTAGGCAGGGAGGAGAAAGAGATACAAATCACTAGAATATGATGTGAAATGACAAAAGTGTGTTCCCAGCCTTTGAGGAATACAGAGGAGAGATAGGGGATAAAAGTGGTGAGTTACTAGTCACGTGGAAGCCTTTGAGCCACTTTGGGTGGTGAAAGGAAGAAGGAGCAGGCTCTTAATGCGAGCCCTACCTTCTGGAGGACTTAAGGGGACCACAGGCGCCAGGACACGGGCAGCAGATGGAGCGGACCCAGTGCAGAGCGTAGGGGCTAGAAGCCCCGGATCCAAACAGCCAAGGGGACAAGAGTCAGCACTGAAAGGGAACAGCACACAGCAGGGAGACGGAAAGAGGCTATGGCAAGGGGGAGTTGGCTAAGTAGAGCACACACTGCAGCCAATGATCAGTGAACCTGGAGGCACTGGAGGCATCTCCAGTGGAAGATGGATCCCTTGTACAGCCTAACTGGCCCTGTTACCTGGTGGAAGGAGCCAATGTTGGCCAAGGTCCTAGGCCCTACAGCTGGAAATAGGTAATTGGTGACACCTGGCATAGGTGAGGTATCCTCTGGCAGTGGGACAGCCACAGTTCCTGGTGGTGTTCCCTTCCAGAGAGTCTAGAAGCATAGAATTGCAGAGCTGGGGTGGGGGGTGGGGGTTAGAGATCAACCACCCCATTTACAGATCCCTGTACCACAACCAGAATCCTTCAGGGAAGGACTTTGGAATCTGCATTTTAAGCAGCTTCACTCATAGTTCTCTCATCTGTAGTCTGTGACTGCACTTTGAGAGACATTGTGAGATACTATATAGTCAAGGGAACCTCAGTAATGAAAAACCAAGACTAAGCCGACGGATTGAAAATTAGAAGTTGGGACCTCCAGATCTGCCGTTTTTACGGTTTAGGGGAAACCTGTGTTGTTTTCCTCAAAGTTTCCTGAAGGACCCATTCACCTGCCACCTCCACCCCCACCCCTCTGCCTTTACTCCCAGTGTGAAAGCTATAGGCCAAGAGGGTAGCATTTAGCTTTAAAATGTTTAAAAATTTTACAGAAAAGAGAATGCGCCTTTTTTCCCTCAAATCTTAAACCTTCTTCACGCAATGCAGGCCTCATTTTCACCAGCCCTTTTCCTATGTTTTACATAAAAATATAGAAGGTTTAATCAAGGGTCTGTCCGTTTCTTCAAGACCTCCAACACCCTTAAAGCTAGGGTGAGGGGGATTTTCCTGTCTCTTCCTTCCTTTCAACCCCTTGAAAGACAACACCTGATACTGTCCAATCTTAAAACTTAAGGGAACTGGCTTAGAGCTTTGATTGGTGGTGTTTACCTACCTTTGGGTTAAAAAAAATAGGCAACTTTCAAAACACGTGCTAGAACCTGTGCTGAACAAAGAGAAACCCTGTAAATTCCCTGAACCACCCTCACGTGATGGGAGGTGGAGTGCAGCGTCCTGACTTGCAGCCTCACTCGTCAGCCTGTCCCAATCGACTAGTTTCCCAATCAAAGATAGCAGGGAAGGCTTTTCAAACTTCTGTGGCCCAGGGGAGGACCGCGTGCACACGCATGAACACTTTTAGTTTGGGATGTTAGGGAGAGGCGTGGTTGTGTGAGAGACAGCTCCTTCCAGACTGCCCTGGGGCATCTGCAGGGGTGGAGATGCTGGCCCTGGAAGCAGGCAGGGAAGCAGGCAGGATCGGTTCAGAACACAGGGATTCACTTAAGGAGCCTCCCTCTTGCCTGATTGGGATGCAGGGTCCTCACTCTGAGACAGGGCAGAGGGGCCGGCCATGAGTTCCACCCATGAAAAAGCAACCCGTGTGTGTGTGTGTGTGTGTGTGTGTGTGTGTGTGTGTGTGTGTGTGTCTGGGTTTGACTTCAGTCCAGGAGTGATATTCCCAAAGCACTAGGGAGCCCCTTACTGGAATTCAACCATCCACTCAGGTCCGAGGAAAAAGGAGGAAGCTCGTACTGCATTCCTCCCACCCAACAGACGAGCCCCAGCCTCCGAAGGGCGCCAGCAGCAGAGATGCTGTGGAAATGTCTCTAGAGAAATCTCACAGAAGCCTGTAAGAAACTTGACCTCATTTGCATTTTCTGATTGAATCACTGATAGGTTTTTAGTTCTCTCCCTTCCCTTTACAAAGGCAGGCCCAGGAATGAAGAAAAGGCTAAGTTACCTAGTATTTTCAGGAGAGATGTATTATCACTGATTGTCAACCTGGTTCTCTTACACATGGTGTTTCGAAGCCTTGACTAATTCCATAGCGGATGTGTGTCTGTATAGTGTTATTTAAAAATCTTTCTTCTTTTCTTGTACATCATGGTTTCATGAAAAGTTCAACAGCATCAGAGCATACTCCTGAAGCATTTATTAGTTAACGGAATCTTCATCCTCATTATGGTGGTGAAGGAATTTCTTTCAAGGACTACAGTTCCAGTAATAGCATAAATCAAAGACAAGACTGTTGCTTGCTCTGCTCGAGATTTTTGTTTTTAATCTCATGCCCCAGAGGGAGGGGATATTTAGATGTAGAAAACCAGAGAGTGAGACCAAGTTATTTAGCTGTCAGTAATGGTCTGGGCTGCTGGAATCTATTCATTATCGTCAGGGAGGCTTTAAGATAGGCAAACAGTGGTGTAGAGTTTGTTCTTCAACATGCCTCTTGGCCTTCCTTTGGCTGGTTTTGCAAAAGTCCAGCAGCACTATTCTCTCTGCCTGCCCCAAACCATCGTGGAAAATATTGCTGTGACAAGGAAATAGCAAGTTTCGTGCTGGGCTTATGTACACAGGGCTCAGAAACATGTACCTAATCATAGGAAAGACAAACCAAGAGCCAAAGAAAATCAGTTCAATTCATTGTCCTACTGATGAAAGATAGAAATCCTTGTTTTTTAATCTTTCATGCAAAAGCAAGAATCCACTCTTCAAAGTGCAGCATTTAGCTGTGTGCTAAGTTTCTTTTTCTTCTTAGTTATTAATTACTGCCTTTCTCTTCTGCATCCCAAAGAGAAGGGACCTTTGAAGGCTCTAGAGTCCCAAAGGAAGAACACTTCATCCTGGTTATAAATGGGCAAGGTGGGATTCAAACACATGCTGGTTCTGCATTGGGCTTTGCCACTTTGCTGTGTGACTTTGTGCAAGGTACTCCACCTCTCTGAGCTTCTTTGTCTTCCTCTGTTAAATGTAGCTTGAATTCCTGTCTAATAAGGTATGAGGAATAAAAGGAAATCATATATGTAAATAATTCTAACGGGTTTCTCCTTCCCTCTTCACTTCTCTTATGTGGAAAATTCCTGAAAAATAAAATTTAAGGATGATTTTATTTTTTGCATTTTAACATATTATTATTAGGTTGGCACAAAAGTAATTGCAGTTTTTGCCATTAAAGGTAATAGCAAAAACTGCAATAACTTTTGCACCAACCTAAATAGAATCCTGTACTTGTTCCTTGATTTCATTTTAGTCTCTCCCCATCCAAATATCCCTCTTTCTCTCTCACTTTGCCTTGTTCCTAATCCCTCTCACTCACAGTATTTCTCTCTCTCCTTTCAAAGAATCTACTTCCTTTTCTTTTTCATTTCTTCATCCGTATTACTCACCTGTGACTGGCATAAAAGAGGGTAGGGAAGGATTAGCATTAAAATCAGGGCATTGAGTAAAAGAAAATAGTATATAAGAGAGAAAAGAAAACTGTATCCTTGTATTCATTCAGTGAATATTGATGAAGCACCTACTGTGTGCAGACCCAGGGCCCAAGACTGACATACTTCATGCCTGCACAGAGTATATGAGCAAACCTGGAAGTAAGCAGGTAGGTATGATTCTCTCTGCCAAGTGATTTGGCACAGGGGACAAACACAGGGTGTTTTGGGTGCACCCTAGAGGGGCCTCAGCCCACACATGGGAAGGCAGTAACGTGTACCTGGGAACTAGAGGTAAAGACACGGGAGAAAGGGCTGGCCAGGCTAGGAGCAAGGTGTGTCAGGGCGCCAAGGAGAGATTGGACCTGGTGTTACTGAAGAAACAAAAGCCCAGGATGGAGACAGGAGGAATAAGTTCTGGTGTTGTATTGCACAGGTGCACAGCCTGGGGACTATAGTTAATAGTAATGTATTATATACAGACATACATCATCTTATTGCACCGCTTTACAGATACTGCATATTTTTACACATTGAAGGTTTGTTGCAAGCCTGCCTCGATGAAGTCTGTCAGCACCATTTTTCCAAAAGCATGTGCTCACTTCATGTTTCTGTGTCAGCTTTTTAGCAATAAAGTATTTTAGACATAATGCTATTGCACACTTAATAGAATGCAGTATAGTCTAAACATAACTTTTCGATGCACTGAGAAACCAAAAAAATTGTGTGACTTGATGGCGATATTTGCTTTATTGCCGTGGTCTAGAGACCGAACCCACAATCTCTCCGACATTTGCCTGTACTTCAAAATTGCTAAAAAATTAGATTTTAAATGTTCTCACTGCAAAGAAATGATAAGTCTGTGAGGTGATGATATGTTCATTTCACAATGCATACGTGTATCATAACCACCACATTGTACACCATAAATATATACTATTATTATTTGTCAATGAAATATAAAACTTTTTTAAGGGTAGAAAATAATATATTTTGCAAATGGCAATCATAACAAAGCTAGAATGCATACACTACTAACAGAAAAAAGTATCATTTAAAACAGAAAATGTGACTACATATAAAAGGAGACATTTTAAAACAATAAAAATGTTAACCCATTAGAAAAACATAACAATTATAAACATATAGCACCTAATAACAGAGCTTCCAAATGCAAGAAGATAGCTGGAGACTTCAACACTACACTTTATTTTATTTTATTTTATTTTTTTTATTATACTTTAAGTTTTAGGGTACATGTGCACAACGTGCAGGTTTGTTACATATGTATACATGTGCCATGTTGGTGTGCTGCACCCTTTAACTCATCATTTAACATATAAAATATATACTGTTTACAGTATATAAATACATATACTGTTTACAGTATATAAATACATATACTGTTTACAGTATATAAATACATATACTGTTTACAGTATATAAATACATATACTGTTTACAGTATATAAATACATATACTGTTTACAGTATATAAATACATATACTGTTTACAGTATATAAATACATATACTGTTTACAGTATATAAATACATATACTGTTTACAGTATATAAATACATATACTGTTTACAGTATATAAATACATATACTGTTTACAGTATATAAATACATATACTGTTTACAGTATATAAATACATATACTGTTTACAGTATATAAATACATATACTGTTTACAGTATATAAATACATATACTGTTTACAGTATATAAATACATATACTGTTTACAGTATATAAATACATATACTGTTTACAGTATATAAATACATATACTGTTTACAGTATATAAATACATATACTGTTTACAGTATATAAATACATATACTGTTTACAGTATATAAATACATATACTGTTTACAGTATACATATACTGTTTATAGTATATAAATACATATAGTTTTTATAGTATATATACTATATATAGTATATAAATACTTATACTGTTTATAGTATATATATACTATTTATAGTAAATAAATACATATACTATTTATAGTATATATACACTATTTATAGTATATATACACTATAGTTTATAAATATATACACTATAGTATATAAATAGTATAAATATAGTTTATATAGTTTATAGTATATAAATAGTGTAAATATATACTATTATTGTCAATGAAATATAAAATTTTTTTTAAAAGATCAGAATGGAGGAACAGAGTGCAAGGGAGGGGGCATCTAAAGATGAGCTGGAGGGCTCTGCACACCTCGGGGGGTGTTGACTGGACTCTAATGAAGAGCCAAGGGGAGCCGGTGGAAGTAAGTGGTGGCGGGGCAGGGAGGGTGGGCAATGGTGGTCAGATCTGTGATTTCAGCACCTGGCTCTGGCTGCAGTGGGGGAAGCTGGGTCTGCTTATCTTTTCTCTGTGCCTATCTTTCCACGTTTGTAAGTTGGGCCCTTAGAGTTGCCAAGTCCTCGGCTGTGAAAACAAGCCACTTTGTTCAAGTTCAGTGCTGTCAGTGGTCCAGCAAATTGAGATTGAAAGAGGTCCCCCTTGGCCAGGCGCTGTTTTAAGGACTCTGCTGAGGGTTTAAACGGACTAGTTTTGAAATGTAAGACAAACCATAATCACCAGGCAATGCTCCCTTGTTTTGCCAGGGAGAGACATTTATAGGTATTAAACTAGTTCCAGAAGGCCTCTAATACAGTTCCTTAAATGCAATAATAACACAGAATTATTAGGGGAAACTATTATTATTATTCCAAGTAATAACATAATTTTGTGCCCATGGAGGACATCCAAAGTGCTGAGAGAAATGAGCATTGGTTAATTAAACCTGGCCACTCCTCCACAAGTTGGGTGAAGCATCATTAGACTCGTTTTTATAGAGGAGTCAAACTGAAACACAGTTGGATTAGTTGACTTCCTTAAGGTCAAACCGTGGGAAAAAAAACCTGGGGGTTTTTATGTTTGATCAACCCTTTCGCCTCATGTGTCCTACTTTTGAACATGGATTCAGATTCACCTAGTGCCTAGGCAAAGAATAAACCTACAGGGTTGAGAAACCCTAGAGACCCTGGTCCTACCTTCCTCACCCCAGGGTTGAGGACGGGCTGGAGATGAGAAGCACCCAGAAGCAATCCTAATACATGTGCCCTTTATTTCTCCATACTCTCATGGGCCTTTATGCACAGAGAGAAGCTGATAGGTAATGATGCCAAGGACAGTGCTTTGGAGGAAAATCACAGCACTGGTTGAAAATGGCAAACAAAGCCAGGTAAGGTGGGGAGGGAAATGGAAGGACAGAGAGGCCACTATTTTCAGGAGCTTCCTCTTCTGATGGCAGGAGTTTGAAGCCCAGCAATTCCTCAGCATCCACTGGTGCAGCCCCTTTCCTCTCTTCCATCCATTTTCTTCGGCTTGGATTCAAGCTTGGAAAAAATATCCCGGGGACTATGTTGGGCATCTTAGGAAGCTGTGCTCTCTCTTCATTTATTATTTTATTCCATGAATATTTAACTCATATTAGGAACTGCACTAGACACTGGAGATACAGTAGAATAAGGCTTAATTCCTACCCTCAGGAAGCTCCATCTGGAAAGAGAAAAAGATACCATAGATCCCCTTCGCCTCTCCCACTTCCACCCAAAATCAGCATCCTTAGCATATGATTCATGCTTCAGTACAGGAGAGTCACATGCAGAACGCCTTGAAGAACGCTGGCTAATTCTGCCTGGGGAGTTGGAGAAAGTTTTGGGGAGGAGCCAAGGTTGGTCTGAGAACTAAGAGAAAGTCCTTCTGGGCAAAAGGAACAGCCTGAGTAAGGGCATGGAGACATGACACTGTAGGAGGCTTGGAAGCCATATAAAAAGTTAAGTCTTCATTATGTGACATTGTTCCTTTGGACTAGAAGAGCTAAATTAGTCCCTAATAATATATTCTCTCATAATCTTCATAGATTGTTTTATGATATGTAGTATGCCTTTTTATCCAAATAGATTATATGTTATTCAAGTTCTAAGACCTTGTTCTCCCCCATAACATGGAACTAAGCAGGACTGAGTATCCGACATTTACCTAAAAGACAAAGAAAAAGGTGAAATTAACACAAGTTTTGATCTTAAATGTGATGCTTCAGTTCTCTGAGCCTTGATTTTCTATTATATAAAATTATGATAATTATGCTATTTCTCAGGATTATTTCAAAGATAAAATAAGGCAACACAGGTAAAAGTACTTTGTAAACTATACTGTAATATTGCTCTTATTACATTTGATCTGATAGGTAATTATAATAAAGATATAGTATTCTGTAGTAGTTTTTACTCCCTCAACTGTGGCCAGTTAGACTCTAAGTTCAGCCACACAACGTATGCTAAGATTTCAATGGCAGGCTGATGGGAAGATGGGCAAAGGTTACAATTAAGTGGGGCTCATTTTGAAGACTAGATTTTAGTCAACAGATTCCAGACCCCATTCAGCACTGGGGTGGAGCTCCTAACACATTACCTGCCTAGATTCTCACTATTTTGAAGCCTAAGAGAGCTAAGCACACAGATTTCAAGACTTTGCCACCCATACACTTCGTGGGACGTGAGCAAACACAGCCCGTCATGCACAACCGTGAGCACTCAATGAAGATACAGAAAGGTGTTCCCTGGAGAAAGCAGCTGGGCGTCCAGATAGAACTCCACAAAGCGAGTGGCCTGCAATGGTCTCTGCCCTCACCAACCTGTCTGCTCTTCCTGGGCAGAGAGGATATGGTATTTCCCAGTCCCCTCATTCCTGGGTTGGGGCCGTGAGGCTGAGTCCTGGCAAATGGGATGTAAATGGACAGGATACAAGTCCTAGTTCTTCTGTCTCTCTTTCTCTCCTATGGTGCCTTTGGAGGCAGGATGTTGCAGATGGCAGAGAAACAAGATAGAGAAAGACCACCGATCTGCATCAGACCTGATGGAATCAAGAAATAAAGCTTTTTCTGTAAGCTACTGAGAGGTAGAGATTTGTTATCATAGGGCACAGCCTCTTCTGACCAGCACAGTCCCGTTGCCTTGGTGGTGTCACTATAGTTCAGAAACTGGCAGTGTCCTTTTTTATTACAATGATAGGACATGCCCCTTCTGGATGATGTTCACCTATCCAATGTCCAGATTCCATCACTTACACTGCATTAGAGCTCTCTGACCTAATACCTCCTTCAACCTGACTTTCTGTATTTCTGCTCAAACCTGCTAGGTGCTGAATTTACAGTTGAACTCTCAGACGACACTGCTACTTCTCTTCTATCACAGTGGACAAGGAGGGAGTGTCTCTGGTCTCCTTAAGCCACTTAATACATATTTATTGATGTTATTCCTAAGTCCTTAAAAATATGAGATGACAACATCTACTGAGCTCTTTCTTTGTGCCAGTCACTGGGGAATTTGCTTTCTCCACATATTATTTCATTCACTCTTCTTTATTTATTGATTTATTTATTTTTAGACACAGGGCCTCAGTCTGTTGCCCAGGCTGGAGTGCAGTGGCATGATCATGGCTGACTGCAGCCTTGAACTCCTAGGCTATAGCAATTCTTCCACCTCAGCCTCCTCAGTAGCTAGGACTACAGATACACGCCACTGTGCCTGTCTAATTTTAAAAATATATATATTTGTAGAGATGGGGTCTCAGTATGTTGCTCAGGCTGGTCTCAAACTCCTGGGCTTAAGCATTCCTCCCACCTCATCCTCCCAAAGTAATGGGATTACAGGTGTGAGGCACCGCACCTTGCTTTCATTTAATTTTCACAATAAACTTACAGGTTAAGTACTATTGTTGTTTCCATTTTATAGATGGAGAAATTAAGGCACAGAGTGGTTAAGCAGATTTTCTGGGGTCAAACAAAGGGAAGCAGAGATTCAAATCTAGGTAGTGTGATCAGAGATGCCATGCTTATAAACACGTGATGCTTCCCCACAATGTGCACAGTTCTTAAAAACTAAAGAATGCTACTGCTTGATTCAACTTTGGGATTTTTAATAATTAGAAAACTTTGCCATTTCACCGTTAAAATAATGAATATGAAAATGATTCAACTTGCATAAATAACCTGAGATGGAAAGTTGTTAGCCACCCAAGAGACAGTAAATGAAATTAACACACCTTGGTCCTTGGCTGGCCTTGCACCCACATTGCTTACTGTGGATTAATGATCAAATAGGTATTTGAAAGGTACAGATTATAAATCCATTGGGCAGGACCGGTTCTGCAGAGATGGACTAGTCAGAAATGAGAATTGAGATGTGGGTAATAATAAATGCCATAAAGAAACTGTCAGTTTTCCAGTGGATTAAGATTTCTTTTCAAAGAATGTTTCTGTATTATATCATTGGTCCAAAGTATATTTGACTGTTTTACTATGTTAAACACAGAATGAAGGAGCTTAGACAGAATGGTTAGAGATAGCAGATTAAATACACATGTGTAATTCTATTCTCTCCTCAAAATCCACTAAAATGATTTGTAAAGAGTCTTTTTCAAGAATAACCCACAGACCAAAAAGAATAGTGGAGAATAGATTGGCAACAATATTTTGGGAGCTGGAAAGCAGATGGAATAGAGATAACTGACTTATCAGATACAGGAAAGCTGAATCCCAAGCCAGCAAGGGGGAAAACCCAGATTATCACAGAACCCAGTGCCATGCAGGTTTAAGAACTGATGGCACCAGGTATCTCTGAAAATGAAATCGATGGGCTAAAAATAAGTTGGATGAAAAGTCTGTTGAAATAGCAATTTTATCCTAGATTCACTCTAGGAAATGGTACCATCCCTCTCCTGAGCTAGACAATTATCCTTTGGGTAGTGTGAAACTGAGTGTCTCTGGACTCAGGACAGTGTGCAAACAGTGGGGTTAAGACATAGGTTCATGTATTTAATTGAAGACTCCCTGCTTTCTCTTTCGGACTTGTCTCCCACACAATAGCAGCCAGATGTTTATCTCTAAGCAGCAACTGGAATTTTCTCTGTGGTATCTGACTAGTCTAAGAGGAATAAAAGACCAAAGAAGCTGGCATTGTGGCTCCCCAAGGAAATGGCCTAATCCATTATTCTAACAGTGGATGAACCCCTTTCGTGTACCCAGAAATCACACTCAGCTTTTTAATGCCCCACTCTTAAATTAGAGCAGATAAACAAGAATTACCAGTCATTTAAGGAAAGCATATAATGTGAGATACAGAGAAAGCAGCAAGTTAGAGGAAACAGAAACTACGAAGGGAGGAAAAAAAAAAAACTGGAGGGAAAGGGTGGAATACCCTTGACTTTAAAAAACACAGAAAGATAAGTAGAGATATTGCATTCATGAGCAAAGAACAATGTTCTAAAAAAAGGAATACTCAAAAATAATAATGAGCTGTAATAAATTAAAAATTGAAGAGTAGAAGCAAAAAACGAGAGAAAAATAAGCAGGGGATGGGAAGGGTAAAATAATTCAAAAGGTGATTCAGGAAAATTTCCCAACACTGAAGTTTCTCCTTGAATCTCTCAAATGCCCAGTGTAAGGGGTGAGGTTAGATCTACACTAAGACAGGATCATGAGATTTCAGAACACCAAACACAAGAAGGCCCTTGGTTTCCAAAGAAAAATAGCAGCTTTTGTATAAAAGATCAAGAATTAGACCCATGTTAGATGTCTCAACAGCAACATGGAAACCAGAGGGTGATGAAGCAAGGTTTTCAAAGTCCCAAAGGAAAATTGTTTCCAGTGTAGAATTCTCTATCTAACCAAACTATTAATTAATGTGAGGTTAGAACAAAAACATTTTTAGATATGTGTGGTCTCCAAAATGTTAGCTTACACACACTCTTTCAGGAGACTACTGAAAGATGCACCATCAAACTTGAGGGCATAAACCAAGAAAGACAGGAGGCTCTAAAAAACAAGGAAGCCAACAAAATAGAGAGTGAAGAGAGTCCCCAGGATCATGAGAAAGAGAAATCACAACACAACAGCCTTACAGCAGCCCAGAAACAAAACAATCTAGACTGGAGCAGGTCAGCAGGATCCTGGGGAAATAGCTTCAAGAAGGTGAAACTGATAGAACACCTGATTTGTCTGAATGCATTGAAACTTACATTTGGAGAGTTTGGAGTTGAATAAGAAATAAGTAGAGAGAAAATTAAGCAAGCAAAAAAGTTAATTATTAATGCCAGAAAAAAAAAACATAATATTATACAGAAAAGAGAGAATATTCATTGTATATAACATGCCCCATTGGTGAATAGCATTTACATTGTCATAAAACCAGAAGCACAGAATATTGATCCAACCAAAACTGTGATAAATTGCAATTGGCAGGATGGGGAACAGGAAATGTGCATGTGTGTGGTGGGGGTGGGAGTTCTTGAAAGAAAGCAAAAACCTCATCTTCCGTCGTGGAAGGTCAGTAGATAAAGCCTAAAACAGAAACATCAAAAAGTAGTTACATAAACCTGTTATTTCGAGATATGGAGGTAAATATCAAAAGAATCAGCTAAAGAAGTTGAAAGTGGTTGCCCTTGGCGATAAGAAATATGGGCAGGGACTGTTGGTTTTTCTATAAAGCTTTGTAGAATTATTTGTCTCTTTAACGTGCAGGTACAACTTTAAATAAATGAATTTTGAAAAACACAGAATTGGGATTAACTGTGCACATTGCTGTCAATTGTTGTAGTTCAGGCCACTGGTACCACACAATTTACCAATTCAAGTTTGATATCCACCTGGCCATTTTTAGGATGTGTGGAATATTTATTTATAGAATTTAGAGCTGAAGGACTTTTTACATTTTTTAATTTATTTTTTCAATGGGTTTTGGGGGAACAAGTGGCGTTTGGTTACATGAGTAAGTTCTTTAGTGGTGATTTCTGAGATTTTGGTGCACCCATCACCCGAGCAGTGTACCCTGTACCCAGTGTGTAGTCTTTTATCCGTCGCCACCCCCCAACATTTCCTCTGAGTCTCCAAAGTCCAATGTGTCATTCTTATGCCTTTGTGTCCTCATAGCTTAGCTGCCACATATGAATGAGAACATACGATGTTTGGTTTTCCATTCCTGAGTTACTTCACTTAGAATGATAATCTCCAATTCCTTCCAGGTTGCTGCAAATACCAATTCCTTCCACGTTGCTGCAAACACCATTATTTCATTCCTTTTGTGGCTGAGTAGTATTCCATGGTGTGTGTGTGTATATATACACATAAATTTGTATATATGTTTATAATGTATGTTATAAACATATATATAAATTATGTTTTATATATTATAAACATATATATAACATATATATGTTTATATATTGATGGGCATTTGGGCTGGTTCCATATTTTTGCAATTGTAAAATGTGCCGCTATAAACGTGTGTGTGCAAGTATCTTTTTCATATAATGACTTATTTTCCTCTGCGTAGATACCTAGTGGTAGGATTGCTGGATCAAATGGTAGATCTACCTTTAGTTCTTTAAGAAAACTCCACCCAGTTTTCCATAGTGGTTGTACTAGTTTACATTCCCACCAGCACTGTAAAAGTGTTCCCTTTTCACCACATCAGCACTAACATCTATTTTTTAAATTTTTTTTATTATGTCCATTCTTGCAGGAGTGAAGTGGTATTCCACTGTGGTTTTGATTTGCATTTTCCTGATAATTAGTGATGATGAGCATTTTTCCATATGCTTGTTGGCCATTTGTGTATCTTCTTTTGAGAATTGTCTATTCATGTCCTTAGCCCACTTTTTGATGGGATTGTTTTTTTCTTGCTCATTTGTTTGAGATTCTGGATATTAGTCCTTTGTCAGAAGTATACACTGTGAAGATTTTCTCTCACTCTGTAGATTGTCTGTAAATTCTGCTGATTATTTATTTTGCTGTGCAGAAGCTTTTTAATTTTATTAAGTCCCGTCTATTTATCTTTGTTTTTGTTGCATTTGCTTTTGGGTTCTTGGTCATGAAGTCTTTGCCTAAGCCAATGTCTAGAAGGGTTTTTCTGATGTTATCTTCTAGAATCTTTAGGTTTCAGGTCTTAGATTTAAGTCTTTGATCCATCTTGAGTGGATATTTGTATAAGGTGAAAGATGAGGATCCAGTTTCATTCTCCTACATGTGGCTTGCCAATTATCCCAGCACCATTTGTTGAACAGGGTGTACTTTCTCCACTTTCTGCTTTTGTTTGCTTTGTTGAAGATCAGTTGGCTGTAAGTATTTGGCTTTATTTCTGGGTTCTCTATTCTGTTCCATTGGTCTATGTGCCTATTTTTATACCAAGATCATGCTGTTTTGGTGACTATGGCCGTATAGTATAGTTTGAAGTCAGATAATGTGATGCCTCCAGATTTGTTCTTTTTGCTTAGGCTTGCTTTGGCTATGTGGGCTCTTTTTTGGCTCCATATGAATTTTAAGATTGTTTTTTCTAGTTCTGTGAAGAATGATGGTGATATTTTGATGAGAATTGCATTGAATTTGTAGCTTGCTTTTGGCAGTATGGTCATTTTCACAATGTCGATTCTACCCATCCATGAGCATGGGATATGTTTTCATTTGTTTGTGTCATCTATGATTTCTTTCAGCAGTGTTTTGTAGTTTTCTTGTAGAGGTCTTTCACCTTCTTGGTTAGGTATATTCCTAAGTTTTTGTTTTGTTTTGTTTTGTTTTGTTTGCAGCTATTGTGAAAGTAGTTGAGTTCTTGATTTGATTCTCAGCTTGGTCATTGTTGGTGTATAGCAGGGCTACTGATATGTGTACATTAATTTTGTACCTTGAAACTTTGGTGAATTCATGTATCAGACCTAGAAGCTTTTTGGATGAACCTTTAGGTTTTTCTAGGTACAGGATCATATCATCAGCAAACAGCAACAGTTTGACTTCCTCTTTACCGATTTGGATGCCCTTTCTTTCTTTCTCTTTTCTGATTGCTCTGACTAGGACTTCCAGTACTATGTTGAATAGAAGTGGTAAAAGTGGGCATCCTTGTCTTGTTTCAGTTCTCAGGGGGAATGCTTTAAACTTTTCCCCATTCAGTATAATGTTGGCTGTGGGTTTGTCATAGATGGTTTTTCTTACCTTAAGGTACATTGAATGACTTTTTCTAAATAGACAGGAGCCTCACTACAAAGAAAACTGGCCCAATTTTCTTCCTTTGACACCTTCAAGCCTGCCTTTTTCTCCTTTTTGTCCATAAAAGGTGTTCCAAAAAGGGAGAGGGCATGTGATGGGAAGCAAGAAAGCCATGACTCCAGTTCTAACTCTACTCCTAACCTACTGGTCCTTAACTCACTCAGCATGTTGGTTGTTTCTCCATCTGTAAAATGGGAATAATAATACCCACAGTGCCTACTTTGTAGCATTGTTGCAGGTAATCAAAAGAGAGTGTATAGATAAGGTCCTTTATGAAACTACCAAGTCTTATAGATCCCAGGCATTGCCATTTTTCTCATTACCACTGCAACTCCCTGGGAGAGAAATCAGTACAGGCAATCTAGAAGTTTCCGTTAGTAATACTGATAAGAGTTCTGCGATATTAAAAGAGTGGCATTCCGGAAGGCATGGCAAGAGATGTTTTAACTATTCCATTCTGGTCTGGCCTGATTTAGTCTGCATGTGGCTGCTGTTCATGGGTGGAGCTATAGACACCTTAATACAGAGAAAAACTTATAGTCAGAGTGTGCAGAATTGTGGGTGCTTTTCACTCGGGCACCTTGGCCAGCCAGCTGCTAGAGTATGTATTTTCCTTTGCCCCAAAGTTTTTGTTTTTGTTTTTTTAATCTCCTTGCATTTTTTTCCCGCCTTGGGTTCTTAACAAGAAATCAAAAGCAGGGAGTTATTCTCCTCCTGACAGATCTGACTTTTCTACTGAAAGGAAGAATTTCAAGGCAGCATGTCACTGCCTAAAATGCTTATGAGGGATGCAGTCAGATTGGCCAAGCAATCAAGAGGGAGGCTTTACAAAGCATTGCTAGGCCCCAAAGCCTGCCCAATCTACCCCCTACAGATTCCTGGGACAGAGAGAAGAATTGGTCCTCCGAAGAGGCTCCTGAACACCTGAGATTTAAACTTCTGTGACTTGTGTTGCCAATTTGGTATTGAACATTGTGTAAAGGAAAAGATACCATATTATAGAGCTATAAAAGGGTCTTTGGAAGGCATTGAAATGACCCTCTTAGTTGGCAGAATTGGAAACTGACACCAAGTAATGTGATTTGCCTCATCTGGCCAGTGGCAAAACCAGGACTGGAATCCAAGGCTCTTTTTGCTCAGTTTGCCAGAGAGAGGAGCCTACTGGGCTCTAGAGTGTTCATAGACCTACCATGTAATCCTATATCAATGATACAATATATTATCAGCTAACATGGATTGAGTGCTAACTAGGTGTTAAGTGTTTTACATAAATACTCAGAATCCCAACTACTCTATGTGTTGGGTCCTGTTATTCTATCCTACATATAGGACAACAAGATCAGAGAAGGTAGGTAAGTTTCCCAAGGTTGCACATCCGGTAAGTGCTGGGCTCAAACCCAGTCCCTTCTGACTCCTGACTCCTCCCTTCTGGCTGCCTCCTTCTCCCTGCATTTCCTACATTAAGGTATTTGTGCCTGGGTTTTAATTGTTTGTGGCAACAGTTCTCTTCCCTCTTTCTCTCTGTCTTTCCTATGACTTTGAATTCCCCAGCCCTGTTGGACTGTTGTTTCTGGTTCAAATGACTGACATGGTTTTATTTGGGCTGTTGTCAGAGTGACTGGGTATGGTGAAGTCACCCTCTGGCAGGTGTTCCCTTGCGTGTCAGAGGAGAGTGGCGTCATGGTGAGAGGGGATGGCTGCCTATGGGGTGTGGGAGAGAGCAGCTTGGGACAACTCCAGCTGCAGGTTGGGGAAGTGACTGGCGGAAGCAGTGATTCATCACCCTGGATCCATGGGATTCTCACAATTTTCACGCCTTAAACAAAACTGGTGCATTTAAAAACTGTGTCTGGGAAGCCATTTTCCCTTGATTTACTTGGGCGATGAGGAAATTGTGTTTAAAGCTACACATATAAGAAAGTCAATGACTGCATTACAAAAGAACAATGAACAAATGTGAATTTTAGGTTTCTGGTTTCTTCTATTGAAAGAGAGAGCCTATTATAATTTAAGAGCTATTATCACAGAGTTGTAAAGAGATATTAACTGAGAAAGGATCTCTGAATTTACAATTCAAATATATAAACCCTGGCTAAAATGCAATGAGACTAATTTTTGTGTGTGGCTCTTGAAATCGGTTGTTTAATCTCATACATATGTAATTCTATAGTCACACCCCTCGTTTGTGGAAATTCAAAAATATTTGTAGTCCTTCTTGGCTACCGTTGATCTTAATTACCAATGGAGCTTAAGCAATCAAACTCACTTAGCCACATTTTAAATGGCCCTGATTCACGAACTTGCTCATTTCAGCACTGTGGAAATAGTACTCATTTGGGATTCAGATGGCCCTGGCTTCAGATTCAGATGCTGCCATTCCCTGTGCAATCTTGGACAGGTTACCTCCCTGAGCCTCAGTTTCCTAATTTGTCAAATGAAGAGGATTCGTGTGGGCCTCCAGAAGTTGTTGGGAGCACTAAATGAATTTATTTTATTAAAGAACTATGACATAACAGCTAACACAGAGCAAACATGTGTTAACTAGTAGTTCTTTTTTTTTTTTTTTTTTTTTTTGAGATGGAGTTTGCTCTTGTTGCCCAGGCTGGAGTCCCGTGGTGTGATCTCGGCTAACTGCAACCTCCGCCTCCCGGGTTCAAGCAATTCTCCTGCCTCCGCCTCCCAAGTAGCTGGGATTAGAGGCACCCACCACCACGCCTGGCTAATTTTGTATTTTTAGTAGAGACAAGGTTTCTCCATATTGGTCAGGCTGGTCTCGAACTCCCGACCTCAGGTGATCCGCCACCTTGGCCTCTCAAAGTGTTGGGATTACAGGCATGAGCCACTGCACCTGGCCCTGGTAGTTCATTTTAATGCTGGTGCTAGAAAGTGCTTTGTCTCTTCCTGACATATTTGGAAGAGAGAGACAGTGAAAGAGAGAAAATATAGAGTGGAGATAGAAGGGGAGAATTCCAAATAGAGATTTCCCTGCCGAATGTGTAAGTACCGATTCTCCATATTGTGGGTCAGAAACTTAAGAGTTGTTTCTGTGCCATCTCTTTTTGGGTAACTGGAGAAAATAGGGATATCATGGGGGTTGTAGGTAGTAATAACAGCTGGCTATAGTAATAAACAACTACTTCCTCCTGAGAGAGAGTCACAGAATGCCAGAGAAGGAAGATCTTAGAATTCTTTTACTGCTAGGGAAACTGAGGCCCAGAAAGATGATTTGACAGGGAATTAGCAGCAACGCTAGGCCTCCAACTTGGGACAGCCACTCTGGCATCCCTCCCGCTCTGCAATGCTGCCTTGTGGGCTCTGAACCCACTGCTGTTCAATTCCTTGCCTTTTCTTGGAGCAGCAAAAGCTGACATGCACGTTGCATGCAGGGACCTCCTCTTTAGTCTGGACTTGTTGAGTATTTCCTAATAGGTTGCATCCTTGGGCCACAAACATTAAGAGTCTAAACAAGTGAACTCAAGAGAACTGTTAAGCCCCAGCTCTCTTTTCATCACCTCCATCCCCCTTCCCTGAGTGAAGAATTGCGTAGGTTCTTCCTTGCCTGGACCATTCCCAGCTGGTCCGAAGGGGCCGAAGCTCAGGATGTGCACGTGAAAGGCAAGGTTTCAGCCAACAGGAGTTCTAATTTGAGGCATAAATTAGTGCACACCTGAACAAGTGACATTATCCAAATGATAAATTGCTATAGGCACAGGCCATTGTGTTCCTAAGGGTGATTTATGGCCCAGGTTTGGAAATGAATAGAGAAAGAAATATTTAAATGTAACCATTTAAAAACCAAGCTGTTAGGTTTAGGACTGTCTTCAAAAAATTGAGGCATCTTTCTTTTGTTGGAGTTGTCCATATTAATCAAAATAAAGTGGTATGGCTTTAAATTTTTTTTTTTAAAAAAGAAACAAAACATTTAGGTTTTAAATAGGACATGTAAGGGTTTTCCTTCCTGTTTTATTTTTTCTGGAACACAGAACCCAGAATGAAACCTCCAGGAAACTGTACATACTTTCTTAGGTCTTCTCTCAGTGTCTTATCTTTTGAGGCTAAGCAGTAAATGAAAACCTTAATTGATTTCTTGCCTTATTGAATCTGGGCAAAGATTTTCATCTCTGTAGACATAGAAATATTTGAAAAAGACAACAACAGGTGAATATTATTTCAAAAGTAAAGAGGAGTAAAAGACATAAGCCACCAGGCTCGTGACATGCACATACACACATACACCCCACGTATACACATACACACACATGCCACATACACGCACATAAACACACACACACACATTATGCCTTAAAAGGCAAGGTTCTTCCTTCGGAACATGGAAGCCAGATACTTGAGCTATTTGTCCTTGGCAAAGCTTCTGCAGGGGAAGAGAGAGATGGGCCTCATGAAGTATTTAGGAGAATTCCCACCCAGACAGAGTCACAATGAACAAATGAAATGAGCCTCTTTACAGGACCAATAGCCCTCTGTAAAGCTAGAAATAATGACAAAATACTAATGGCTACCACTTCTTTGGTTCCTACCTGTGCTGTAATGGAGCCCAAACACTCGGTCTGCATATTAACCCATGAGTTGGGAATTGCTATTCACATACGCAGATGAGGAAATTGACCAGAAGGTTGTAACGGTTGACCCATGATCATGTAGCCTGTCCTTGTCAGGGCCCAGGTGCAGAATTGGGTCTGTAAGGATCCAGCACTTGTGTTCTCTCAAATCTTCCCTACTTAACAGTGGTGCCTGTTTTTACCCAACTTCCCACTCCCACCAAGCATTGTACAGTAGCTCTGGGCTCTGGTGCCAGACCATTCATTGCCTAGCAATTAGATCTGGAGCCAGCCACAACCCTCTCTCAGCCATCATTTTCCACATCTATAACATCAGTAATTCATTTCCTACCTAGCTAACGTGGTTGCAATGTCAAATAAAACAAGATGAAATATATGTGAAAACAGCTTCTTACACTGAGATACACCACCATCATCATCATTATCATTTTATATTAACAAATTTTATACCATACAGTTAAGGGATTATTCCACACAAGCCTGCTTGCATCCTCTTAGGAGACTTCTGTAAGCTAAAAAGCCCACGAACAACCACAAAGCTCATCTGAAACCGTGAGTTTTCTTTGTGGGGTCTGCTCACAGATTCCACACCGTGGCGTGCCTCTCCCGGGCTTTCAGGCGGCTGCACTGGGGGCATTTGAGGCCAGAGAGCTTCATGTCTTTATAACATTATGCATTAAAGTCATCTGTAAAATGCAGAGACATTCCAAATAGCCCTTATGTTTTTTATTTTTTCATCTTGGCATGGGGATACAGAGCAATTTTCCAGAATGTTTTAAATAGGAAAAAAACGCTCATTCTCAAGACAGCCGTTCTGTATTCCTGAGCCTCTGGGTCATATTCACATTCAGAAATATCTAAGCCACTAAAGTCTGTGTTTCTTTAAATGGGCTGTTTCTTTATTAAAACAAATGAAGGCAGCATTCGTTCCTTATATAATATTCTTACCTCTGAGCCCTGTGGGCAGGGAGGGTGTGGAAACCTGGGATAAAGCTGTCGAAGGAGGGGGGAGGGGGAGGCCACTACTTAGAGAATGTTTTCTGTAATTCCTAATTGAACCTTTCCACCCAAGTTCACCAGGTGTTTTCACGAATTTTACCTAGTGGTGAGGTGATTAAATGCTTCAATAGGGTCTGCGCCAAGTAAGGGCTGTTCCTAAGGGTTGGCAGTAGTGTGCCACTCTATTTTGTGGTCTGCCTTTGGTAATAACTCTTTATACTTTATAGATTACATTTCCAGTTTAAAAGTCCCTTCACGTCTAGTTTTTCAGTGGTTCACTTTAATAGGCATGCAGCAATCAATCGCTGTGTGCCAAGCACTGCAGAAAGTATTGGGAATGCAGGCTCAACGTGGCCCCTGCCCTTGAGAGGGTCACAGAGGGACAGAGGAGTGACCAAATCGATAAGAACTAACTGCAGCCCAACATAGTAAATGCTGGAGTTGAGACAGGAAGGACCTGGGGAAAGACCTGCATGCTGAGGGAGCAGGCCTCTTCCCAAAGAGGTGGGGGCGGCATATGAACTGGGTCCTGGAGGATAAATAGGAGTTTGGGGGGCTGGGAGGTAGATGCTGTGTGGGGTAGACAGAGGAGGTGCTATAATAGTTACTGGTCTATAGCCAGGACACTCGGGCTCAGGGAAAGTCTCTCGCCCCCTGAGTTCACCAAGAGGAGGCTGCTATAAGGGACTGCTCTCTGCTAGCCTGGTGGCCCTCCTCTCACAGTGCTGTCCCAGCCTTCAAGAAGGTTCTCTTTTTAACATCAAAGGAAGAAACGATGTGAAATCTTCACCTCTTCCTTGTGGGTTTATAAGGTTGATACTTTCCACCAGAGCTGAGTCAGAGACGCTGTTACCAAAACGAAATTTTGTTTTAAATTAGTCTTCCTGGCATTTCCTTCTCTGCTTCATAACTGAATCCCAGGGCATGTCATCCTGTTGTGGAGAAGAACTTACAGAGGGGTTTGTCATGATTAGGGCCAGAGAGGTGTTGGAAATGATTGAATTAAGTGGAACAGCGTGTCATTCTTCTTTTGTTTATTTAACAAGTATTTGTATCAGTAGTGTGCTGGGAAATGTTTAACTCTACAGAAGTTGTTCTACTGAGCAAGGAAGGAAAAAAAAAGCCCTGATGTCTAAGTTTGCCAATTTCTGTGGTGTAAATACTCTCACCGTAGCCAGTTTTGGGCAACCAACGTGAGGGTGGCTGAATACGAGGTTGGGAGGAGAGGCAGACTTGGTGTAGCACATGGCTGCAGGCCCAGGAGATAGACAAGTGAATAACACAGCCCTGGCTGCAGCCCTCTATAGGAAACAGAGCCAGAGACAATTTTTTAATTTGATCTTAGCAATATTTCTGTTATTATTTTGAAGAGATAGAGGCACTGAGAGACAGAAACAGAGAGCAAGACAAAGACTGATCCATTCCTATCTACATATCTTGATAAATTCTGAAATGCTTCAGCCATTTGTCTCTTCCTGTGCCCCTCCCTCGTTATCTACCTCTCTGCTATTGCAGTCTCTGGGACATGGGTGTTTAGAAGAACATCAGATTGCAGGGGAAAGTAAGACAAAGAAAAATAAATGATTTTGATTTTTCAGTGCATCTTGGCATGTAGCATGTGATATACTTAGTATCTTGGTGGTGGGATTTTTCGGCATCTGAACTTGTTTACCTTAGTGACTCATCTCCCCCGCAATGTTTTTGGACCAATGCAGTTTATAAATTAATTAAATAAATAAATATGAATCGATCAGAAGAGGAGCTATTGTGTTTTGAGTGGATGTGTATCAACATCTAACTCTTATAAAGACGTGCCAGACAGCAACAGCCAGTGCTTGGGCCCCATGAAGTGTCTCGACTCCATATTGTAATGTTTCAGGCTAGCCATAAAAAGGAAACTGCTTACAAAGTCTAATTGAGAGGACGCCAAGAAGGCCCCCAGACCCCAAGTGAATTCCTCATCAGTCTGTCACCTTTGCTGAAACATCACTGTTGGTTTATAGCGGTTCCCCCTTGCTAACTGATTCCCATGAAAACTTTGCTATTATTGAACACTGACACCTTAAGATAAATTAGTTTATTGGATAACTTACAGAAGAATAGTTAGCTGCAAGTAGCTTTCAAAGAGAGATAGAGAGTCTGAGTGTAGTTCCAGAGACCAGCACGAGGGCACGGAGGCCTGAGGTATTGGGATCCTGGGGTAGGTTAAAGGGAAGGTCCCTGCCCTCTCACTGAGGACACAGCTATATGTCAGCCCTCTCGGCATGACTCAAGGTTCTCATTGTGAGCATGAATAATCAGCCCACGCCATAATACACTGTCCTTGAGTTTAAAAAAAAAAAAAAAAGTCCTTTATTGAGCAATAACTAGATGCCTTTGTTAGCTCATTATATAACTTATCCCATTTTCACAAAGTCCCTGTAAGTTACACATGCTTGCCTCCACTTTAGAGTGGGGATATATCATTCCTTTTTAGAAGGAAATTAGGGGTCAGAGAGGGGAAGTAACTTACCCAATATTGCACAGCTAATAAGTAGCAAGGTCTGGCTTTCAGACCTGGATCTGTCTGATACTTAAGCCTGTGTCCCCTCCCCGCTACCATGCTGCCTGTTAGGGTGAGAGGGTTTGCTGGCACTTCCCATGGCTCCAGGCTTGGGATGGTGCCATTTTTTTGGTGACTTCTGCTTGCCTTTAGTCCTCTCTGTTCTTCCCACTCTGGTGGTGAATACTTGCTTCTTGCTTAGGGTACCTTGCTGCAGTGCTCCCTGTCTCCTCTTCCAATGAGCTAGTGCTCAGGAACCAGACAACTAAGCATGTTATTTCTAAAATAAGAGTCCATGGATTCTAAGTAGAGTCCTAAGGTTTCTCCAAGTTCAGTACTTGATTCCTGAGACAAATCTTGAACAAGCTTTTTAAACTCATTTTTGAATGCTTTGCTACTTTCTAAATAAATTATGAAGTATATTTCATAGGTAAAATATTCCATACATATTTTGTAAGTACACTGCAGGTGGTGTGTGTGTGTGTGTGTGTGTGTGTGTGTGTGTGTGTGTGTGTGTGTCTGTTGGGGAAATGAAGGGGAAGGGGTGGAGGAAAGCTTCTGAGCTCATTTCATTGTTTGGGGCTCACACATTAATTAAGTTTTTTTTTCTCATGTATAATAATTAATTTAGTGACTATTGCCAGACGGAAACTTTTGAAATATGTGTCTCCTTAATGCCAGAGTTCAAGCTCAATGGATCAGATTACTTATCTTCCTGGTGGGTTGGGGCTGGTCTTGTGGCATAGCTGTAGGCCAGTGATGATCGTATTAATCTTCTACACATCTGGTTGATTTTAAAGCTTTCCGTGCACCACCCCAAAAGGTCAGCCTAACTCCTGGGAAAAGACTGGAACTTTTAGTTGAGCCAGTTTGTGTGAGCAAGTCCCTTCACCTGGCTAGCAGCCTCACCGGCCTCTTGTGGAGAAGGAAGTACCTAGCTGCTGAAGCTGGCAATTGCTCGATGAGCCCATCCAGATCTAGGGCTCCACTGCTGCTTCTTGTCAACCGCGTGCTGGTCTTGGTGGGAACCAGGGTGTGCTCACTACTTTATAAATGACACCGGTGTCCTTGGCTGGGCCCGTAAGGAGTTAATATCTCATAAGCAGAGTGCGAGAAGTCTTACATAACTCATTCAGTCTCATCTCATGGGTGTTTTTCTGTAAACTCTGCCAGAACTAATTTCACGGTTTTAAAACAACTCATGGTACCCAAAGAATGTGTAATGAGCTGCCATGAGATGTGATTGTTTCCTGTTTGTAAGGAAAAGACCTGTGGCTTCTTGGGACTTATTAGGAATCATTTCTCAATTAATGTACAACCCAGGCCCTTGGAAAGGCACACACAGTGCAGCAAAGATGGCTTTGGAAGGCTGTCCTGGACAGGAGCTCCAGAACTGTCCCTTCTCCCAGCCACCTCATTCCCACCTATGTATGGCTATCTTTTTTTTAATGGTATAATACACATAATGTACAACTTACCATTTTAATCATTTTTAAGTGTGCAATTCAGTAGCATTTAGGACAATCACAAAGTTATGCAACCATGACACTATCTAGTTCCAGGACATTTTAATTATCCCAAAAGGAAATCCCATTTCCCATTCCCTTCTGCCACTGGCAACCACTAATCTGCTTTCTGCCTCTGTGCAGAAATAATAATAATAATAATAAATATAATTAATAAATATATAGATAATATAATTATATATTATATAAATATATAAATAAAATATATTTAGACATAAATAATGATAAACCTACTCATGGTATTTGTATAAATGGAATAATATATTATGTGGCCTTTTGTGACTGGCTTCTTTCACTGAGCATAATATTTTCAAGGGTCATCCAGGATGTAGCCTGTATGGGTCCTTTATTCTTTTTTTTGTGGCTGAATAATATTCTTTTGTATGAATGTACCACATTTTGTCTATCGACTCATCAGTTGATGAGAAATTGAGGTTGTTTCTACCTTTTTCCAATTGTGAACGGTGCTGTTATGAAGATTTGCATACAAGTTTTTCTTTGAACACTTTCTTTGAGTTCTTTTGGGTATATACCTAGGAGTGAAATTGCTGGATTATATGATCATATGATAATTCTATGTTTGATTTATTGAGGGGCTACCAAATTGCTTTACATAGTGACAACGTTATATTCCAACCAGCATGTACACATAAGGTTTCCAGTTTCCTTACCAACACTTGTTATTTTATTTCTTTTTTTTTTTGGCGGGGGGTGGATAGCCATCCTAGTGGGTATAAAGTGGTATCTGTCTGATTTTCTTTCAGAGTAATTTGTTTTCCCAAATAGTTTAAAGATTTTCAGAGGTGAAAAGCTTATACCGACCTGGTCACTGCCATGGGCTGGCCCAGCCTGACCTGCTAGGTCTCATTACCTCTCCAAGTTTAGAATCAGGCTTCTCCATGTGGGGAAGTCAAAAGGGTGAGTGCCTGGAGAGTCGTGTGCATGGGGAAGCTCTTGAGCTCAAGCCTGTTCCAGCATACATTCTGTGTCTCCCAGCAGAGCTAGAATACCACCCTCACTGTGATACAGAGAGGCACTGAGAGCAGAGAGCCTGGTTCCCGCACCCAGGAGGAGACGTGGCAGAACCACAGCTAAGGCCTGTCTCACTCCTACTTCAGGCTTCTTTCAGTTCTGTCAAGAACCACACATTCACTTTGCACTTCCCTTTTTTGAGGATGCAAAGGTTAAGAAAATGTTATAATGATGATGGTTATATTTGCATAGGCTTTACACATTTTGATACCCACAATGATCCTGTAATGTAGGCAAGACATCAGGTAGTATGATCCCCATTTGAAAGCTGAAGAAACCGAGGCATGAGGCCTTTTGGGTAATTTCCCAAAGTTATCTCCATTACATTACTTTGTCTTATGTAATGTTTTATGGTGGTGCAGTGCCTTACAGTCTACAAGGCATGTCACATCTGGTAGGGATGGAGGTGAGGGGAGAATGGTGGGCTAGGTGAGGGGAGTTGCCATATATAGGGAGGCGCCATAAGGAAGGCCTCCTCTGATTGTCTGTGGTTGACAAATCAACCTGTTGTTTCTGCCTTACTCACCATGGAGGGAGGGAGGGCAGGAAGCTGTTTGAAGTTGTGATATTAGGAGATCAGTGGCTGTTTGAGATCCCTCCTTCATCATTGCATCATATTAGCTACCATATACCACCATGGTATCAAACTGTGCCTCAGCGAAATACAGTTTAAAGACTGAGCCTTCCCTCAGGGAGCTTCCAGTCTAAACAGTTGTCAAATTCTTAGCTCAAAAATACTCTCCCGGGGTTTGGCTGCCCTTTCCAACACAGTTTAGAGAAGAAGAATATAAAAGCAAATTCTACATCTCAAGCAGCCCATTTTGAGTTGGGGTTTTATTTGCTGCTGCTGCTCTTGTTGTTTCGTGGTGAGCACAGGAGTAAAGGTGAAGAGCTCCTGCCAGCCTACAGAAGGTGAATAGCCCATTTGAAACATTGACTTCGGGTTGCCATTTTGAATTCTCTCTATGGCTGTCTCCACCACCAACCACAAACTTCAGGTTGGTTCTTCAGAGGTAAGGACTCTTTTTCCCGGTTCCTGAGGTGGCATACATCTAGTGTGTGGGGATTTTGGATACCTGATATCACCCTATATGCATAGCAAAATGGTGATAGATTATAAATGCCAGTGCTTATGGTAGGTTTCTTGAGGTTTTTATGTAATTGAGAAGCAGTGGGAAGGGGTGTCGCATTTTAGCAACTAAGGTCCAGGATTTGTTTTGAAATGAACCCCTCTGAGGGCAGAATCTCAGCACCACCCATTTTCCACATTTGTGTGGTTGAAGGACAGAAAGTGGACAGGCAGAACTCCAGGCCTACGGTGCTTGTGAGCAGTGAGCCCTAGGATATGGGCGCATGAGGCACAGCACCCTTCTAAACAGAAAGCAAGTAAGGAAGCCAGGTGCTTTTTCTCTGCCTCTGGTTGAATGATAACTCCACCCTATCAGAATAGAAGTACTGTTATTCAACAAACAGTGGCCAATCGTTTAGAAATTAATGATTGCCATTTTGAACATGTATTGGATTTTGCTGTCGGAAACCTGCAGGCAGCTCATAGGGATATTGGGGACTCAGTTAGCTGGTGACGTCAGTGGAGGTTTGGATATCTAAAAGCAAGCTTTGGATATCTAAAAGCAAGCTTTGGCTCAGTGGTATGCACCCAGTATTTTTCCCTAGGACTTTATGGTCGTTTTTCTTCCAAAGGGCAGCATACACACAGGTGTAATGGTTCTCTGGTGACCATGTTCAAATCTATCTAAAAGCCATTTGAAAACACAGGTGATATGTATACTTCATTATGTGCTATAAGTTGGGTAATGGGAGCAAATTAAAAAAGGAAGATTAAACATGGAATATGTGTGCAGGAGGGAGAAAAGGTTTCTCAAGAACGCGGTGAAACAGCAGATTATTCAGCCTTTCTCTACTCTCTTCATTAAAGCAATAGTGTTGGGCTTTGAGATTTTCTGTTTTAGTCAGACCTTTATTTCATTTATGCCAGTATTTGTAAATAATTATATGAATGTGGCATTTTAAGTAGACCTGTTACCAAACAGCATGTTATTTGCAGTGACTGTTTTCTGGGGAAGAAAAGAAACAGTTGAACACACGGCACTCAGCAGAATTGTAAAAAGGCTGCCAAAGAAGGGACTGTATTTTTCTACCTTTTCCCTGTCACCTTGGAGAGCCAGCTGGGACCCAGGTCCTCAAAGAACCCGTTCTAGAGTGCACTGTCTGAGTCAGGAACTTCCCACTGCTTGCTTAATCCGGCAGAATCACAGAGGCACTGAGGCGGGAGAGAAAGCCTGCACGGCTCAAATGTCACAGAGCATCAGGACTGAGGAAGGCTACCCCAGGGCAGCCTCCCAGGATTTGGTGGCCAGTAAGCCTTGGAGTCTAGCCTGGCTTAAGTCCATCTCTGTGGCAAATCACCAGAAAGCTCTTTGAAGTTTCATAAATTCTCCCCCAAGTGAAACATGGACACACTGAATATTTAATTAACTGTTCCCAGTCCTTGGAGGCTCAAGGCTTCCTTACTCTCTGCTTCTCACACAGGCAAGACTTGTGCAGTGAACTTTCGCACTTGACTAAGCACATTCTGATATGGTTTAATGTAGTTCCTTGGTGTTTGAGATGACTTAAGAAACTGGCATCCAGCATCAATATATTGAAAATGTGAAAGGGAATCTGGCAGTTGGGATAATCAAACCACCTTACCTCTGTCTGCATTGGGCATTGCAGTTTGCAGAGCACATGTATTGTGGCTTACCTCATTTGATTACTTCAGCCATGGCAGCATATTTTTTTGTTGTTTTTAAGTGATGAGACTCCAAAGGATGTTGGTGTGTAAGACACTTCTAAGCCTTATTAGTTCTTGAATGAATTTTATGAGTTTGTCTGATCATGAAGACTAAGACTTAGTTACTGTAACCATAATAATAGTAAAAATTAAATGAAGACTACTCCTAACATACTGCACCAGTTTAGTCTGAATCACAGTATGTTCAGGCCAAAAGGAACTTTTGAGATCATTTACTCCACTTTTTCTTGTTATAAATGAAGAAACTAAAACACCAAGAAGTTAACTTTTTGCCCAAGGTCACACAGCTAGAAAATAAAATCAAGTTTTCTTTCTCTTTTTTTTTTTCTCTCTCTCTCTCTTTTGAGGGAGTGGTGGGGATGGGGAGGAAGGGAGCAGGAAAGACAGTATTTGTAGAATTTAGGGGTTTTGTGACAAAGAGGCAATGTGTCATTTACTATAGGGCAAAGTATGATTATATGGTATAAATTTGCTACCCACTGGAAAAATTAATAACTTCTTACATCTTTGAGAAAACATTTCCAGTGATCCTCACTCCTCCCTGTAGATCTGAGTTACCATTTGGTGTCATTTCCCTTAAGACTGCAGAACTTTCTTTTCCAGTTCTTTTAGTACAGATCTCTTGGCAATGAATCTCTCAGTTTATCCAAAAAGGACTTTATTTTCTCTTTATTCCTGAAGATACAATTCTGGGTTGACAATGTTTTTCAGTCTGTACCTTAAAGATGTTATTCCGTTGTCTTCTGGCCTTTGCTATTTGTGAGAGAAATAGCTATCATTCATATTGTTGTTTCTGCTGTAGGTCTCTGGCTGCTTTTTTGATGTTCTCTTTATCTTTCGACTTCAGAAAATTGACTGTGGTTTGTCTAGATATTGTTTTCTTTGTATTTGTCTTGCTTAGGATGTGCGGAGTTTCTTGAATCTATAAGTTGATGTCTTTAACCATACTTGTTAAATTTTCAGCCGTTCCTTCAAATATACTTTTTCTGCTTCATTCTCTCTCTACTGTTCTTCTGGAACTTGCTATTTCATATATGTATACTGTTTGATGGTTTATAATGCTCAAGTCACTGAGGCTCTGTTCACTCTTCTTCATTATTTTCTCTTTGTTCTTAAGATTGAATACTTTCTATTAATTCATCTTCAAGTCCATTGACTCTTTCCTGCCATCTCCAGTCTGCTGTTAAGCCCATACAGTAGTATTTTTTTTCATTATATTCATTCTACTTTTCAACTCTAGGATTTCTATCTGGTTCATTTTTATAGTTTCTGTTTCTCACTGAAGTCCCATATCTGTTCATTTATTATGTATATATTTCCTTCAATTTGTTGAACATATTTATAATGGCTTCTTTAAAGTACTTATCAGCTAAGGGCATTATCTGAGTATTCTTGGGGTTGGTTTTTATTACTGCTTTTTTTTTTCTTATGTGTTACATTTTACTCTTTATTTGCATGTATGGAGACTTTGGATTGGGTAATAGACAAAACAAATGATTGTTGCAGAGACCCTAGATTCTGTTTGTTTCTCTGAAAATAATTTTTGCTTTAGCAACCACTCGACTTGCCTGGACTCAAATTCCAGCTCTGTTGTTCCTGCGGTCGACAGCAGATAAAGTCACTTTTCTGTTCTTTTAGCTTCCAGCTGCTTCTTCGTATTGGGTCCCTTGGAGTCTCCCTCATGCACATATATTTTTGCAGCCAGCCGAGGATTGGGCAGATTTTGTACATAGATTTTGCAGCTTGCTGCCTCTGCAGTTCCCACCTTTCCAGAATTTCTCCCCTTATGTTCTTGTTCCTTTTCTGACTTATTTCTCTGACAGTTCAAGCTATCCAGAGCTGAAAGCTAACTTGGGAGTGCTCCCAGACAAAACCCCACAAATTCATAAATTTTACTTGGTGAAGGTTCATGTTTCAGGGGACAGACTCCCTTCCAGTTCCTGTTGGACTTTTGACTGCATTCCATTGCCTTGAAAATGGTTTTTAAAAATTATTGTGTGTAGATAACTTAACTGTTATCTGTAAGGGGTTAGTAGATTATGACCAAAAGCCAATAGCCCTTACATTTATATTTAGATATTTCAAAACACTTTGTCTCCGTTAACACAGCTCTGGGAGGCAGAACTAATATTATCAAGTCTATATCACAGATGAGATGACCTAGGGAAGTTAAGTGACTTGCCCAAGTAGTAACTGAATCAGGCCTGAACTCAGAGCCCATGACATCAGCCTGGGCTCGTTCTACAATCAGTTTTATGTACGTTTGATTCTAAAAGAGCCAGACTTTTTGATACCAAAGCATCTATTGCATTTTCTTCCCAATAAACACCACCAAACAAGCAAAAGACAATGAAACAATAGACAGTCCTGGATTTTGAAGCTTTTTGGGGGGGCAATGGGGGGGCGTTTCTAGGGCCTCTGAAGGTCATAGACATTTCTGAAGAGAAAAACGTTACCATGATGGTGTTGAAAGGAAAATACCTGTGGTAACCCTGGAACCATCTGGTACCTACAAGCCCCAGCATGCATAATTGTGAAATTGAAGCTAGGCCAGAAGTTTTCTTCATGAGAAGCCATATATAACCAGGACAAGAGCGCTGTGCATTACATATCCAGGAGCTACCTCTTGAAATTCTTAACATAGCAAAGCAGAATACTCAGCCAGCATTGGCCCCTGTGGTAGGAGAAGGTCTTCAGCTCCTCTCCTTCATGGGGGACTCAGTTGAAAACATCTGCAGGTTGAAAGTCACACAAAGACGAGGAATGTTCTCAAACTGGTGGCTTGCCTAGGCACTTTAAAATATGTATACAGCCTTCTTACTCATCAGGTTCTAGACTTGCAGTTTCCATTCTCTGTCAGTCCCCAGTCTTCCTGAGGCCATGGTGCCACACCATGTTAAAGTCACATCCCAGCTTCTTGAAGGAAATACAGCTTTCCACTAGCCTCTCCATCAGCGCTCACCCAATTAATTCTCCTGGTGCACTTCCCTTCAACATCAACATTTGTAGTTGAGTTAAGGTTTCTCAAAGTGTAGTCTTCGAAAACCTGCACCAAGATTGTGAGTGGACACATTTAAAATACAAATTCTCAGGCTCCACTCCAATTATACAGACATGAGAAATTCGACTCTCTGGTTTGCAGGTCAGAGAATCTGCCATGGAATAAGTGAGTCAGGTGATTTAGATGCTCACAAAAGTGGAAGAACCACTGGTCTGGGTGAAATTATGAGTGCTAAGACCTCTAAAGTCTAAAGACTTAACCTGTGTGAGCCACTTGTCTTTTCACTTGGGGTATTGCTTCTTTTTCTCTTGGGTCATAGGTTCTCAGATGGAGGAAGGTGAGTCTTGGAAATCAATTCTGGCTTCAACACTTATCGGTTGTATCATCTATAGGCTGCTGTGCTGCTTAGAGGAGAATATCCTTCCCAAAGTTATTTGGCTGTGCCTATCACAGACTGGGCACCCCAAAGTAGTTCCTTTTTCTTTATTCATTTAATTCATGCTGCCTATATTTATTGAATGCTTGTTACAAGCAAGGAATTGCACTCAAGAGACCAGAAGTAGACCCACTTCAAAGCTGATAAAACTTAAACTTCAGGACCCTTCATTTGCACCGGCCTCTCCTAAAGCCCTGAGAATGCCCCTAGTAATTTATTTTCATGGTTATAGGTTTCTGTAATATTTGCAAAAGTTAGATATTTTACAATTCTTTCTTCTTAAAGAAAATCCCCTAACTTGCTTAAACTTCAGCTGCCCCAAACCTAGATCTGTCCCTGAAAGAGCTCACAACAAGTGGGATAAAGAAACATACATATAGATTATCAAGAAACGGTATGGATAGTCGGTGCAATGCAGACCCAGTGCTGGGAATTCTGGCAACACATTTGTAAGGAAGCAGGGTGTCCAGGGAAGTCTTCCTGGAAGAGGTGGTGCTTGAGTTTGGCCATGGAATAGAAGGAAGACTCTTCTAGAGAAACAGCTTGAGCAAAGTTACAGAAGCAAGATATATTAAGTGTTTGTGTATGTGATTAAAATACTTTGCTGTTTGAGGGCATTTTCCTTCGGGCTGGGATGGCCTCTGATGCCAGGATGAAGAGAGTCCTTTTCCAGGGAGCAGTATGGACTGTGGGGCTGTGTTCCTTGGGAACACCTGATCCTTGGGATCCTGGCCTCAGCTGGCTCCTCTGTTTGGCCTTTGGGAGGCCTACTGGTGACAACATCAATAATTGTTCTTCAAGGAAAAATCACTCTTCTATTCCTTGCTTCTTCTCCCATAGCCCTCCAACCCTTCTTTACTGTCAGCCTTGCAAATCAATATTTCATTTTGAAGAGCCTTGTTTGATGCCAGTTCTGCTTATTTGCTTCGCAGCCACTGTGGGTAACGCTTTGTAGGTCTGTCAGTATGTAAATTAAACCAAGCATAGATAGCTTTGTGTTGCTTAATGTTCAGCTGATAAAAATTAATGTGGTGTGAAATGAGCATTTTATCTGACTGCAGATACAGTGACGGAGTTAATTAGACAGGCAGAGAGAAAATGTTATTAAGCGGGACAGGGGCTTTCTCATGGAAGGGGGCTCTGACCCTCAGACAGCAGGTTTGGATGGGCCGTGGGTGTGGCTGAGGTACCTGGGCTGAGGCCAGCTTGGAGCAATGAGGCAGGGAGGGTGCCTTCTTTAAGCAATCAGCCCCGTGGTGCTGATGACTGTGTGGATCCTGCCTGGGGAGGAAAGGAGGGAGGCACAGGCCAAGCTAGGCCAGGCACTTCCAGCTCACTGCAAAATGCATGCGTCAGCATTTGCTGAGGCGGCTTCTTCTTGGTGCAGCAACACCGTGATTAGTAGAGAAAGGAGTTTCGTTCTTAAGCAAGAAAAAGAAAGATGATAGGTCAAGCACACGTCACATAGCAGTCAATCGAGGGGAGTTTGGAACCCTTAACTTCCCACTAAAATGTCTTGAGCTGTGCGTTCCTGGCCTTTGCACACACTGTTCCCTCTAATGGGAAAGCATTCCCCACCCCACCAGCCATGAACTTAGCACATTCTATTGCAATCATCTGTCTCCCCACTCGACTGTGTGCTCCTTGAGGTCAGAGATGTGTCTTGTGCATCATCAGGGACCCTGGTGCAACAACATGTTCTTCATAAATGTCAGTGGAGTGGATGAATGCACATGATGCTCACTCAGCCCGGAAATTTCAGCCTACCCCTGCTTTCAGCATCCTTCCTGTCTCGGCTCAAATGTCACATCCCCACCGAAGCTTCTTCTGCCTCTCAGACATGATCAGCTCCCCAGATAGATACTTTTCAGACACCTTGTACTTCTCCTTCATAGACCTCTCCAAGTTTGTGATTCACTATTTGTGTGCCTATCACTGCCACCAGACTTAGCTCCATGAGGGTAGGAACTGGGCTGTTTCACCCACTGCAGTATCCCCAGCAGCCACAAGGGTGCCCAGCACAATCAATACTTCTTAAGTATTTGTTGAATGTTAATACATGAATGAATGGTTTTTCTGATGCCTGATGAACTTCCACTCTTTCCTCAATGCCTTGTTTGGGGAAGGTTTCCTAGGCTCTTCCCACAGAGTTTCTCCTTCCCTGAAGTTCTCATAGCACCTTGTAGATTGCAGTGATAGGCTTGCCAAAAGGCAGCTGTAAATTTTGGGTTATATCCTCTCCTAGCCAATTAGGAAAGATCTCCTTGAAAGCAGTCAAGGTGCCTTATTCAGCTTTGCATTTTCAGTATCTCTCACAGGGCCTGGCCTTTATAAGTGCTCAGTATGGGTTGCAGAATTTGTAAGAACAATTGTATGTATCCCTTGGTTAGTTAAGCTGTATTTCTGTTAGATAAGCAAATTCTTAGCCCACTAACGTATGCTGTCCCCACTCCACCCCTTGCAGAGGAACACTCAGAAAAGATGACTGGTTGTGGCCATCCCTCCACCTTGACCGCAGTTGCAGGGGAAATGTTGTGAAGAAATGCCACAGTTAGTGGCTCCTTCGTGATTGCTGCTAGCATTCGAGGCGGGTACAACCTTTCCAAACAAACAAGAAAGGGACTGTTGCATTGTTGAATCGCGTGCATGCCTGCCACATCTGTCCCTCAGCCAGCCCAGCATCCTTGAGCTCGCAGGCTTGGTGGCAGCTGCTTGAGCAGTAACAGGGCCTTCTGTTCTGTTGGCCCCATGGCGCTCCCCAGCATTTCTCTTGAGTTTTCCTGTTAGATCTCTTTCCATGGACTACACCTTTGCAGCATTAAATGACTTGCTGTAGATTTGCTTATTAACCTCTCTGTTTCTCATTTGTAAAATGGGATGACATTCTCAGAGCTATAGACTGAAAGTCTTAGGTATCTTCACAAAACACTGACAAGATTCCACTCACACACCACCCCATGGTTCCTGAGACACTGACCCTGAGAAAAGCCATGGTTCTCACTCTGTGATCATTCGTCTGCTCCACACCTCCGCTGGGAAGGTTGCTAAATGCCTATCACGAGCTGAGACTCCAGAAAGACTTTACCTGCACTCGCACAGCTGTTGCTGAGTGAGGTGTGGATCCAGTCGGGTGAGCATCAGGGAGGGAGGAGGCCTCCTGTTTGTTTGCCAGTCCCAGGCAAGACAGGGCCCAAGGACCACTGGAGGAATGACAGACCTCAGGGCAGATGGGCAGTGTGTTTTGCAGCAGGATCTGGCCCTTTGCTCCTTTCCCCTGGGTCTCTGTGCATCACGAAGCTGCTCAGTAGCCCTATTTCAGGGAGGCCACGTGATCCACTGTCAACCCTGGCTGGCCCTGGTGGCAGAAGGTTGGTGTCCTTTAGCTCTCTAGAGTAGCCCCATCTCTGTCTTCCCACCTGCCTGGACTGTGCCCCCAACTTGGCCCAGCCCACTCCTGCTGTGCAAGGTGCATCTCACAAAGAGAGTAGCTTCCATCGTGTTTCTCTAGCGAGGCTCAAGACTCTTTGTAGAGTTGGTTAAGGAGGTGGATACTTTTAGGTAAAAGGTATTAGTAATATTTATCTTTTTGAGGCATTTTTGTTTCTGTTATCTTGTTTTATCCCCTGACCTTTCAACAAGGAGCACACTGATATTGTCACCATTTGATCAATGGGGAAATGGAGGGACAGATGTATTTAGTGGCTTGTCCAAGGTAGAACATCCTATCCAGAGCACTCCTGTACACTGATACAGCCCAACTCTCAACCGTAGTGATGTCGTGTATGTATAAACATGACATCTACAGCTGATGAAGCCCCCAGAGGCCTGGAACCATGTCTTTTGGCGTATTCCACAGGGTTCCTTGCAAAGGCAAGTCTTTAATAAAAGATTTTGGTGAAGTTATTTGTCAGGGATCCATTCATTCCATTCATTTAGTGCCTAACAAATAGTTATACTGAGTACCAACCTTGTGAGGTGCCAGAGATGAGATGGAGAACAGAGACACAGGCCCTGTTGTGCGGAGCATACAGTCTTCTGCAGGAGACAGAGCTTGTCAGATTGCCACCAAATCAATGTAAAACAACAACAGTGACAAACGCAATGAAGGATTTGTCCCCTGGAAATACTTTAGCCTCAATATGGAGGGGAGGAATGCTTCCCCGAGGAAGCGATGATCGGAAACATGAATAGGACTGAACCAGACAAAGGGAGTGTGATATGCAAAGGTCCTGTGGATAGAGGAAGGATTATGTATTTGAGGAACTGGGTGAAGGCTACCGAGGCTGCAGCCCTGAAACGTGAGGAAGCATGATGTGAGATGTAGCTAGCTGGAGGGACAGACGAGAGACCTGACTTGAGCTTCCTGAGCTACTGCTTGCAGAACACCTGACATTTCCTTGTGCCACATTCATTTGTAGATGAATCTGTTCAAAAGAATGCATGAGATTGTCCTGGCAGTTACAACTCTCTCTTTTCCTTTTTATGCCTCACTTACTAGCAATTAAAATTGAGATCCCTTCTCTGTTTACCTATTCATTTATTTAAAATGTTTATCACTGGAAAGGGGATGCTGAAAGTTTCTCCTTCTTTGTTTCCATCAGTGACCTCAGGAAGAAAGTTTCAAACCCACACAAGTCTGCCTCCTGGTAGACCATCTGAGGGCATGGATCAAGCCTGTTAGAAAGATGCTCACTGATGTTTACTTTTCGAGTGCATGAAACCAGACACTGAAACTGTTCATTAAAAATTCCTATGTTCACAGACAAAGAAAAATCATTTCAGAAGCTCTGTAATGAATGTACAAGTGGGTACAGGTTATCTTGTCAAACACAATAATCGTGAGTAAATGCAAACGGATGCTGCTTGTATTTGATTTTGTCTTTAATTGAAGCATGCTGACAGCTGCCTCTGGACTTCCACATCCTTGGGTTGGGGGATCTGGCTTTTTGCTTTGTAATTTCCTCTCGCCAGGGCTGGGACAGGGGTGACATCTAAATATGAGAAGCATCTGGTCAGGGAATAAAATGGAGAGAAATGAATGAAATTAACATGTATGTATAGGCACTTTCACATGACCCTTCACACAAGGACACAGCTAGGATACTGGTGAAGGGCATAGGCGACATTTCTACTTTATAGAGGTTAGGTTGGTTTTCTACTTTAAAGAAAAGAAATTAGTATGAGAGAGAGTCACTGCTCAAGTCATACAGCTGTTAAATAGCAGAACCAGGATGCTAATTAGGTCTTCTGAACCAACACTGAAAGCTTTCTCTTCAATTTTACAGCTGTTCTTTGCATTTCACCCATATTGTACATCCAACTATGGATTCAGTCTAACAACAGTACACTCAGTGCTGGGCTAGTCACCAGAAACAGAAGGGTGAATCAGGCAGTGGTTCCTGGGCAAAGATGCTCACAGCCAGGTAGGGTAGACAGACAGACACAGTGATGGAATCAAAGCTCTATAATGGTTGTGCAGCACAGTTTGAAATGCCAGCAGGACCAGAACTTTTTGCCACACAGTTTGGAGTGACCCAATTGGAATGTCCAGAATCTCCATCTCCCCCATTGAATGGAAGATCCAAGGTTAATGTGCTTAATGAAGCAGTATGATTTCAGTAACATTTGGGGAGGCCAATACAGGGTCCCTATATTTTACTGCAAAGGAATAACATGAACAACAACAACAACAAAATAACTCCATCTATTTTTTGTCATCTTTCCCCTAAAAAGTGGACTTTGGGGACTGAAAAAATAGAAAGGACATTATCTTAGAGTAAGGAATAATTCTCTCCTTTGAATATATTTAGCTTCGTGGAAACTTATTATGTTATCCTTATTTTCCCCAGTTAGATACAGACCAGTGAGAACCAAAGCATGGGCCTGCCCATACTGTTTACTGACCAGCATGTGGAAGCCGTTGATGTAAAGGAGGGATGGCTCCCCTAGGTTTGACCAGAAATCATTGTGTTAAACTAATTGTGGGAATGGTTTATTATCATGCGTACAAATTCTCTTCTTTGCCAGTCTTGAAAAGATGATTAGCCACATGGATCTGGGTTTCCTTCATTTCAGGGTGGCTAACAGACAGGTTGTTGATCTGAAAGGTTCTGAAACCCTGGCATTTAAAGTTTTCTCAGGCCCTTACTGGAGGTACTTCCAGGACCTGAATGGATGTGAGCTCATGTGGCTAGTATGAGGAGAGTGGGGCCCCATTTTAGCACCTTTCAAAGTCATCCCATGTGGGAAAATGGAAGAGGTCCTCTGCAAAGGTGAGACTCAAAGGCCAAGGACCTGACTTAGACCAGAGACTCAAGGATGCGACGTTTTAAGCCTTCTTCCTGTATCCAGCGTGATCTTGGTGACCCTCTGTATTTCATTATTTTCATTTTCAAAATCCTTAATAAAAGCCCCTTTGTGTTTTAAGTGTTCTCACCACAAAAAATACTGTTTGGGAGGTAATGCATATGTGAATTAGCTCAATTTAGCCATTTCATAATGTTTACATATTGCAAAACATTGTGTAGCACACAATAAATACATATAATTTTTGTCAATAAAATTTAATTAATTTTTAAATAGAAAAGAAATAAACACCCCTTTGCAGAGATGAGGTGGACAAGAAAACAGCTGTTTTAAGGGCCTCCTAGTACAGTCTGTACAAAAGCCTTTATTTCTTTGGTATATTAAAAAAAAGATAAAAACATTCAAGTAAATCCTCTGATTCCAGTGACATTAGATCTTACATGCACCCCCTTTGTATTTGCAGTTTGATTTCTTTTTTTTACTATTCCATTATCAATATACCAGAATTTGCTAAGCCATCCCCCATTATTGAACATTAGGCTCCTTCTGGAATTTTGTGTGTATGTCTGTGATTAGATTTGATCATTAAAGGCAGTAGTACAATTTGTGTAGTATTTTGCTTCTGTCAGATTATTTCCTTAGCGTATAGTCCCAGAGAAGGCTGCTGGGTCGGGATATGCACATCTTTATAATTTTGGTTACCAATTGCCATATTTCTTTCAAGAAGAATTATGCTGGTTTAACTCAATGCCTATAGCATTTGAGTCTATCAGTTTCCATGCAGCTTGGCCAGCATTAGGGTATTATTTCCGAAAACTGAAATGTTACCTTTTCAAAGTTGCTTTAATTTGCATTTTTTATTACTAGCAGGGATGAACATTTTCCCACATGTTCACTTATCTCTTACTACTCATTAAAAATGTTTTAGGGCCACATTTGAGAGAGGGGTTGTCTTCGGGAAACTTTGCTTCTCATAGAGGGAGGGGCAGATGGCAGCTGTGGAAGAGTCTCCATGAATAAAACTTCAACTGATTTCTGTGATATGGAGTGACTTCATATCATATGACCGCCTTTGCAGTTAAAAAAATGAAAAGATGGTTGTAATTCTTGTGGCCAAGAGAAACGGACTTACCAAAATAAAGATCGTGAAAGGAGAACATATTTGTTTATTCTGCTGTCCTTATTGAAAAGTTTCCAGAAGTATCTACAATGCCGTCAATCTCAGGTCTTTCCATCTTTCCAGTTGTGTACTTTAACACTTTCAAAGCAAAAGAGTGGTTGCAAAAGCTATATGGTACACTTCCTTAGCTGTATTTGTGCATTAATTTTCACGTGCTCTTAATCATTGGTCTTCTGAAAACAGTCGTGCAACGGGCATTTCTTTTTTTTTCTTTTTTTGCTGAGTTGGAGTCTCACTCTGTCGCCAGTCTGGAGTGCAGTGGCGCGATCTCAGCTCACTGCAACCTCCGCCTCCCAGGTTCAAGCAATTCTTCTGCCTCAGCCTCCCAAGTAGCTGGGACTACAGGTGCCTGCCACCACGCCTGACTAATTTCTGTATTTTTAGTAGAGACGGGGTTTCACCATTTTGGCCAGGATGGTCTCTATCTCTTGACCTCGTGATCCGCCCTCGTCGGCCTCCCAGAGTGCTGGGATTACAGGCGTGAACCGCCGTACCCGGCCTGGGACATTTCTTAAAGCTAAATAAGCCCACTGCCTGAAAGGGGCTGAGTCCAGTTCACGCTGCTGGGCTCCCCACCCACAGCTGCCCAGACTCCAAAATCTGGGATTTGAAGATTGTAGAACAAAGTGGGAAACAAACTAAATGGGAAACAAACAGTTCCAGACTCTCAAACTCTGGAGGATGTCAGAGTCTGTTTTCTTAACATTATACTAATAATGCCTTTCCTGCTCCCCCGTTGCCCGCCCCCTACCCCCCACCCCAGGGAGGCACTCAGCCCAGGGGTTATATAACTGTGACTTGACACCACAGCCAAGTTAAGGGAGCTTGCACTCGGCTCACTGAACTGTGGCAAAGCGTGCGTTCTCCGTCCCTGCACTTGCCCGTGGAGCAGCACGGTTAGGGGATAAATAGATGACTTGGAGTTACAGATCAGCTGCGCTTAACTCTGTGGGCTGGCTGGGTCCCCTCCGTGCTGCTGAAACACTGGTAAGCAGGCCAGGCAGAGTCCTGCCCCGGGAACTGGAATGAATGACTCTCAGGTACCAAATTAAGCCCCAGCACGAGGACTCTGGGCTGGTTATGTTTTCCTTCCTCGCTTATGTGTGTGGCCTCAAAGGCACTGCTAACCATAAAGCATGCAAGTTCAAGGGGAAGGGGATTCCTCAACACCAACCCTGAAAGCTGCGGGCACCAGAGATGAGTTTGTTCTCACCTGGAGCAGCAGTGACTTAACAAGAGACAAGGATAGGCTCAGTCGTCCCCACTCCACCCTAGCACGACCAGCCAGCCTCAGCATACCTTCTATGCACTTAAGAAGCAGAAGGAGGCGGATGTATATGTTTGATCTACTGAGTCCAAAAGATGCAGCTCTCCTTTTTACAGGTTTTGTTACCTTCAAGAAGTTACTGAAGTCCTCTAAGTCTTAGTTCCCCATCTGTGAAATGGGGATAATAATAGAATCCACCTACTAAAGTTACTGTGAAGACAAAATGAGATATGGAACAAAAAGCACTTGGAAGATTGCATGACCCCTGGTAAGAGGCAAGTAAAAATCAGCTTTTATCAGAGTGCTTTTTCTCTTTGGTTGTCCCTTCCCTTGCTAGAATGGGTGACACTAGCATGTAGGGACCGTGTCTGCCTCACCCTGGCACTGCTAGATTCATGCATAGTTCCTGAAACACAATAGACCCTCAATAAATTTTACGACTACATGGCTACACGGATGTGGATTGCAGATGGAGAAGTGTGGTTTTTGTTTTGTTGTTTTAATCATTTTTCATTTTCAGTTATTTTACGGTCATAGAATCCCTCATTGTGCTCATCTATCAAGCAAATTGTTTCTTTTGAGTCCATTTAAATGAAAAAAAGAATGAAAGAGTTCTTGTTTTTAAATAGTTTCTCACATGAAACATCAAATAAAACTACATTATTAATTGAACACTGATGCTAGTTGGAAGCTATTAGGCGAGGAGAAGCTCGCCTGATTCTTTTTAAAGGAACTTCCCTCTTGAATGTTCTCTGACAGGTCATGTATCTTACATGCGGATGTTCACTGTCTACACTGGGCTCTCTAGACCAGCCCAGTGGTTCCCAGGCCTGTCTGCACATCACCAGTCCATGTGGAACTTTTTTAAAAAATACTCCCGCATAGGCCCTAGTTCCAGAGAAGCAAATGCAGTAGAACTGAATTGGACATAAGAGTCTCCAAAAGTTCTCCAGATGGTTTTGATAAGCAGCCAGGGTAGAGATCCACTAGGCCAAACTTTTCCACTCCCAGCGTGGCAAAAAAGAAAGAAAATTCTCTCCCTCTATTTATCTTTAATTTCTCATATTCATTACAGCTCAGCTAAAACTCCTCCTCCCCACCCTCTCCCCACCTAACAGACACATGTCACATGTATTCTGTGAAGTATGAGTATTTTTTCTTCTTACTTCCATGAGATGTATAAAGATTTGCTGAAAACCCCCAAGTGCTTTGGAAAACACATATCCAAATGAGGAAATGTGTTTCTGATGAGGGAAGGCTGAAATCTGAGTGTCTCCACCCTTCGAGTTGAGGCAAACCTCCTTGGTGCATATGAGCCACAAAGATCATTCCTCCCAGGCCTCAGTTGACTGATCATGATGTTTTAGTCAATGGAAAGAATATCAGTGCTTATCAGTTTACAGCAATTCCTGGGGAAATGTAGAACCATGTTAAGTTTGTTGGAAGCTTCATTGCTAGGACTGTCTTGAGAAAAACCTTGTAGAGTTTCCTGCAAAGTGACCACCAGCTTGACTTTTGTAGAAGAAGTGTGGATTACTAACATTAGCCAACAGGTTCATATAGTGAAAGGCTGCAAGATGTGTTGGCCTGTTAACCTATCTGTTTACTTACTTGTGCCAAACAGCATTTCCCCTTCTATGGTGCTTCCTGCTCCTATTACATCTTCCACAGCAGCAGGTGCAGTGAGCAGCCTGGATTGCAAATGACTTCGATGGCAGGGCTGGGCCGGTAAAACCCAAGCCTCCATTCAGGGAGTCTTATGGAGAGATGCATTAGACTGCCCTGGGCATTTAAATGGACCATTGGTGAGCCTTTGATCTGAACTCCTTGTGGTTGTGTTGGAGGAAGGCAATTCTTTCTGGCCAGAAAACTGAGGATGCAAAAAGATAAGAGTTGGGCCAACCTGGGAGAGGCCACTCGGATCACTCCAGGGAGACAACGAGCCTTGGGTTCCTAGGACGGGTTTTCATTAATTTTTGTGAATGAGAAAAGTCTGATGAGCCTTCACTTTGCACAGCAATCCAAATTGCTTGTGCCTTACTGACTAGAAGTCCAATTTAGGCTTGAAACGAGTTATTTATGCTCGCTACCTAAACATTCTCGTCTATAAAATGGGAGTAATTCATACCTCACACAGTGTTGGGAGGAGGAATTGATTAATTAATGTTTACAATCCACTTTGAACTTGAAAAGGCTTCTTGGGAAGTTATTATTAAGCCTATATCATTTTTACTTTGAGTTCTGGGGTGTGTCTAAACCTGAAACTCAAAGGAAACCTCACAGTCCGTCCCACTCCCTCACCCTGAAGGAAGATAAAATGTAATCAGATTAATGCAAATTCCCTGAAAATGGTTACCCTTTAACCAGTAGACACTGTGCTCTTATAAGGCTCTCCAGGGATCCTGACTCAAAAGGGAAAGAGAAAAACAGTAACTATCTTCCATGCAAAGAAGCAGGAAGCAGTTCTTTGAACTGGGAAGGGGTAAGGGTGGGAGAATTCTGTTTTTCGCTAAAGGGAGCTGTCAGTTCTCAAAACACTTAGTTCCTGACCCCCTACCTTCAAGGCCCCGAGAAAGCCAAACAGAGAATCTGACAGCCAGAAAAATTTGTACATAAGGCATTAAAGAATACTCAATATACTTTAATTTCTAGCCCTGCTAATCCATCCTGTTGTCAACAGCAAAACAATCAAATACAGCCAGTTGTCTGCACCGAGGTAACTGGGCTGTAGTATGGGGTTAGGTTTGCCACATAACCTAAGGTAATGCATGGCAGAGGGCACTTTAAGGGGCAACGGCTCTTTGGAACTCAGTGGGGGGTGCCCTTTCGTTAGAACAGGGAAAGAAAGGCAGGTCCTTTTGCATGGGAAAAAAAAAATCACAATAACCTAATCCCTTTAGAGAGCCATCAGACCCGTAAAGATTAAAAAACAAACAAACAAACAAACAAACAAAAACAAAAACCTGAGCCCAGCTGTTCAGTAAGCCACATCAGAAATTATGAAGCACATTGATCCCTCAGCACTGAGCATTGGATAATTGTTTCTTGCTGAAGAAACAGCTACCTGTGATATGTATCAATACCAAGCCTGCGCAGTTGTGTTACATTTTTCTTGCCGGAGGCTATAGCTTGAGTTTTAAGTCAATTGAGTCTATACACTAGAAGCTCATATTGACTATTGGATTAAACAGCACGTCAATTTATTTTTCTGGGTTCGATATTCAAGGATGCAAGAGAGCAAAGAGATCCTCCAGATGTGCTTTTGTGAGGCAACCGTAACCCACTTACATTGCTGTGATGCTTTTTAAGCCATTTGAAATAGTATTTGCACACCCCTTGCTCAGCAGTTCAATACGCTCCTCGACTATGGGTATTTTACTCATTCCCTGTGCTGCCGAGATTGCGGTTTGATTCTCGGTTCTCCAAAGTGGTTACTAGAGGTGAGCACCTGGACTCTGCTGCATGAGGGGACTCTTTCGACTTCACCTCTTAGAGTAAATGCCTACCGTGCTGAATAAGGATGTTAAAATGAAGGTGTAATCCATCTGGGGACTGCAGCCCACAGTGATAGGGGGCTGGGCATGCAATCTTAATTTCTCTCGCAGAAATGATCACATTTAGGTAGTAGGCTATTTTAGCATCTTAATATCAGGTGGGACTAGGTAAGATTATGCCATTTTAGAGATAGAAGTGATGAAATGAGCACACATTAAATATTTGAGTTGAATCAAACTTAACTGGAAAAACTGAGGCCCAGAGAGGCAAGGTGATTTGCCTAAGGTCACACAGATTTATGCAAAGCTGGGACTGTAACCAGGGTCTCGTGATATCTAGGCTATCAATTTTCCATGATACCATGAGGCTGCTCGTTGTGATTTCTCCGTATCCGTGTTTCTTCCTGAGCTAATGTTCCGGGTCTTATTTTGTTTTGTATTCAGCTTTTCACTTAACTAATTGGAATATACTTTGTTAGAGAAGACTAAAGTGTGAACATTCTTATGCTTTGTTTCTGCATAGTTATTTTGGCTCTGTTTTTGCTCGTCTTAAAGGGCTCCTGGTGTTTTAGAGTATGGGACAGCTTGTAAGGAGTAATAACATTCATTCATTTATTTAGTAAATATTTATTCAGCACCTATTATTAACTAGGCACTACTCCAGGTACTAGAGATATATCAATGAAGATAAACAGACAAATACTCATGTCTTGGAGGAGCATATATTTCTGCAGAGAGAAGACAGACAATTAGCAGTAAATACAAGAAATAAATAAATTGTATAGTGGTACAAGGTGATAAGTGCTAAG